>NC_000003.12:10000-1260000 GCF_000001405.40 Homo sapiens
CTAACCCTAACCCTAACCCTAACCCTAACCCTAACCCTAACCCTAACCCTCACCCTACCCTAACCCTAACCCTAACCCTCACCCTCACCCTCACTCAACCCTAACCCTCACCCTAACCTCCACCCTAACCCTAACCCCTAACCCTAACCCTAACCCTAACCCTAACCCCTAACCCCTAACCCTAACCCTAACCTAACCCTAACCCTAACCCCAACCCCAACCCCACCCCAACCCCAACCCTAACCCTAACCCTAACCCTAACCCTCTAACCCTAACCCTCTAACCCTAACCCTAACCCTAACCCTAACCCTAACCCTAACCCTAACCCTAACCCTCTGACCCTGACCCTGACCCTGACCCTGACCCTGACCCTAACCCTAACCCTAACCCCTAACCCTAACCCTAACCCTAACCCTAACCCTAACCCTACCCTAACCCTAACCCTAACCCTAACCCTTAACCCTAACCCTAACCCTAACCCTAACCCTAACCCTAACCCTACCCTAACCCTAACCCAACCCTAACCCTAACCCTAACCCTAACCCTAACCCTAACCCTAACCCTACCCCTACCCCAACCCCAACCCTACCCCTAACCCTACCCCTAACCCTAACCCTAACCCTAACCCTAACCCTAACCCTACCCTAACCCTAACCCTAACCCTAACCCTAACCCTAACCCTAACCCCTAACCCCTAACCCTAACCCTAACCCTAACCCCGAACCCGAACCCGAACCCGAACCCTAACCCTTAACCCTAACCCTAACCCTACCCCTACCCCTACCCCTACCCCTACCCCTAACCCTTAACCCTTAACCCTAACCCTTAACCCTAACCCTAACCCCAACCCCAACCCCAACCCCAACCCCAACCCTATCCCTCACCCTCACCCTCACCCTCACCCTCACCCTCACCCCGACCCCGACCCCGACCCCGACCCCGACCCCGACCCCGACCCCGACCCCGACCCTAACCGTAACCCTCTCTGCAGGCGCAGAGAGGCGCGCGGCGCCGGCGCAGGCGCAGAGAGGCGCGCGGCGCCGGCGCAGGCGCAGAGAGGCGCGCGGCGCCGGCGCAGGCGCAGAGAGGCGCGCGGCGCCGGCGCAGGCGCAGAGAGGCGCGCGGCGCCGGCGCAGGCGCAGAGAGGCGCGCGGCGCCGGCGCAGGCGCAGAGAGGCGCGCGGCGCCGGCGCAGGCGCAGAGAGGCGCGCGGCGCCGGCGCAGGCGCAGAGAGGCGCGCGGCGCCGGCGCAGGCGCAGAGAGGCGCGCGGCGCCGGCGCAGGCGCAGAGAGGCGCGCGGCGCCGGCGCAGGCGCAGAGAGGCGCGCGGCGCCGGCGCAGGCGCAGAGAGGCGCGCGGCGCCGGCGCAGGCGCAGAGAGGCGCGCGGCGCCGGCGCAGGCGCAGAGAGGCGCGCGGCGCCGGCGCAGGCGCAGAGAGGGCGCGCGCGCCGGCGCAGGCGCAGAGAGGCGCGCGGCGCCGGCGCAGGCGCAGAGAGGCGCGCGGCGCCGGCGCAGGCGCAGAGAGGCGCGCGGCGCCGGCGCAGGCGCAGAGAGGCGCGCGGCGCCGGCGCAGGCGCAGAGAGGCGCGCGGCGCCGGCGCAGGCGCAGAGAGGCGCGCGGCGCCGGCGCAGGCGCAGAGAGGCGCGCGGCGCCGGCGCAGGCGCAGAGAGGCGCGCGGCGCCGGCGCAGGCGCAGAGAGGCGCGCGGCGCCGGCGCAGGCGCAGAGAGGCGCGCGGCGCCGGCGCAGGCGCAGCGCCGGCGCAGGCGCAGAGAGACACAACGACGTCTACTTTGTTCCTTGGTCAGTCGATGGCCTGCGGGTGTCTGCTGGTGTCTGGCCGTGTGCTCTTTCTCGACGTACAGCTGTTTGTGTGTGTGCCCGCGACAGTCTCGGGTTTTGATGGGCACAGGATGGGGGGCCAAAAGGCAAAACTGTTTTGGTGGGCAAAAACAGAAATGCCTGTCCTCATTTAGGTCCATGGGCACAGGCCCGAGGTTGTAGCCCTTGCCAGGGATCCTGCCCTTCTCTACTCAGCACTTCGCTGCCCCTCTCCTGAATCACATCAATTAAGAACTTTCTTCACCACCCCTTCGCTGTCATCCTTTTCTCTCCACTATTCACCCAACATCATCCGGGACCAGAACTAATGTCAGCAAAGCAGGGGAAGGAAGTAAACTTCTAGGAGTAGAAGAAAGGATGAAAAAGCCAACCACAACCCCCTTTCTTCATTAAAGGCTTCCCTCTACCGTACTCGAAAACAACTTTGCCATTTTGATAATCAAATGAAAAAGTATAGTTTCTAACTCTGTACTATTTGTACACTATTTGTACTTTCTAAATCTATACTATTCGTATTATTTAAAAGTGACCATAAATATTATAAACTAAGTTAACCAAGGTTTTGCCTGGAGGCAAGGGAAGACCAAATCCCATGATACAACTTAAATAGTTGAATTCCACTTATGTGAAAACACACACATATGTTTAAAAGGCATATATGTATAAAAATGGATATCAAATGGTATGAAATAATTTGCACTAAATTGATAATTGAGGAAAAAATGTGAAGAGAAACTTCCAGACCAAAAGCTTCATGGGCAAAAGAACCATATCTTCACATCCTTAATGAGGATAAGGATTGCAGAGGCAGTACTTTGTAGGTATGTAGGAGCTCAGAAGTTATTGTTGAATGAATGAATGAATGAATGACTTCTGCTTTACACTGTATATTGCTCTTAAGTTAAAAATTAAAGACACTGGCTGGGCATGGTAGCTTATGCTTGTAATCCCAGCACTTTGGGAAGCTAAGGCTGGCAGATCACTTGAGGTCAGGAGTTCAAGACCAGCCTGGCCAACATTGTGAAACCCTGTCTCTACTAAAAATACAAAAATTAGCTAGACATGGTGGCACCCACCTGTAATCCCAGCTACTCAGAAGGCTGACGCATAAGAATTGATGGAACCCAAGAGGTGGGCGGCTGCAGTGAGCTGAGACTGTGCCACTACACTCTAGCCTGGGCAGCAGAGTGATACTCTGTCTCAAAAATCAATCAATTAATAAATAAAATAAAATAAAAATTGAAGACACTGGGCCAGGTGCAGTGGCTTAAGCCTGTAATCCCAGCACCTTGGGAGGCCGAGGCGGGTGGATCACCTGAGGTAGAGAACTCGAGACCAACCTGACCTACATGGAGAAACCCCGTCTCTACTAAAAATATAAAAAATTAGCTGGGCGTGGTGGTGGGCGCCTGTAATCCCAGCTACTAGGGAGGCTGAGGCAGGAGAATCGCTTGAACCCGGGAGGAGGAGGTTATGGTGAGCCGAGATTGCGCCATTGCACTCCAGCCTGGGCAACAAGAGCGAAACTCCGTCTCAAAAAAAAAAACATTGAAGACACTGCATTTGTGTGCTATTCCTAAAATTAAAATCAACCAACCAACCAATCTATCTACATGACAAATAACTAAGAAAACAGTACTACCAAAGCTCTAGAAACAAGCACTTTGAATTGAAGCAAGCCTTCTAAGGTATCAATACACTAAGTACTGAATCTTAAAAATGATTTTACTCCACATAGGTTAAATTTTTTATTCTTTTTGTTAAAAATCAGTAACACAAATGTATGCTACGTTTTCTCTCATTTAAAGATTGAAGAGAAGTTTGTTAATCCAAAGCCAACAGGAAGCTCACAAGTAATTCCACAGTGTATCTTCCAGAAACAACTTCTGCATAGGGTAAAACTACTGCTCACAGACATAGATACAAAGCGGCCACACTACACTGATTAAAATTGAGCCATAACTTTTATGAGCTTTAATACAACTACTTTTTTAATGCTGCTTTTTGTCTCCTTGTTTACAAGACAAAGAAGTTTCTAACTGTACTATTTGATGCTTCCTTACACATTTAGGGAAAGGAGTTTTATAGAGACATAAAATTAGACATGGAGATTACTTCATTTTTAACTGGTTTTGAAAATATGTCTAATAGAGCACATTTTTATTTAGAAATAACAAACAGGTTAATATAAAAAAGAGAGATCATTATCTCTTAGTGTGTTCACCATGGTCTTGTTAACTAGAAAGAACTGCGAGAGAAGAAAGAACATTTAGGGACCCAGGAAAGTGTGCATATCTAGTATTTGCCTCATGTTGAAAGAGAAAGGCAGGGCTTCAGAATTCACTTTCATTCAGGTTTAAAAAATTCAGGCAAAGAACATTTGCCCTCTGCTGGATTATTTTGGGAAAAATACAGATTTTCTTTTTTCTAACTATTAAAGTAGAATGGAAGAATAGAGTGACAAAGAGACACAGGGAAAGTAAAAAAAAAAAAAAGAAAAGAGGAAAAAAGGAAAGAATGAAGAAAAGAAGGGAGGGAAGAAAAAAATTAGAGAGGGAATAATATATATACAGAAGGAAATAGATTACATTCGCATTGTTGCTGGAAATACTTAATTTAGTCTGGTACACACAGACCTCAAATTCTTCTATTTTATATTATTTTCTCAACTCAAATCTGAAAATGGTCCCCAGAATAGAAACCATTTAACTTTAGGCCTTTCTCTGGTACTAAAGTGACACTAGACTAATAGACAATTATGACCACTTTAATGGATGACTGAGTTATCATCATCCTATGAAAGTTAATTTTGGTTTTGAAAATTTAACAAGATTTCTGCAACCTTAATTAGGTATTCATTAATACAGTTTAAGGTGATGAATGCCTTCCAAAAAGTAAAATATGAGTTTAAATTTGCATTCACTCTCCACAGGGTTACACATTTCCTGAGAGTATCTACATATTCATAGGCAACACCGATGTGAATGTGACAGGCAAGTATTGGAGGGAGTGGCCAATGACTCACAGTTTTCTTGGCATTACAGTTAATGGGGAAACTTCTCTCCTGTCTTTGGAGTTCTTTATCTCAACATGACTGATTGCTTCATCCTCAAAGTCTCCTTTTCCAATACCCTGCCTCTCATTTTGAGCCCTGAAGGAATCGCACATCCAAGTGCTCCCTCTCTCATAAGTTCCCGTGTGCTCTTAACATAATGACTACCTGAGACTTTCAGGAGAGAGTCCGAGGTGGAAGAGGTGTAAATACTCTAAGGAGCCTTATTACCTCTTCCACTCTCCACCTCTCCTCCACAGCATGTTTCCTAACTACTTCCAAAAGACTGAAACATTGATGGATGGAACAGAGCTTAACCTTCACATGAAGATCTGTTGATGCCATCCTAAAATATCCTTAAATCCATCTCATTTTCTACATTTCTCTGCCATCCTCACAGTCTAAGCCACTGTCTTCTGTCACCTGAATCACAGCCGTACACATCAAACTGGTGTCTCTCTTATCATACCCCCTTCAGACTATTTCAGGAGCTTTGGAGCAACACTTTTGGGGGTTCGGATCTTGGATATGTCTTTCATTAGCAGTTGATCATGGACAAGTTCGTCTACTTTTGTGATCCACAGCTTTGTCATCTTAAAATTGGATGAATCTATCTCATAGATGTATTTCAAACCAGACACACTCACATAAGTAGTATATAACTTGACCACAGAAGTTGCTCAAAATTAGCTATTTATGCTGTTGTCTTTTAGGTAGATGTTACTCAAAAAATTTACAAACAGGATATGTAAAAATGTCATAATTAACTCAAATTCAAAATAGAACCATTTTAGTCTCTTATGAATGGTACAAACTAAGAATTATGGAGATTGGGAGGATAGAGATATCTTTTTCTGGAAGTGAGAAGATCTCCCAAAGAAAGCAAACACTGGTGCATTTCTGCTTTTGTTTGTCTATATTTTTGCTAAGTTTAGAAAAGAGTTAAAGAGTAACAGCGCTCCCTAATGGATAAAACAAAATTCTTTATCTATTAGGATGAAGCAAAATTCTTTATCTATTAGGATAAAGAATTATTTACCCACAAAACTAGAGAAACCATTTATCCCTGGAGATTTTATTCCATATATTAAATATGATTTGTGTTGGGGGAATGTCTGCACACACACATTTTAGTTTGGATGAAAAGCAGCAAGGTTAATTTCTTCATTAGAAACTTCTGATTGGAAGTAAGAATTCTACACAGTCTGTATTGTTGTAGAATGCCCCATTGGTTTGTTTGCCTGTATTCCCTGTGAGTTTACAGTGCTAGGAGAAATTTCCACCTTCTCTCAGTTCTGCCTTCCTTTAGTTGGAATTCAGAGCACTAATAAACCCTTTCTTTGCCTTTCTTTTTCTCAATTCAGCACTTGATATCTACCTTGGTAACATTATTCCCTTTCTTTTAGGATGTCTCTACTTTCAGTCCAAATACTTTGATAGGATAGTTAATTACTCTCTCTTCCTTATATAGCCATAGTGATTGGCTCCGAAACAGATGCAGAACAAAATAGACAATCACAATGCTTTTCAGAGACTTCAGAGATGGCTACATGGGGAGAGATGTTTTCTTTCTAGCCTTTCAACTGGGATAATTTCAACTGGGGAAGAATAGTTTCTATGACTGCACCTATATGGCTCAACAGTTTCACAATGCAAAAGAATAACATAGAAGGTGAAGCCAGACGTAATGACTCATACCAGTAATTTTAGAACTTTGGAAGGCCAAGACAGGAGGACCACTTGAGTCTAGGAGTTTGACTGAGACCAGCCTGGCAAACATAGCAAAACCTCATGTCTACAAAAAACAAACAAACAAACAAAAAAAGTGAGTTGGATTTGGTGGCTCACATCTGTAGTCCCAGTTACTTGGGAGGCTCACACAGGAGGATTGCTTGAGCCCAAGAGTTTGAAGCTGCAGTGAACTGTGATCTTGCCACTGCACTCCAGTTTGGGCAACAGAGTGAGGCCTTGTCTCTAAAAACAAATGAACAAATAAAGAAGGTGCATGCAAAGATGAAGAAATTGAAAAGAAAAGAGAGACATAATTAAAACTTTAAAAACTCAGTTTTTTTAAATTTCCAACCCTTGAATTTTTAGTTATAAGTAAGGTAAGGTATTCCTTTCATTTAAGCAATTCTGACTTGAATTTTTAACACTGACATACATGGGTTCTCACTAACGGACATTTCTTTTGTCAATATTATTAAAAAAATTTTTTTTACAGGCTGGGCACAGTAGCTCATGCTTGTAATCCCAGCATTTTTTGGAGGCCTAGGTGGGAGGATCGCTTGAGTCCAGGAATTCAAGACCAGCCTAGGCGACATAGTGAAACTCTGTCTCCACAAAAAATTAAAAAAAAAAAATAGCCGGGTATGGTGGTGCCCACCTGTAGTGCCAGCTACGTTGGAGGTTGAGGTGGGAGGATCACTTGAGACCAGGAGGTAGAGGTTGCTGTGAGCTGAGATCACACCACTGCATTCCAGGCATTCTATTAACAAAAGGCAAAATATCCTTCTTAAATTTGAGGTTGTATGTAGGTTATTGTAGCTTAAGTCATATAGATGATGACTGATTTACCCTTTTACTCTGCATGCAGCTTCTCCTGATGGAGTATCGTTTGTGTGAGAAGAGCAGATTGGGACTCAATGAGAATATTGCCTCAGAAAAATTGTATTTAGTGAAAGTAACATCACTCTGTATCTAATGAACAAAGCAGGGAGAGCCATTTACCTGGCTTTTCAGGACATTGTAAGTCCAGAAAAATTAGGAGTAGGCAAAGAAATCATGACTCCACGTGAATGTTAGCTAGGAGGCAAAGGAATATTAATGTCATAGATGACATTCCACTGAAGGCACAGGGATAGATGAACACGCTGAGAGCACTGGACAAGCCTTTGTGCTTGACGTGGCGCAGAGCCACCATCAAGTCTCAAATCACAAAAGCCTGACGTACAAAGACACCTGGGCATTCTGGTGACCCAGGGCTCCCTGCCACAAGAAGTGCTGTTGGATCTCTTAGAATCAATAATTGGCACTGAGAAAATTGGCATTGCATCTCCTGCAGTTTCAGTCTGTTCTTGGAGCATATTATGATGAGTAGAGCTCACGTGGATGAATCTGTTAGAAGAAAATGAAGTGTTTAACCATCTTTTTTTTTCAAAAAATGAAAGCCTTCCCAATGCTGATGGAGTTGGTTCGTTGCCTATCAGAGCATAAACTGTAAATAAATATTGCTAAAAATGCCCGGAACCTTTTTATTAAATGTTGGTGCCTCAATATTGATTTCGCGGGAGACCAAAATTTAATACGGAGACAAGCAATTTTAAGTAGGCCATGCTGGGTAGCTGCTGTGCTCTGCTCTAACTAGTAGGGACTGTCTGGAGTCTGGGACCTGTCCTCATCCACAGTCAGAGCAGACCGAATACACGGATCTCCTCCCAGAATCTGGAGAGGTCAACCTGTTCTTCAAAGCAGTGGTGGATTGGGGTTGGGGTAGGGGACAAAACAGATACAGCACCAAACATGAAAAGCATTGATTTATCTCTCTCTGCTAATGCATGTGAAGTGTTGATCCTGGGGTTGAAAGTCGGCAGAGGGCATTCTGATATGGCCTTCTTAGAACTTTCTTGGTGTCCTGCTATGACATAAAGCTCTTGAGCCTCCTCTCTTGCAAGGCTTTCTTTCAATATGCTTTGGATTTTCTGTTTTTTCCTTTAAGACTTATGTAATGAATTTCTTTCTCCTTCTCACTTCGATTGTATATTTCCTGACATAACCTCTTGTGAAAGGAGGTAAAACTTTGAAAGTAAAAATACTGGGCAGAGTGAACAAATGGCAAAAAGGTGAGGAGTTTTGCAGTGAACAGGTGGACAGTTTAGCACAAGGTGGTGGATGTGGAAAGTGACAGAAGGTTCCAAGATGATGAAACATCAAACCACATGTTTTCTTTAAAAAGAAGTTTTTCATGCCAAAAAATACTTTAATAATGAAAATGACAGAGGTATAGAACTGTTATCTCATGTTTTCCAAGGTGTACTCCTTTGCAAAACAGTTTTAAAATATTCTCAAGCAATAACAGAATTCAGTGGTCCAAGATCTTTGTGAAACCTGCAGGCCACCCGTCTGACTTAGACAGCCACAATGCCCACCAGTGTATGAGAAGTTCTAAGAAACTCTGCAGAAAGGACACACGTTTAATCGAGTGGGTCTAAATTTGTTTGATCACATACTCCTTTTCTGGGTAACACCTATGGACACCCCAAGAACTGATGCTCCAAGGAACGTACTTTGGGATATGGTCATGAGGTAGACATAAATTTACAGAAACAAGCCAAAACAAAACAAAACAAAATGACAGCTATTATTAGAAACAGGCAAAGGGGTCTGAATTCCCAGGCCTTTCAATGGTCTTGTATTATGCACTTCACTTGGGAAATATAAATTAGGAGGTCCTGGAATTTCCTAAGAAATTTCTTCCCAACCCTAACTGTTCCTTAATGTGTGACTTGGATGAACAAGATTTGATAAAGCAGGTAGAATGATAATGTTTTATTTGTAGGTGTAAAGGAAAAAAAAAGCTGGTTGTACAACAATGTGAATATACTTAACTGAACTGTACCATTAAAAATTTTATACTATGTATATTTTACCACAGTGTTTTAAAATGAGAAAAAAGATACATGAAGAAAAGTGGTCCTGTTAGCAGTCTCCCCAAAGTGTTCTTATGAAGGAGTAGCCTTCCAAACTGCAATAATAAATGTCCTGAGTTATCAAAACAGGAAACCTAGTGCTTTTGCTTTAATGAATACCATAGAACACACATGGTTTTGTAAACTATCTTTGTCTTCATTGGTTTTATGTAATGCAGCCTAACTCTTTACCTTGTTTTTAATTCCTTGAAATAATTATTTTATTTTTAATGTAAAAAAACAATAAGTAACTTATCTTTGGCGTGTCAGCACTTTAACAAAGAGACTGCCTTTCATAGGGGAGCCATTTTCCATTTTGTCATAGCTACAGTTTCGCTGAATTAAAATATACATTTTCCTAGTTGTTTTCATTTGCTTTTACAGAGAAAATTTTATAGGTAGAGATTTTGATAAGTTGGAGAATTTTTCTTACTTGCTACAATTTCATCTTCAGGTGTGTTCAAAATAAGATTGCATTTGAAAATACTTGATTATAATTAGGCAGTTGAAGAAATATAGGGATTCTAAGCTTACTGGAATCTAATGCATGTGGTTGGCATGTTTAAAGCCTTCTTAAGTGACCTCTGACATCTGATTTCAGCAATGCAAAAAGAAGGTTATAATATATTAGTAATATGACAGAAAAGCTATATAGGTATCCAAAATGAAACTTCAAAATATTTAATCATTGAAATATTTTTGAATTAAAGTGTAATTTAGTATAATAGAGGTATTACAAAAAATTGTACAACTTGAGTGTAAAAGAGTTCATATAAATTAGTTACATATGTCTTTGAACAATTGTTTAGTTTATAAATCCAATCATAATTTGCCCCTAATAGAACAACAAATAATTTAGGAAGATTTTTTTTGTTTTCTTAGAAGTATTGCTGTAGCATATTAATTTCAATCTTGAATCAAAATTTAGATTTTTGATCAAATTCCAACATGCTTCACAAAAAATTTTTTTTTCTGCAGTGAATACATTCCATGTGCTATGACTTCATTGTTGGATGCTGGTATGTCTTAACTATAATCAGAGTAGACATGTTTTTCTCTATGTTTCAGCCATAGCAATATGAAGCAAGAGTCTGGAGACTTGGGTTAGATGACCAGTTATGGTTAGGAAACCTGTAGCCTGTTACTTACTATAAATTCCTATTCCCTTAAACAATTGTTATGAGGCTTAAATGAAAAAAATGTGATCATACTAGTAGGTAGTTTAACACTTAATGTTCTTGGCAAATAGATGCTCTCAGATAGCATTAACCATTGTTATTTATCATTATTATTTATTCATTCATTCTTTCAGAAACTATTGACTATATAGCTTGTTGTAGCTGTTTCGGATATAGCAGCAATCAAGAATGACAAGGTTTCTGCTTTCATTGAACTTGTAATTATAATGAGAAAATAACAAATAAATATAATTATTGAGTAAACAACATGTTAAAAAGTGGTAAGTGCTGCAGAAAAAATTGAAGTAAAACAAGGGAAAAGGAATTGAAGTGTCAGGTGGCAGCTGGTTGGAAAATTAAATACAGTGCTTTTCATAGGACTCGTTGATAAGATGAGATTTGAGTGAAGACTTGTAGGAGGAAATAAGGTGGGAAGAACTTTCAGGAAGAGTTAATAGGAAAAGAAAACCATAAAGAACAAGCTGATGTGGGCTTTTGAGTACAATAGGCAGGCCATTGTGACTGGACTGAAGAGACTGAGGGATATAGAAGATGGAGATAAGGTCAGGGAAAGGTTGAGGGTGGGCGTGGAGTCAGACCTTGGAGTTCCTTCCTAGCAAGGATTTGGGCAATTACTTTGAGTAAATAATGAGACACGCTAGAATTTTGAAAAAAGAAATGACACTTGGCTGTTTGGATAATTATCTTTGCTAGAACAATGAATACTATCTATGGCCCAATGTCTTGCCTTGTCAATTAATATTTATTGAGCACATTTTCAGGCACTTTGAATTGAAGATATAGACAGACAAAAAGTTTCTTTGTCTTTCTATCCCATGACTGTATTTTGCACAAGGTCAATAAGAGGCTTCAGTGTTTTTACAATTACCAAGAGGATGGGATTTGTTATTGTGTGCAGATAAAATGTGCTGATGCCTCCATTATTTATGGGATGAGATAAAAGTCATGCAGCCTTCTGAGACAAAAGGCAGGTATATGTTTTATATGTATGTTTTTAATGTGTTCTGTCATAGACATTATACCTTCTATAGCCCAGGGATTACCTAATGTAAATTTCAGGTGGAGTAAAACTGTCAACATTTAATATTTTTTATGACTTACATTTATGTAGCTAGGGGACAAACATCTCACTTTAGAAAACTGTGTGTATTAGGTAGAGTGAAATTGGTTTTCTCATTTTATTTTCTTAAAGTATCTAGTGTTTATGTTAGAGAAAAACAATACCCCTAAGCTTAGGGGTGGTTTCTAAATTTTAAGGGCCTTTATGTGAAAGAAAAAAAATGTTCCCAATGATTAAAATGCTTTAGAAATATTTTAACGTATAAAATCTGATTTCATAAATTTAGAAAATAAAAATATTTGTCTTTATTTTAAAGTAAATAGAGGCCAGGCGCAGTCCCTTACACCTGTAATCTCAGCACTTTGGGAGGCTGAGGCAGGAGGATCGCCTGAGCCTGGGAGATGAGGCTGCAGTGAGCTATGACAGCACCACTGCACTCCAGCCTGGGCAACAGAGAGAGACGCTGTCTCAAACATTAATAAATAAATAAATAAATAAATAAATAAATAAATAAAGCACATGGGATATGCTGTCAGCTAACAACAAGGGCAATAGTCTCGATCAATTCTCAGCAGAATCTTATTCCTACTTTTTGTTATTGTTTTTCTTGTGGTAAATTAGGGTTCAAGTGTGGCCGTGAAGCAGAGAAAGGTAATCTAGTTACAAATAACACAATACATCTAATTCACAGCTAATGCTGGCAAGGTTATGTGAGTCAAGGCACTGTCAGGAACTATTGATGATGGTATAAAATGTTGTAATTTTCTGCAGAGAAATTTCATAATATATTCCAAAAAGCTTTAAAATATTTATACCGTTTGAATAATTCAACATCTAGAAATGTATGCTAAAGCAATGGCTTATATTTAGTGGTAAAATTAAGAATCAGTCTCTTTGAAATCAGGAAGAAAATATGCCCATTAAAACAGCTTGGAGTAGGGGAGGTATAGAGACATTGGTTAATTGATACAAAATACAGTTAGATCTAAGGAATAAGCAAGGTGGCTACAATTAACAATAATACGTTGTATATTTCAAAATCGCTAGAAGAGAAGATTTGAAATGTACCCAACACAAAGAAATGGTGAATGTTTGAGCTTATAGATATCCTAAATACCCTGATTTGATCATTATGCATTGTATGTTTATCAAAATAGCACCTGTGCCCCATAAAGATGTACAATTTAACTTAAAATAAAACAGTATAATCAACATGTTACTAAATTTCCCAGACAATGCAATAAGATATGAAACATAAATGGAAAGTAGATATATTAGAAAGAAAGATGCAAAATTTTAATTACAGCTGATAGGATTGTCTCCATAAAAATTCAGGAAATTCTACAGCTAAACTATTACAGCAAATTAGATTTTAGCAATGTAGGTGAATGTAAGAGATCCATACTAAAAAAAAGTCAGAGTCTCTGCGTAGCAGCAATTAGAAAATATAATTAAGAAATAAGTAGAGACAACCATCAGAATTATATATTAGTATCTAATTATAGCAATGTTTAGATTTAAAATAATCAAGAGAATCCTAAATGTAAAGCACTAGGAAAATAGTGACATACATTATGATATATTTCTACAATGGAATATTGCTCCAGTCAGAGACCCTAAAGAAAAGACATAATTGTCACAAATTTAAGCTATTTGAAGAGGATCTAAGTGTGTGACAAGAAATCATAAGGAATGCAATGTCCGGGCTGGAATGGATAAGGAGTAATTAACAAAATCTGGATGAAAAGTGACTCTCCTTGAGAGCAGCAGCCAATCAGAGTTAATCCAGTAAGAAGGAACAAGGTGAATACAAATGCCTGACTTCAGGCCTCCTCCTTTCTCTGCTATTTTACCCTAGTTCCCCATTGTCCAAACCCACCTGAAACCAGAGATCTAAGGAGCTGTTTTATTTCATATACACAGATTAGCTCCAGAAAGAAAGCAGTGTGAAAAAGATGAAACACAGATTTGAAAGGTAAAATGGGAAATACTGTGCAGTTATTTAAAATTATATATTCATAAGTGATTTAGTGAATGGGAATATGTTTACTCTGAATACAGTAAAAAAAAGTAAGATGTATAAAATAAATAATTATATACTCAATGAAATTCCCATTCTTCTCTCTCAAGCAATCTTGAAGATCAGACAGAAAACCAGCCTATGAATCAAAGAAGAAAATCAAAATCAGACTTCATAACTGCTTCAGTAACCCTTGGCAACAGACAACACACTGGATTTTGGCGAATAACACTAAAATTTTTGCTGGTGAGGTCTTCAGAAACTGGATAGATGTGAAACCACCAGAACAGAAGTGGAGCGGGCATGGTATCTGTTTCTTCAATTTGTAGTTTTATAGTCAAAAACTGGCATGTATATACTTAATTGGTAACATGTAAGTCACGTGCCTCTATCCCAACTCTAAGAGAGGTTGAGAACTTAATTTCTGGCTTCTACCTTGGGAAGGATCAGGCTTATAAGCTGGAAAATTAGCCAACATACACAGGATATTCAAAGCTTCTAGGCAGTCAAAATACTGTCAAGTGGTAAAACAGACATGAAAAAACCTTTTTTTCTCTCCTAAATTTAAAAAAATATAATTTTTGTAAAACACTGTATGTGGCTTTCCATAAAATTAAAAGAGTCTTGGGAGAGAGAACATCTCATATGCTTCCTAGTGAATTACTTCCACACTAAAGCAATTAATGAAAATGAAAATACCGTGTATAATATTTTTAAAGCAGCCTTTTCACTGATAAATATGTTTTAGGTATATATACAGCTATGGAAAAGTTTTCCTCATAACAATTCCATTTTATCTCAGGTATAATCGGTCAGGAGAAATTATTTCTTGTTGCTAAAAATGGAACAAAACGTTTGAGCTAAAGAAACACATTTCTCATTCAACACACACATCCACAGAAGTTTCTTCTCATGCCAAAGTGAGCAAATCTACACTTGGGATTGTACAATTTTTATGAAAGTAATTAACAAATAAAACATTTAAAAGAAAATTAATTTTCTTACCTATAATTAATATCTATCACCTTGGCACCTACTAACAAAATTTTCTACTTAATGGTGATGTTTCAAACTATGGTCCTGCTCTATTTATGATAATATTTGGTCTGCCCTATATAGGCTTTATATTACATTTAAATTATATGTGTACATTGCTTTTTTCATATTAAGACATGTCTATACAAATATTAGTAGCAAATATATTATTAATTTTTATTCCAATTTATGGTGGAGTCTTTGGCTTCTTCAAGTGGATCACTACCCTAGCTGTCCAGAGCTCCACACCTATTCTCCTGTGTTTTCCAGTGTCCGGCCATACAGAGTTTATCAGAGCCCAAGAATAGACTTGTGGTATAGAATGGCGTTTCTGTTGCCAGTGAGAGGGTTCCTGAATGCTGATGAAGCAAAATTTTCACCAGACCCCTTGAGTAAAATTGATAGTGTTAAATCAAGTATAGCCAAAAGCTGCCTCCTTACATATTTTAAGTTCATCCTAAAGGTTTTTCCATACATCATGTACTATAACCTAAATGGAGTTGTAAACAGACTATAGTCTACTCTTGTGCCAATCCCTGAGAAAACTTTGATTGGCCAATCAAAGGTGGCAAACTATTCAAACCATGTTCAAATAAGGCAAACACTGAGCGTCACCAGTCCGGCTGCTTCTGTACCTCACTTCCATTTTCCATATGTCACTTTCTTTTTTTTCCTGTCCATAAATCTTCTTCTACCAGGTGGCTGCACTGGAGTCTCTGAGCCCATTGTGGCTCAGAGAGACTGCCTGATTCACTCTTTGCTCAATTAAACTCTTTTAAATTTAATTTGGCTACAGTTTTTCTTTTAACAACCTATACCTTGGAAACAAGGGACAGGAGGTGCTTGTGCAGTGAAAACTGGGTGTTCTTCAGTATGGCTTAGCACTCCCATGGCAGTTGCACACTTAAAACGTTTCCTTTTTTCGCTCTGTCAGATTTCCTACTCAGCTCTTTCAGGGTGCTAGACTTACTCCCTTCTTTAGGAACTGCCTTACCAAGCAGTATCCACTTTTTTTTTCTTTTAGTAAGAAAATACTTCCAGTTATACTTGGGTACATTGCTGCCCACTGAAGACTACATTTTCCAGCCTCCCTTACAGTTAGATGTGTCCATGTGACCAAATTTGGGCCAATGGAATGTGCATAGGAGATAGGTGTACAATTCAAGCTCTTTCCTTCTTTTGTTATTTCAAAATAAACCTTGATACCTATCTAAATGGCACACCAAAATCATCACTAATTCCAAAATTAATTTTTATTTATTTGCGGGAAAGGAGAGCCCAATCTTCAAATCATGTTAGAAATTAAAAGGAAATATTTGTAGCTATTCTTCTAGCATATCAAAGAAAGGAAAGTAAAATGCCAGACAGTAGGTTTCCATATTCAATTTTGCAATCCAGTAATTTTCTAATACCTATGAGTCCTGCATACATGATTTGGAAAGCATATATTACTTAAGAAATTTATAAAGTGCAGTAACCACTTTGGGAAGCTGAGGTGGGAAGATTGCTTGAGGGTAGGAGTTTGAGACCAGCTTGGGCAACAAACTCCACCTCTACAAAATAATAATTATTAATAATAATAATTAGCCAGGTCTGGTGGCAGGTGTCTGTAGTTCCAGCTATTTGGGAGACTGAGGCAGCAGGGCCCCTTGAGCCCTGGAGTTTGAGGCTGCAGTGAGCTATGATTGTGCCACTGCACTCCAGTCTGGATGACAGACCAAGACTTTCTTTCAAAACACAAAAAAAGTAAAATACAATAACATGTATCTGCTATCATTCACTAAAATAATGTATTTTCTTCCACAAAACACCTTTTTCTTCTTATTTCCACAGCATATCAGAAAGATTGAATAAATTTCCAAAATATTAGACAGAAAGGGATTTAATGGTGCATTTGTTTTGATTTTCTTATTTCCAGGACAGGAGACTGAGAAACAGATTCACTGGGCAGCTTACCCAAACTGAAAGGGCCAACCAGAGGCAGTGCTAGAATTAAACCTAGCTTCGTTGCTTTTAATAATTATGCCTTCTGCTTATCCACATGTTTATTTTCTTGAACAGCAGGCTTGTAATATTTGACCTTCTGTATAAATACAACTGAATGCTATAGCGATTGATACTTTTCTGGATTTTATCATAGCCAGTAAATAAATTAACAGACTTAGAAGGCTCCAGTTTAAAAATCACCCAGCCATTCAGCACTCTGGATCATGGGCCTTTCTCTTTAAAACTATACTCTCTTTGATAACAGCACAACACTCATTCCCAAAGTCCATTTTAATTACTGTGATCCTCAACATTCATAACCGTACTTCTTTCTCTTTTGCTTCTTTTTCATTCTGTCAGCAGAATATGTATTTGTTGGAAAATCTTCTTTTCCTTTATCTACACTACACACTGCATGTTTCTCATCCTTGTCACTTTCATTTGTCTATAGGAAAACTGAGTACAGTGTCTTTTAATCTCCTTTTAAGAAACCTGTCAGTAATGATGGCACAAAGCCATCCTGTGGGTCATGTGTTTATGGATGCTTTTTGTTTTATAGTTTAAGACTACTGACTGATGTTTGAATATTCAGAGCACTGACCCTTACATTCAGAGAAATCTTATCTGTAGGAAGCAGACCTAGGACGCAGCTTGTTTGCCTTTCACTCTCTAGCTTCAGCAACAGCAAACATCATTTTGCCAGTTTTGTTCCTTTCTTTTCACAGCAATCATTTTATTTCTTTATCCTAGACCATTAGTTTTGCAGTACTCATGAGCCTCTTTCAACTCCCTCGAGAGTGTCATGGCATCCTCTAAAGGTAACTTGTGGGGCATGCAAATCTCTCTGCCTTGACATCTTTCACCCCTACAGGTAGGGTTTGATGCTGTACCTTTGCACTACTTGGTGGCATATCTTTCTCCTCACCACCACCCTCCCACCCCCGGCACCCCACTGCTGGCTTCAACTCCAAAACTTAGAGCATGGTTGGGTGTCCATCACCTTCTCTTTTTGCAGGAACTATAAAATACATAGATAAGTGTATAATCTGTACAACTAATGCCCATTTCATCACTGGCATTTACAAAAATGAAGAAATGAAAATGCTGTAAATAAAATTAAAATCTCTTTGACTACTCCCTAAGTCTCATCACTTACACTCCTGCCCAGAGGCAATGTCTGTCAAGGGCTAATTTAATATAATTTCATCCAAATTTTCATGTTTTTCAAACATATATGCATTTGTATAAACAATACATATTGTTTTTATTGGTGAGGTTTCTATTTACAGAAATGATTGCATAGGGTATTTATTATCTTGCAATTTGCTATTTTGCAGTTATCATTATGTTTTTAAGATGTATCTGCTTACAAATGTTAATTGCTTTATGAATCATTCCATTGTGTGATTATACCTAATTTTGTTTAGTCATTTCCCTATTGGTGTTCATTCATGCCATTTCTAATTTCTACTGTTACCCAAATGAGCACATTTACGTGTGTCTCCTTGTGAACTTGTGTTTTACTAGAGTATACACCTAAAAGTAAGATTAATGGGTTACAGGATCTGTGAATTTTAGTTTTACAAGATATGCCAAATATCTTCCCAAACAGGACTTATCAACCTTAATTTTTATGAGTAGTATATAAAAATATTTATTTTCCAAAATGCCCCCAATATTGAATGTACATAGACTTCTAAAAATAATATCTGAATTCAACAATCTTAACTTGAATCATCCTTATTATTTCCTATTAAGAATAGAGAGGCCAGGAATGGTGGCTGATGCCTGTAATCCCAGCACTTTGGGAGGACAGGACAGATGGATCACCTGAGGTCAGGAGTTAGAGACCAGCCTGGATGACATGGTGAAACCTCATCTCTACTAAAAATACATAAATTAGCTGGGCATGGTGGCACGTGCCTGTAGTCCCAGCTACTTGGGAGGCTGAGGCAGGAGAAGTGCTCGAACCCAGGAGACAAAGTTGCAGTGAGCCAAGGTCGCACCACTGCACTCCAGCCTGGGTGACAGAGTGAGACTCTGTTCCCCAAAAATAAATGCATAAATAAAAAATAAAGAATAGAAGTATTTCCAATTACTTTGAAAGTACTGTAAATAAACAAATACACGAAGTGGTACACATAACTTTAATCTGTTAAACCCTGAAGTACATCAATTTTGCTTTAAATGTAACAAAGCCTAATTAATTAATTCAGTCCTCCATTCTCGTTTATTACATTTCTTACAAGCTCTAGATACTGTGCCAGGTTCTGGGGATAAAATATTGCACAGTGGGACTGTTCCCTGGAGAAACTTACAATGTAGTGGGAGAAACAGATACCCAAACACCTAGTCACAATAAAGTCAAATAAGTGCTATCATAAAAGGAAGTTGCAGGTGATATACGAGAACAGGGGAGAATGCCTAGGATTCCTAAAGGGAAGAGAAGGTTGGACTTAGTCAGGTTAGGTGTGGGGTCAAGGGAAGTGAATTTATGAAAGGTTTGAGAAAGGATTATCCATGCAGAAGAATGACATGTGCAGAGAACTGGAGGCTAAAGAGATGAGCAGATTCTCAATTCTATCAAAGAATTCAGTAGCCTACTTGGGACAAGAGAAGATATAGTCTGGTGTTGGTACATGAAGAGATTTTAATACCGTATACTTAAATAGTTCGGATTTTGTTTGTTTGCTTCTAAGGAAGATGAGGAACCATCAAAAGACTTTAAAACAAGATGGCGATGACTACATCATCAAAACTGAGCATTATGAGTAAGACTCAGAAAAGCACATAGGAGAAATACTAGCAAGAGCAGAGAAGAGGCAGATGGATCAATGAAGGAAAGAGACAATGGTGACAAAAACTAGTAGAGATGGAAAATGGGCTGTAGAAAGACATTTAAAGGAAGTAAAATCAACTGAACTTTGTTCATTCAGTACATATTGAGCATTCACTATGTGTCAGGCAAAGTTCTGGGTATTTGAGATTCATCAGTGAAAAAAATGAACAAAACAAACCAAAAAAGAAAAAAAAATATCTGCTTTTGGAGCTTATGTTCTTGTGGTTGTGTTTATCTAACCCACTGATTTCATGAAGGAGGGCTGTGGTGCAGAGAGGAATCATGGGCACACAGTAGGTAGTAAGAATGTGGAAGATCTGGATCTTCAAGAGTTGGAGCTTCCTTCACAGGACACTTGATGAAAGCTAGCATTGTTCAAAGGGAACCAACGAATCTACTTTGAGTAGCAGACATATTTGCTAATCAAATAAACTTGATATAATGTATTTGAGGGTAAAAATCATTTGAAGTTATATTTAATGTTTTGCTGGGTATATCTCAGTTTCTAGCGTGTTAGTTCCCTAAGATGTGACTCCTAGGCATGAGAATCTGTATTTTGAATTGAAAGAAGATGCACAGTTTCTGGATACAACTAGATAATAGCAGGCTGACTTTTCTAGCACATACACGAGGCACAGTACTTAAGGCCCACGGTACTGTTAAGGGCCTAAAAAAGTGTTTTATTTTTAATCAGAGAAAATAAATGAACTTTTAGGCCAAAGAAAATAATACATAATATTAATATATTCACCTTTAAGACAATGTATTCATAAAATATAACTTTAAACCTTTTTTGGAGGAAGGGGACCAGGAGGATAAAAGTACCTGTGCCCGTCGAAGTCATAACACGGCTCTCTATAAAAGGGAAAGAGGGAATTCTGTTTTATTTTAATATGTTAAAAACAACCCAACAACCTCATTTTATTATTGCCTTGATGGTACTCCTTACTTCTCAGCCTTCTTAGGAACTATCTGTCGGAGATTTTAAATATATCCAGATTATATTGTACCTGTTATTGTTTGGTCCTCACAAGCTCAACTTCTTGAGCTATCTTGATAACACAGTAAAAGATTCTTCACGTTCCACGATTGAACCAATGGATTTAGAATCACAAAAATGTAACTTATTCCAATCTTCACATGTCTCCTCATGTGACTTGATCGAATAAGACACTCAACCCTGGGTCTTTTATTTTAAAAAGGTGCCTTATTTACTACATCCATTGGGAAATAAGGAAGTGACATAATGATTCACCTCTGTGAAGTTGTTATCCACTTGTATTCCTAGGCCAGACAATCTTTCTCTCTTGGGAAGGGTGAAAGGTCAAGTCCATCTTGAAACGCGTAACACTGTGACTTCACTTTGTTTGAGTCTTCACAAGCTCTCAAGAGCCAAAGTGGCTTTTCCAAATAGCATGCATGTTTTCCTCCATCTTTAGCTGTGCCTTATAGTGTTCCTCTTACTCCTATCAAGAGAAACAAGTCTGCTCCTCAATGGACCATCTATCTCCTCAATGGTGGGGATCAGAAGCAAGATTGCCATTGGCTTATTTCCTCCTGAGATCCATTCAGGAGAAGCAGAATAAGTCATTATTAATTCCACTACCTTATATTATTACATAAGAAACTAAGATATTGTTATCAGGTTCTAATAACCAAGATAAGATTGCTACTTTTTTTTTTGTCATAGATTTTGTTAATCACAAATAGTCTAACACATTTTTCCTTACCCCCATGCCCATTCCTCAATAATTGCAAATTGAGTTCTCAATAATTGGAAATCAAATGTCAGAAACTTTTCTACATGCTAGGGAGCATCCCAACGTTTGTCCCTAAAGGATTTCAATTTATAAAATACATTGCAAGCTATTGGGTCAACATGTAGGTGATTTTTAACTCTCAAAACGTAAGCTTGAGAATTTAATGACAAAAATCTTTCACAAAAGCACTGTGGTCTGGGTATAGAAAATAGCTAGAATGAGATGAGAAAACAAAATTAGAGTGTAAAAGTAGTGGATCTGGGGCACCACTTAGAGGCATGGTGCTTGGTAATGCATTTTTCTGTGCTTTTCCTGGTGTGCCTCTTCCTAATGAGACATTGTGGTAACCAGGGTCCCAAGTCTAGCAAAGGTTAAATTGTTTATCTTCATTATCTCAAGTCCTGGGGAACTTAATGGCCCGCAAGGCACATGCTGAACGGTTTCTGTCCTATATAATCGAGTATGCTATATTTCCAATCAAGATAAAAACCTCAGGATATATTTTTAAAATATTTCTGTGAATGTACATTATATTTTCAGAGGGTTGATTAAGCTCGGGGCTATCATTCTTCACTGAAAATATAACATCGTTTCTGATAACCACTCAGTTTGTCCGATCCAAAATGGAAGAATTTTTTTAAATTGAGCAGAGAATTATACAATCATGTTATAGAAGCTGAAAACAATTTCATTATTTTTATCTTACTCATGATCATGAGCTCTCTCTCTTTTGAATGAGGAAAATGATGAGATTGAGGTATGATCAATCCCAAATACAATTTTAAGGTTTTTTTTTTCTTATAGGGATGGTGAGTTCATGAAAATCTACTCCTCAGTATTTGCCTGTTTCTTTCTGTGCACAGTTGTTACATATGTTAGATTGCTAGCTCTGATGAAGACACTATCTTAGACACAGAGAAAGTTAAATAAAATTCAGCCTGAAACCCCTTCATAGCAGGTCTCAGGGAGAGATGTTTGCCACATGCTAAAATCCAGAAAGGAATTCCATTATTCCTAAACATCTTTACAGCTGGGCAAAGAAGATAAGTTGACTGGTACTGCCAGTAAGTGTATGGATTTTGAGATGATTGTTATGTTCAGGGATTTCAGGCTGAATAAAATTAATTCAAGTTGTTGCTAATAAATGTTGTATGAAATCCTCAAACAATGGAGATATCTGCTTTTATATCTATTCATCCGTCCATCTATCCACTCATCCATTCATCATTAATGGAGCATATATTTATTGAGTCTTCATTATGGTGCTTACTGTAATAACAATTAGGCACTGTTCTAAGTATTAAGAATATAACAGGACATAAGCATAGTGCTCTTGACTTCCTGAAGTTTAAAGATTGGGGGGATGGGAGGTGACAGGGACCAATTAGTAAATAAGGAGCTATGATACATTTTGAAATGCAGCGAGATAAGAGTACAGAAAGGTCCTATGAGAGCCCCTGAAGGGGCAGGAAACTCAGATCTAAGAGGGTGATCAGGCAACTTCCTGAAGGAAGTGGCATCTAAGCTGAGATCTGAAGCAGAGGGAAGGATAAAGAATATCAGACAAAATAGCAAAAACAAAGGCCAGGACACTCGCATATATAATACTTTTGAAAGACCTGAAAGAAGTTAGGAAAAACTGGATTATGGTGTGCAAGTTCGGGGTCATGGAAAAGTAGGCATGATAAGGTGCACCAGGGTGCAGTATGTGGAAGTGTCTTACTGATTAGGGAGTGGTGGTGATTACAATGGGTACTCTGATTTAGTTTTTTGGAATCACATTATTTTAAATTCATTTTTAAAAGTACATTCTCATTGTCTATTTATCAATGTATTTAATTTATATAATCTTCTTTTATGAAAAAGGATTTCAGGTGGTTTCTAAAATACATAAAGTATGATGCAACTGCATGAATTCAAGGGGGTGCAAGGATATGCACAAAGGAATACCACAATCATATTACAATGAATCCTCCTACAAGGCAGATTATACTGACCTACAAGCTTCATCTGAATAACACTAACCCTTGGAGGAAAGGTATGTTGGATTCTTATAATGTGAGAAGCAGGGTTCTAGCTGCTTTCCACCTGTATCTCATTTAATCCTCAAAGACCCTGCCACTCAAAGTGCAGTCCACAGAACAACAGCATCAGCGTCACCTGGGATTTGTGAGAAATGCAGAAACTCTGGCCTCATCCCAAATCTGTTGATTCATCTACATTTTAACAAGGCCCCGGGTGATTCCTGAACACATAAAACTTTGCCAAGAACTGGACAAAGAACATTTACCTTTAATGTGTTTTTCAATTTACAGGTGAGGACACCAGGCTTCTAAGAGAATAAGTAACTTGCCCAAAACTAAACACTTAGTGAGTGCAGGGGAAGATTTTGAGTTTACACTTTCTGACTCCAGGCACTTTTTTTCAGGAGTGGGGACGGTGGGGCAGAGTCTCATCCTGTTGTCGATGCTAGAGTGCCGTGGCATGATCCCGGCTAACTGCAGCCTCAACCTCTTGGACTTACGTGATCCTCCCACCTCAGCATCCGAAGTAGCTGGAACCACAGGCACGTGCCACCACACGCTGCTAATCTTGTTTATTTTTTGTAAAGAGGAGATTTCACCATATTGCCCAGGCTAGTCTCAAACTGCTGGGCTGCAGCGATCCTTCCACCTCAGCCTCCCAAAGTGCTGGGATTACAATTGTGAGGCATTATGCCAGCCTGCAGGCCCTTCTTGGTTTCTAAGTGGCATAGCCTCCCCCTGTGTTTGTAAGCTTTACGGCAAGCTTGGCCAACCTGTGGCCCACGACTTTGAATGTGGCCCAACATAAGTTTGTAAACATTCCTAAAACATTATGAGATTTTTAGGTGATTTTTTTAAAGCTCATCAGCTATCACTAGTGTTAGTGTATTTTATGTGTGGCCCAAGACAATTCTTTATCCAGTGTGGCCCAGGGAAGCCAAAAGAGTAGACATCTCTGCTTTACGGTGACCAGCCAAATAGGAAATATGGGCTTTTATGCAAAACACATTGTCCCAATGATTTTTTTTTTTAAGAGACCAGTTGCTCAAAAGAACAGCAGGGCAACTACCATCAACATTATCAGGAAGGAACTCTTCCCAGGGATTTATATAAGCAAGACTTTACATGATGCAATGAATGACAAGACAGGCAAAATCTTTCCACAAATGCTAGCTGATCAATCAAAACAATGTGATTTGATGGAAAACGACTTGGTTGGCAGTGATTAGCCAGACCATTTAGCTATCTCGGAAAGGCTGAAGCAAAAGTTGATTGGACAGCAGCAATGATGTAGGAGCTATTTCAGTTAGGAAGACAAGCTAATGACATCCAAGTCCCCTTCTGCCTCTCCTATGTTGAGTCCTGCTCAATGGCTCCTCCCAACATAAAAAATTACAAATTGATGTAAGCATTCATAAACCTAAATGTTTACAGGGATGGAATGGACTGAATTGTGACCCACGAATGTTTATTATGTTGAAAGTTTAACCCCAATATGACTGTATTTGGAGATAGGACCATTAAAGAGGTAATTAAGATTAAACGAGGTCTTAAGAGTGGGACCCTAATCCAATAGGACTGGTGTCCTTATAAGAAGAAGAGACACCAGGAAGGCACATGCACAGAGAAAAGACCATACAAGGGCACAGCTTGAAGGCAGCAAACCAAGGAGAGGCCTCAGGAGAAACCAGCCTGCTGACACCTAGATCTTGGACTTCCAGCCTCCAGGACTATGAGAGAATACCAGTCTGTGGCATTTTGTTATGGCAGCCTTGGTTAACTAATAATAATGGGCTAAGCAAATAATCTAAATAAAGGAAACCAAGAGGTTAAATGTACATGCATGCATTTGAGAAGTAACGGAGACTGCAGTTAGGCCATTGTTGACACAGAATTGCAGGAACAGTATTGTCAAGCTCTCTAATCTTTAAAGAAAATAAAGTGTGTGTATGTGTATGTGTGTGTGTGTGTGTGTGTGCGTGCGTACATTGAGGTGGGAGGTAGTTCATGTGAAATCTTTTTTTTTCCAAAATAATATTTTGTTGGTTTATTTTAAAAGTCATAAACTATTGAATGATCTAAGCAAACACATCTGGGAGTTGGATCTACCCCTATGTGGTCATCAATTTGTAAACTCTGTGCCAGTGCTGTTGACAATTCATTATAGCAGAAGCAGTGAAAGGCCATTTAGCCATGTAATCATCTTGCTTTCATATCACATCATCCATGTGATGCAAGTATTAGAATTTTTGCTCAAGTAAACTCTTAGATACTATACTTAAGAGAAATGGTGCCTTAAAATATGCAAGATATAACTGTCAAGGCTTGACACCACATGTATATTGACGGAAGCCAGAATAGCTATTGCTAAAAATGCATTTCATTGACTATTCCCTCTGCAAATGTGCCATGATGACAATCAATCAGGATAAATCACACAGCTATTCAACTAATTCATCCATAAAGAAAACTGATAGAGTGTTGAAGTCAGTGAGGCCAAAATCAGATGCCCATAGCATCTGCATTTGTAGGATATGAAGCTTTAATGGCAGTCTCTCAGAAATTTTAAAAACAGCCTTATCGGCATTATCCACTGCTATCTACATGGACAGCCTTCCCCATGATTTTCAAGGTCATATAAGTGGTTAAGTATTCACTTCCTTATGCATTTATAAATTGTAGGGGCTTTCCAGAGAAAGTTCTTTATGACTTACTTATTGCTGCTTGCAATTCTGAAAACTCTAAATTAGAAATGTCAACTCCTTTGTTGGACAATAGTTTCATATTGGTGCTGGTCAGTGGGATTTCCCAACTTGAATCTCTTACTTAATCACTTTTTATTAATCTGTTTTTTTAACTACTTTTTTTTACTTGGTTACAGGATTTACTTCATATGCTACCTCTGGTAATAGTCTTTAGCTTTTGCCCAGCCATGGTTCTCACTATCCCTTTCCTAGAATTTTGCAGTAAGGGCTAATGGACTATAGCTTTCCAATCTCATCTGACTCTAAAACCCATTATTACTATGTCTTTCTAAGGCAAAGTTATATCACAGATTTTGGATTGATACAGTGGTATTAATGAGCCTTCACAATCACCTCTGCTTACCATTCTCTTACTAGGCTCCTTTTCTTTTACCTTCTGCTACAATGAACTCATCGGTCACAGAAATACAGGCTTTTCTACACCAATACAGGTGCCCATGCTGTCACCTGTTAATTTGGGAAATAACTTGGTAAATGCTTTACTTGGTGATATATGCAGAATTCTAAACTTTATGGCTTTTTGTTTCTTGCTTAAAATATTTCTACTGTTCTGTTCTCCCTTCTAAGTATTTCTGCATATGTTATACGTTGAAATTGCTCCATAATTTTAGATGTTCTTGGTTTATTTATTTATTTTTACTTTACATATATTTTTTGAGACAGAGTCTCATTCTCTCGCCCAGGCTGGGGTGCAGTGATGCATTCTCGACTCACTGCAACCTTCACCTCATGGGTGCAAGCCATTCTGCTGCCTCAGCCTCCCAAGTGGCTGGGATTACAGGTGAATGCCACCACACTCGTCTAATTTTTTTTTTTTTTTTCTGGGACAGAGTTGCTCTCTGTCACCCAGGCTGGAGTCCAATGGTGTGATCTCAGTTCACTGCAACCCCCGGGGTTGAAGTGATTCTCCCTGCCTCAGCTTCCCAAGTAGCTGGGATTACAGGTGCCCACCACGACGCCTGGCTAAGTTTTGTATTTTTAGTAGAGACAGGGTTTCACCATGTTGGCCGGACTGGTCTCAAACTCCTGACCTCAGGTGATCCGCCTGCCTCAGCCTCCCAAAGTGTTGAGATTACAGGCGTGAGCCACTGCGCCTGGCTAATTTTTGTATTTTTAGTAGGAACAGAGTTTCACCATGTTGGCCAGGCTGGTCTTGAACTCCTGATCTCAAGTGATCTGCCCACCTCGGCCTTCCAAAGTGTTGGGATTACAGGCGTCAGCCACTGCACCGGGCCCCTATTTTTCCTTTGTATTTCAGTATTTCTCTTTGGGAAGTTTCTACTGAACTTCCCTTGGCTGTGTCAAATCTACCCATAAGCCCATCAAAGGCATTTTTCATATCCATATATAGGATTTTTTATTTCCAGCATTTTCTTTTGTTTCTTAGAGTTTCTATCTCTCTGCTGACATTACCCATTACTATTTCCATTAGGGCCTTTAAAATGTTAATCATACTTATTTTAAAAAGATAATTCCAACATCTGAATCATATCTAAGTGTTGTTTTGATGGCAGCTTTGTCTCTTCAGATTGTGTTTCTCCTCGTCCTTTATCATGCCTTGTAATGCTTTATAGAAATCTACACATGCATCAGGTAACAGGAACTGAGATAAATAAGTCTTCATTGTGAACATTTATTTTAATCTCTCTAGGGGTAGGATTGTGTTTAATATTTGCTGTAGCTGTAGGTGCCAGGGGCTTCAAATTCAGCTGATGATCTTATTTTTCCCTTTGGTCTCCCCTCTTGACTTTACGCTTCCCTAAGTAAGTACTTCTTTCCAAATAGAGAGCTTTTTCAGTTGTAATCCACTGCCATTGTGTTGAAGCCTGATGGTATGGTGTTAAGATGTAGGAGAGATATTGCATGATTAAAATCCTCCAATTAAATCTTAGTGTGTGTTTTTTTTGTTTGTTTGTTTGTTTTTTTTGAGATGAAGCTGTGTTGTTGTCTGAGGAAATACTGGAGGTTCATTGTCTCATGCCAAGGAAATCGAGGATGCAGAAACATAAAGAGTACGCCTAAGAACAGAAGTTTAAGCTGGATGCTGTGGCTCACGCCTGTAATCCCAGCACTTTGGGAGGCCGAGGCGGTTGGATAACGAGGTCAGGAGTTCAAGACCAGCCTGGCCAAGATGGTGAAACCCTGTTTGTACTCAGCAACACTCTGTCAAAAAAAACAAAAAAAAGAACGGAAGTTTAATAGACAAAAGTAAAAAGAAAGCTTCCTCGTGCAGAGGAAGGGGACTGGAATGGGTTTCTAGCCTTGCAACAAGATGCAGCTGCTTTTACAGATGAGCTTGAGGAGGCACTGTCTGATTTACATAGGGCACAGAGGATTGGTTGGACCAGATGTGTCATTTACATAGCATGCAAAGAGGCTGGTCATCCCACCCTAATCTTTTATTATGTAAATGAAGTTTTCTACCTGGCCTGCGCCATGCTGCCCATTTCTTTACTGCACATGTGGTGACAAAGAAAAGGGACCCCTATGTTGAATATACCTGATTTCCAGGTGTCCTTTTTCTATTGGCACAGCTGCTGGCATTCATCTGTGCAAGCTTCCACTTGCTTATCTATGCTTGCAGCTTGATTTTGCAGGCTGCTTTTTGTTAAAAAAGAAGTTACTTGGGGGCTGCTTTTTATTAAAAGGAAAACCTTGCCGAGGACTCTGTTACCTTCACTATCTGCCTAAATAATTTCTTTTTAGCTCCTGTGTCAGAGATAGGGTCTTGCTCTGACACCCAGGCTGGAGTGCAGTGATGTGATAGAACTTCTGGGTCTCCCAAGAGGCTAGGATTACAGGCACTTCCACCACCATGCCCCACTCACATCTCAGTGTCTATATCCTGGGGCTACGACCTTCATGATCTAGCTTTTATCCCCCTACTTCTCCCTATTCCCTTCCCTGGCTGCAGCATCCTCGGTGTATTTCCTTGAAACCTTGATTGCTGTTGACTTGTTTTCCCTTCTTAGGTGAGACCAGGAGGCTAAAGGGAGCTTCAGTGGGAGGAATGCCTCTACTGTGATAAACTCTTAGCAGAGTCTTTCTTTTGGAGTATCAGCCTTTATTAAGGAGAAGACTGAGCTATTTCACAATGATTAATCTTCTCTTCCACCTGCCAGAGCCATGAAAAAACATCTTTTCAGATGTTTACTGTGAGAACCTGGTGGGGTTCCTAAATATAAAGCCCTTTAAAGTGTGGGAGACCCTTGGGAGGCCGAGGCGGGCGGATCACGAGGTCAGGAGATGGAGACCATCCCGGCTAAGACGGTGAAACCCCGTCTCTACTAAAAACACAAAAAATTAGCCGGGCGCGGTGGCGGGCGCCTGTAGTCCCAGCTACTCGGGAGGCTGAGGCAGGAGAATGGCGGGAACCCGGGGGGCGGAGCTTGCAGTGAGCCAAGATGGCGCCACCGCACTCCAGCCTGGGCGACAGGGCCAGACTCCGTCTCAAAAAAAAAAAAAAAAAAAAAAAAGTGTGGGAGACCCCTACCCCTAAATATCCAGCTCCTAATAGTTTCTCACTCTCACAGTAATTCATACACAGCCCACAGCAATTCATTACAATTACCAAATGAATGTTCCTATCAGTGTATGGCACCAGCTTGTTCTCTTCCAGGTAAGTAGATCTCAGGTATGTCTCTCTGGATGCACCCGATGAGTCCAAGAAAAGTTACTGATTTTCAGTTGGTTCAACTGTTTCTTGTCATAGGCCAAGTATGACGTCCAAATTCTTTATATGTCAGAGCTGAACGAGACTCCTAAGGCTTTTTTTTTTTTTTTAACTTTTTTCTTTTCTTTTTTGATGTTTAGAAGATATGGCAGTATTCCAGTACGTGTTAAGAGTATCCTGGATGGGAGGATGGCAACCACTAAAGCCAGTCTCTAGTCTTTTCAATTCCACCAAGTTCTTCGAAGAATGAAATGACTTCTTCCGGCAATCACAGCCTTGCCGAAAATCTGTGCTCCTCGAGCATAAATGCTAGTTGAAGCTAACAGGGACAGAGTTGATTAATGAACTAAAGGTACACTGCTGCTCCTGTTAATACATGCAAAGTTTACATGTTCCCAACATCAATGGGCTTTTGCATAACTGTGATATCTTCTCTGAGCTAATAATCTAGGTTGAGGTACTTGAGGGGTTCAGAGTATACCACCCTGAAATAGACTACTCTGGCATAAGAATTGTTTTGAGCTAAAGGCAACTGAGGGAAAAACAGACACAGGACACACTCTCTGTCCTTCCTTTCTCTACCAGGAAGACTAGAACAATTCTTAATCACCTGAGACAATGCTAGACTCTTATCAGCCCAGAGATGGCACCAGAGGAACCTACATAACTTTACTAAAAGAAATTGTATCTTCTATTAGTTTCAGCCTCTATATATAGCCCTCCACAAGTTATAGCCCTTGGAAGGCTAACAGTCTTTTGTCTTATGTCTTGCCACTTTTCTACACATTTATTATTATTTGCTAAGGTACTATATATGCACAAGTTCTTTTTTTTTATTTTTTATTTTTCCTGAGATAAGATCTTGCTCTGTCACCCAGGCTGCAATGCAGTGATGTGATCATAGTTTACTGCAGCCTCCAACTCCTGGCCCAAGGGATCCTCTAGCCTTAGCCTCCCAAGTAGCTAGGACTACAGGTGCACTCCACCAAACCTAGCTAATTTTGTACTTTTTGTAGAGATGTGATCTTGCTATGCTGCCCAGTCTGGTATGCTCAAGTTTAATCACCCCTTTGAGTCACTTGTCACTGAGGTTTCTCCCAAGTGATGTGCACTGCACACATTAATAAACTCTTTGTTTTTCTCATATTAATCTATCTTTTGTGAGTTTAGTTTACAATGAACATAAGATAGTGTCTTATTCTATTCGGGCTTTTATAACAAATTACCATAGACTCAATATTTATTTCTCGCAATTCTGGAGGCTGAAAGTCTTAGATCAGAGTGCCAGCATAGTTAGGATCTGGTAAGAGTCCTCTTCCAGTTTGCACAGTTGACATCTCCTTGTATCCTCACATAATGTAAAAAGGGCAAGCTAGCTCTCCAGCCTCCTCTTCTAAGGGCACTAGTCCCATTTATGACAGTTCCACTCTCATGACCTAATTACTTCCCAAAGGTGACACTTCTAAACACCATTACATTGGGATTCGAATTTCAACATGAATTTTTGGGGAACACAAACATTCAGTCCCTTGCAGATGGGTAAAGGGAAAAGATTTTTCCTCCCTTACATACTCCATTTGTTATCTATTCTGAGGCTTGAGAATTTCCTACAAAATGGATATGTTTAGATAGAGAAAGAGAAATTTTGCTAAATGATGCCTGTAAAGCTTAGCAGTTAGAAGTTTATGTATCTAAAATCCTAATAAGCCTATGTTGGATGATACCTTATAAATCCTCCTTTCTTTCATTGTGAGGGAAGGAGCTGAGTCTTAGAGAGGCTGAGCCACATGTTCAAGAGTTTAATGAGTAGTGGGGTCAGTAGAAGCCATGTCTTTCTAACTCTAAAGATAATGGCAGCCTGTGTAAGACAGAGACTCTTAGGTTTTGTGTTGTCTCCTCTCTATGCTTCTTCCCTCTACTTCAAGACCTCTCCTACCAAAGCCTGTCTAAAGCCATGAATAGATGGAGCTTTTTCTATTGCTGCTGCAACAAATTACCACAAATTTAGTGTCAAGTAATACATATTTTATGTTATAGTTCTGGAGGTCAGAGTCCAAAATAGATTACTAGGCTAAAAAGAAAGTATCTGTAGGGCTGCAGTCCTTCTGGAGGCTGTAAGGAAGAAACCATTCTGTGGCTTTTTCTAGCTTTTAGAGGTCATCCACATTCCTTGGCTCATGGCTCCCTTCCTCCATCATCAAAACCAACAAGGTTTGGCTGAATACTTTTGAGGCTGCCGTCTTTCCAATTCTCTTGCTTCTGTCTCCTCCTGCACTTTTGAGGAGATGACATTAGGTCCACCTTGAAAGTCCAGGATAATCTTCCTATTTTAATGTCAGCTGGGTAGCACATTTAACTGTCCTTTGCTATACAACCTAACATATTCACTGTTTCTGGGGATTAGCTATGGACATCTTTGGGAGACCATTATTCTGCCTGCACCAGAGACAGAGAGAGAGAGAGAGAGAGAGAGAGACAGAGAGAGAAATTCCTCTCACAGCATATGGTTGGGAAGTTGATATATTAATGTATAAGTGAGGAGATAAAAACAAGACTGCTGGTAAATAAGACAGTATAGGACAATTAATTGATGAGATTCAGGTTATAGCCATTGGAATAGAGAGAAGGCACAGATCTAAGTGCACTGGATATATCCAAGAAAGTTACATCTATCTGGGTAATGAAGACTGCATAGCTATTGGATGAGGCAGGAAGGGACCCCAGTGAAGTGAGGAGCAGAGTTAGGAAAGAAGGCATCATGTGTACAGCACAGGGATGGAACCGACTCTAACGAGTTAGGTCATGTTGATAACTAGCAAGAAAACTGTGGATAGGAAGGGTAAGATGAAATTCTGTTTACTCTTAAAGCTAGACAGGGAATTCTTATGAAAGGACAATTTTAAAAAATCCAAGTAAATGGTACATGAATTCTCCTTGGCTTCAGAGCACATGGACAATGATTAATTGCAGCAATATCATATGAAATCACCATTCTGTAGGTCAAAAATTGTCAAATATCTGCAATTTCTTATGATTCACCTTAAAAGAAGTGTAGAGGCTCAATATTACTCTAGAAACGTGGAGGGAGATTCAATGATCAGAAAGTTGTCCTTTAAAATCACCACAAGAGGGTGGTAAAGAATTATGCTTTATATCGCACACCTGCAGAATATTGGTCTTTCCACACACAAAAATAATTATTTAAATGTATGTAAGATGGAGCTTTGGAGATGTTTTTCTTTCTAATTTGTTGTTGTTAATCATACTTAAAATAGCGTGATTTGGCATCCACAAAGTATATTGGCTGCTAGCTGGACGTCTTCAATGCAGAGAACACCAATTACATGCACATATCTCCATCTTCCATATGTGTATGAATGCGCTTAAAATGCAACAGATTCATACATAAATTATAAGCACCTCATCACTGTCAAACTTCTAATCTATGATGATGAATTAAATAGAATTTTAAATGGAGAAATCTATATTTTAAATTCATTTCCCTATCTTGTTTATAAAATGAAATATTGAAATGAAGTTAGGGGAGTGGTCCTGTGGTTCATGTTCAAATGTTAGTCAAGCTCCGGCTGTTTACCGTTCTCAGTGACCTTGATTAAATTGCTCAACTCAGCTGGGAACTGAATTGTGTATTTAGAGGATTAAGCAGTGCTGCCCGACATTTTAGAGTTAGACACACCTACTATAACTTGCTTTGGCATTAACGCTGGGCTTCTCTTGAATTAAAATGGCAATCTCCATTCTGCAAGGGAAGGTCTCAGGGACTTGAAGATATGTTTACTCTATCCAATAACACGGGTATTGATTTCTGATTTCTTTTTTCATTTCCCTTCTTTATAACTTAAAATTCCCAACATTTTAGTAGAGACGTATTTAATCTGTAGTGTTTGATTATTATATGTGCACCTGTGCCTGCAAGTGTATCTGTATGTGTGCCTGTGTGCATGTGTGCATGGATGTATATGAGTGTCTGCATGTCTGCCTTGTGATATGTGAGTGAATACTTACCCAATGTGTGTGCATCTCTGTGTTTTGTTGTGTGTTTTCCTATGTGCACTACATAAGTGTGTGAGGGTTGGGTGTATGAGAGTCTGTGCATGTGTGTCTGCAGGAAGTACATATGCAAGTATGGCACACGCATTGGCATACATTGATGTGCACTTGTGTACATACGCGTTTGTGTGTGGGTGTGAGATATACATTGTGGTGTGTTCATGTGTGACGTGTGTGCACAGGCATGTGCAAGAGTGTGCTGGTGTGTGTGCATGCATGTGTGTGTCCCTAATGTGCATGTGTGTGTGTCTGCATGTGTATTTGAGATTTTGGTAGGCAAGTAGGGAGATTGCAAATTGAGTGTGTGTAGGTGCATATGTGTATACATGTGCCTGTTTGTGTGTGTGTGTGTGTGTGTGTGTGTGTGTGCATAAAGATAAAGAGCTAGATACATTGTCTTTAGAACCGTATTCACAGTTGAGCGCCTTTCTCTGAGCCAGGAGAATCCAGTGTGCTCCTTGTACCCTCTCAGAGTTTAACAAGGGAAAGCTTTGAACTTTCAACTTTAGTGCCGGGGCTGCTACTCCTTTTGCCTTTCCCTCTTCCCCCATAAAACGTCTGTTTATGTATTGTGTAAGAACCCATTTTAAACCCACCAACCTCCCCTTACTTTTCACTTACTCTGCGTAAAAGCTTAGTCAAGTTTAAGAGCACTTTAAGAGCATAGGTGATTCGTCAGGGTGTGAGAACTATGATTCAGGTATTTATTTTCATCACTTCATACCTTTACTTTCTCTAGTATTTGACAGTTTGGGCTCTCGGGTAATATCATAAATGACTTTGAGTTTCTTTGGAGAAGAAAAGTGTAAAATAGACTTTGAAATGATCTTTTTATTAATGTGACCATTTCATTAGCCACGGCACATTTTTTTTAAGAATATATTTTCAGTGAATCTTTTAAAGCTCATTTTATGCCTGCCTTTATTTAAACTCGATATTCTTTGGCAAAAATGCCGGAGTAGACTTTGCAAGTCCTGTTTTCTTGGAAACAGATGATTGCTCACCTTTGAGGTTTGTCTTGAGAATGTGCTCTCTGATCTTCTTAGAGTTTAGTGCATAATCAGTTTTTCTTCTTTTTTTTCCTGGCTCAGCAAATTTTCCAAGCTAGGTTTTTCTAGTTTTGGAGTATTTGGAAAAAAGCAAGTGACTTTCTAGTCAGGGAGTCCGAAGGTCACATCCGGAGCCAACCGCATGTCAAGTTTAATCTCCTGGCCTTTACAACTATTAATATTTACTCATGATGTCTTCTGGACATCTACAAAATTTTAGTCCACACTGTACAATTAGGAAACAAATTATATACTGCTTTTTTAATCTATTTTTTTTAACAGGAGTGGCTTTGGTTTCTTTTTTAATGTATTCCTTCTTACTGTTATATAGTAGGCTTGCCATAAATTTCTATTGTTAGTCCTTGATATTTTATGAATAAAAAATTTTAAAAACTGATAGTTTCTCAGATAATGTATAGTTGAAACATGTTAATGCCGTCGATTTGCTGCATAAGAACCAGAACACCTCACCACCACATCATCCAAAATGGAGTTTATGCTTCAAAAGAAAGGGAGTAAAGCTGTTGGCTTTAAATGTATAGAGACTACATAAACATTTCTTGCAACACTTGATTTACCTACATAATGTCAAGTATTTGTTGGCATCATGAAAGACAAGATTTTGGGGGATGAGATATGACTTAACCTACAGAAGTTTCTAGAAATGCCAAGATTTTCAAATTATTATTATTACTACAAAGAAGCATAGACATTCAGGTCATTTTTAACTCATATTTAATAGACATATGAGCTATTCCTCTGAAAGAAATGCTGGAAGACTATGTTTATCAGTTGACAGTGTCAAAATTAGGGTCTAAAATGTGAATCGATCAACAGGACTCCTCAATTATCAGCTTGTTTTGTTCTTCTTGATCCATGGCTATTATCTCTGTTCTTCCAATTCCACTTCAGGATTTGTTAGTGCATATTCTCTCCCTTTTGAGATTAATCCATCCTTGATTTCATTGTCTTCTCATTCCCCTCTTATATGCTATAGCTGATCTGACAGCGTGATTTCTGTCTGCCAACTGAATTCACATGCATTTTCCAAACTCAGTTCAATTAGCTGATTTTGATCAGTTTATTGTATGCAAAATAGTCTTAGGAACTGTAGATACACAAGGACAATTCTCTTCCCCATACTTAATATGGTCATAAGCCTTTGGTTGTATACAGAAAAACTGGAAGAAGATCTTTAGGCTTCAAATTATTTCACCATAAGACTCAGCAGCTCAGTGTAGTACTCAATGAGATAATAAAAACATTTTTGATACAAAAAAAGTACCTGTTTCTTTCACTGCTCTTTGGATTGCCTACTCTTAATGTTTCATCTCCATGTTTACACAGATTAGCTGATCAAAACAGGAGTGATGACAAACTAGTAAATGTATGATTTTGTGTTTATCCAGTCATAGCTACTTCTACTGTAGGTATTACTGAGTCCACATGGGACTGTGGGCTTGTGACACATTGACTGCAGTTCTTCAAGAGCCAGGAAATTTTCTCTAACTCAAATTCACTCTTCTACTTTAAGAACAGAAAGGCCAATGATAAATTATATAAGAAGATATAACAACAAATTTGGATAGCATGTTGATTGCAAAACATTCTGAGTGAGGTTCAGTGTCGCTGATAAGGTGCAGAGAAAGTTGTGGAGAGACTCATGGCTGCTTCACTACTTCATGGGCAACTTGCCTGGCTTTTCTTCCCTTTGTTCCAGATTTACTTCAGCCTTACTCACTTTATGTCACTTCTCTTCAGCCAATTCCGTTTATTAAACAGATATTGAGCAACCATCAGATGCCAGACATAACCATATGTTCTAGACAGCAGCTAATATACTATCTGGTAAATAGTAGTAGTACACTATAAATAGTTGAGATTAACAACTGTGTGAAAAGTGAATAAACAAATGTATAGTTTTTCAAACATGGAGATATTCCCCTATTTGCCTCTCACTGATTTGGGGATATAGCTAACATTTCTGGCCCCATAGTTGGACTTTCACTGAGGGGTCATTCTTGCTGACTCTCTGGACCCTCTGTGCCTATGTAGCACTTTGGTGCCTGTCTGTTGTCTTCTTGCAATCTTCCACTTCCCTGCTCTCTTGGATCCTTGTAGCTCCTTTCCATGTAGATGGAATACCATGCCAGGATCTTCTTTGCCAAATAATTCTATGGTCTCTAAAATTATTGACTTCAGATTTAGTGCACAACAAATAAAAGCCTGAGTCACTTATTTGTTGAATCACTCATTAATTTGTTTTTTAAGAAAAATAAGCTTCTACCAAATGCTGGGCCATGCTGCAAAAAGGGAACCCACACTCAACAAAAAGCAGTTCCTACACTGGAAATGGACACAAGGACAAGAAAACTGGTAATTATCAAAAGACAGCCTGACTTGAGCACTAAAAAACTGTATTGCACGAAAACCCATCCCTAAAGTCTCCAAAACAGCCACATTGTTAGAAAAGTATCCAATGCATAATAATTTCATTGAATATTTGCCAAATAACATTTTTAGATGGACAAACATATCTATTCTATTAAGTCAATACAAAATAAATAGCATCAAACAAAGAACTGATAGTGATTGGAATGACAAGAATTAGATCAAAATTTTAAAAGTGGTATTTTAAGATGTAAATGAACTCAAACTAAGCTAGTAGCATTAATAAGATAGAAATTCTAGGAGACTTTCTTAAATAAGGAGGTAAAAATTATTTCAATTAATTCAACAGCTTTTGAAATAGTGCCTCTAAAGTGATAAAAAATGCTTGAAAAGAGTTTGCTTTCCTCAATAGTTTTTATAAAACTCTGTTGAGTGGGTAGTGCCTGTTAAAGGTCACTCCAGCCATTCCCCATGATCATAAACTTCAAATGAGTGCCTTCCAAATGAATGAAATTTTACTGTGAAATAATTCTGCTCATTTCTGCCAGGCTTCATGAATGCTTTGAAAAATTTCAGGAACCCAGTCCTGATAAGCTACTAGGAAGTCAACTTCATTATGCAGTTATGGTCACCAATTTTTTTCCTGGGAATGACATATAAAACCTCTCATCTGAGCAAAATGAGGCAGATTAATGTTGCATAAAACATATACAGTCTGGATTACAAAATCGCAAAAGCTATCTCTTGGCTAGAGAAGCCTTCCCTCTTTAGATGCCTGTAATTTCAAGAGAAATTTCCCTAGAGCTTAATATTTCTTCCTCTTACAAACAGAAAATTCTACATAATAGAAATAAACCTTGATATAAGGAAATTTTAGTCAGCTTTGCTTGCTGGCTATGAAATATAAGTATAAATTATTACTTTAACCTTTTGCCTATGCCAACTTTACCTTCAAAACTAAATATTCTCCTCACAAAGTGATATGGTTTGGCTGTGTCCTCACCCAAATCTCATCTTGAATTGTAGTTCCCATAATCCCCATGTGTCATGGGAGGGAGCTGGTCGGAGGTAACTGAATCATGAGGACAGTTAACCCCATGCTGCTTTTCTCATGATGGTGAGTGAGTTCTGACAAGATTTGATTGTTTTTATAAGGGGCTTTTCCCCCTTTGCTCAGCACTACTTCTCCTTCCTGACGCCATTTGAAGAAGGATGCATTTGTTTCCCCTTCTACTACGATTGTAAGTTTCCTGAGGCTTCCCCAGCCCTGCGGAACTGTGAGTCAGTTAAACCTCTTTCCTTTATAAATTACCCAGTCTTGGGCAGTTCTTTATAGTAGTGTGAGAATGGACTGATACACAAGGTTCTCAAAGTAAACTGTTATGAGAATCACTAGACTTGGGAAATTATACCAAAATCAGTTTCAGGAAATAATTATTTTAAAGTAAAGTGTTAGAAATGGTTGGCAGGTTTGCAGGGTCAGTGTCCACATTGGAAGCTGTTGCAGCACGAAACCAATTTGCTCTTCACTCATCTCCTCATCTCCCATCTCTTCCTCTTCTTCAATGCATCTCCTAATCCTCTTTAAATATAGTTTTTATTCTGTCACTCTGCCACTAAAAATCTTTCAACTGCTGAAAGGACATATTTTGAGCTTCCATTTGTGTACTTAACATATCTTTCCAAGGAGAGGATTGGTTCGGATGATCAACCCTTAAGGGGTGAAAAGGTTAAGTATAGGTAATAAAGGGTTACTTCCTATTTGGAATCCACACTTACAGACAAACTACTGCAAGATTAGCTTCTAGAGACCCCAGTAGGATTAAGAATAACTGGGGGTTGTAGAGGACAATGGAAGTAATATGGTCTCATCTCCTGACAACATCTCTGGGGAGGTACTAACAAGCATGTGTTTCCTACAGGCAAGAAGCTGTAGGGGGGGTGAAGAGGCTGCAAGTCTTCAAAAATTCACAAATTGGATTATCAATTCTTAAGGAGTCGGCCATTGTAGCAAACCATGCCTTGAGGCATGGAGTTGAAATGCCACTTAAAGCAAGAATGAAGAAAAGCATTCCTTTTGAGAGGTAGTATTGCATGGGGTCAAGAGCATGAACTGTATTAGCACACCGCCTGGGTTTGAATTTCAGCTCCAGTGTGAACTAACTCTCTGGACTTAGGCAAGTTATTTAAGCTCTCTACTTCTTAGTTTCCTCATCTATATAATATTGATAATAAAGTTAGCTTTGTTCTAGTGAAGAGATGTAAAATACTTAGAAGAGAGCCCGGTATATGGTAAGCACTATGCAATTATTTGCTATTATTGGAAAATATTTATTTGGTGCATATTATATGATAAGAACTGTGCTGAAAATTGGGGATAAAATGGGGAGGGATTCAAATTTCCTATCCGAAAGACTCCTATTCTAATTAGGGCACTTAAAATACAAGGTGGTAAATGCTAAGATAGAGGAGGACATAATATGCCACAGAAGCTCAGGGGAGGAATACTGAAAGCAAACAAAGAAGATTTCTTACAAGAAGGGACAGCCTGAGACTTGCCATAATGCTCAAGAAGCGCTTGACCAACCTCTCTTCATTCTCCCCCGACAGTCTCTGGTTAACCACTGTTCCACTCTGCTTCTATGATAACAACTTTTTTTTTTTTTTTTTAGATTTCACATGAGTGTGATTATTATTTGTCCTGTGTCTGGCTTATTTTACTTAACATGATGTGATCCAAGTTTATTCATGTTGTCACAGGGGATAAGATTTCATTGTATCCCATATGTACAATGTGTCAATTAAAACAAAATTTTTAAAGAAACTTCAGTTTTTTGGTTTCTCCCTTGGGCAGGTCCCAGAGAGGAACGGGTGTTAAATTTGGGGAGGAAAATCCAGGATGCAAACAGGTATCATTTCTTCTTAAGTATTTTCATTAAATTACCTAAAGAGATCTTGGAAGAAATTGGGCTGAATCTTAAGTGTGCAGTTATTTGTTGTGATTTATTTTCTTATTCATAATCAACTTTCATTTCCAACATACCCTTTCTATTTGTAACTTTATATTCTTTTTCTTAAAATAAGTCCCTCAAACCTACACATGCTTTAGGTCCCCAAAATCTGTACTCACTTTACTCAAACAATGAATGGGATTTAGCTAAATTACGGGTCTCAGGGATGAGTCGAAATGGATAAAAGAGCACTCGAGGAAGAGGTCTCATCTTAGGCAAAAGATCCATGAAGTAACACAGAAACTTGGGTAGTTCCAAAGAATTTTACAGATCTTAAGTAGGGTATTTAAAGTTTGTTTCCATTTCTACTCTGTTGTTTAAGAACTTAATTACACAGACATTTGTGTCCTTATTTTAACTAATGTTCAATACTGGACTACTTCTTTTCACTCTTAGAAGAGTAATACTGAGAGAGCAGGCTCAAGGTATGTGGTTCGATGTCTTATACAAGGTGGTAGCTTATATAAGCATTACCAAGACCCAAAGAGACAATATGGAGGTCTCTTCTTAGTATCTATAAGGCAGAAAATCCTCCCCAGGTTTTGTTTGTTTGTTTTTTTTTTGAGACGAGTCTCGCTCTGTCTCCCAGGCTGGAGTGCAGTGGTGCGGTCTCAGCTCACCGCAAGCTCTGCCTCCCGGGTTCATGCCATTCTCCTGCCTCAGCCTCCCGAGTAGCTGGGACTACAGGTGCCCGCCACCACGCCCGGCTGATTTCTTGTATTTTTAGTAGAGACGGGGTTTCACCGTGTTAGCCAGGATGGTCTCGATCTCCTGACCTTGTGATCCGCCCGCCTCGGCCTCCCAAAATGCTGGGATTACAGGCGTGAGCCACCACGCCCAGCCCCTCCCCAGCTTTTATATTGAACTCTATTGTAAAAAATAAAGTAAAGGTTCCTCTTCAAAGATTTTCCTCCCCATTTATTAGGAATAAATAGTAACTTCTCTTAGAAGCAAAATTTATTCAAAGACCTGTGCTAACATTCTTAAATATCTGCTAGCTGTGGTAAAGAAATCAACGTACTTTATGTTCTTAGCTCCCACAATTTGGCCTAAATATTTGCCCTGGCAGGCTTATACTGGTTGAAGCAAGCATTAGGTCATAGCCTGTTCCTTTTCCTTATTTAAAGGTGTTTTTACCTTTCTCAGCATTCCACAAGTTACTTCCTCTCTCCTTTGTTCTCTTCTACTTTTGCCTCTTTAAAAAGTTCTAAGTCGCCAGTCAATCGAGACAAAACAAAATGTGAGGCCCCGTTCCAGCCAACGGAAACTGGACACAACAGTATGGTGGGCACTGCAGGTTGGAAATGACCCTGTCTCCTTTGTTTGGTGTACTCTCCTGGCAAAACTGCTGGTGAGTGTACCCTTTCTGCAGAAAGTATAAAAACGGCCTTGCTGAGTAAATTAAATTTATGTTCAAGTGCTATTCTTTACGGCACCGAGAAACAAGCATTTCAAACGTCTATGATAGGTAATACATGAATATGCTTACGTGTATATGATAATGTACATATAATAATGTACAATATATAAAATAATATGCATACATACTTCTGAGCTTATAGTTCTTAAAATATGCCAAAGTAAAATAAAAGCTCATTGTTCATCTGGATCCATTATTTTCATTTATTTTTGACATGCTTCTTAAATATGGGCAATTTGGATGTATGCATTTTAATTAGTAAGACTAGCTAATGTATAAAATTACTTTTAAAAGTAAAATAAAACAATAAAAAATAATTTGCAAGTATTAAAATTCTCATAATTGGGTAAAGTTCAAATGAAGAAATTCAGCATTTTAAATTTGAACCCTTTTAGAACAATATGTTCTGGTCTCAGACGTTACACGTTTCATTTTTTAAGAGGGAAAAAGAAAAAATGAGAAAAACAAGCTAACAAATGCCACGGAATTATAAATTAATAATGCTTGTTATGTTCTGTGGTTTTTGAACCTCTAACTATTCCACCCAAATAGAACATGGCACTTCTCACTCTAGTGTGGTCTGATATAAGCCATGGATTCAGGTACTCTCAGCGGCCAGACACATCCTCAATCAATTATGGAGAGATCAACAACCATTTTGCCTTTCAAATGAGCTTGAGAAAAATTGGGCTGTTTTCCCAAAATGGAGGAAGGAGATGAGAACTGCTCATTCTCTGAAAAGGAATCATGTTAATGAAATGACAAAGAGAGCTTTGTTCATTTAAATACCATAAAGTCCATCCGAATTGGTAATAGAGTACATAATTGTCTCTATTATATCTCAGTCAAATCTTTGCTAAGGGGCTGATCTCTTCAGTCCCCTTAATGAGAAAGAAAACTGGAAAGAACTCAGTTTCATGATATTTAAAATCCTTCCCCAGGGCACATGGGCTCTATAACAACCACAAAAATCCATTACTGCATAAATATAATCTTTTGAATTTTAAAGCAAAAAAATAGAAATAACATGTATCAGAAAAAGTATTGTGCTACTAAAAAGAAAGTGATGCTTATATTTTATTTATTTATATTTTCCAATTAGTTTGCAATGACTATGAATATTACTTGGTTAATTACTTTTTAATGACTGTGTTATTAATTCATAAAACTCTAAATAATGTTTGACTGCATCTGTGTCAATATATATGTGAAAATGGAGTGAAAATAAAGCATATCCATACTTTGTGTATTGAAATTTTTCTTTATATTTTTCTATATTGTGTACATTTTGCATAATAAACATAAATAGCTCTGATTTAATGTAATTTTAAATTCTATAATATCAATAATATTATTCATTATAATATATACTAGAATAAAAATAAATCTTTTTTATTGGAATATTCCTAAGTGCTTGCTGTTTTATTACATCAAATGTGGTTATTAGACTGGCAAAAGAAGGTTTATCCAGGTTATTTTTTTTTTAATTATCTGACCACAGGATAAATGTGGCTCATGGAAATTAATTGGGAGCACCTGTTCCAAGGTAGCTTTCTGACAGAGGAACATCAATCTTCCCATTGCATGTAATTCTTCTTCTGAAGAGACAGAAAAAGTCTGTTTTTGGAAAAGTCAAGGTATTTGGCCACGGAACCAGACCTTTCTTTCCAACAGCCTCTGTTAGTGTTTCCAGCTTCATGTGACAAAGAGATGGGTCGATCAAAGTATTTTTAATGTGAGTCAATTAGGCGGCATTGTTGAAGAAATCCATTCAGAAACTGCAGGTGTATCTCTCCGCATTTGAAGTGGGCCTGTGGGATTCAGATGTGATAATGGAAAAGTGGATAAATGACAGCTCTGGGCATCAGTTTCAAGGAAGTGCTCAGCTGAATATAGAAATCAAATGGAAGAAAACAAATAACACTTTGTGGATCCTCTCCCCTCGAAACTTGAATTGTTCCTTGCTCCTCTGTGCTTCCCAAAAGAAGACAAAAGGTCAACTGGTAACCTTTCACGGCTCTTAGAGCTGGGTGACTTTCTTCTCAATTTATACAAACAAGGTATGTACACACAGCTCTAAATGACTTGGTTAACAGTCCAAAAATACTTGGTTATTTCACTGATGCTGAATAATTCCCTGCCACCTTCACCAATGAACAGTTAAAAAAAAAAAAGCAAGCTTAGTTCTTGTATTCATTTGAAATCATAGTAACTGATGAGTTTGGTAACTTACAGTTCTAGAATTGTTTCCTGTGACACGGTGGAACTAGAATATCTCGAAAGTATTCCTACTGCTCCATTCTATAAAGTACAATAGTTTCACCTTATCTGCAGTTTGGCTTACCCACCATCCAAAAAAATTAAATGGAAAATTCTAGAAATAAACAATTCATAAGTTTTTAGTCATGCACCGTTCTGAGTGGCCTGGGGAAATCTCCTGCGCTCCTGCTCCACCTCGCCTTGGATACAAATCCTTCTTTTGTCCAGCATATCCACACTTTCTACCCACCCATCTGTTAGTAACTTCATAGCCGGCTCAATTACCAGGTGGACTGCTGTGGTATTGCAGTGCTTATGTTCAAGTAACCCTTCTTTTACTTCATCATGGCCTCAAAGCACGAGAGTAGTGATGCTGACAATTTGGATATACCAAAGAGAAGCTGTAAAATGCTTCCTTTCAGTGAAAAAGTGAAAGTTCTACATTTAATAAGGTGAGAAAAAATGGTATGCTGAAGTTGCTAAAATCTATGGTAAGAATGAATCTTCTACCTGTGAAATTGTGAAGAAGGAAAAAGAATTCAGCAAGTATACATAGGGTTCTCTACTATTGGAGATTTAAGGCATCCACTGGGGGTCTTGGAACATATCACCTCTGGATAAGGGGGGACTACTGTATGCTCTTGGCTACTATGGTGGAATTTGCAAGTTCTCCTAGATTAAGGCATGTGTTGCAGGATTAGGTCATAGAGACAGGTGGGCTCAAATACTGACTATTCCACTTAGTAGTTAAGTGACTGGGCTATTTAAAGTTTCCTCATCTGTTAATGAAGATAACAATTCTCACCTCATAGGGTCATTGTGAAAATCAAATACTATATTGTTGATAAATCTCAGCATAAAATCAGTTTTTATCAATAACTGTTTTATGATTGCTATAAGTTTTATCATATGAATTCTTAAATTTGTTGAATATCAGTTTTCTTGCCTGTAAAGTGGGAAAAATAATGATTTCCTCTTAGGTATGACAATTAAATTGAATGAGCTAACTCTGTAGATACTGGGTACTTAAAGGATAGTTGCTTGGTATAACTATTCTTTATTATCACTATTATTATTACTTGAGAACTTTCCAACTTCAGTGTTTCCCAAGGTGTGTTCTATGTCCTACATTTGTGTGGAAGGAATACAACAATGAATTTAAATAAACGGCGCTATACTTACATATGTATTTTATTAATAATAACCAGCAAAAGAAACTTGCTTTATACAACTTTCTTTTATACAATATTTATAAATTAAAATTGATAATTGGGGCAAAAAATAGACAAAACAATGATACCAGTGGTATGGGGGAATGGCAAAATGCACGTGCTTATTCATTCATTCACCTAGTCCCCTAAGTGCTAGGCACTGGACCAGTGCCATGTAACAGAACTTGCCTGCCTGGCAGACATACTTACTACCCCTAAACTGCAAACTAGCATTGAACATAATGGCATGCAATTGCCTTAATCTTCAAGTTGAGCTGTCTATTTTACGGCCTCAACAGCACACATCTTGGTAACAAGGCTGAATATGCCAATAAGCAGATTCCCAACATGAAATTCTAATAAAGATCAAAATGAGAGAACATAGCAACTATTCCTCACTTTTCTACATCTTAGTGTGATGGGGAAAAGCAGACTATTTCAATGCAAAGAAATCAAACCAATCAATGTGCCTGAATTGCAGTTCTGATCTCTATATGAGGGAAGGTTTAGGAGATTATGGCATTTGACCAAGGGGCCCTCATAACTTTTGTTACCACTGAACTTTGATTATTATCTAAAAGAAAAGTAAGAGTTAAGAGAAAAAGAAATGTTATTCTGATTTAGATGAAATGAATGAATTTTATTAATGGAAAACAATAGCTGTGGTAGTAATAATGGCTTTTTCCTACATGTGAGGTAAACCATAGCATATTTTTCATTAAGGAAATGAATTACAATTTCCTTCTATTACAAGAGTAAACAGGGAGGACATGGTTTTGCACACTGTGAATAAACAAATACATAAGAAATAAAGCAAAGTCTTAATGCCTGTCTCTTGCAAGCCCCTTTGTCTGAAACAGCACAGCACAGCTTGTCTCATGCATGGTGACAAAGAAGCAGAGGGAAAGTCTTACCAAAAATGCAGACTTCAGTTACAATGTCATTTGATCTTGTCCTTTGAGATGTGCTTTTCTGAAAATGCCTCTGCCGTTCAGCACTGCATCAGCAAAACAAAGTCCATGAACACGAAAACCGAATCTATAACCATGCAGAGCTGTGAAAAATTTCTAAATGTGTTCAAAAAACATTTTGATGTAAATTAACCTAAACTCCCTGTATGGATATTGTCAATTATTCATGACACAAATCATGCAACAGAGCTGTCAGTAGGTACTTGATAGAATATACAGAATGAAATACATATATATATAAATACAGATATCATGCATATATGTTAACATATTCATGCATATAAATATCCAATCACATAAACATATATTGACATATATACATATATAACACATTCATGTAATAAATAAATATATGTCCATGAATACACATATATACACATACGTAAATGAGGCAAGGTGGTAGAATCAAAGAGCACTGAACCGACCATGCTTGGAAACCTGGATTCTAGCCGTTTTGTGTGAGTCACTTACTCCTGTTTCAGGATCTCTATTGCCTCAGTGTTTGGACCAATGTCCCATTTCAGTATAAAATTCTTTCATTCTGTGTCCCCTTATCCCCTGTCTTACCAGATGTGGTACAGATGTCTTTTTTAGGATGAGCCAAGGTCATCAAGCTTGGGAACTTGTAAGTGTCGATTGGAGGGGTGAGAAAGGCATTCTCCCTAGCTCACTTGGCTTCTATTCACCTATCAGACTTTCTCTGGGCTGTGTCTGCAGACTTTTGTTTATATCTCTTTGGATGTTTTTTCCTAAATGCTAGAAAACTGATCCTGGTTCTTTCTGTGAATGAGTTTTCACTGAGGTCTCACCCAGCAGTGAGCTACCAGCTCTCTTCATTTGAGAAGAGTGAATAGCTAATTATTTTATGACATACAATAGAGTCGAAATTAAGTTACTATGTTTTTGTGCTATTTTTTAATTTTCACTATACTCTAAATGTTAACAGACGAAAGCCTAATTGGAATTTTCCAAAGGAAGTCTCATTTTTCATAGCTCAGTCTAGGAGCAAACGCCTCTATTTATGTGTTAATTTTTATTTGATGCTTTTTTGTCATTTTGTTTATTACTTCTTTGGATATTAGTTAACATTTATTGAAGCCTTACTGGAAGGGAGCTGTCTATTTAATTATCTTATTTAATTTTCATAACTATCTATTATAATTATCCCAATTTTAGAGATGAGAAAACTTAGGCACAGAGGTATTAATTAACTTGACTAAGGTCACACAGCTAGGGTGCCAGAGCTGAAATCTGAATTTGAGCAGTCTGTCTCTAGAGTCTGTACTGTTAACCAAGATACTCTACTGCCACCATTGTAACATTTGCCAATATGACTATTATAGGTACCAAAAAATCCTATCTCAAACCCATATAGTGTATCCAAATATGAAGTCATCTTGTAATGTATGTCTACCCTCTACACATTGAGACTTCTTGACAAATGTAGTAACCAGTGGTGTGACCTTGCAGAAATTATTAAATTATTTTTGCTCCTTTTTCTTCAACTCTAAAATGGTTATAATAATAGTTGTTTACCTTGTTGGGGCTCAGAAACCAATACCTCAAAATATGCTGCTCTGGCATGCCAAAGTAAAGGGAGACCTTTAAGGTCTCCCTCTGACCTTCCTCTGCCTTCCTGTTTCTCTGATCCTTTTTATTTTCCAAAAGGGACTTTCTCTGAAATTTCCGTATTTGTCTGAGAAAACTTCTTGTAAATTAAAGGAAATTATCTTAAAACCCTCTTCTTAGGAATCTCATTAAATAACCAGGAAGGATTAACACTGGAGAAGAGGAGAGACTGGAAATTGTAACCACATGCAGACAGACTTTTCATCGATTCTTTTAAGGGCAGTTGTGAGAAATTACTTGGGGAACTGTACTTGCGTAATAAGACAACCATTGTTCACAATGCAGTTCTGCCCCACACCCTTCTCTAACTTGTCCACCAGCTATTGTGTGTTTTTTGGTTGCATTCAGCATCCAAAGAGAATCTTTGATAAATCATTATCTTGTCCTTGGGTCTATTCATTCACTTTCCTCTCTCCAATGAAGAGGATATTTAAGCATCAATCATCTGGCCCTTTTTTGAGTTTTTAATATTTTTTTGTGTGACTCCTATGCACATAATAAATTTGTTATGCTTGTCTCTTATCAAGCTCTCTTTTGTTACGGGGAGTTTTGGCCATGACCCTTTATGAGGAGAAAAGGGATCACCCCCTTTTTGCGTCTACAACCTTATAGAGATGTTGTAAGGGTTATATGAGACAGTTTACATAAAGTATTTAGTACCTTGCCTAGCACATAGTTAGTGCTCAACTAAGGCGAGTTATTATTACTATTAGCAGTAGTGTCATAGAGGAGACAATTTAGAATTTGTTGTTAGAGAGAACTGAATTTGTATCTTGGATTTTCCATCTATGTATTTCCGTTACCTCTTCAGCCTTGCTGGTATATTGCTACTTGTTTTGTAGTGTTATTTTATATGCTTGTGTGTGTCTGTGTAATATATACAGGGAGAAGAGAGAGAGAAACATATTAATATTGAATAACTGCTGGGAATTTCTTGTCTCACACTTAAAATGATAATCCAGTTTACATGCACATAATACATGGATGCAGATTTGTTGATCAGATTAATATTATAAGAAGCTAAAATAGGAAACAACCTAAATACTGAAAAATAAAAAATTATTTAAATTGGTGTTAATATACCTGTGTAACAAAAAGTTACACAACCATTAAAATTATGTTTAGGAGGAATATGTAATCTGAAAAATCTTAGATTTTTAAGTAAAGAAAAGAAAACAGGCTACAGGGTAGGTTGTGTATCATAACCCCAAAGTAGAAGAAAAGTGTACAAATAGATGTGGATGAATATATACAATAGGAAACATTCAGAATGAAAGGTTAACAGTGGTTATTTCTGCAAGTTACCATTACCAGCAGTCTTTATTTTCTATGTTCACTTATGTGTTTGTGTGATTTGTATATCACATTAACATAGTTTATGTTTGAAACACTACTACTAATAATAATGATAACTAATAGGTGTTATTTTATAAAGTAAAACAAAAACTCAGTGGTTTGGAGAAAAAGAAATTACCTAATTACCTCCCTCTTCAATCCAGTCCTTGAGTCCTACTCCAATCAGACAAACCCACACACAAACACATAGCCTGTCATCCATCACCTCCATCTGCTTCTCCTTTTCTGTCTGCTCAGCCACATGCTTCTACTGAAGACTGTGTCTATGCCAATTTTCCAAAGCTTCTTCCGTCTCGGGCCATTGCTGATACTTGACCTTTTACTTTCCAATCTGTTCTGTCCATCACCAGTGTTTAATATTTCTATCATGTGCATTTAAATGATTATTAGCGTTCTCTTTCAGGAAAGAACCCCATCTTCTCTCATTTGTCTTACTCGAAGGTGACGCACAGAAAACTTGATACCAAGTTGTTGCTTCATGAGCACTCAGGATTGGCCAGCTTCATTTCATGATCTGTCTAGGTTCCTTGCTCTAAATCTTTCACCGGATCAGAAACATGAAACAAAGTGGTGCTTTAAGTTGCACAGTCTCCCCCTTATTGCTTGAATTTAACGCTGCCGTCACACAACAATGAATCTTTCACCTGGAGGTGTGGTGGTGAGTGAGTTCTCACTCTTAGTTCCCGTAAGAGCCTGTTGTTAAAAAGATCCCGTCACCTCTCCATGATCTCTCTTGCTTCCTCTCTCAGCGTGTGATCTCTGCACATGCCAGCTTCCCTTCACCTTCCACTCTGAGTGGAAGAAGCCTGAGCCTTTCACGCGATGCCCAGTCTTCCAGCCAGCAGAATTGTGAGCCAAATAGTTTTTTCTTTATAAATCATTCAGTCTCAGGTATTCCTTTATAGCAACACAAAATAAATTTAGACAATTCCTCTCTGATTTTTAACTTCTTCATCTATAAAATGGAGATAATAACACATTCTTTAAGGTATCTTTTTAAAGCCTAAATGAAATAATACTTAAAATGCTTAGCAGAATGTCTGACATAAAACAGGATATTATTGATTATTAATTGTTATAGTAGGCAGTGAGGTGGCCCCCACAAAAAGATATGTCCATATTCTAATCCCCAGGTTTTGTAACCATTATCTTACACGGCAAAAGAATAACTATTTGTCTTATAGGGCAAAAGATGTTATTAATCTAAGGACCTTGAGAGGTGGAGCTATCCTGGATTATCCTAGTGCAAGGTAAATGTGATCACATCCATCCTTATCACAGAGAGGTGGAAGAAATTTAGACACAGACACACAAAGAAGAAGAAGATAGACAGAAGAAGAGTGGGTGATGTGAGACATAGACAGAGATTGAAGTGATGGGCCCACAAGCTAAGGAATTGCTACAGCCACCAGAAGCTGGAAGAGGCAAAGAACAAATTATCTCCATGAGGTTTCAGAGGGAGCACAGCCCTTCTGACACTGATTTCAACTCAGTGAAACTGATTTCAGATTTCTGACCTCTAGAATTTGGGGAATATAAATTTATGTTCTTTTAAGCCACCAGACATGTGGTACTTTGTTACGGTGGTAATAGAAAACTGATACAGATTTTATTTTGTTTTGCTTTGTTTTGAGACAGGGTCTCATTCTGCCACCCAGACTGGAGTGCAATGGCAAGATCATGTCTCACTGCAGCCTCGACGGCCTGGGCTCAAGCAATCCTTCTACCTCAGCCTCTCAAGTAGTTGGGATAGTACCTGACAGTAGCCACCAGGTCTGGCTAATTTTTTATTTTTTTGTAGAGACAGTGTTTTGGCATGTTACCCAGGCTGGTCTCGAACTCCTGGACTCAAGTGATCCTCCCACCTCAGCTTCCCAAAGTGCTGAGACTAGAGGCATGAGCCACCAGGCCAGGTTCAGGTTTTTTATATTTGTTGTAATAAATTTCTAAAAATGTAGAAGTGGCTTTGCAATTGCATAGTGATAGAAGCTGGAAGAATATGAGGAAGCATGATAACAAAGGACTACACTTCTTTGAACAGACTATTTGTAGAAATATGGACATTGAAGGAGATTCTGGTGAGAGCTCAGAACAAAGTGAGGAACAAGGTAGGGAAGTCTTCTATAGTTTTAGAGAATACATGTGTTGTCATAGAAAGAATATTGGTAGAAATATGAATGTTAGAAGCACGGCAGAAGAGGGTTCAGCACCAGGAATAAGCAGCATGTTATTGGAAACTGGAGGAAAAGGGATCCTTATTATATACTGGCAGAAAAGTTGGCTTAATTGTGTCCTACAATTTTTGTGTCAAAAGCAGGATTTATAAGCAATGAACTTGGATATTTAGCTAAGGAGATGACCAGGTCTGCTGTCAAAAAGTGCAACCTGGTTTCTTCTTGATGCTTATTGTAGAATGCAAGAGGGAATAAATGGATTGAGGAAGGAACTGTTAAGCAGAAAGAAATGATGATTTAATAATTTTGGAAATTTACAACCTATCAGGATTAAAAAGAAACCTAACTAATATTGAGACTAAGGATCACCGTTAGAAAAAAGAAATGCTCTTGAGAGAAAGCCAAAGTTGTGGCTGGACAGGAATTTAATAATTGCAGATGTGTGACTTCTGAACTCACTCAACCGTCTCAACAGAAGCTAAGAAGAGTTGGGTTTATCCAGGAAAGGCCTACGGAGTATGCTGTTGTTTAATTATATGAGTCCCTGTGACAAACATGGGAGACCCACAAGGTTTTGGGGAATATTGTATCAGCAGAAACACTGCCAGACTGGCCTGAAAGGGACATACATGGGACATAATGAAGGCAGACTGTCAGACTTCTGGGATTTTATAGGCAGAAAATGGGCTGATAGAACTAGTTGGCTACAAACATGTATTATCATTCAAAAAAAAGAGAAGAATGACTCTGAGTGCAGAGCCTTGGGTACAGAGGGCAAAGCTCCAGACCCAGAGATCATAGCTTCAAGCAACAGAAAATAATTGTCAGGTCTTGAAACCTAAGGAAATTTTCCTTGCTGGATTTTGAACTGGCTTGGCATCAGTGACCACTTTGTATCTTCCATTGTCTCCCTTAAAATGGCAGTGTTTATAACTATTAACTACACTTGCCCATCATTGTATTTTGGAGGCAGATAACTTTTTTTTTCGAGGTTCTCATGTCCACAGATGGAGAGGGATTTTGGTGTCCTATCTATTGGCCCTGTCAAGTTAATATATAAAACTAACAATCACACATGTATCCTTCAAAGCGAAAGGAAAAGGGAGTCAGAGATAGACACAAAACGGAGGACATACACAGAGAAGGCAATATGAAGAGAGCAGCAAAGATTGGAATGATGCAACTACAAGCCAAGGAATGCTGAGGGTTGATGGTGCCTACCAGAAGTTAAAAGATAGGCATGCAGCAGATTCTCCCTTACAGTTTTGGAGGAAGTGTGACCTTGCCAACACTTTGAGTTTGGACTTCTGGCCTTCATAATTATGAGAAAATACATTTCTGTTGTTTTACGCCTCCAGGTTTGTAGTAATTTGTTACAGCAACCTAGAAAACAAATACAGTTCTCTTAGCTCTTGGTAATCCCCAGAAAGTAGAATAGGCATTAGCCCAGAGTAAGCATAAAATGTTACTGATAATGTTATGTCCTGATTTATAGTTCATTTCTGAGGATATTGTGTGTGCTCAGTAAATGTTTTTTGACTTGAATAAAAGTCCCAAAATGTGCAAATAGGTGTCACGGACATCTCTAAAATAGCCTCAAAGAACATTTCTAAAATGTCCCCCTCCTCCTCCCTGTCTTCTAAACACTCATTTCAAGTAAACACTGCTTCGAAAGCAAGTTTAAAATGCAGCTTGATTGATGGCTCATCAGCAGCAAACAATCACATTCAAAGCCGCATATTTACATGGTCAATACACAAATTAAACATGAGATTTCCCTGAAGTCACTCTATAAACTTGTTAGATCAAAAGTCACTTATGCACTTCATTTCGGGGAAGGAGGTCACCCAGCCTGCAGAACACAGATTATTCATGGCATGAAGAAATTCTTTGTTTCGCAGGGTTAGGCTTGGATCAGAATTGCGGTAAACCTCTTGGCTAGTAGCAGAATATTGACTAAAGCTCTGTCTTCCACCAGTGCAGAGGAGAAAGCCCTGTCAAAACCCACAAGAAATCTTTTTCTTGTTTCTAATCATCTCAAACACTGCTGAATACTTTATCTCTCACAGGAGCAGACTTCTTTGTTCTCACAGTTACGAAATGAAGGGGAGGGTGAGGGCAATCTGTTCTCAGCCAGAAGCAAATGAGGTTTTGCAAGATAACCAGGGGCATAGAGACTTCTCCCATACCTGGTAAAACATTGTGTCTAGGGATGCCCCACCCCAGGCATGTTGCCTTCCTCTGGACCTGTGCCAAGATCCCGAACAAACCTAAATGGGAAACTCAAAACCAAGCAGAGAAAATAACTGAAATCCAGGAGGAGTTGGTTTATGAAGCCCAATTAGATAGCCTGAATATTGCATTCAAAAGGTGACTAAGTCAAGACTTGAAAAACATCAGCATAAGTCAGAAGGATGTGAGTGGTAAAACTGGCAAGGAGTAGACAAAATGCAATGGGAATAGTCAATGCATAGAGAACATATTTTTTAAAAAGAGATTAAATGGCAGTGTAAAGAAAATCTTACTCTTGGTAAAACCTCAGTATCTCTCTTTTTTAGGATTGTATTTTTGGGTTGCTAGCTTCAGGTTAAAATATATAGAAAATACTGTAGTATTATGAAGGCCATACTACCAAATTTTTAGGAAATATTCTATGCTAGGTATTACATTAAATATTTTGTTAATCTCTAACATCCCTACAAGATGAAGTCAGATAAAGATAGAAATTAAGACTGAAAGATTAAAGGACTTGTTTCACATCATACAGTTCATAATTGCTGGAGCAAAGATAAGAATTCAGGTCTACATCTTTCCATTAGATCATGCTACTCTTTAGTCAAACTCTCTAAACTACTCTTCACCAACAATTAACGTTTTCTCTGTAATATCATCAGTAGGCGAATGAGACTTGTTACCAGCACTCTATTCAAATGTATGTGGGGTGAAATAATAAAGCACTTGAATTAAGGGAGATTTTATTCAATGTTTTAGGAGAGATTCTCTCAGCATCTAGTATCCCTAGTTACCCCCTTCAGCTTCCTGAGGAGGATTATTTCTCCTTGTCTCTACAGGCCTAAAGAAAGGTAAATCAGATGTATTAAAAGTGCCTTTTCAACTTATGAGAATCTGCAGTATGCTTAGTTCTTTGCTGGGACACTGTTACAAAAGGAATAAATGAATTACTGAAGTCTCTGCTCTCAGGAATTTATCATGAAGAGGGACAGAGTGGAACTTCACAAAATTATTAGGAAGTGCAACACAAAAGTCAGTTTAGGTCAGAGCCTTCCCTCATTCTGATTCCACATTCTATTGCTTTGAACATGTTCATTTGTCCGATCTGGAGACTAACTGTTTCTTATACTCTGATGGTCCCCTTGGGTTTACACCGGTTTCCACTTTTTCTGCTCTAGTAGTAACGTCTCCTTGTTAGGCATTAGGGCTTTTGCAGAATCCTTTACAATATGACAGAATAACATGAGTCAATTATTTATAGTTAAGGTGCATTGAAAACATATATTTCAAAATGAACATGGTGCAGAACTTGCTGGATATAGGGAATGAAGAGAACTAAGAGGTTTGCAAAGAAGTTTTGGGTGAGGAATTGAGAAAGAAATGAGAGCTGTGAGAGGATGATAGGTTAGAAGAAAAAGGGAAAAGAAGATTTTACAAAGTGTTAATTTAAATTTTAAATGAACAGTTTTCCTTTTCTGAGAAATGCAAGTTAATGGATGTGCTGCAGTTTGCACTACTTCTGGCTCCTGGGCTGAGTGAATGTCACTAGGATTCTCCTCAGAAACTCTACTACATGGGTGCCAGCTTACATTCAGGTTACATGTATGTAGCACTGTCTATGTGGAAGCACCATTCTAGGCACTAAGTATACAATAGTGATCAAGGTTGGTGATATGGTTTAGCTGCTTCCCCACCCAAATCTCACATTGAATTGTAGCTCCCATAATGCCCACATGTCATGAGAGGGACCTGGTGGTAGCAATTGAATCATGGGGCAGGTTTTTCCCATGCTGTTCTCATGATACTGTATAAGTCTTATGAGATCTGATGGTTTTGTAAAGGGCAGTTGCCCTGCACACACTGTCTTGCCTGCCACCACGTAAGATGTACCTCTGCTCTTCCTTCACCTTCCACCATGATGGTGAGGCCTCCCCAGCCATGTGGAACTCTGAGTCCATTAAACCTCTTTTCTTTATAAATTACCAAGTTTTGGGTATTTATTCATAGTAGTATAAAAATAGACTAACACAGCTGGCATAGTCTCCAGCCCCAAAAGAATTCAAATTCCAGTGAAAAGGCAATGACAGAAATTATCACCATAGTAGGACTATAATTTGTGAGGACGTATGATGCTTTCTAAATATGGCACCGTTTATTCCTCAGACCAATCTTGTGAGATTAGTGTTATCAATTCTGTCTGATAGTGAAAGAATTCAACTCAGAGAGTCCAGGTTCTGTTCAGTGGAGATGCATATAATGAACAGCTGAGCTGGGATTCAAAACATAGATCTGTCTGAGTCCAAAAGCCTTCATCTTGGCAGTGGAATATAGTCAATGGCTAAGAGACAAGAAACAATGGAGAGCTTAGAACTAACCCTTTGGAGATGCTAACATTCCTGGGTTTGGAGAGGAAATGCTGGTCAGGGGCTAAATAAGGCACTCAGGATGTCAGAAAGATGTGGGACAAAATAATGCAAGGTGGTATAATATTTCTGAAAGCTGAAGAATTGACATTATCTAATAATAGGGAAAAACTCAGGATGTAGTCAAGAATCCTTTATTTTTGGAAATCCTAATATTGAAAGCATAGATTTCAGGTGGATGTTGAAGTCTCCAATGGCCACCAAAACTGCAGGGCTCTAAAAAGGTGTTAGGTTTTGAGAAAAACTTAAATGTGACGCAGACCTTTTATTCAGCAAAAAAAAAAAAAAGTTGTTGCAAAGGTAATCACTAAAATGGACAGGCATTTTAAAATATTAAAACAATGAGGTTTGTTGACAGGTATCTAATAGAGGAAAGAAAAAGCCAGTTGAGATGGCAATATTGAAAACGGCCACCTGGCACACAACTTCGGGGGGTGCCATTCATCTTGAGCTCTGTTTCAAGGCATGTGTTACTCATAGATCACAATACGAATGGTGCCCTCTAGAGCTGTGCAACGCGCATCTGTGCAACGATGTTGCTGTGAGAGGGAGTAATGTCTCATAAAAATCAACATGAAAGAATAGGAAAAACATAGTCTTGGTATTTAGAAATGTTACTGTGTGCCCTTGCGTACTTCATTTTATTACCTGGACCTCAATATATATAAAATTGAAAGACCGGACTGGGTGAATTGTATTAAGAGCACTAGGAACATAAATTCAAATTTGTGCTGTATTTACAAACCTCTTTTCACAATCACAATTACATTTAATATAATAAAATGAATGATGGCATGTTATTATATTCATCTTATTATTCTCATTTTTATTCTTTTTAATTTTTTTTTTTTTTGAAAAATAGAGACAGGGTTTTGCTATGTTGCCCAGGCTGGTTTCAAACTCCTGGCTTTAAGCAGTCCTCTCACCTGGGCCTCCCACAGTGTTAGGATTACAGGTGTAAAGCCACAATACCCAGCCCATCTTGTTATTTTCATAATAAATAAGCTTTTAGTTTTTAACCTGAAGTTCAGTAAGTTCAGCCAACTTGTCTGTGATCAGACAACTAGGGACTACTGGTGGCCAAAATAAAAATTCCTAATGGCAAACCCTATGTAGAAGGGGATGATGTCTAGGAAAGAGATGGAGGATTGGTGATGCATTCACATTCTTCTTATGATCTATTTGCAGATGTCTTCTACGAACATTTGTTTCCCAAACCAGAGAAACCCTTATTCACTCATTAACCATTGGGATTTTTGTTCAAAGGCCCATGAATTATTGCTACTTTAAATTTGCAAGCAAATTTATAATTGGATCCTGATGTCCCAGCACCCATAAATATTTTATAATAATTGTACAAACAACACTTACATTAAGGTTAGTGTAAAAGCCTTAGTAAAACTGTCAAAGCAATTTAAACAGAAAAATATGATTAAGGTGTACTTTTTACTTTTTTCCCAATAAATATAACTTGTTTTATGATATTCCAGGACATGAACGATTAAAATAGGGAGACCCCCATCTCTACCAAAAAATAGGAAGAAGAAGAAGAAGAAGAAGAAGAAGAAGAAGAAGAAGAAGAAGAAGAAGAAGAGGAAGAACAAGGAAGAGGAGGAGGAGGAAGGGAGGAAGAAAAGAAAAAATATTAGCCCGTGGTGGTGGCACACACCTATAGTCCCAGCTATTTGGGACGCTGAGGCCAGAAGACCCCTTGAGGCCAGGAGTTTGAGGCTGCAGTGAGCCATGATTATGCTACTGTGCTCCAGCCTGTGAGACAGAGTGATATCTTATGTCAAAATAAATAAATAAGTATTGGTGAAAATATAATAGGATAAAATTGCAAGCCATAGGAAATGGAAGTCTAGCACTTACAGAGGTAAGCAATCTTATTTAGTTGAAAAAGCAGCAGTACTTAGCGCCACCATACCTAACTATGAATTGCTGCCAGGTCCCTTTAACGTCTGTGGGTTTTGGAACCAGTGATTTAACCTCTGTGTGGCTCCATGTCCTCAGACCTGAATTGGAGGTCATACCTATCTCACTAAACTGTGTGACAATTTAGTACAGTAAGTATGTGAAGTGCCTGATAGAGCATGACAAATGGTGGTATCTGAATTGAGAGTAGTCATGTTCATTAATACTAAAAGTTTTACAGGACATTTTTAAACTGTGTATTCATCTATTATGTTTCAAGTGATGTTTAATTTAAGACTTTTCAGTTTGACGTTATTGCAACAGAGACATGTTTCCCATATGACCACATATATTCCTCCCTAAGTGTTATATGTTGCAGACTATTCTTGTAAAAATATGAGACAGTTAATTTAAATTCATATCATTGATTATGTATATGGAGACAAGGTTTATTAAAATTGGCTGGTTGACTTGATTATATCAATTTGTATTTAGGGATCTATGGTCGATAAATTAGATCTGCGATTTCTTCCTTTCCTGAGTTTCACAGGCTTTGATCAATAATTTAGAAGCAGCTTTCTTTTAAAAGACATACGCTCAACATAAGCTTAACTGAACGACATGGATGTTAATAAAACTTTTCTGGCTTTCCAAGCCGTGATTTTATTTAAAACTGAATGGACATAAATCCCCTCTCATTTGCCAAATATAATTTAATCATGCGATATGTTATGGTTATTAAACGTTATATATTAGAGTGGGGATGATCTGGGCGTGAATCCTAGCCTTACTATTTACTGGTGTGTGTCCTGACACAAGTTTGTCAGCTTCTCCAAGCTTCTGTCTGTTCATTGGTTTAATGGGCATAATAATACTTAACTCAGAACTTTGTCTGAATAATTAAATAAAGTATATATATATGTAAAGTTATATATATATGTATTTGAGACAGGGTCTCACTCTGTCACCCATGGAGTGCAGTGGTGCAATCACAGCTCACTGCAGCCTCCACCTCCCCAGGCTCAAGTGATTCTCCCACCTCAGCCTCCTGAGTAGCTGGGACTAGAGGTGTGTGCCACCATGCCCAACTAATTTTTTTTTTTTTTTTGTAGAGATGGGGTTTTGCCATGTTGGCCAGGCTGGTCTCGAACTTCTGGGCTCATGGAATCTGCCCACCTAGGCCTCCCAGAATGCTGGGATTACAGGCATGAGTCACTGTGCTCGGCCAAACTATCATTCTATTTTTTTTAAAAAATCATATTATCTATCATGTAGTAAAGCCTCAATAATTGTTACTTTCATTATGGATATTATTATTTGTATTGTTTCATGAGTTTGAAATATTTACCAAATGTCTTTAGAAAACTTCTGAAAATAAAAGCCTTCCAGGAAATTATTTTTATTTTCTAGTTAATAAAATTTTATGTTTGAGGATTTTTTAAGGTAAATAAAATAAAAACAGTTATTAGTTTCTTTTTTTTTTTTTTGGCTTAGAACTCTTCAAAAAACAACAACAGAAATGGGACCATAGATTCATTAAAAAAAAAATTGTAACATTCTTTCAAATGTTTTATTGAAGTAAAATAATTACAGAAAATTGTTATAAAGACATTGGTAAAGCCACAAGGCAGATAAAAAGGAGTTTGAATACTTTGCAAACTCCTGATCCCCCAATTTATAGAAGAGAAAAGATAAGGTTACTAAGAGCAGAATACAGAGGCATATAATGTTGTTGATGTTGACATGAATCATGTTGGCAGCTTTTGGAGTTCAAAATGCTTCTTGTTTTCTTGGCAGAGATGGTAATATTGTGAAGCAACAGTGTATTGAAATTATGAAATAAGAGTTTTTCATGCAAATGTGAGGAATTTGCTGAGGACAAGTAAGAAGAAGGCCAATTCCTATTGTGCAAATCCTCTGGTCACTGGCTTCAACTAATAAGGACAAGCAAAAGCATAGGAAGTCATTTCCCTCCTACAAAGATCATTGCAATGAATGGGAACTGGTGCTTTCTGTGGCTCACGCCCAGTGGGTCTGAGGGGAAATAGAATCAATAAAACTTTAAACATAGTAAGTGCTAAATGAACACTTCATGAATTGAAAGCTGACTAGAAAGCCAGCTATGAAGACATATTCTAGAACCACTGGCTGGGGAGGAAAAAAAGCACACCGAATAAAGCACAAGCTGCAATAATCTCTTTAGTTAATATCCGACTTATTTTTTTTTAAGTATAATGCAGTACATTTCCACAGTGCAGAATTAGAAAATGCAGAAACGAAAAAAAAATGATTTAAATGATAGTAGTCTATGATTTATCACCTGACGCAGCCACAGTCTAGCTTTGTGATTGCAAGTGACTTAATTAAGTCTTATTAAGTCTCACTTCACTCAAAGCATGCAATCATAATCCCTTCTTAACGTTTTGATGGGGATGAATGAGATAATAGGTAGCTTAGCACAAAATCTGGCACATAATAATTGAGTAGCAAAATGGGTAGATTTAATGTTAAAATACTATATTTTACAAATGTATGTCTAGTCTTTGTTTCATTGTATGGATAACAGATTTCAGAGTTCATTTCCCGGATATATACTTTTATAACCTGCTCCCTCTATTTTTATCATAAGTACTCTCAAACATCAACACAATCTCTTTATAAATATCACATTGAATGGCTACATAATAGGCTATCATAAGACTTCACCAACTTTCTTCAATTATAATATCTTTTATTGATAGAAATTTAGGTTGTTTCCTAACCTCTCATAAATAAAGCTACATGAAAATATGTCCATCAAATTTACATTAATGATTCCTCTGGTACCTTGAACCCCTACTCCTTCCACACACACTTCTCTATTTTCACCTCTATCCATTCCACTGAGGAGTATGGTAGATTCAGTTTTTAGTCCTGTCTCTGAATGTCATTCAACTTTACTGGGCCTCAATTTTTCTCCTGCAAAAAGATCTCCGGGTCACTCTCAAGCCTAACATTCTACTATTTTATGTCTTGAACTTTTGCTTTTATAAAGGAACAGGTATCATAAAAAGACGATTAAAATTCAAGTCACCAAACCCTGTCAGTACTGCCTCTAATTTATGCGACTGGATGCCAATACCTTTACCGGATACCAATACCTTTACCAATACCTCGCCTTCTGAGTGTCATTCACCTGTTTACTCCCATCAAGGGGCACTGTTGACTCATTGGGACCCTCCGTCTGTCATTTTGAAACCCCAAGGTTGCCAGCCATGGAGGCACCCTTCCCATTGAGGCACAGCTTACAGTGCCAGGAGCTGCCTGGCCCCCACTTTCATCTCTAACCTCCTCTGAGGCTGCCTTTCTCTGACTCCCCGTGCGCTAGCTACAGTGCCTTTCTTTAAGGCTACAGTGGCCTTTCTTTCATCTTTTGCTATGCCGACTCCTTTCTTGTCTCAGGGCTTTTTCACATCTCTTTGCTCTGTCTGACCTGCCATTCTCTCGCATCTCGTTGCAGGATTACCTTTTTATTCTTTCTTTGGTGGCAATGAAAATATCGCCTCCTCAAAGCCCTCCCCTGCCCACAGCATAAAAAGCAGCCCTCCCCTTCCCTATTCTGTAACATAGTCCCTTATTGCTCAGTGACTATCTAGCAATGATCGCAGTCTGAATTTGTTAACTTATTTATTCATGAATATTTTTTCTTCTTTTTTGTTTTTATTTTTGTCTCTGCTCTATAATGAAAGCTCCATGAAAGCAGGGACTATAGTTGTCCTGTTCTTCATTATAGCACTAGTCTCTACTATGCTATGTGCCTGGAATTTTTTTTTTGTACTCAATATTTTTTTTTAATACATGAAAAAGTATTAGTTGGCCAGATTTCTGCAGAAATTCTGTAAACAAAGAAATCAACGTGAACGCAAACAAACCAAAAACCCTAACTCAGCCTTGTTTAAACCTGAATAAAATAAGCAATATCAGGAGTCTTTTAATATTTGTGAAATGTTAGCTTTCTCCTTACATTAAACCTAAACCTCACCATCTTGCAAATGGCCAGAACGCCTAGTAAATCAGCCTTCACCTTGACAGAGGAAGAATATAGAGAAAGGATTTCAACAGAACTGAAGTGAGGGTGATCATAGCAATCTTCAGTGTACTGAGCTGATTTATAGGTACAGACTACTTCTAGATTACCGACCTGCCACTGAATTCCAACTAGGCCCCTTAAAGTATTCCTGCCTGAGAAAAACACCCCAGCTCTGGATGCACCATCAATATTAAATTCCACGAGAAAGGTGGCTGTGAAAAACACACACGTCTTCCACATTAATGATTCAGGTGACTATATCAAGAGCATTGCCTTTTACACCGCAGCCCTGCTTTTCTTGAATAAAGCTCATATGTTTTTTGTTTACCATAGGACTCTCATTCTTTCTTTTTTCAAAAAAAAGTAGACTTAGCTTGTCTTTTCCAAAGTATTACTTTCCGCAGTTTGCCAAGTCACATTGGTTTTGGTTTATCTCATTCCGTTTTTATTAGGTTGGTGCAAAAGTAATTGTGGTTTCTGCCATTACTTTCAATAATAACTTAAAAAGGACAAAAATCAATGTTGAACATTGGCCACTGTCAAACCACCATACATGGTCTACCTCATTAAAATCAGACCACAGAGTCTGTAATGAATTCTTGTTTCAGGAGTTTACTATCAGGCAAGGAAGATTTTCTGTGTTAAGGTCAAAAAATTTCATTCATGCTGCAAATCACTTTGCTTCCAGTCACTGTGCAAAAGTTCATGTCTGTTTATCAAGGATTTCTGGATGCCTCCTGCTATCTGTACATGTGCCAGAATCTTTGAAGAGAGCATTGTTTTTGTGCAGTGAATTCCAGTTCAGGACAGAGAACATTCCTCCTCAAAACAACCATTTTAGAAGACAGCCTTCAGTGTAGTATTTCTTACACTGAGTACTGGTTGAGCTTTGCTGTGTATTTCTCTCTCTCTCTCCTCTCTCTCTGTATGTGTGTGTGTTTCTTCATCCTGAAGCGTTACCACTTAGCCCCAGGGGGAATCTGTATTATTACTTGTAGATGAAAATGTGGTAAAGGGCTATTGTGATTTCAAAACTTCCATATTTTCTCAGATAAAGTTTCCCTCCAGTTCCCCCTCCCCATTGTTTTCACTCTGAGAGCCTCAAGTTGGGTGCCAATTAAAACTGAGAGAATATTACAGTGTCACAGAACAACTATATTAACCACATTTGTCAATATGTGCCATTTTCATTTTAAATGGGAAAGCTCAGAGGGCATTTTCCACTGGACCATCTGGAGGAAGCTGATCTGGCTTCCTCAGCCAGAGGTTTTACCAGTTGCCACCAATAAGGAACTATTTTGTGATGTTTCCAGAATTTGAAACCCTCTGCCACTTTGAATCCAGCTTTTAAACGTCCTTTTGCAAGGCCTGCCAAGAGCGAACTTGTAGAGAGCCAGGTTTCATTTGCAATTCAAAGAGACAACCCTATCATTGAATGTGGTCTTTAAAGGGAAGGGAGAGAGCAAAAGTTTGAAAAGAAGGAACTCAAGGAAGAGATCCTTCCATTTTGACTAGATATTGTGAATGTCATTCCTCTTGAATTCTTATTGTTCTTAAATGCTCTGCTCAGTGCCTGTCCTAGGTCCCCTAGCTTATGATTGTGAGTCAAAGTTGTCAGTCAGGTCATTTAAACTCAGAAGTTACCAGTGTCTTTTTCAAATTTGTGAGAATAGTGCTAGCTGCCCCACCAAGCTAGCATAAGGACTAACTTTTTATTGATCACTGGAAGCAATTCTGGTTTCTCAAAGAAATCAGACTAGTTTTGACATAAAACAGAATTTGGCAACAAAGCTTTGGGCAGAAGCACGAATACTTAACATAGGAGAAAGCACAGTGCATGCAAGTAGGTGAAAAAGAAGGAACTTGAAGGTAGGAAAGAGGGCGTGAGATGTCCATGTATAGGGAATGGGGAATGGTGTGGGGAGGGGAAATGCAAGAAGCCAGATTAAGGAAATTGAAGTGTAGAGTGAATAGATCAAGCTCTATCTGAGAAGAAGTCACATATGATCTTTCTGTAAATGAGTAGCCAGGAAGGGTGAAACCATTCCAACAACTGTTAAGGTTTTACATATTTTGTTTGTTTGTTTTTTGAGACGGGGTCTTGCTATGTTGCCCAGGCTGGTCTCCAACTCCAGGACTCAAGGGATCCTCCTGCCTCAGCCTCCCAAAGTGCTGGGATTACAGGCACATGCTACTGTACCTGGCAGGTTTTATATTTTTAAGGATTTAATCATGATAAACATATATTAGTGGAAAGGGGAACAACACAACATGTAGAAAAGGTAATATTGGGGGAGGCACATTTACAAAAATAGTTTAATTGCCACCAACCAGATAAGCAGGTGTGACGTGGCCCTACCTCTAATTACCCTGATGTTAGAACCTGATTATTAACTGAAGTGGTGCATTTATATAATGTGCATATAAAAAGCAGTGGACTAAGGAGGAGGGCATACATCTGAGGATAGTGTCTGCCCTTGTTAAAGTAAAGGGGTCCTGATCCAGACCCCAAGAGGATGTTCTTGGATCTTGCACAAGAAAGAATTCAGGGCAAGACCATAAATAATGTGAAAGCAAGTTTTTTAAGAAAGTAAAATAATGAAAGAATGACTACTCCATAGGGCAGAGCAGCAGCATGGGCTGCTCAGCTGCTGATACTTAGTTACTTGTTGATTATATGCTAAACAAGGGGTAGGTTATTCATGAGTTTTCAGGGAAAGGGGTGGTCAATTCCCAGAACTGAGGGTTTCTCTCCCTGTTAGACCATATAAGGTAACTTCCTGACATTGCCGTGGCATCTGTAACTGTCATGGTGCTGGTAGGAGTGTCTCTTAGCATGCTAATTCATTATAATTAGCGTATAATGAGCAGTGGGAATGACCAGAGGTCACTTTCATCACCGTCTTGGTTTTGGTGAGTTTTGGCTGGGCTTCTTCACTGCAACATCTGGAGGAAGCTGATCTGGCTTCCTCAGCCAGAGGTTTACCAGTTGCCACCAATAAGGAATCATTTTGTGATGTTTCCAGATTTTGTGATGTTTCCTTTACTGTTTTATCCTCAAGGTCTTTATGACCTATATCTTGTGCCAACAGCCTATCTCATTCTGTCACTAAGAATGCCTAACCTCCTGGGAATGCAGCCCAGTGGGCTCAGCCTCATTTTACCCAGCCCCTATTCAAGATAGAGTCACTCTGGTTCGAACAACTCTGACACCCTGGCATTAACCAGTTTCAAGACTTGGGCACAGACACCTCACCTCTGAACATTAGGATCTTTGTCTCCTGAGAAATGTGGTATGGTGGAAAGAAAGCATTTGAGTTTCCACGCCAATAACTGGATTAATGTTATGCCTCATACACTCAACAGCTGTGTGACATCAGACGATATTTCCACTCTCTGAGTCCATTTCCTCCTCTTTGGAATAAGATAATAAAGTCTGTTTTACAGGAAGGAGTGTGATTTTAAAAAAAGAATATACTGAGGCTGGCACAGGTAGGTGATAAATAAATTAGGTGCTAAAGATAATAGACGGTTATTAACTTTCTAATGAAGGGCTGAATGACATTTGTGCTTCCTCATAACCCCTAGAATTTTCTCATTCTCTGGATTATTGTTAAAGATAGTGCATATTCACCATAATTATACAGCACATACTTATTTCTTCACATTTTCAACGAATGTTTTTCTTTGGCTGTCTTTACCAGTTTATTTCAGAAAGAGAGAAACAGCAGAATCACTGGGCCACATTAAAACAATATGTCAGGAGAAAAATTAATTCCCTAATGGGGACTTTCTAGAATATTTCCTCTGCGTGTTCCCACCTTCACAAATGATGCAAGATAAAGCACCTTCCGTCTATCTCAGGATGTGATTTTACAATCCCAATTATTTTTACTGTCAAGAAGCATTTTCTCCATTTCTAGTCAAAATTTGCCTCCTTAATTTCAAATTGTGCCATGCTAAATAATTCACTGTTCTCTTTGTTTTGCTGGAGATTATGTATATACTAAATATGTTTTCCTCCCCTCCACACCTCTCCCCCGATCCTCTCTCTCTCTTTGTGTGGCTATTTGAAGGCACACAAATGTGCCTTCCTTAAATCAATAGCTTCTTTACAAAAAATATACACATGCTTTTGCACTCAGCATTTGCTATGCTCCTTTGCAACTGAAAATGTATGGATTAATTGGAATGCAATTAACACTCCTGAAACCAAGATCCTAGGATTTTAAGCTTTGAGAAACAGAAAACATAATGATAAAAGTAAGAGATATGAGGTGTAAACTAAAAATGAAATCCTAAGCCTCCCAGCTGACTAAGCAGACCCCTTCTTGGCTGAGGAGACCCCAGAGAAAACTGAAAAACTAAGTCCCTGGCCATGAAGATACAAGAAGTCAGACTCACCTCATTATACCTTCTCCCTTTTGGGATTTAGACACAACAACTGACCTGTATTAATGTAAAAATAGATATCATGAGAATGACAAAATAGACTCTTTGTGACAATAAGATATCAAATGATAAACAGGACCTAAGGCTGTGCAAGACAAGGGTTAAGTCATGCCTGCAGGCCATCAATTTTTCTTACCAGGTCATTTGATCTTGTATATTGTGGCTTGCTCTATGACTATTTTACTTCCTTAACTTAAACATTCCTTTCTGCCAACTCCAAGTTTTTAGACAAAGTTTTGCTCCTTTAATCAACTGCAAATTAAAGAATCTCTGAATCCACCTATGACTTGTAAGTCCCCCACTTTAAGATATCCCACCTATTCAGGCCGAACTAACGTATAGCCATTATGTATTGATTTATGTTTTTGCCTGTAACTCTTGCCTCCCTTAAACTTATAAGACCAAACTGGACTCTGCCTACCTCAAGGTTTCTTGGCTTTGTATTTTCCCTGAGCTGTGATCACTCATATTGATCACTCATATAGAACTTTGCTTCTTAATTCAGCCAAAACTGGGTTCTTGTCACATGACCAGGAAAAGTTAGGCATACAGACACATTGAAAGGTGAGGGGAATGGAATTTACTGGGTAAAAAGGAAAAAAAAGAAAAAAAAATCTCTCTCAGCAGAGCAAGAGGGGTTCCTGCTAACAGGCCCCCATTTCACAGATTGATTCCAGGCCACATACAGGAAACTGAAGAGGCCGGGCTCCTCCCTGCTGCAAACAGCCTGAACTTCTCCTGGCTCAACCCCGCTACCCTAGTGCGCAGACTCGTAGGAGATTCCCCAGGGTCCCTCCTTCTTATCTTCCTCCTGCATCTATCAATATTGGTTCAGAATAAACCTTTAAAAATATTTTACTCTGTGGTTTATGTTTTTTTCTGTTAATAGAGGAAATAAAAGGATGAGAGTGATCTTCCAAGGTTCACCCAAGTTATCAGTAGAGCCACATTATGTGCCTGGTCCTTGATAGCTCAAGGGTCACTAAGACACTAAGACGGTCTGTATCAACATTTATAACGATTTTCTAAGGCCCTGCAAGATCTAGGCAAAAATATAATGAATAAAGAGTAAACCATACTTACTTTTTCAGGCTTCCCAGTACGAGAAGAAGGCTCACACCGTTTGGAAATAACTTTTTTAAGCCGGGGTTTAAATTAAAGCACGTTTTGTTGTTGTTGTTGTTTGTTTGTTTTGGTTTTCTGGTTGATTTTCAGTTACTAAAAATTTTTTTCTGAAATACTTTTTATCATTGTGGTTTTTCCAGATGTTTCAATTAGGATTCTTGTGATTCCGATGACAACTGAAAGAGAAATAAAAAATAAGAAAAATTATTTCCTGTAACTGGAAGTTGAGGATTAGGACAAGTAGGCTTCAAGTTTGGTGGAGCCAATGACTCAACGACGCCATCAAAAACTTAGGATTTTTCCCATCTCTCAAAAGATGGAGAAATGAATCTGATCTGTTGGTTAGATCCTCTGGCTGGGGGCCTGGTGGTTAAAGCATTTCTAGGGATCCTATGCTTAAAAAGCAATGTCAAGAAGAGAAAAAGAGGCTCTCTTTTTAAAAGGCTAATTGATTTTCACAGAAACCTTAAGCCTCACTGTCCAGTGTTGAGTCATGTGCTCATTCCAGAATGGATAGCTGGTGAGGAACATAGCATTACCTTAAACTTACCTCAGACCTGAGCTTCTGGCTGTGTGGGAGAAGGGCAGATAACTCAACAATACCGTGGGTGTCTCAAGAAAATAACAACTGGGGATGGAATACTGGATGGACATCCAACCGTATCAAATACAGCAGGATTCTTTGAATTTTATTTTGATATCCTCACAAAAAAACATAAAAATAAATGATGTTTTGCATATTCTAAACCAATATTGGTGAAGAGCAGAGACTCTAACTGATTGGGAGGATTTTTGTTAATAAAATATCCAGTAGTTTTCAGCTCACATTTTTGTCATTATGGAGTTTTTTGTTTATTGCTTTTATTTCTTCAAAATCAGAGTCCCCTGAACATAAAGCTCATAACAAAATCAGAGTTCCCTGGGAGCATATAGCTCATAACGTTCTTCAGCATCTTCTAATGCAAACACAGTCTGAGCTTGGCAACTGTTTATATAAAAAGGAATTTGTTCAGGAAATATTGTGAAAAGTACAGGGAACAGACACAGAAATCCACCCAGGCTCTGTACTTTAGCATTAGGCTTAGAAGAGTTGTGGTTTTGCTTCATTCCCTGAAATAAAATATTTGGTTGATTGTTTGGTAGAGGAGTGTGGACGCAGGAAACCACAGTGTATACCTGGGAGAGGAATTGGGGTGGATAAACTCTCCTCCATTGAGGGGAAGCCTCTAGCTCTATATTTTGCTTCTAATTGACATAGCAGGGCTTTTTTCTTCCTGCATCACCACTGTCCTTTCTGCGGTTCCAGTATACATGTTGGATATTGGTTTACATTTCTAAACTTATTGAACGCATGACCCTTTATCTTACCCATTATTTACTGTTTAACTGTCAACTTTTACTGCGTATACTCAGGCAATAAGACAGAAAATACATCAAAACCCTTAATATCTTCTTGAAAAGATCTGAAATTACTCTTGAAAATGAAAAATTAGGTCTATTCTGGATCTCTGAAATACAATATTGTGCTCTTATATGTTTCCATCAAAGAAGGAAAGAGACATTTATTTAGTATAAATAGTAATATGGGCTAGACTCTGCACTGAGCATTTTAAAAATAGTATCTTATATAACTCATTCACCAGCTCTCAGAGTTAGTATCAGATACTGTTTATTGTCCACCAAATAGTTATCCTTCTCTTTTTTATTTTTAACAAAATCCATGTGCCTGACTAAAAGCATTTACTCTCTTGCCTCTAGGTGCCCATGGTGGTAGAGTTCTTACCAGCGAGACACAATTAGAAATCTTCCAGGGTGTTTGGGAAAAGCTATTATTGCCTTCCTGATACAACGCCCACATCCTCTAGCTCCCATTGTGTGCATTTACCCTCCCCCATTTATGATATAATTATCCTAGATAGTTTCTCTACATACATCTAGAGCCACATCAGTGTCACAATTTTTCTTTCAGCCTTCAAACATACTTTAGAAAACTCAAAGAGAAGAAGAAAAATCTAATGTATTTATTTGTATTTTTGCTGACCATGCTTTTCTTTCTTTTCTATTTTTCGAATTTCCTTTTTTAAAAAATTTTACTTAGAGAACATCTTTTAGTCACTCTTTTAAAGTAGGTGTGATGATGACAAATTCTCTTAGTTTTTCATCTAATGATGTTTTGATTTCCTCTTCATTCCTGAAGGATGTTTTCACTGGCTGTGGGTTTCTGGGTTGACAAATCTTTTCTTTTTAAGACTAGAAAACTATTTTGTCATTTTTTTCTGGCATCCATGGTTTCTGAGGAGAAATCTGCTGTCCTTCGAATTGTTCTTTTGCCTATGGATAAAAATTCCATTTTTTTTCTGGCAGCTTTCAAGATTTTTTTCTTTTGTCTTCAGTTTTAAGAAGCTTAATTATATTGCAACTTGGCATGGATTTCTCTGGGCCTTTTCTGTTCAGTGTGAAATCAGTTTCTTGGGTGTGTAGGTTGATACCTCTTGCCAAATTTGAAAGTTTTCAGCCCTTATTTGCTTGAGTACTTTTTCAGCTCTTATTTCTCGTTTCCTTCCAGTACTCCAACGACGTGAATATTGGACCTTCTGTTGTAGTCCAACAGGTCCCTGAAACTCTGTTCACTTTTGTTCAGTCTCTTTTCTCTCTGTTGTTTAAACTTGGTAATTTCTACTGTTCCATCTTTCAGGGCCCTGATCTTATCCTCTAGCTCTCCTTTTTGTAGCCACGCCCACCCACTGAGGTTTTTATTCCCATTATACTGTTCTTCAGTTCTAAAATTTCCATTTAGGTCTTCTTTATACCTTTTATTTCTTTACTGAAGCTTTCTGTTTTTCATTTGTTTCACGTACATTCATGATTACTCTCTGAAGCATTTTTTATCTTGGCAGCTTCAAAAATCTTCATCTGATAATTCTAAACATCTCTGGTCATCTTGATATTGGCATTTATTGATTTTCCTTTTTTCATTCAGTTTGGGTCTTCCTGGATTTTGGTATGATGAGTGATTTTTTTATTGAAACGGGGACATTTTCATATTATGTTTTGAGGCTCTAGATCTTATTTAAACCTTCTGCTTTAGCTGGCTTTCCCTGACATAAGTCCAGCATGTCTAGGAAGAGGAGGATACTAACACATTCCTGCCAAGTGGAGGTAGAAGTCTAGCTTTCCCACTTGGTCTCTGTTGACACCCAAGGGGGTAGGGCTCCCCATTACTGCTTGGTGGAATTAAGAGTTCCAGTTCCCCAAATGTTCTCCACTGACACCATGGCGCCGTGAGCTTCATTACTTGCCAGTGGGGAATAAAAGTCCTGGATCCTACTTGGCCTTTTTTGGCAGCACCCCAGTGGAGGTGTTGAAGCACCTGGTTATAGGTGGGGGAGGGAGTCTAGACTTTCCTTGTGGCCTTTACTGTTGGGGATGGGACCACAGTTCTGTGGTATTAGTTGGGGCAGAGTGGTTATTATCTAAATATTTTGTATGTTGACAGGCTGCCCGTTTCCTGGTCCTTTGGCTACAGTGAATAAACTTTTGCTGGGGCCATTTTTGTTTCTAATTGGCATTTTCAGGTTGCCACCTTCTTCAGCTCCAAGACATGAGGCAAAAAAGAGAATCCAGGGAACTCACCGATGTCATTCCTGGAGTCTTAATTATCTAGCCAGTCTGTGCGTTTCTCTTCACATCTCAGAGTTTTCTCATGTTTGCTGTTGTTTTTAGCTGTACTTTATGGGAGGAATTGGCAAAAGCATCTTTACTGTATATTGCCGGGAAGCAGAAATCACTCAAGAATATACGTCTTAAAAAATCAGCCTCCCAGGTGCTTCTCAGGCAAATGTTCATGAACCACACTTTGAGGAACATTTTATAGAATATGAAATTGAGGCCCAGAGAGAAAAACTCAAAGGCAAGATGTCACATACTCAGGTTGCACAGCAGAGATTCTAAACTAGAAACCACATCACATCTCCTGGCTTCCATTTCAATGCCATTTCCTCCTTGTGGCACAATATCGAACTACTAAGAATACCAAAGGGGATTAATGTACCAATTTCACTGTGATTCATGGAGATCAGTTTGTAGACATGCAGGAAATGTTAATTCTCTGCAAATACAGTTATTCATACCTTGATGTCAATTGTATCACCCTCAGCGGAGACAGTTTTTCAGATGTCACCAGTGTTGTGGACAGGAAGTCTGTATTTAGGCAGCCTTCAGAAGCCCTTGAACTCCCTGAAGTGAAATCTGGAGGGACTGGAAATGGCATGAGACTGAAGGCAGCACGAGTGCAGCTAATGAAATATGGGCATCCTCCAGTGGCTGCCGTTCATTTCACTGGCCCCATGCACAGGTTGTACCAGATGGTGCTCTCATGGTTTCCATCAATGCAGAACTGTGATGAAGAAGGGGAGGAGAAAAATGGATGAGAAAAATAACACCAATCTGCACAGCTGAAAATAATTATGATTACATGGCTAATGACCCAGGGAATTAGACAAAGCCAAGCTTATTGGAACTCAGGCCACATGCAGGCAAATGTCACAATTTAATGACAAAAGATGAATTGCTTTATCTCCTACATAGTAACTCATGATGGGGAGTGGTGATTCTTCTTTCTGAATCACTGTCTTAGAGTAAAGTCATGAGGAGACCCACGTAATGAGTGTCTTCTCATTTTGAAAGGGAATTGAACCTAGAAAATTAAAAAAATAAAGAAACTTCAGCAAATATGATATTTATATTCATTTTCACCTGTAGGAGTAGTAGGCAGCAACCTACAAGATATTGGAGGCAGTCTTGTTGCCACCAAAATATAGATTATGTATCCTTTAAAGAGAAAGGTCAAATCTTACTCTTTTGTGGTCACTTAAAAGCATTTATTGAGATTCTGCCATGTACGTGGCCCTGCTTAACAACCTGTGATAGAAAGATGAAAAAAGATGCTGCTCCTACCCAGCCCAGAAGAGTTCACACTGTATAAATATTGATTGGGGGTGGATGACTGATTGCAATTCCCTATAGAGACCCTGTCGAGGTTTCTGAAATTCTGACTTCTTTCCATTACAGCTGTGAAAGCTGATAATCAAATGCTGGTAGTTCAAGTATTCATTCTTTAATTCATTCACTCAGTAATTCTGTAAATCTTCATTGAGTATTGATTATGTGTCAGGCACTGTGTGTGGCACTAGGCTTAAAATGGGGAAAAATGTTTTAATATAATTATATTATGTGATTATATGACATATTAAGCTATGATCTGTTTATAAAAAGTACATAATGCAGGGGGAGTCACAATGTTTAGAAATCAGAGATGAAATTTTTGACTATTAGAAAGGTTTATGCAAAAGAGATTGAATTATTAGTTCCGACAAATGCATTAGCCAGTCAGAAAAAAAAAGTAAAACAAATACCATTAATATTTTGGATCTTAAAAAGCATGTTTATAAAAATCGCATTAGGGAAGTGCATAGCTTAGAAGATTGGCAATGAAAGACCAAACATTTTAAGTGCATGTAATTGGTTGACATCTAGCCAAAATTGATAACAAATGCAACTCATCCCCATCTGCTGATTTATGTAAATGAGTTGGTGATCTCATTTGGTTTGCTAGGAGACAGGTGTCTCTATTGCTGAAGCAGCTACTCAGTTGGCACTTAGCCCCAGTCTAAAGCAAAAGTCTTAAATTTAGCTGTGGCGTAAGGCTCAGCTTAAAATATGGTCCCTAAAATCCCAGGACAAGACAGTAAGGCCAGAACTGAAAATCACTGTAGGTTTGTGTCCTGTCTGTCCAAGGGCTGTCTCTGCCATGACAAGTACATTTTCAAACTGCTATGCATGCATTGTCTACTGGATTCTTCCAGCGTGGAAGTTCTGCAGGAAGAGAGCACGCAAAGAAATTTTTTTCTGAATACTTTTAAACCCACATTTTTTTTTGCGGGGGTGATGGAGTCTCACTCTGTTGCCAGGCTGGAGTGCAGTGGCGCAATCTCGGCTCACCACATCCTCTGACTCCCAGATTCAAGCGATTCTCCTGCCTCAGCCTCCCGAGTAGCTGGGATTACAGGCACATGCCAGTATGCCCAGCTAATTTTTGTATTTTTAGTAGAGATGGTATTTCACCATATTGGCCAGGATGGTCTTCTCCTGACCTCCCGATCCACCCGCCTCGGCCTCCCAAAGTGCTGAGATATAGGCGTGAGCCACCACTCCTGGCCTAAGTCCACATTTTAATAATACCAAGACTGATAAGACCTTACTTCTTTCAGGCTCTTTCATATTACAGATAATAAGAGATGATTATAGATAATAAGAGAATGCATGTATTTATTAAAAGATTTGTAGGGATAGCATACCACAGATAGACTATCAGTGTTAGGAGAAACCCTAACTGTTAGTGAGCATCTATTATTAGTAAACAGAGAAGAACACAGACTATGAAGATAGTCTGCTTGGGTTTGAATCCTCTATTGTTATTTATTAGCTGTATAACCCTGGGAAAATTGCTTAACCTTTCAGGTCCTCATTTCTTCCATTTGTAAAGTGGAGGTAATAGCATTACCTAGCTCATAAGGTTGTTATGAAGACTGAGATAATGCATGTAATGCACTAACAAGAGTGACTAGAATATAGTGAGTGTTCTACACAAGTTCTCTCATACTACTGTGTTCCAGAAACCGTGCTCAGTAAATGGAAAAAAACCTACATTATTTAATTCTGACATCAACTCTTTGATGCAGGCATGACATATTGCCACCTTATAGGTAAGGACACTAAACGTCAGAATGGCGAATGGCAGGGAAGAATGAAGGTGGCTTTTTGAGTTTGGCTGATGCTCTATCAAGATCTTTCTATTGTAACTTGTTGCTTGAGATCACACAGGTAAGTAGTAGCATAAGACAGGGAGTGTAACCAAGATTCCTGGTTCTCAGTTTAATATGCTTTTTTATACATTACAGAGAATTGGAATACTGTCCAATTTCTGACTTTGTGCAAAGGAAAAATATTTACAATTTAGTAAAGAATGCTAATTTATAATTCCAAATGAAAAATGATGACTTAATGCCCAGGGAGATTAAATTTCTCTTTCTTCCAAAAGTTACTAATTGCTACTTATGTAGCAAATATTGAGCTAAATCCTGGGGTCATAGTGGTAAACAATATGGGCAAGGTGATTACTAGTGAATTTTTAATAAATTTTAATTACTCAGGTTATTTTTTCTTTCATTCATTTCTTTTATGATTTTTACAAAATTGTGAACTTGGTTCTGATTCTGTAGGATTTTACTTATAGGCACAAATTATACTTGTCCATAATTATTACCTAGCACTTAAAAAATGATCATTCAAGGCACTTAAAGGAAGAGGCCACTTTCATTATTATTTTATTGGACATTGCTCAGTAAGATCTGTGCACGTTCATTATCCACTCACAAATGAATGGACTATGATGTGGTTCTAGGCTGACACTCCATGACCTCATGAGCTTCTGAACCAGGTAGACCATAATGAAGGCATTCATTAGAGGTCTGTGAACCAGGGAGGTGGCACACATTGAAGTTCCCACATCATCATTCATACTAATCTGATTAACTCTCCTACTCTCATTTCCAGAGTGCAGGGATCAGGAATTTTGGCAACCATCTGGGTAACAGAAGCCCCTCCCCAAGGATCTGGTAAATTTCTGCCCATATGTTCCCTGTAAAATTGCATTGCCTGCGGCTTTCTTCCCATAGCTCATGTCTGCAGAGATGACCAACCAACCAGATCTTGTGGCAGGCCCCGACAGCCTTCCAGGAATAGGGCAATGTTACATTATCATTTCTCACTGAGACATACATGTGACTTTTATTGCCATATTGATAATATGGGCATTGAGAAAATGACAAGTACATTGGATCATGTAAAGACATTTTGTGACACCCAACTTGCAATACATTGTTATTTTTAAAAGGACTTTGCATCATAGGACATACAAAAAGATAGTGCCACTTTCTATCTTACAGGACAAAACCTGGGAAGCAGGCTTTCAGAACATGGAGTCTGATGTAATTCTCTCCAACTGGAGAACCTCCAGGGAGAAGGAGACATACGATGCTGATTTATTTGGATTATACAACAAAGGCCATTTTTAATAACTAAAAACTAAGGCTTGATTCATGGAATTGTGATTTTAAAACAATAGCAATCCTGGACAGGGCTTTCCCCTGTATGATTTCCCTGTATCCCAAGGCAGCTCTTGGTAGGAGCATTTTATACTTGTCAACAGCGTTCATCAGCTGAAAAATAAATGAATCATTCCCTCTTTTGAATAACTCAAAGAAACATGTGCTTAGAGTCAGCATGGTACCATTTTCACTGGTTTTCAGCCTAAGCTGTGATATTTATCACCGTGAATTTATCAGAATATATATGAAGCATGTTCAATTGTAGGAATAAATACTGAAGGTTTAGTTCACTTTTGAGAGTTGGAGGAAAAGAGACTGATTTCTGTAAGAACATTTCTATCTTCTAAATATTCATTCATAGCCTCACTATTGAAAGGAAGAACCACAACAGAGATCGTCTGTAGAGTCATTATTATAATCTACCTCTTCTGCTCAGACAACCAGAAACTCATGTGTGACTAGATGAGAATAGGTAAGCCTGGTCTTCAGGTCACTTTTGTCTCATGACAGAGAAATACTTCATAGAAACTAGATTTTGTCTGCCGCAGTTCAACCTGGTCTAACTTGTTGAAATTCTCCTCCTGATGATATCTAAAACTACCTTTGGAAATGTACAGATATGTGATTGTGTGATTTTCTCATTGGCGCCATTGGTCAGACCATAGACCTCTAGGGGTGGCTGGTACACCATCAGGAAGAAGCAGTGTGTTACATTGGCAACTATCTGTAGAGATGTGGTATTGCCCTTTCTACATGTTCCTACCTAAAAATGATATGTAAAAACTTTGCATAATTTAATTTATGATTCTCTCATCTAAGCTATTTCCTCAATTAACTAACTTCAGTCTGGTAACTTTAAAAAGTAGGTTTCATGTTGTATTTCAAGTTATTTCCTGTGCTCTGGTATTGCATTTTCCTTCCATTGCGCCCTAATATATAGTCAGTTCCTTTCAATTTATTACTGTCAATCACTGTATGCTGATGCCCTGCATCACATAACAGAGAGGAACAAAGATTTGAACACAAGTTGTAATTTCTTCACTCCGAAAACTAGATCTGTTTTATTCTTTACTGCCTAGTACCTTGTATCATTTCTGGCAAATGCTAAGAGCATCTTCTGTGATGAATGTTTAAGGAATAAAGGATGAATGAATGAACGGATTGAAATCTTGTCCCTGCTCTCAAAAACCTCACGGTCAACTTTGAGGAACGAAATATTAAATTATTAGAAACTATCATGTAAATTTTTATTTGATCATTTCATGTTTTCTATTAGAAAAACAACAAGCATTCATTCTATTGTTCTAGGCATTAGGAAGATTATAAAGATGAATGAGATACACAGTACAGGCCAGGCATGGTGGCTCATGCCTCGAATCTCAGCACTTTGGGAGACTGAGGCAGGTGGATCACTTGAGGTCGGAAGTTCGAGACTAGCCTGTCCAACATGGTGAAGTCCCATCTCTACTAAAAATACAAAACTTAGCCGGGCATGGTGGTGGGTGCCTATAGTCCCAGCTACTTGGGAGGCTGAGGCAGGAGAATTGCTTGAACCTGAGAGACAGAGGTTGCAGTGAACTGAAATTGCACCACTGCACTCCAGCCTGGGTGACAGAGGGAGACTCCATCTCAAAAAAAAAAAAAAAAAAAAAAAAAAGAGAGAGAGAGACACACACACAATACATAAAATACTAGTATGAATTTATTCCTTTTTGTGTGTGTGGGGGGACGCGGGTACAGAGTTTCACTCTGTCACCCACGCTGGAGTGCAGTGGCACCATCTCAGGTCACTGCAACCTCTGTCTTCTGGTTCAAACAATTCTCCTGCCTCAGCTTCCCAAATAGCTGGGATTACAGGCGCATGCCACCGTGCCGGCTAATTTTTGTATCTTTAGTAGAGACTAGGTTTCGCCATGTTGGCCAGGTGGGTCTCGGACTCCTGACCTAAAATGATCCGCCTGCCTTGGCCTCGCTACGTGCTGGCATTACAGGCATGAGCCACTGTGCCCAGCTTAGATTTAATGATGAATATGGCATCAGCAAAAAACAATCAGAAGACTGGACAGGTACCATCATTATGCAAGTGGATGTGGAATCAATGATTAGACACGGTTTCTTCCTCTAAGGAAGGGAAAGTCATCAACTAACTTGTTCTTTGAGTGCAGTCATTGGAACACAGACTTTAGAATCAAACAGACTTGAATAAAAGCCTAGATTCTTACACTTAGAACTATTTGATATTGGGCAAATTATAGAACCTCTCTCAGCTTCAATTTTCTATCTGTAAAGTGAGATCATGATGCTTAAGTGTTTACCAGGATGAAATGCAATAACATATTAGCAGACATTACACTTCTGCCCAGTTTCTGATCCGCAGCGAGCACTTATAAACTATTACTAAAGGAAGTAGGATAAAAAAGATTTGAAAAGCTTTCAGAAAGGAAGTAGCATTTGCACTTTCTAAAATGATGATAGGTTTGGATATGAGTAGGAAAAGGTGTGGAGAGGACAGAGAAAATAAGGGAAAGCATTTTCAAATGAGAAAACAGCAGTAGCTGTAGAGATTCAAGAAATGCTGGTAATGTGCCAGGAAGAGCAAAAAGACTGGAGCATCATAGAAATGGGAAGTGGTTACACAGTGTGAAACACATTAGAATGGCTTTACAAGTTTCGAGAATAAAACATTTATTGTACCCTGGAGAATTTAGCCACTCTATTTCAGAGTGTGAACTCCTAAATTAAGGAGAAAATGACCAGATATCAGGCAATCTGTCTCCTTGAAAAGGTAAGAGCCCTTGGAAAACTACTTATGCAATCATGGAATTGTTGTGTGGCGGAAGGAGAAAGTTAGAAGGAGAGAAGAGGAAGGGATGCCTAGGAAAAGATCCAGTCCCCAGATTTTTCCACTGCAGGAGCATTCACCAATCATCTGCAAATGCCTGTATTATGACATGGGTGATAGAAAATTTCTTCATCTCATCTTTTGATTCCGGTACAGGATTTTTTGCAGTACTTAAGTAATTTGATTTGAAATAATCTTTCTTTCTGTGCAATGCACTTTCAGCCACCTCATTAATTTTGATCTTATGGTCAATAAAGTTTCTGTTATTTCTGCAAATTTCATATCTGGTTAGTCTCCCGGAGTTCTTCCCTTTCTTTTTTCCGTTTTTGCAAGTACGAATCCATGTCTTAATGTTCACCCATTCCTTCCTTCCAATTTCCCTCAAGTCTTATTTCTCCTCCAGAAGGTCTTTTCTGCCTATACCAACCCACACATTTCTCATCCTCCAATCTCCTATGGATTTTATTAAACTTTTTTCTCCTTTGCCCTTTGCACTATATATGTAATTCTTGGATTTTAGATAAGTAAAAATATATACATCCTTTTGTTCATTTAACCATAACTTCCTCTGCCCCTCAAAATAGTATGTATTCAACAAACATAAACTGAGCACCTACTATATGCAAGACTGCTATATGTGACTATAGCAGTAAAGCAAATAGCCATGCTCTGTGCTCTCATAGGCCTTAAATACAGTAAGAAAGAGAACAAAAATAAGATATAATTAAATTATTGGATTTCTGATAATGATAAATTCTCAAGGAAATTAACCAAATGATATGTTTGAGAGGGATTGTGAGGATGAAGCCGAGTGCATTAGATAGGGGATTTAGAGAAAACTTTTTGATGAGATTATGTTTGAGGTGAGATCTGAGAGATAAGGAGTAGATCAGGCAGTGATCTAGGATCACATTACTTCAGGGAGAGAGAACAAATGGAAATGCCCTCCAGCAGATTCAGGTTTACCTGTTGGAGGAATAGAAAGAAAATTAGTATGGCTGGATCCTAGTAAGCAAGTGGGCAGAGACACAGAGGCAGAAGGGAGCCGGACCATCTCAGCCCTTGGTGCGGAGTTTGGATTCTGCTCCAAGTGAAATGGAAAGGTAGAGGAAGCTTTTAATCAGAGGATATACATAATTGGAGTTGAGTTTTAAAAAGATCTTGTTGGCTATTAGACAGTGAATTGTCTGGAGCAGGGACAAGAACAGAAGCAAAAACATTAGTTAAGATGCTGTCAGTCAGTCCAGACTGCTGTAACAGAACACCACAGACTGAACAGCTTAAACAACAGAAATGCATTTCTTACCATTCTTAAGGTTGGCAGTCCAAGATCAGGGTGCTAGCATGATTGGGTTCTGGTGAGGGGTCTCCTCTTGGTTTGCAGACAGCTACCTTCTTGTTGTGTCCTTACATGGCAGAGAAAAAGATCATCTCTCTTGTGTCCCTTCTTATGAGGGCGCTAATTCCATTCCTGAAGACTCCATACTCATGGCTCAATCACCTCCTAAAGGCCCCATAGTACTGTCATCTGAGGATGAGGGTTTCAACTACGAATTTTGCAGGGGACACATTCAGTCCACAGCAGATGCTATTGGTATAGTCTAGCCAGAAATAATGACGACTTGCAGTAGGATTGCAGCAGTGGAGTTAATATATTAAAGACACGTATTTAAAGTAATGAAAGGAGCCGTGGCAGGACATACTGATGGAGTACAAATTGAGAGTAAGAAGAGTGAGATTAAGGATGAGTCTTGTGGTGACATTACTAGAGGGGAAGAAAAAGTTTTTGAATTTACTGATTAGTTGTAATTAAAAAAATGTTTTTCTAAATAAAAATTATGATAGTTCTATTCAAAAGATATACAACTTTTACAAGCTATGCTAATGTCTACAAAATATCTCTCCACTTACAAATTGTTTTGTTTTAACAATCCCTATAATATATATCAGGAGTTGGTAAATTTTTTGCAAAGAGCTAGATAGTAAATACTTTGGACTTTGTAGGCCACACTATCTTCGGACAGTACATCAATGTAAAGCTTTACATCAATGTGAAGTACCAATGAAGATTTATTTACAAAAACAGGCATAGGCCATAGTTTGTCAAACTTTCATGTATATGATATAATAGAATGATTGCCTAAGCAGAATACATAAGTGCTTCTAATTCATAGAATACCTCAAAAACATATTCAACTTAGAGATGGCAACTTCACGAGTAATTGAAAAATCAGGCTTATGGGATTTATGGTCTTTTAAAAAGCCATTTTATCTTTCCTCATTAGGAATTCCTGTAAGCATCTGATTGTGTTCAAATACTCATCCCAAAGATGCATGGTATAGAATTTGGAAATCTGATATGAGCCCTTTGATTGAAATATTTATCTGTTCTCAAACCTCAATAGAAAACGAAGGTCAAAAGGCCTTTTTAAATTGGGTGGCAGAGGTGGGATATTTATTGTTATTTTTAATTCACTTCAATTATTTCAAGTGACATTTTATTCTTCTAATTTCTTTTTTAAATTACCCATCCTTGAAAAGCGTCATCTGAATTTGACAATTACTTTCCTTTTTCAGGGAACAGAGCTAGTTTCTGTCTGTGTCTCATAGAAAAATACAGCCCCTATGTTCTAAAGGTTATTAATATTTACAACAAGTTGTGATGTATTGAATTAACTGCTTTTATCTCGCCTTTGAAGTCCTGATAACGAAAAGGACAGAAAGATCAATAACCACATGATGGGTAACTAATTGCTTTTGCTTCCACTTGCAACCTGCCATCTCACTCAGAGCTCAATCCAAACTCCATTTGACAACCTCAGATATTGTTTTCAACCTTAGATCTCAACAGTCTGGACTCCAAATTGAGTACTCCAAATTGAGTAGAAAGACATGCTTAAAAACTTTTCAATCAATAATTTTTTATGTGTATGTACTACTCAATACCATCCATATGGGAAATTTATTAGAAGTAATTACTCAGATGACTATAAAGAACTGGAATAATTTATTTGCTAAGAGGGATAGTCTTCTAAACGGTATGTAATTACTTCTTTTGTTATGTTTGTCATGATTTAATTCGCTATTGTAAAGTCAAAGCTTCACATTGAAGATGCTTTCATTAAGTGCTTATTTAGTACCACTACTACTAGCTAACAAATTTTCATCAGTTGCTATAGGTCATGTTCTGGTCCAAAGGATTTACAAAATTAACTTACTGAATCTTTACAATTCCATAAAGTAAGTACTCCTTTTTTCTACATTGTGACATAGAAAAGTGTCCATAGCTTCACGGTAATGAATCCTGTATTTCCCACTTGCCAATTTCTTGACCTTGGGCAAGTTCATTCATCTCTTCGTACCTTAGTTTGCCCATTCATAACTTGGGAATAAAAATCATGCCTGCCTCATCGAGTTATTAAGATAAAGTAGGTTAATATTTTAAAACACTTAGAAGAGTGTCTGACATATGCTAAAGATAGTTATCTGTAACTAATAAGATAAACCTAACTTGCCTAAAGACAAAGCTAGTAAAAACAGCATCCTTCTGTACAAGATGCTATGAGGAATACAAAGATGAATCAACACGGTTAGAAGATCTGGCATATTTATTGACAAGAACATCTTCATGGCAATATGCCTGGTTTTTACTGAGTGTGAAATAAATCTCCATTCTTGTAAAGTGAGAGAGAAATTATGTCACGAATACCAGTTTATCTCTACAAATGGGTAACAACTCATTGTGGACCCGAGCTGCTGACAATTAAACTGAATGTATGAGTCAGTCTTGCTTATGTTGCTTTCATGGTTTGCACTGGATTACAACTGCTTTCACCTTCCTCTTAAGAATTCGTTGGTGAAAGCAATCATAGTAAGGTGGTTTGGATCTGTGTCCCCACCAAATCTCATGTGGAATTGTAATCCCCTGTGTTGGAGGTGAGGCCTTGTTGGGGGTTGGGTCATGGGGGCAATTTCTCATGAATGGGTTAGCACCATCCCTGCTACTGTTCTCATGATAGTGCGCGAGCTCTTGTGGTATCCTTCTCTCTCGCTTCTGCTCCCACCATGTGGGACATCTGGCTCCTCCTTTGCTTTCTGCCATGATTGGAAGCTTCCTAAGGCCTCTCCAGAAGCAGAAGGTGCTATGCTTCCTGTATAGTCTGCAGAACCATGAGCCAATTAAACCTCTTTTCTTTATAAATTACCCAGTCTCAGGTATTTCTTTATAGCAGTGTGAGAACAGACTAATATACATCAGAAGTTGTTTTTCCAAAATTAAATATTTAAAGTTTTCCGATTAAAGGGCAGATTAAATTTTTGTTCTTAACTTTTAAAATAAGAATTTCATGCCAAACATTGAGCATTCACAGTATAGTTATTTATACTGGTTGCGAAGGTCATTTATATCCCTGTACTTATACCTATATCTTTTTATGACCCACATCTTCAAACATAGTATTTTTTTGCATTTTGATGAGTGATTAATTTTAAAGATGACTAAATGATTTTTGCAGGAGTGTACATGCATTGCTTTCCCCTGTTCTCATCCAATGACTCTCCTCAATTTTGGTCAGAAATTTACTTTTCGCTATCTCTTCTTACATAGACGTGTTTAAATATTTCATTATCTTAATTTAAACCCTTAATTCATTCAGTTCCAAATGTGAGCTGAAACTTATTTCTTAGCTAAACGAGAAATTTACAAAGGAAATGAAAGATAACATTGCAAAAATGTCCATTCCTCTCTCCTTCTTCATCCTCCTGGTATACTGCTTGTATTGAATGTTAATACTCATAAGAGAGAATCCCACCGAATCCAGTGAACCAGGAGAGGTGTGAGTTTGCATCTGTGTTAGGAATGAGACTTTTTCGGTTGATTAGCCTGCTCTACCCAGGCTGCAATGCTGTGCCACTTGAGAATGTTTCCTTGCAAAGGTGCTAATGCAGAAAACCAGCCAAAAGCCTTTTAAAGATTTCTCTGTTATGTCCCCCAAATCCCATCCTCAAATGTGGACAAATTGATGGTGGTAGTGTTGGGAGTCAGGCCTAAGAGATTCAATTAAGCCAGGAAACACTCTCTACATAGAATGAAATGTTTCCCTGCTCCTCTATATTGAGAACCCAGTGCTTGACTTACATAGCTATTGCCTCAGAATTATTTCCTTCGTATTGCAAGTCCTTTAAAAGCTTTCTCAGATAAAGCCGATTTGTTCTCTCAGAGTCTTGTACTTTTAACGGGTTTCATGCTGTTACGAATACCCAGACAGAACTTCCCGTTCAATTCCCTGAATGAAATGTTAGATCGAGACAATTAAATTCCTTTTGTGAGTCTTTGGGAAGTAATCTTGGACGAAAGCAGTGGGGAAATAATTACTATAGATCAGTGGGCCTCTAAGTGCAGTCTCCAGACCAGCAAAATCAGTATCACCTGCAAACTTATTAGAACATGCAAGTGATCCAGCCAGACCCCAACCTTACTGAATCGGCAACTAATGGAGGTAGGGGCCCAGCAATGGGATACACCCACATTTGAGAACGTCTGCTATAGAGAAATATTTCACAGAGACCCATGTCCTTCTGGGAAGTCTGTGAAAAAGCTGTTACATGTGGTTCTGATTTTTGACTCTTCAGCATGTTTCCAGGGTGAAGAACTATTTTAATTTATACTAATCCTTCCAAGTCAATCATCTTCTCAGCATAAAACCTTCCTGGCATTGCCATACATCATTTTCTAATGTGATATGGCCACTGCCTAGTACCAAATTATATGAGTGATTGTCTCTCTCATTTCCATCAAAATGTATCTGCTTTATTTTTACATCTCCTGATAATATTCAGACATCTCAATGCTTTATTCTTTCATATTATTGTAGGTTTTATTTCTCCTATTAGATAGTGAGCTTTATAAATTCATTGGTGCATTCAGCAAAAAAAAAAAAATGTGTTTCTCTCACATTGAAGCAGAATGTATGGGCCTAATTTGGTTCCCATATCTACTCTACAGGGCAAGTGCATTAAGGCCTCTGAGCTTTAGTTTTATCACCTTTAAAATAAGGGTGGCAATATCTGGAGGTAAACACTTAACATAATGCTTAGTATATGCCAGACATCAATTTTGATCTCTTTATATGAATTATGCAACTCATTCTCACTGTATACCTATAAGGTAGCCATCATTATTATTCCCATTTTGTAGATGAAGGAAGTGAGGCAGAGAAAAGATAACTTGCTGGAGGTCATAGAGCTGGTATGTGGTGGAGTTGAGAACCCAGGCAGCCTACGGCCCAATACCAGGCACTGAACCCCAATGCCAACTGCTTTGTAATCTAACGCCATAGGGTTGTTTTGAATATCAGTTTCCATGTACTTAGCACAGGGCCAGACATGGCTTGTGATATAGACATGGCTTTTGATATAGGATGGCTATTTTTAACTCCTTCAAGAAATGTTCAGCCTATGGAAGGAGAAAATGTGGGAAAATAATAAAATAATATAGGTATGTATTAGTAATCCTATTGCTGATGTAACAAATTACCCTATACTTAATGGCTTAAAATAATACATATTTATTAATTTACCCTTCTGGAGGACAGAAGTTCAAGGTGGGTTTCAATGGGTTAAATTCAAATTTTCAAGAAGATTGCATTTTTTCTCACGGCTCTACAGAAAATCTGTTCCCTTGCCTTTTTCAATCTCTAGATTTTGCCTGTATTCCATAGCTTGTGGCCCCTTTCCTTCTGCAAAGCCAGTAATGTCCTCTCTGCAACCTCTACTTCCATCTCACACCTTTTCTGACTCTAACTCTCCTGCCTTCCTCTTCTACTTTTGAGAACACTTGTGATTACATTGGACAATCCAGGATAATCTCTTCATCCTGATTTATAATTGAATCACATCTTCTAAGAGCCTTCTAAGATCATACCCCCAAGGTTAGAACATGGACATCTCTTGGGGGCCATTTTTCTGCCTACTAATAAGTGTTTTATAGATGTATGTTCTCACATGCACATTAGAGAAAGCGTGAGGAGTGGAAGTCAGGAAGGCTTTTTGGAGAAGTGATGCTCTAATATAATGTTTAGTTAGGAATAGTTCTTTCAACAGTGAAGCAAGGAGGAACAAAAAGGAATTTTCAAGTCCTCCAATCCTGAAGCAGCCATGGCATACTCAGGTTGCAGATTTAGTTCCAGTGATTAGAAGACTGGGTTCTGGAGGTGGCAGTGTGTGGAGCTAAAACTAAAATGAGAAGCAGAGGTCAGGTAATTGATGTCATTGTATGGCAAGCTAAGGGATTTGGAGCTTATTGGTTGACTATGGGCTTCTTTTTCAATGAGACCCTGCAGGGTACATAGACACTCAGTAAACACCGCTGATGAACAAACCATGTAATTGAATTAATACAGACTTTGATACAACATTTGGTCAGAAAAAATAAATCTACCCATGACTCTCTCTGTTGTGAGAGCATGACTTGAGTAATTGTTTGATCCCTCTTGTGTTCCACTGAGAAGTGGAAGAACTTTTATCGGCTGAGAACTGCCCTAGGCATCCTTAGTTACATACTCCAGTAAAAGCACTTCGAGTTAAAGCAGCGATGGCTTTCTAAGGCCAAAATGTGCTGTTTGAGGATAAAGTATAAGTCAGATTAGAAACTCAAAACCTCTGATGGCACATTAATGTGCCAACGTGGGGACATTCCACCCTATACTTTCACTCACATTCACAGAATGATGCAAGAGACCCTTTAATCCAAAAGTAAACAGAACTATGTGTGGGTGAGATAAGGATGTTCACTTAATACAGTGGGGTATCTGCACAAGTATCTCTGTGCAGAGGTGCTTGTCTGAGCGCAAGCTGTGTGCTATAGCCACAGAAGTAATAAATAAAATTTTTACCTGTGCCTGTAGTCCAGCCTATTCAGGAGGCTGAGGTAGGAGGATTGCTTGAGCCTGGGAACTTGAGCCTGCAGTGAGCTCTGATCACACCATTGCACTCCAGCATGGGTGATGGACTGAGACTCTGCCTTAAAAAAATAAAGGAAGCCCCAGGAGAGAGGTAGACAGGCCTTACAGGCCTTATAGACATGGGCAGAGCTTCTTCTCCAATAATTCTCTCCCTTTTATCATTGCATTCAGTCTCTCCAAACATACTCATCTCAAGCATGTCACAACACATTGACATTCTCATATTTTGTCTCTTGTCTCCAATTCTGCCTTTTGGTTGAATCAAGGGGAATGCTGGAATTTCTAGAGTCGGGCCATCCTAGTCTCATGTTTCTACCTCAGTCTCTGTAGGTAAAGCAGACAGATGGGCTCCCCTTTTCAAAGAAAAAAAGCCACCCTGCATTCATTTGCTTATTCATTGACAAAATATTAACCAAGTTCTTACTATATACTTGTCACTTTGCAAGGTGTCATGAGTATTGCAGTGCAAAAGATAGAAGCAGTACCCTTGTTTTCCCTGAGAGTTTCCAGTTAATGGGGAAGGTAGACCTTGTCAAAATAATTAAGTAAAAGAATAAACTAATGACCACCATTGAATGCTAACTCCAGGGCAGGCACTATTCAAAAGGCTTTAATCTCTGTAGATCCCCACGAAAACCCTATGAAATATAGATGATTACTATTTCAACCCCTTCTCCAAGCTTATAGAGTTTTAAGTGTTGGAGCCAGGATTCAGCTTAGAGGATCCACCCATTTCTGAAGAGTGCTCATAAGAGAAATACATTGTGCCCAGGGAGCCTGCCATCGATAAAAATTTAACACTCTTTCAGAAAATCAGAAAACCACAGTCCAAAATCATGGTGATTCGTTCTATAGGCAGGCTGCATGTTGCGTCTCATCACCATGGTAATGAGATGCATTCCTTGCTAACCTCTCTCTAGACCTCTGCAGATCTCCCATCCCCAGGGGAGCTCCTTGAAGATCATTTATGAGAATCAGCAGTAAGCACCAGTGGCCTTTCAGAACCTCTCAGAGAGTGCTTAATGCAGTAATTGTTTACTCTGATTTGTAATGAGAGAGAGTAACACGGTGATGTTAGGGACTGATTAATTTTCCTGAATGTGTTTCAGAGCAGAAGGCACCTTGCAGAACAAGACTCATTTTCTCCCCCTGTAGATTACCCTGTCTTGATTTTTTTTTGCAGCCGAACCCCACTGGCACACCTCAAAGCACAGCTTGCCTTAGCTTTGCATAATGTAAAATTGCTGAGATAAATTATTATCACATGCAGGATCAGTGATCACTTTTTTACCTCTAAATTGGTGAAAGTGTTGCCATGGAATCACTAATAAAAAGAAAGAGGTCCAGGGGTTGCTAGTTCATTTAGACGATCTACAGTTTGATTTCTTCCCCTTACAACAGGCACACAGAAAGCAGCTAGCATTTACCAGGTGCAGAGTGGCCATTTTGAAATAGCTAGGAAGGAAAATGAATACTGAACACATGTAGTGGGCCAGAGAATATGTAAGATAGCTATGTTTTTATAAAGTAGATCAAATGAGTGTTTGGTAAAGTGGAATTTCTGAGACGTGCGAGTATGCTCCTAGGGGAAAAAGGCTTGTTTTGCCAATTGGGCTTTTGTTAGAGGCCACAGGGTGTGTTGCTCTGGAACTGAGGCTTTGTAAATTGGCCCTTACTAGCTGCTTTGTCTTGTCTTCTAAATTGCTTGAAAATCTATTAAGATATATGACCCACATAAAAGTAGCACCAGAGGCTTTCCGAATCATGGTCCCTGGGGATTGGATTTTACTTTATCACCCATTAACGCAGAAGGGATTTCATCAGTCGGCTTACCCTTCTCTCATCCCCGTGGGTTATAAAAATTCCAAAGATTAGCCTCTCTGGGATATAAGCAAAGATGTGAATACCCAGACAGCTGTTTGACAGGCAGATATGCTGGGATTTACAGGGATGGCAGAAACGTGGGTCATGGGGGAAGATTAGATGTGGAGTTTGTGGAGAGGGTTAGTGAGATAGAAGTTCAAAATATTAGATAATTGGACTCCTTATTAGGAAGGTATGAACAGACGTTTGTTATTGACTTTCTGAAGAGGTGTCTGGGTCCCGTTTCACCAGAGCATCCTCTCCAAGGCATCGTTTTTTCCCATCCTGGCTTCTGGGGCTCAGTTTACCTTGCTGTGGTAGCATTTTAACCAAGCATACAAACTCAAAATGAACCAGATGCTTAACATGGTGAAAGGGGGCTGAGTCTTGCTGTGTCTACTCAGGCAGGATAAAGGAGAGGTTTGAACTACTAGCTGGTGTATTTAATTGCCTAAGCCAAAGGTCACAAACAGGTGGCTTGCTGGTCGTCCTAAAACATGTTTGGATTGGCTTGCCCTGTCTTTTGAAACTCCTGAATGAATGGCCAATATACATAAATTGGGAGATTCCACCCAAAATAGCTAGTTTTCTAGGTACTCTTGATAATAGGCTTCTTTGCTCCCTGTGATTAGACACCCTCCTGCTCCATTTCTTTCTGTTGCTTCCTGGCACCAGTGAAGTATTCTTTGTGTATTATTCTGAAGCACACCAACTGCATTGTTCCAGCATTTTCTCAGTGGCTGTGTCTGAAATATGATGAAGGGTCCCTCATGTCCTGTTTTACTGTACTTGCACACCTCCCGAGATTACTCACCCTTGATTTCATCCCTGGGTCTTTCTGTGCCTCAGTGACTCAATTTGTAGTGCACTCTTGGCCTCATTCCCTTTCCCAAGGATGCTATGGGGAGTATAAGAGAAACAAAGGGTTTGCAAGACGCCCTAAGCTCCCAGGGACAAATACACCACTCAGTCCAAACTTATGGCATGGTTACTGTTTGTATGGGCAGTTTAGATCTAGCCTCTGAGAGGTGGCCAGGGTTTCTTTCCTGCTTCGGCTGTATTCTACAGAGGGATCATAAGGACCCAAAGCACACTCTCTCCCTCCGCCCCTTTTATTCCCAGTTCTGCGAGATTGGCAGCCCCGTCTCTTCAGCCTTGCATTTATTAGTTGAGAGATGATTGCCCTCCGTTTATCTGTGACTGGGTTTTGCCTAAAGAGGATGGCTTCCTGCCAAAATGAGATGCATGCCTAATGAACTTGAATGCCTAGAAGCCTGGGCCTCACAGAGTCCCTCCATGTCAACCTGCAGCCACTGGGAAAATAAAGATTCCAGAAGGTTAATACTGACTGAGTCAATTTCTTGACTTTAGTTTTCTATGCACATAATTCCCCTCACAGGATTGTAAATTCTTATTTTCTCTAAACAGTGCTCTAGGAATTCAGATAGTCTCTTGTTAGTTTCATCTTTTCTAGTATTACTATAGTCTTGGTGTAGTTTTTTTGTTTCTTTGTTTGTTTTTTTAGAAAAGGGCAAATATGTGTGTGTGTAGAAGTGTGGTACAGTGGGGGAGTTTTATATTCTCTTACAATATTGAAGCAATTCTTCTGTAAGAACGAAATGAGGTTCTTTGAGTTTCCAATCTGGGAGTGAATGTCAAGTTCGGAGTCCACAATTGTGTCTGACTCAAAATAGGAAATTGAAAAAACTTGAAGAAATGATGACCGCAGAGATTTCCAAGCTCACCTTGGCTTCTTAATCCCAGAGAAGATTAGATGGTAGGAGTAGAATGAGTCCTGAAAATTGAGTGATTTCAGGCTGTGTAATACCATGTTGCGGGCTTTACAGAAACACAAATGATGGTTTGCAAAATACAGTGGCTGCCAAAACCAAGTGTCTGAAAGATGACAGATTGTAGCCTGTCCAGTTGTGACCCTGAGATGACAAAGCCAGAGTGGCCACCTGGCCCATTGTTAACTCTTTGATTTACATGTAGCAGGCTTCGGCTCATCTCCTTAGCAATAAAGTCCCAATAATGTGGTCCCTGACCTCACCCTCACACTGACAGGTGCCTTTTCCGCCAGGGCATTCGCCACACACCAGGAAGAAAATTAGTGCTCTGATGCAAGGATTTACCAAATGACCTCTCTGGGGAGTGTAAAGAGTTAATGTCATTTTCCAACCTGCCTAATTTACTCTAAGAGGGTATTAATGTCTTTTGAGCGAATCAGAAGCCACGAGTGCCTGGGGAGACAGGACTGGGGGGCAAAATTAAGGAAAATACATAAATGTTACCCCCCTTTTCCAAAGTATCTCATTATAATACATTTACATATAACTCTTTTCTTAGCCTACAAGTGTTTTGACATTCCAGCAGTCTTTCAAAATGGATCTTTTCCCCCCTCCCCTTTTTCTATTTGCAACTTCTATGGGGTCTAGCAGAGCCAGCACTGAGAACCAGCAAACCAGGCTTTTACTCTTAGTTATGCTGCTATCTTTTGTCCCTGAGCTGGTCACTTCTCAGCCTTTTCAACTCGAAAACAAATGGGTTGAGTTAAATTATTTCTAAGGGTCCTATGCTTTATGATTTAATGGTTTAAATGTTTTCAAAAATCAATGTTTAAAACACTTCTTTGAATTACAACATATTTTAAATGCATGTAGCATCTTTTCTCCTCATTAGGGCACTATCTAAACATAAATTTATGATATCCCCTCATAGAATACTTAAAAGCAAATGAAGCTGGTGGGGTTTCTGGGTCATTTTATCAGCAGCAAACACAGCATAACTGTGTCAACCTTTAACCACAGCCACATTTGACCTCTGAAAAAGGCTTGATGACTGCAGAACTGGCCACCCATGACCTTCTAACTCCATTCACCTTCACCCTGTCCTAATTGGTGATCCCAGTGCTTCTCAGAAATCCTTGGAGCTTAAATACATCCAGGCAGGCAGGTGGGGTCTTTAAAGGATGGCTATCATCACAGTACACAAGGTTTTCTCCTCAAAGCATGAAACTCCACAAGCAGTTCCAATATCGTGAGTGAGATCAGGATCAAAGAACCAAGAGAAGGGCTTCTTCTCTAGGAGAAGATTATTTATTTTGTTATTCCAAAAGTGGGCAATACTTTCTGAAAATTTTGTTCTGTGTCCAAAATTTATATAATCTAGTTTTCTATAGTTGATAATGCAGCTGCGCTTTAACATGCTAGTCATAAGCCAGGTGTGAACACTCAATGTAAATGAATTACGTTCATGTAAAATTAAAAATTGAGTTCCTCAGTTACCCTAGCCACATTTCAAGTACTCAGTAGTCACATGTGACACAAGGCTACCACATTGTCCAGCGAAGATCAGTAACATTCCTGCTGTCACAGAAATGTCTACTGGACAGATCTGGAAGAAAGTGGATAAATGTTCAAACCTTCAGGAGCTATTTGTTGTTTCCCCTTCCATCATTCTTTCAAAATATATTAACTTAAAAGGAGTAGGCCAGAGGCTGAAAAAATCATGCAGAGTGCTTTCAATACATTGTTTAATTTCTCTCTTTGAGGTAAGTGCATTGTATCTTTTTACAGAAAAGAAAACTGAGTCCCAAGATCACATACTTGGTCAGTGCAGAGCTGGGATGTGTAAACAGTCTTTCAGATTCTAAAGTCTGTGTTAATCTTGGATAAAAATTATTTCTGGAATTTTTTTATCTAGAAATTGTAGGAAAACAGTAAGTTTCTGGACTCAATTATCATCACGATCATCATGATTACCATCCTCATCATCATTTGTAAGAAGTGAGTGAGATTTTGTTTTTATATTTTGGAAAGGATTCTACTTTACAACAGGAACCTAGGATTTTAATGGCTAGATCACTTCAAAGCCAGGCTAAGACAGAGAACAGGACAAGGGGAAAGAAAGAAAGAAAACAAAAGAAGTAAGATAAAATAAAGGCAAACATGCATACGTAACTCAAATGTTTGCATTTTACTTGTGCATTTGTAATCACTTTGTTTTGAGGGCTATAGACTTCATTTAGTTCCCTATAGAGCTAGCATCCTTCCAGACCTTGCAGGTAAATATAAGAGTGAGGTACTTGATATGCGGTGTGTTTCTTCTCTGTGAATCAATTCAGCTGAGAAGCAAAGAACTGCACTTCAGACTTCAGGCGTTTTATTCCTTGGCAACCCACTGTAGTGATATTACAAACATTGAACCTGTTAGACTAATGGAAGTAAATGTTGTAAAAGCTGTGAAAGTCACTGGAAAATATTCACTCATTTGTGCAAGGATAATTTACCAAGTACCCACTATGTGTGAGGCACTGTGCTACACACCAGCTCGAAAAAAGGTGACATTAAAATACAACCCCTTCACCTGAGGGGCAAATTATTGGATATGGGCTGTTACATAAGCAACTCTAAAATAGTATAATACAATCAGCAGTGTAGGTAAATGTTTTATATCCAGCTCCTTAGGAAAAAAAAGCAGTATTTGTCTCATTTGCTATCGTCATGGTGTAAATAAATACTCCCACTATGATCAATATCAGGTTACCAACATAATGTCACTAAATGTGGAGTTGGAAAGAGATTGCTTATTGTAAGCAGTACAAGCCAGATCCAGCGCACTGTATAATGTATTATTTATGTTATATCATATTATCTGATATAGTATATCATATTATCTATATACATATATAAATATACATGGATATAATATATACAAAATATAATAAATGTAATATAATTTAAAATCATCTAATACCATGTTAAGAAGATATAGCCTATTGGTTAAGAGTTTAGGTTTGGGAGGCCTCACACCTGTAATGTCAGCACTTTGAGAGACTGAGGTGGGAGAATCACTTGAGCCCAGATGTTCGAGACCAGCTTGGGCAACATAGGGAGAACTTGTTTCTAAAAAAACAAAAACATTAGCAGGCAGGATGGTGCACACCTGTGGTCCCATCTTCTTGTGCCATTGCACTTCAGTCTGAGTGACAGAGTGAGACTCTGCCTTGTTAAAAGAAAAAAAAAGTTAAGGTTTTGATATCAGACCAATGTGACTTTAAATTGCGACCATTATACTCATTATACTTTATACTCATTATAATCAGTCAGGGATTATACTGACTGGCTGAGTTCTTTAAGCCTCTGTTGTCTCATCTATTCAATGGGAGAAAAGCTAGTAGCTTCTTGCCTAGGACTGTTGTAAGGGTCAGCACAGAAATGCTTAGTTCAGTCCCTGATCCATAGTTAAGTATTTGCTGATGTACAAGTGAGTAAATGAGTCAATGTCAATTGGCAGCATCGCTGGAGTATGAAGTAAATCGCTGTAAGAACCTAGAAGAGGACGAAATTCAGCTCATGGTAAATCAGCAAAGGCTTCACATGAGGAAACGTTTGAAATGGGCCTTGATGGCTAAGTAGAATCTTACCAGGCACATAGAGAAAAGAGGCTCATTCCAGATAGATGCAGTAGTGGGAGCAATTCTATTTGTTGTAGTGGTGGTGGCAGTTTTTCTTTAAGAGGTATATAGTGCCTTAGTCTGATATGCCTCCTTCTTTTCCTAAAAACTGCTAGGAGCTGCTACACATCTGCTTCTGCTGTTAGGCAATGAATGCCATCTTCCCTAATACCCACTGAGCCCCCCAGAGATAACAGCCATGCATCCCTTTTCACTAGGTCTTTGTGAGTACTTCTGTGAAGAACATGCTGACTTTTTGCCAATAGCTTTTGTTTACTGAAGCCCCAGAAACTGGTGAGAGAGATGTATTAATGATGGGGCCTAATCTCTATTGTATTTTACTGAAATTCCATTTCAGCCACAGAAATGCCGAATGCCTGCCGGTGAAATGTAATTTCTTGAAGTATCACTTATTAAAGGAAAGCATATTTCATCTCTCCATGTCTGAGGTTTATTCAAACAAAGGAAATGGGTTGTTACCAAGGAAAGCATAACTCAAAATCCCAATTATGACTGTTAAACCACATGTGAAATTACTTTTAATAATTAAAAGTGGCTCTTGCCACTCCGCAATCCTAGTTCAATATTAGGTCTGGTGCCATTTTAAGGAAAGCTAATAATCTCCAGTAAATCCCCTTGACCTTAATTGTCTTCACATCCACCCTTCAATGACCTTTATCGCTTTGATGGTTAAAATCTAAAATAAATGATACTAACAGATCTAATGTGCAACTGCATCATGTTCCTTTATTTTATGCATTTGTTATGGTTCCATTATACATTTTCTCCAAAGAGGCAAGAGTGTTTTGAAAAAAAACTCTTATTACATGTATTTTTTAATTCAATTTTTAAAGCAGAGAGAAGAAAATGTCAATAAGAAAAGTGTCATTTGGGAGAGGAGGTAAAACAATGGAAGGAAAAAGAAACTGAAAAGGGATGGCAGTACAGAAGAAAGTCAGTAATTATAAACTTCACTGGCAAAATACAAATGTAGCATCCAACCGTAAAGCCTAAGAGAGCAACTAAAGCTATTTCTAGAAGCAACAAATTTATGTAAGTATTTGCATCTTGAATAATAATTTCTTTTACAAAATATTCTAAGATTTGGAAAGCCTGTAGCCTCAAGGACAGAGTATATCTTGGCTGCTTACCACAGCAGTCCATTTTGATATCTATATTTTATATTTAGGAATATTCTTGGATTCACATTTATAACTTGTTTCTTAGAGATTGCACATGCAGTGTAGATATTGTAGATTTAATTGTTTCTCATATTTTAAACAGTTGATGTTACTTTTGTTTCATTGTGGTCTACATTTCTGCCATTTTGCGTAACGATACCTTATTCTTCTTTGGAAAAGTTGCTCTGCTCTACTATGCATTTCTTTAATCAGGCATTTATTTATTCATTCAAAAAAGGTTTCCCAAGCATTGTATTATGTGTTGTAACTGTATTTGTTGCTTAAAATATACAGAAGACGTGTATATCATCTGTCCTTTTAAAGAGAGTGTAGGGTGAAGAAAGGTGGAAGAGAGACATCATGGCGACTGATAAACTAAAGAATGATATAGGCATATGTACTGATTTTATGGAAATATGTCATTTATCAGCATATCTCGAAAACTCTGCCTGGTTGAGGGAGCCATGGAGGAAGTAAAATGGTTTCCTTCAGGCTCGTTCTGTGTTTTACATGAACGCAACCTCGTAAGGCAGCACTGAGAGTCAGGACATTGTCCCTGAGACCTGGTCAATACTGCTTAGGGCTGGCTGAAGAACCTCTGTCCATGGTTCCAAAAACAGCCATCAATTCTCTCTTCCAGGAGTCACACCCACACACCCATATACACATCCAAAAATGCACACCCATTCAAGCAACTACGTATCCATTAACCTTGGTAAATGCTTTCTTGCTTGAAACAAATTATTTCCCTTTTTTTCCCTATCACTCTTAGAATGAAATTGAAATTCCTAGGAGATTTGTCTTATTCCAAGCTTTCCCTTTACACAGCCCTCCAACCACACTGGCCTCCTTCCTATGTCTCAAACAAGCCAGGCTTGTGTCCATTTAAGGCTTTAGCACAAGCTCTCTGTTTGCCTTAGTACATTTCCAGAGAGCATCAAATGCTTCAATCCTTCTTGTCACTGAACTCTCAGTTTTAAACGTCTCTTGAGGAGGAATTTGCTTAATGATCTTATAAAAACTATCCCAGTTTCACCACCCAGTGAGTCTTTATCATGGTTTCCCTTTTAATGGCAAATATTTGTATGTAACAATTTATTATTTTATTATTTATATTAGTTTATTTTCTGTCTTCTTCACCAGAATATAAGGTCAATAAAAGAAGGAACTTTATCTCTAGTATTAATCCTAAAAACCAATTCATTGTAAATATCAATGAGATCTTAGCCGTCATGGGAGCCAGGCTCCAAATGGCCCAGTGATCCTCTCCTTCTGCTCTTCATGTTCTGGGGTAGTCAGTCCTTTAAGGCTGACCTCTAACCAATGTGATAGTATGGAAATTACAATGCATGACTTCTAACGCTAGGTCATAAGAGAAATTGTCTACCTCTGTTTTGGGTTGCTCACTCTGGGTAAAGCCAGCCACCTTGTCATGAAGACACTCAAGCAACTCATGAAGTGGCCCCCATGGGGAAGAACTGAGGATTCCTGCCAGCAACCAGCAGCATGTGAGTGAACATCTTGGAAACTGATTCTCCAGCCACTCTCAAGGCTTCAGATGCTACAGCCCTGGTTGATATTTTGAGCACAATGTCGTAAGAGGCCCGGAGCCAAAACTACCCTACTAGGCTGCTCCTGAATTCTTGACACACAGAATCTGTTGGGGACAATGAGTGTTTTATCTAAGCCACTAAGTTTGGGGGCCAGTTGCTATGCAACAACAGATAAGTAGTATGCCTATGCTGCACTAACTGCTAGGTCTTGCTGGGCACACAGTAGGCAGTCAATATTTGCTGATATTTAAGTGAATAAAGGGGTGTTGAGGAAAACTCCATTTCATTTAGCTGCATTTAAATAAAGATGAATTATAGCTTCACTGCAAGATACAGGAAGTAGCCAAATTTTTAAGTGTATTTTACAAAAGATGCCTATGAAGAAATCAATATCACAAACCTGAATACTCGATTCAAGCTCTGGCAGCTTTCTTATTTAACTCCCAGTTGATTTGTTTTCACAGAGTAAATTACCAGAAGGGCATTTGTCTCATTCTCTCTTTACTAAAAGGTCTTTAACTTCTATTTGCAGGTGTTTTTGCCTTCTAATCTTTCTCTTCATTGTTTCTCCAGATTTTGTCACGATAACAGATGTACTTTTTGTATTCTTTCAAATCCTGCCATTTTGCTTAAGAAGAAAAAAGATTTAAATCAAATTGTGGTTCATTTGTGATACTCTCCACAGACATTTATAACTGACAACTGAATGCATCAGTTACTTTAAACAGCCTGACTACAGTCATTCATAACAAAACAAAGAGGAGTGACTAGCATAGGACTAACTGATGAGCAGTTCTGTGGAGTTGAGGAAGGTTGTAATACTTTACATCTACAACTTAAGATTTCACAGAAGTCTCTGAGACATATTTACATTACAGATTATGATTCAAATTTTAAAGCACAAGGCAACATTGTTTGGCCCAGCTACTTGATTATGACTTCTTTTCAATGTGCTGTTCCCCTGTAAACATCATGGTTGACGTTTCAGGCATTTGCTTCTTCTCTCTACCAAGGACTTGTTTTCATTAACATTGATGAACAGCTTTCATTTTATCTGTGTGTATTCTACAAAAAGCAAACCTTGTTTGAAATTTGTTTCATATTGGAAGAATTTACTTCATCTCATAGTCACAGTGGGCCTTTAGCTGCCAATTTAAAATGAAGAGACACTTTGCAAAGTGTAAGTTATTTTATTTTAATGACATTTTATACTCACGATTCACATTTTTGTGCAGGTAAAATAGGATATCATTAAGATCACCATCATTGTGATATCTTGCAGAGTTAAATTCTCTGGCTGGGAAATGTTTAAGCCTCAGTAGTTTTTGACCACAAATTCACATTTCAAAAGAAAATATATTCAGGGTTCAGAAAACAGCAGGTGCAAAGGGAGTTATAGCTATCTCTTTTAACTATTAGGAGGAAAACTAAAATTGGCAACAATAGACTTGTCATTCTCTGCACTTTTATTCTTAATGATAATTATATGATGAAGGAATACACATTAGCAATGGCAATAGAGATATCAAATTGTATAGCATTATTGCCACCATTCTAGGAATAGAAAAGCAGAGTAAGAAGAAAAAGAGGCATTAGTGTTATTTATCATTGATGAGATGTGGAAACATGAGATTCGCATTTTGCAATGCACAGTGACATTAAACTCTAATCTAGTGCAGAGTTCCTCAGTAGCAACATTACTGACATCTTGGGTTGGAGAATTCTTCATTGTGGGGACCTGTCTTATCCAACATAGGATGTATAGCCACATCCCTGGACTCTGCCCACTAGACGTTGGTAGCATCACTGTAGTCCTTACTACCCAAAATGTCTCAAGACTTTGCCAGATGTCCCCTAAGGGCCACTGCTCTTGTGTACCAGATAAGTAAAAACATGGGACATTGAGAAGTGGAAGATCTACACTATCTTTACCGAAAAGACCCCCATACATGGGTGTATTAGTTCATTCTCACCCTGTTATAAAGAAATATCTGAGACTGGGTAATTTATAAAGAAAATAGGTTTAATTGGCTCATGGTTCCTCAGGCTGTACGGGAAGCAATGGCAGCCTCTGCTCTGCTTCTGAGGAGGCTTCAGAAAACTTAGAATCATAGTGGAAGGCAAAGGGGAGGCCAGTACTTTACATGGCTGGAACAGAAGGAAGAAAGAGAGCGGAAGGGGCTGTACTCTTTTAAACAATCAGCTCTCATCATAACTCAATTACTTGTTAACACTCATCAACAGCACTGAGGGGTTGGTGCTGAGTCTTTCATGAAGGACCACCTCCATGATCCAATCGCCTCCCACCAGGCCCCACTTCCAACGTTAGGTATTACAACTTGACAGGTGATGTGGACGGGGACACAGACCCAAACCATGCCAAAGGGTAACTGGCACCATTGACCCAGATAGTAGCAGAGACTCACACAGCTGGAAGGGGCTTTGGGAGATATATAGGCCATCTTTATTTTATGAATGGAACTCTGCAACTCTGCAAGGAGCATAGATTTGTTCAGAGTCACACAGCTGGGTTGTGTCAGGCTTGAAACTTGATGTTGTACTACTTGCATGCTGTTTTTTCTTCTTAACTGAAGATAGCTCATCCTCTGCAAATCTTGTATTTAAATCTTCTTTATTTTCTGGAAAATGGGTTGGGTTTGCATTATATTAGCCCACGGGAATGACCAATTGTGCGGCAAAGAAAAAACACCGTTCTCATGCTGAACAATTGTCTATTCCTTCTGGGATAGGCTGCAGAGAAAAAGTAGCACTCTCCTCTAGGCAATTGTCTATTCCCACTATTCAAGATGGTGAATAGTGGGAAATCTAGATGTTGGATTTTGTGCTACGTTAAATAACTCCTATAAGTATACTAATGATATGAGTTTAAAGACTACAACTTTGACAGATGCATGTTCAATATAAATGATGCAAAATCCAGTCATTGCTTGGGTTCAAATTTCAGTTCAAATCACTAGCTGCATAACCATGGGCTAATTAGGTAACTTCTCTGAGCCTGATTCTTCAAATCTGGGGGCAAAATGAGTTATAGCCTAACTCATAAGGTTGCTATATGTATGAAATGAAATAATGCATATAGTTGAGCACAATTTCTAGTATATAGAAAGCACTATCTAAATGTAAGTGCTGTTGCTGCTGCTATTGTTGTTATAAGTACTATTATTGAATTTAATAACTCAAAAGAGCTAACTCTGCATAGAGAGATGTGCAGAATGCACGACAAAAAGACTTTAAAAAATAAAGATGTATGAATTAATAGGAAGACTTCTCAATCATGGCTAGAATTAAGATAGACAATGTGGAGATGTGTAAGAATTTTTATTCCAAGAAAAGGGCTTTAAGATATAAGATATCTACAGAATTGTTACAGTTTAAATTAGACATAATTACAGAAGATAGTTTTAATGTGATGCTGAAATATGACAAGTTAACACAAGTCTGTGTATGTGAATTTGAAAAGTATATGATTTTTATGGCTTTTAAAAATTTTATTCATTGAATAATTCCTAAATGCCAGGCAACGCCCTTCTCCATGGCTGACAGCCTGACCAACTTGAGTTGATAATGAGACTCAAATAGAATGCAAATTGCCTGATATTGTCGCCTTCACCAATTCAACAATCATCCCAATCCTGGGACTCTGAAATATTAATAAAATCTAATAAAGGACTCCAACATGCCCTACAGATGGAAAAGAAATGAAAAAATGTCATGCCTTCTCTGTGAATGCTTTGAAATGAAAAATCAAATGATCGGTGGGAGAGAGACACAGGACCAACAACTGACGGACTGTGGAATATTTTCAGAAGTTTTCTATTACTCCAGATCTATTGCTGATAATTTTAAAAAGACAATATTGTCAATTTCATGTAATCATGTGTCACTGTACATATGGGAATATCTAGGTGCATAACGTGGTTGCCTTACTATACTACATTGGTATCCACTTGAGAGTTCTTGGCTCTTGATTTTTATGCGAAAACATAGACCCAGTGTTTTCAATTTGATTCCTTAGCATGTCATCGGGAAGCCTTGATACTTTGCAATAAACTGCCAAAATACCATACTGCACTTATATGTACACAAAGGCACAATGTATTATTTAATATTGTTTTTAAAAAGAAAAATATATAGTTACCATGGTATTGGAATGAGCAACAATTGAGATCCTGCTGTTCAGTGGGTAAAATGCCCTGCTTCACACATAATAAATAGCAAACCCTCATTGTTTGTCATCTTGTAGCTCATTGTCCTGATAATTTCTCAAGTGGAAGTAAATTAATCCATCCCCCCCTTTAAAGGATATAGTAGGCTGGAATAGAAAGAGCAGTGGGTTTGAAGTTAAAAGAGCCTAATCTAATCCACTTGCCAGCTATGTGAACTTGAATAAGGCGTAGTTTTTGAATCTGTAAAATAGAAGTAAAACCATCGATCCTGCCTGCCTCCCTGTGAGACGCACGCTGAGAATCAAATGTGATTGCACATATGGACTGTTTTGTAAAATAGGAAGCATGGTACAAAGGTAAAGTACTATTGGGTGGGGCAAGGGACATCTACATTGTCTGTCACTAGGGTGCAGACATGTCTGAGCATGTCTACTGGATGTTGGATCAATCCTCTCAGGAGTCTATTTGCATAAGAGACATAGTGTCTGCTTGAGTAGAAGTTATAATAAGAGAGGACTGTGTCAGGCATGCCACTCTGGAGCCAGCAAAATTAAAAAATATATATTTAGTCACTTGAGAAAAGAAATTATTTTGAAACCACTAGCAACAGCTCTCATTAGATTTATCTTCTGGCCCCACATTTTAGCCTCGTGTAATAGTCTCATAGAAGGAGGGCAGGGGAAGGAGCTCTAAGGAAAAACTAGTACAGCATGTAAGGTATTAGGGTAGAAGCAGCAACTCTTAGAGACTATGTATAGAAAGTGAAACTGTAAATGCAGAGAGAGGCATTTTTCTCATGTGTTGCAATGGAACATCATTCAGCTTTGACAACTCAGATGTTCCAGTTTATCATTGACACGGTGGTACCTGGCAGAACACATCTTCCCAGGTTATTACAAAGAATCTTGGCAAGCATCTGTGCAAGACCCTGGCAGGTGCCAAATCTATCTGATGTAGCGCAGTTCCCACGTAGGCAGGCTCCGCATCTCACAGCAACCTCTGCTTTAGTAGAACAGCCCTGACATCCAGGTTCAGGCTATCTGTAGCTATGTCTCTGCTATATGGACCTGCCTTTTCTTATTGAAATCTATTATTTGTGGTAGACATCTGATCCAGGCAGAGAAAATAAGGTTTGCTTAAGTTACATTTAAAAGTAATCTAATTCGAATTTTTGAGTAAAGATGTTGTAGGAAAATACAGGTTCTTGTCACACAATCAGAAAAGATTAGGCTCATGGACACACAGAAGGGTGAGAAAAATGGAATTTATTGGGCAAAAAAAAGGAAAAGAGAAAAACTCTCAGCAGAGTGAGAGGGAAGCCTGTGAACTGGCTCCTGCCCCACCACATAGGAGCTCAAGAGGCTGGGTTCCCGGCAGGGAGCTTGCATGGCCCCACCCCATCCTCTGAGTGTGCAGGTGGGCATTATTCAGAAAGAATCAGTTGGGAAAGGGTGGACTTCATCTGGAGCCAGCAGTCCAGTTTTTCAACCTTCAGGCTGTTTTAGGCTTGAAGTTGAGGTTTTGCAGGGAGTCCTTGGCCTCCTCTTGCATCTATCAAAGATAGAGAGATTGAAAGTCACCAAAGTGTCCTCACGTTAATATTAGGGCTCCAGAGTGCAGAGTCTTGTTACTAAATTTCTTGGGGCATGCCCAATTGTTCAGTTATTCTCTTCGTTCTCAGTACAATGCTGGCATTCTTCTAATATAAATTTCATTTAAAATAATTAATTTGAATTTTGTCTGATCAAAAGAAGTTTAATACCTGTGGGAAGAGGACTTTACAGGTAATTAGACATTGACTTGGCAAGTCGGAGGAAAAGTCAGCGTAATATGAATCACTTATGACAATTTCTGTCATTTAACAGCCTGCAGTCATGTCTTTCAATGTAGTACACCATGATGGTTAATTTTATGTCGACTTGGCTGGGCCACATTGCCCAGATGTTTGGTCAAACATTATCCTGGATGTTTCTTTGAAGGCGTTTTTTTGGATGAGATTCACATTCATATCAGTGGACTCTGAGTAAGGCAGATTGCCCTCCATAATGGAGGCACAATGGTGGGCCTCATCCAATCAGTTGAAGGCCTGAATAGAACAAAGACTACCCTCCCCTGAATAACAAGGAATTCTTCCATCACACTGCCTGTGTCCTCAGACTTCAACTCTTCCCTGGTCTCTAGCCTGCTCACTCCTTCTCCTGGAGATTTTTAACTTGCACCTCTACAATCCTGTGAGCCAATTCCTTAGAATAAAATCTTTATTTCTCTCTCTCTCTCTCTCTCTCTCTCCCTTTCTCTCTCTCTCTTCTCTCTCTCTCTCTGTGTGTGTGTGTGTGTGTGTGTGTGTGTGTTTACTCTCTCTCTTGCTCGCTGTCTCTCGGTTTGTGGGTTTGTTTCTCTGGAGAGCCCTGAATAATACATACATTGTTACCTAACAAGTTGGCAGAGTTATCCAGCACCTCCAAAATATCAGTTCTCAGCCTCTTTGTTGTAAGTTTGGTGAGGATCAACAGGCAACAACGGAGTCAGAGTATTAAAAATAAATAGTAGATTTTATAAAACCCTCAGGCTCTCTTATCTGTACTGCAGACTGGAATGTGATCTCTTCATGAGTGAGTGTGCACCCATATGCATTTCCAATTTCTATAGTAACAAATTACCAGAAATGTATTGGTTTCATGTTACTGCTCTGGAGACCAGAATTCTAAAATTTTTCTGCAAGGCTTTGTTTCTTCTGGAATCTCTAGGGGAGAATCTGTTTCTTCTCTTTCCAGCTTCTAGAGGCCACCTCCATTCACTGGCTCATGGCCCCTTCCTGGTGTCATTCTGACATCTACTTCTGTCATCACATCTTCTTTTTTGACTCTGACCCCCTTGCCTCCCTCTTATAAGGTCCCTCTGTGATCACATTGAACCCATATGAATAACCCAGGATTAGCTCCCTATCTCAAGATCCTTAACTTCCTCACATCTCCAAAGTCCCTGTATTAGAAGCGTTTAAACCAGAACAACTCCATCTTGAATAGGAGCTGGGTAAAATAAGGCTGAGACCTACTGGGCTGCATCCCCAGACGGTTAAGGCATTCTCAGTCACAGGATGAGATAGGAGGTCGGCACAAGATACAGGTCATAAGACCTTGCTGATAAAACAGGTTGCAAAGAAGCCAGCTAAAACCCACCAAAACCAAGATGGTGACAAGAGTAACCTCTGGTCATCCTCACTGCTACACTCCCATCAGCGCTATGACAGTTTGCAAATGCCATGGCAACCTTAGGAAATTACCCTATGTGGTCTAAAAAAGGGGGGACATGAATAATCCACCCCTTGTTTAGCATATCATCAAGAAATAACCATAAAAATGGGCAACTAGCAGCCCTCAGTTCTGCTGTGCCATTTTTTTATTCCTTTATTTTCCTAATAAACTTACTTTCATTTTACTCTATGGACTCACCCTGAATTCTTTCTTGCATAAGATCCAAGAACCCTCTTTTGGAGTCTGAATTAGGACCCCTTTCCTGCAACACCTATGCCATGCAAAGTTAACAACCCACATACTGTGGATTAGGATATGGGTTGCCCCCCTTTGAAATATGGGGTCATTATTTTGCCTGCCACAGTGCCCCATATAAAACGGTGGTCCTCCATGGATATTATGGCTCAGAAAAAAAATTGAGGACTACTTTTTTCTGGAAGGCAAAGAAGAGAGAATCCATTAATTTTTTTGTCCTATATCGTGTTCAAAATTTAGACCCAAAAGCTTCCTCTCTCCTAATTTAGGATGACAGAAGTAATGAAAAAATATCAAAAGACAGAAGAAATATTTCTAAGAGTGTAGATTACTAATTACTAAGAATAAGTACATGAACACAAGAAACAGAGCCTCTGTTCATGTGGAAACTAAATTGTTAGTAAAGGGAGAGAAATAATAAACACCATAAATTGGGATACATTTCGAGGGTGGAACTGACAGAATTTGTCGGTAAATTAGACATGGAGAGTAAGAGGAAGGGAAAGATTATGGCTCCAGTCTTACTCAAGCATCTATATGCAAGGCACAGCACCAGGGACTACAAACACCCTGATGGTAAGGTGGAGATCAAATCACCCTTCAATAATCAAAGTTTATCAGGGTCTTGCTATGAACAGGAGCAAATCAGCCAATGGCCAATGCATGTTTGAAGAGATGCTTAAACTCACTGCTCATCACAGTAATGTAAATTAAAATTATGAGACAATTTTTTTCATAAAATTGGAAAGAAAATAAATAGTAAAAATTAACAGTATGATGAAGGTGCCTGAAAGGCTATCTCAGTCATTAGCTGTGTTTCAAAAGAGACATCAAATCTTATATTATTGAAGTTGTAGGGAAGCAGATACTTTCCACTTATTTTTGGAGAGATTGGAGATTGGTTTTAGCTTTTCAGAGAAAAATATGTTTCTATGTCTCTTAAAATTAAGAAAAAAAATCCATTAAGGAGGCTCAGCCATTACACATTTAAATATGAAAGAAAATTACGGAGGTGTACAAAGAGTAGATTCAGAGGGTTCACTAGAGTATCATTTATAATAGAAAAAAATCAGACCAAATTTAAACAGTTTTTAAGAGAATATTGATTAAATGGACTGTCTGTATCCATATAACAAATATTCTTAATAAAAAGGAGTTAAAACACATAGGTGAGCAAAAATAGACTTAGTATTATATAACTTATGCCCAGAGTCTTTACAAAACAAAACTACATACATCCTTTTGTTCACATATAAGTAGGATATGAGTTCTGTTAAGGATGGAAAGCCACAGAGAGCATTTTCCTTACCTATATTCCTTAATTATTGTAAAATGATATTGTATCAATGTTGCATTTGTATAATTGAAAATTAAAATGATGACAAAAATAAAAAGGAGTTGAGTGGTTCAGTAGGAACAATGGATAGCAAAGACTTACTGTGCTGCACGGCTTTACATTTTTGCCAAAGCTTCGCTCACTGGGTAAGCCCCCAATTCTCCTGATCATTTGTTGCTTTTCCTGTTGATGTGAAAATCAGGCATTTTTTCAGACAAAAGGCAGTAGAACATCTTTGAAATGAAAAGCGACATAATGGCGCAATACTTAAGGGTTTTATTCAACTATAAGATCAATATAAATCAACACTATGATGAGGTTTCTTGCAATGCCTGCCTTCATCACTAACTACATTAAAAGAGACATCGAATCTTAAAAAAGGGAAGAAAGAGAACTCTACTCCATGCTGCTTACACAGTATCTGCAGTGTTATATCAAGGTGTGCACACTATATTTGAATCATGTGCAAAGAAAGAAAGCATGGCTATTAAAGGGCTTGAAACAATGTCCTATGGTTAATAGTGAAATGAACAGGGAGGCATTTAACCAGGAGAAAAAAGTACTCAAATGACATATGATGGTTGACTTTAAGCATTTTAAGACTGCTACATAGAGGACAAAAGGAGCTCATTCTGTTGACTTGCAAAATACAGAAACTAAGAACTACTGTTTCACAAAACACTGACATGTACATTGTTTCTCATTCTTGTGAGATATTATTGTCCTGTTTGACAGCTGTGTCAGAGACCAAAAAAGTTTGTGTTTCCTTTTTCCATAATGTTATCTCTGAGAAGTGGCCACCAGCCAGGGACTACATTCCCTAGCCCCACTGAGCTGTGGCCCCACGATTGTGTTCCAGTGAATGGAACAGTAGTGGAAAAATTGGGACCCACTTCCACAGGCGACACATTTACACACACACACACACATCTCCTATGCAAATGCTTTCATATGCTTTTTCTCTTTCGGTTAGCGAGAATGAAGAAGAGTTGTAGTACAAACTAGGAAACCAAAGCTAATTATAATGGAGGCTCCATCAGCCTGGATCCTTGATGGACTGCAAGGAAGAGGGCAGCCCTACCAACTTGTTAATCCACTTTGTAGTATTATATACTAATAATTCAACTTCTATTGAGGCCGAGCCATTATACACTTTGAAGTCTATTGTCAAAGCAGTTAATTCATTGAACAGATTCAGAAAGTAAAACTCAGCAGGTAAGTGTTGAGTCTGAAAACAATTACACTATCAAGAGGTTCAATTAAACTCAAACCCAGGCCATCTTATTCTGCATCCAAAACCTTTTCTCTTGTACCATCCTGCTATACAACAGAAGTAGAATCAATGTTATAAATAAAAAGGACAGAGATTATGGCTCAACATAAAAGAACTCTGTAACAGGCCTATTCTTGCATTTCTTTAAGAGGCAATGTGTTCTCCATCGCAAGAGGTGTTCGAAAGGAAACATTAGAGAAAGAATCCAACAGCGGATGAGTGTCAGAGGTAGATGATTTAATATTTCTTACGACCTCAGATTCCATGATTCTGTGCACACTTGAAGCACTCAGATGATGTTTATTACACAAACACTATGTACTCAGTAGCAATTTGGGAGCCCTGTGGTCTCCTTAACAAGGTATAATGGGAGTGCTAGGAACTGAGCCAGAAAAAAAAATGAATGAGAACTTTCACTAGAACAAGGTCCAACAAATGTTTCATTTGGAAAGGTTGGTAAGATTGAGATTGACAAGGAACTTGATTAAAAACATATAAATGATTCTTTGAACAAATAAAATTCTTGGATAATTCATTGACTATGGAAGAGCTTACACAAATATAAGAACCCATGCTTATGACTATTTGTTGATCTCACTGCGATAATGTTCACCTCCAGAGGACCAGGAGACCATGAGTAAGGAGGTAAAATGTCAGAGCAGATTTCTTTGGTTGATAATGGGTGGGGTGACATGGGGATGAGGGCTGTAGGAGGCAGATGGTGATTTCAAGTTTGAGTAGCTTGTCAAGAGGTTCTTATAACACATACGGGGTTGGGTTTGAGCTAGAAAAATAGCAAGTTCATTTGTTCTCACAACTCCTACCCTCCAGTAAAGCTGACTATGGCTGCCACTTCTGCTTCCACTTTGTTTCCTAGAGGGCAAAACCAAAAAAGAATAGAAGAGGAAGAAAGAGGGTATTGAGGTATGCATAAAGTAGACGTAGCTCAAGTTCAGGTGACTAAGATTTTTGACTTAAACAGTTATTGGCGTTTGTCTAGACCTCCCCCAATAAAGAGATAGATGCCAAAACTTTGAGTTATTTATGCCAGTGCTATATCAAAATTCTGAAGTGATTTATTCATTCAACAAAAACTTTGTAACCCCTTACTGTGTGTCAGACACTGATGTAAGTAATGGAGAAGCAGTAATGAGAACAAAACAAATCACTGCCACTGCCTTCCCAGAGCTTACATTTCACTGGTGAAAAGAGACAATAAACTAAATAAGTAAAAGAATGCATTTTGAGTAATACTGATAAATGCAGAAAAGGAATGTAAATCAGGACATGTTGGTGGAAATTTTAGAAAAGCTAGCTAGGAAACGCTGTACTGAGAATTGGGGTTCTGAATAAATTCGGGAAGGCATTGATATAGTGAGCCAGACAGAGAGTTGAGGAGGCTCCTTGCAAGTAGAGGAAACAACAAAGCCCAAGGCATTAAGCTGTTCCTGGCATAAAAGAGCTGATATGTCTGGAGCAGAGGGCACTAGAAAAAAAAAAGATACTAGAAAGATTGCAGGAATCAGAATTAACAAAGCCTGAAGGTCAGAGTAAGACCTTTTAGTCTGGCTGCAACGAGAACCCTGGAGAAGCTTAAGCAAAAGATTGACAGGCTCTAACTTACTTGTTAAATGAATTACTCTAGCTACTGTGTCAAATAAATTTGGTAAAGGTGGAAGCAGGGAGATTAATTGGATCATTGCAATATCTAGGCATAGTGGTTTGGTCTGGGATGGTGGCTATAGGACCAGTGAGAATGAGATGAATTCTGAATATGTTTGAAGTTAGAACTGAGAGGATTTGCTGATAGACTAAATATAGAGTCCCCATGTGATTTTTCTTGTGTCTATTAGAGTCTGAGAGGCACTGAATGAGTCTGAGAGAGAGAGAAAGGGCTAAGGATCTATAGAATGCTTGACAGGGAGCAGTAAGGGCTAACTTGAGATTAGGGATGAATTTTAAGTAAGATCAATCAGGATGTTTTGTGTCTTCTTCAGACACCTTCGACAGTGCTAGAGGAGGCACTGAATACATAGAAAGGTAAATTTAACCAGGGTTTTGGTTTTGCCATGAGAGTGAGAGAAGCAATGCAGTTGCAAGAAAGTTGACTATAATCATAGATAAGCTGTAAATTATAGTAGTAACTGAGCACAAAGTATAAGCAGAGTAGGAAGGGAAGAGAAAACATGGTTGGTGGGAGTCAGTAAAAGACAGTGAAAAATTGCTTGGATTGATGCATTAGACAGCAATGCAGGGGTTGAAGTGCTACTGGAATTTGGGCATACAAGGAGACAGCTAGAGAACAGTATGCGATGCGCAGTTGATAAAGAACAAGATTAAATACATGGCAATGATATGGTGTGCCTGAGACAGAGTGAAGAGCAAGGTCACTGGAGAAGAAGGGGCCAAGAAAATAAAAGGAGGGCATTGGAAGGATCATCTGAGAGGCTACGGAAATTATAAAAAATTACAACACTGGTAATGTTGAAGTGACAGTGTATCAGGAGAAAACAATCTCTAAAGAAAAAGAGATAGGCTGGGCATGGTGGATCACACCTGTAATCCCAGCACTTTGGGAGGCCGAGTGGGGTGGATCACGAGGTCAGGAGATGGAACCATCCTGGCTAGCATGGTGAAACCTCACCTCTATTAAAAATATATAAAATTAGCCAGGCGTGGTGGCGGTAGCCTGTAGTCCCAGCTACTTGGGAGGCTGAGGCAGGAGAATGGCATGAACCCGGAAGGCGGAGGTTGCAGTGAGCCAAGATTGTGCCACTGCACTCCAGCCTGGGGGACAGAGTGAGACTCCCTCTCAAAAAAAAAAAAAAAAAAAAAAAAAAAGAAAGAGAGATAATGACCTGAGAATGGATGAAAAATAAGGAAGAATGTTGGGTGATATGTAGTCAAATGAGATGGGATTCAATGCTGACTGTTTATGCTTTGGACAGGAATGGTCTAGAAGTGTCAGTGGAGAGAGATAGGACATCTGTCCTGCCACCAGATGCCATGATACCATAGGAGAGAAAAGAACCACTCACTAAGAGTGCTGCAGAGAAAGATTTGCCATTAGAGGAGAAAGGATTTTGTGTGAGCAAGAAGTGAATGTTTGCTGATGAGGTTGAGAATATCAGTTGACTGAGAATTGACATAGAGCTCCATATGGCCCCATGAAAGGTTATTAAAGATGGGGAGGGAGAGATAAGGGTCAGAAAAGGCAATGGGAATTAGGGGTGGGGATCTGGAGGATGAGCAACAATATGAAGCACCTGGACACCTTGTGACATTCAGCCTAAACAGGGAAAGGGGCATGATGACTAGCTCCAGTGGTCTCAAGGCAGATGGAATAAAGAGGCTTCTAGTATTGAGGGGGAAAAGGGATGAAGAAGGCCCTTGCCAGAAAGAAGAATTCCGTGGTTCCCACTTAGCCAATGCCATTGGAGACAACACACCCTGCTGAAGGATGATCTTCCTCTGAGGTTGTAGACACCTGCTTGGCCTTTGCTGAATGGAGCTTTTTTAGAGTTGGGTTTTCTTTTTAGCATAGGCACTCTCCAGGCCTACGCATATAGCAGCCTGCAAGTGGGGTGTTATCACAAAGGCATATTTAACTCAGTGTAACTAACTGATAGTGGAACATCAGAAAAAAGGAAGAACATCAGAAAGAGAGAAATATACCCAAATAAACTAATTGCAAGGAATAAAATATGGGTTTAGTTGACAGATATGTTGGTCAGTGTGCAAAAAAAAAGGTAGAATAGTCCATTATAATAGTTTATTATACCTGCCAGCTTCCTTGTTTTGGCCATTTGTTTACTCTCCGTTTTTGACACCTGCCTCAATTACTTGTTGTGACTCTGTCGATTCTGATGTTGCAATAAACCTAAACATTATGACTAAAACTAAATATTTTGTGCTTTTTTTCTTCTTTGCCTCATACTAAACTCAGCCAGAAGCTGAACACTCTCATGAGAGTTCCCAGTATGATGGAGAAAAGAAAAAAATATGACAAGCACTGCTTGTCAATAGAGAAGCAAAATAGAACATGCCTTTTTTGGGGGGCCAGAAGTGCCACCTTTAGATGTTAAATATCATCCCTTCGGTCAAAAAAGATGCTGAAAATCTTTCTAACTCTTTCAAACTGTGCTTTCATCAAACTGTCAGGACTTCCATAGATAGCTGAAATTCCAAATCAAAAACCTAGCAAGCAGTTTCATCGTCTGTGTTCAAATCTCAGTGGGACTTTATAGCACTTTCCTTGGGAGCAAAATTCATGTGTCTGAAGCTCAGCTTACATTTCATGTTGAAAAATTGCAATGAATACAATGAAGTTTCTTACTGCTACATAAAATTGAAGCACCAAAGAGAACAGTGTGTATTTCACAATGTTTGATATAGTATTTGATCATAACTTGAGGGAATCAATGAACCTTCAAGAAGAAACTCTTGGGGATCCTCATGCAGCAAATTCAATCATTTGTTCATCAACTCATTACATTTCTATTGTACACTAGCCATGTGCTGGGCTCATCCTAAGGAACTAAACAGGCTCTTAAAATGACGGTCTGTAGGCGTAAAACCTTTTCCATTTTAATAAGTAAATATAAGAAAAATACAACTCATGAACTAGGTATTTCCCAGGTTTAATTCAGAACATCATAGTGTCAAAAATTGTAGTTACTAATTGTGCATCAAAACAACAATGCCAAAAAAAGAGATAACAATCTTTTTTGTTCTTGAAAAACTAGCAGATTAATGTATTTTGCTACTTAGATATTATCAGAAGTATCGACCAGACTACTTTAAGCAACAAAATGACAACAAAAAATCAAAGAGTATATTGGCGAACGGAACTGAGAAATTCAGTACACAGAACTTCAGGCACAGCTTGATCCAGAAAATCAGCATTCTTTTTCTCTTCCTAAACTTCTCAGCCTTTCTCTCCACAGTGTCTTATCCTTATTTTCCCCAACTATTAGTACATTTCTTTTAAGAAAATCTGGAAGAAAGCTTCTGAGAACTCCTGGCTCAAATCATCACAAATTAGAATACAACATTAAGAAAAAAGTGTATTCCCTCTCACCTGCTGCCATCATCTACATATCAATCTCAGGAAAGATGCTAATTTCACCTCTGTGAGTTATCTTCTTAACTTTAGACCAATCACTTTTCCCAGGGGATGAGATATTAGCTAAGCCAAAGACTTTGTAGCCAGAAGTGGCCAATGGACTGTGATTGATATCTCTTCAGAAGCAAGGGAGTAGTTAGTACCCCCAAAAGGAATGATGATGAGGAGAAAATAAAAGCAACATATATTCACTATGCCCAACCTGGCAACAAGAATTGAAGTAACCTATATATCTAACAGATGAAATTATTTATGGTACAGCTAAACAGCAGACTGCTATGCAGATACTATAATTATCTTGCAAAAATATGTCATATCATGAAAAATGTTCACAACACATGGTTAGGTTTAAAAAGTAGCTTATTAAACAGTAGATCTAATAGAATACTATTTGGATAACACTTTTGTATTACAAGATGAAAAATCTATATATTATTATGTATGCAGAGAAAAAATACTATAAGGAAATACACTGAAATGCTAATTGTGGCCATCCTTTGGAGGCAATGTTATAGGGATATTTTGTTGTTAGTTGTGCATAATTATGTTAACTACTTTTTCATAATAAAATGTATTACTTTTGAAATCAAAGAAAGAAAAAACTATCATGTGGAAATATACACCTAGGAGTTTGGATTTATTTCCAAAGGAAAATGTCGTGGTGATAGATTCCTTGCAATAATTTTCATAGACACACAACACGAGTGTGTATTAGTTCCTCCTGAGGTAGAATCACAAAGTATTTGCTCTTAGGCTCTTGATCTGAGCCCTGAGGAATCACATTTTCAGTTTTATTCCAGGCATGTTTCAGAAATGGCAAGATGAGATGAAAGAAAGATTAGAGTCATGTCTAAAAATTGGCTTTACTAGGGCAAGTAAGTCCTTCCTGTATAGTGAATTGTCATTTTGAACTGTAAGACATTTTTTTGAAGAATTCTTTAACCACAAAAACAAAGATTTTCTTTTTGTCGTTTTATAGTCTCAATTTCAGCAAAATATAGTGCATATAATAACAAACAGATGGAGGAAACAAAACAACAAAATATTCAGTGTTAGGCCAGCACTGATTAAAGCTTAATATTTTGTCTGGGGGTCTAAAATAATCTTTTCAGAGAAAGTAGTTGTCAAGGCAGCTGGTGTAAAACTGTTTATTCTTTTTGTCATCTTGTAGAGATGTTAAAGCTTCCCTATTGCAGTATAATGCTTTTAAATCCATAAACGATCCAAGGTTTTAAAAGATGTACATATATTAGATCTGAATTTGTTCGAATTATTTATAAAGTGGAGAGATGGTTAGCATTAATGAAATGATCCTTTCAGTCCTTGCAAATTGTTCCCATACCTCTTTCTCATACTGAAATATTTACTGAGTTTCTGTGATGTCACTGAGTTGGTTGCTATGGGAAACCCATACAAGATCAGGAAGTGTTCTTATTTGTAGTAAGTTCATTCTATTCAAATTAGGTATCCTTTGGAATAGGAAACGTTTTCAGCCATTGTACATTATTGAACTTTTATTTTGTCTACCGTGTACAAAGTACCTGTGAGATGGGGATACAAAGGTAATGAAGTTATTTTTATACATATGAAGGTAATTATATTTTTAAAAGAATTACTATGTAATGCAATGTAGCTAAGATAATAATGCAAAAAAAACTTGCTATATGAGATTGGAGGAAGGAATTTGAAATGCATTTAGCTGCAAGTAACACAAAAGTCAAACTACACTGACTTAGTTAAACAGATTTTTTTTTTCTTATGTAAGAATTGGAGATATAGTAATTAAGGACCAGTTCAATAGCTTAGTGCTGCCAGAAATGATGCCTCCACTTTTCTCTTGGCCTTTTCCTAAGACTTAGCTCCTCTGAATTTCAAGATGGCTACTAGAAATCATATCCACATTGAAGGCAGAGAGAAGACAGAGGAAATGAAGTAGAAACAAATGGATCTTTTCCCTTTATCAAGAAAGCAAGAATTTTCTCAAAAATCCCAGCAGACCTTTCACTTACATCATGTAGTGGATATGTTTCCCTTCCCAAGTCTTTTTAGTCAATACTGGGGCAACCAGTGTCATGAAGTTGTGACCGAATAGCAGCCCATTTAGCTTCATTGTGTATCTAACAGTTTCTGCCCAGGCATCATGAACACAGCTTATAGGAAACCTGTGGAAATCTGCCACTTATGGACAAACTGGAGCTATGAAAAATTAACAACCTATGAGAACAGTCCTTGGCCAGTGGAGAAGAGAAGCCAATAAGTAAATTCTCGACCTTTTCATTTCTTGGGCAGATGATAGTGAGGCTTTGTCTATACAGTCCCTCAAATAATACCAGTGTAATGGGACCCCACTTGCCAACAATGATGATGATTTTAAAAATTCACAATTTGCAGGTTCCATAATTTTCTGTTTCTTTCTTAGAAAAAGAACTGTGTGAGTGAGAACTTATTTATGATCTCTGAGATTTCTTCCCAAGAATGTTTTCTGCACACAAATCCTTTTCTCGGGCTCTACTTTCTAAAGAAATTCAGACTATGACACTTCTCATTGGCCAGGCCTGTTTTATATGACTGCTCTTTATTTCAAGGGAAGCTATCAGACTGAGTATCTAGTTGCAAACATTTTTATCTAATCAGGAAGTAGAAGTAAGAGGTATTGAGAGAAGATTTAACAGAGCAGGTTATGCTTAAATAGGTCTTTGTAGATTAACTAGGAGTTTTCAAGAAGTGAAGGGATAAGGAAGCTTTTACAAATTGTCTATGTGAAAGGATCAGCATGACCAGCACTGGAGAGAAGTGAAAGTATAAGGCTTATGCAACAAATGACAAGCTGGCAGAAATTCCATTTGACTCAAACTATGAGTGAAAGAAAGAACAGAATCATAAGCACCAACAAAATGAGTCTGGACAAATAGAGGCAGGTCTCATTGGATGGGTCTTGTGGCTTTTCCATAACCTTTCCCCTTTAGACAATCTTGAATCTTTAACAAAGAGGTGGTTATTCACTTAATACATATTTATTTCTTGCCCACAAAAGACATGTCTTTATCTAGCCACCAAGAATACAGTAATGACCGAAAAGCACAATTACTTTCTTCTTGGAGCTTACACAATAAACACACCAAACGAATAATTCGATAAATAAGTAATACAATGACAATCAGTGATAAATGCTATAAAGACACAAAAAAATCAGGCTATGAGAACTGAGAATGATAGAAAGCCAATTTTAAACACAGTAAGCAGGAAGGAATGCCCCGAGAATGTGGCATTTAGGTGAAGGGCTGAACTAAACAGGGAAAGAATTATGTGGGTATCTACAGGAAAACCATTTTCAAGAGAGGGGACATCAAATCCAAGGGCTCTGAGACAGGGCCAAGCTTTTTGTGCTTGGAGAGGACCAAGAAGGCAGGGTAAGTGGGAAAAACAATGATGAGGATGAGTGTTAAGAGGAAATGTCATGAAAGCAATGTGGAGACTGGACACACAGGGCTTTGTAGGTCAATGGTGAGGTGCTTGGATTTTATTCTAAGTGTGTTGGGAAGAGACTGGATAATTTTGGGCAGGGGGTAATGTGATATAATTAGATATTTGAGAGATTGCTGTGGCTGCTGGGTGAAGAACTGAGTAACACAGAGGTGGTGTAAAAATGAAGCGGAAAGAACAATTAGGACAGCCAGTAGTATAGGTGATAAACCATGGTAGCTTGGTAAAGGATACTAACAATGTAGATGCTGAGTAATGAATATTTTAAAGATAGGCTTGCAAGAACTTGCCAATAATCTGTATGGAGTATGAGACAAAGAGATAGTTGGTGATAGCAACTAAAATATGATTCCACAATGAAACAGGGCTTTAAGGGCTCTCTATATATTGACAAGTCGTCATGACAACCTCATGAAGTGTCACTATTATTAACATCCTCATTGTACACACGAGAAACATGAGGTACAGGGAAATTAGTGAGTTGCTAAGGCCATGCTGCTAGTACTTAAAACGGCAGGTTTTAAAGCCATGCATCTAGCTCCAAAGTCATCATCTCAACCACAACACTATTTCGAGATGCCTACTAAATATCAATGGCAACATGGAGTAGTCAGTTGTATACACCAAAGTGGAACTCAGGAGAGAAGTCAAGGTCAATGATACAAACTTATGAATCATCAGACTATAGATGTTAAAACCATGGGACAGGATGAAATCTCCTAGGGCAGAGGTTGGCAAACTTATTCTGTAAAGTCCAGATAGTAAATATTTTAGGCTCTGAGGGCCATATTGTCTCCATTGAAACTACTCAACTATGCCATTGTAGCTTGAAAGTAACCATAGATAATAGTAAATGAATGGGTGTGGCTGTGTTCTAACACAACTCTCTTTACAAAAACAGGCAGTAGGGGAAGATCTGCCCTCTACTCCTAGTTTCCCCTCGTGGTTTCAAGGAATAAAGGTGGTTAGAGAAGTGACAGGGAGTTGGAACTCTCTACGTTACTGATGGGAGAGGGCTGCAAAGAAATCATCAAAGGAGACTGAGGAAGGGAAGTGACAGAGGGAGGAAGAAAACCCTCAGAAAGAACACCAAGAAAAGAAAAGATATTTATCACAAGAGGCCAAGAGTGTGGCCAGAGGGTAGAATCACAGAATGAGAGAAGTAAAAGGGACTTTAGTCTTTTGTTCAAAGATTCTAATTTTTGTAAATAAGAAAACTGAGGCTCAATAGGAGAAAATGATTTTCCCAAAGTCATTTCAAGAATACAATACATTTTTCTAAGGCATCCACGTTATGATGTTTCTAAGGCATACTCAAATATTATATATTTTAGCTTAAAATATAAAACAAAATTTTGCCAATAATAGCATCACCCTGAATGAGCACCTGAACACTGCATTCTGGTTCAACAAATACTGGCTGCACAACTGCTTTGTGTCTACAAGAGCATCTGGCTCTGGAGCCACGGAGATTAAAGATGCAGTGCCTGTCTTCAAGTTACTTGTAGTCTAAAAGGAGAAGTGGAAAAAGAAACAGATAATTGCAATAACTTAAGATATGTTTTTCAGGAAATCCTAGCCAGGTGCTATGGACTGAATTGTGTTGCCCTCAGAATTCATATGTTGAAGTCCTAACACCCAATGTAATGGTATTTGGAGATGAGGGTTAGATGAAGTCAGGAGGGTGGAGCCCTCATGGTAAGTTAAGTGGCTTTGTAAGATGAAGACAGAAAGATTGATCTTCCATGTGAGGACATAGTGAGAAACAGCTTGGCCATCTGCAAGCCAGGGAGAGTGCTCTCCCTAGGGACTGAATTGACCAGAGCCTTGATCTTGGTCTTCCCAGGCTCCAGAACTATGATAAATAAATGTCTGTTGTTTAAACCACCCAGTCTATGGCATTTTGTTATAGCAACGTAAGCTGACTCATACACCAGGTGAGCCTTGAGAGCACAGGGAAGGAAAACCTAACCTTGTCTGAGCATTAGGGACAATTTCCTGGAGGAGAGGATACCTGAAATACCTCCTCCAAACTGTGTCAGTGCCTTTCCAGTATATTCCTATATTCTCTAGGCTTTTCTTCATCACAACACACATTCTTCCTAATTAAGTGACTTTGTGTTTATCTATCTCTCCACCCCCTCTTCCCACAAGTTCCTCGAAGTCAGGGCATGATTGTTTATGGCCACCTTTGCGTGCCCTTTGCAAAATACAGAGTCAGTATTCAATAAGCTACAGTTTATTGAATGAACGAAGGCATGAAAATTTGACTTGGTAACCCCAATGAACAAATGAAGGATAAATTGGAGGTACCCAGGCAAAGAAAGAAGAATTTTGATACAAAAAAACAAAACAGCTTAAAGAAAGACATGAACCTAGGAAGCAAGTGGTGCATTCAGGAAATGACAGGTAGACCTGAATAATCTGAAGTAGAAAGTTGAGGACTGAGAAACGTTTACAGCGTGCTTATAATCTATCAAGAAATACTCTGATACTCTGACTTATTGACTATATTAACTCCAGTAATGCTCATAACAACCTTTTGATATAAGTTGTATTATAACTCCATTTTACAGAAGGGGCAACTGAGACAAACAGGTGTTGAGAAATTTGCTCAAGATTACACAACCAAGATGTAGTGAAGCTGGGAGAGGAACCCAGACAATCAGCCTCTGGAGTCCTTTCTGTGTACATGGACTTGAGAGAGCACTAATGACCACCTTACGCAGACCTATAAGGCCAGGCTAAGGAGCTTGAATTTTTGTAAGTAGCCTACTGGAAGCCATTTAGTTATGATAGCTACCTGGTTTGCTTTCATTTAAAGTAAGATTTGAGAGGTGTAAGACTGGAGTTGCAAATTTTCAGCTGAGACATATCAGGAAGCCAGGAATTATAAATGAGGAGACAGATTTCATAAGTATTTGTGGGGTAAAATTGACAGGGCTTTATGCCAGCAGAGGGTGAAGAATGCAGAAATAAGATGAGTCAAGGGATGATACTTAGGATGATGGCTTAGGTGACAAGGTGGATGGTGAGGCCATTAACTGAGACAGGGAATCCAGGAAGAAAAAGTGACAGGGGAAGATGATACATTTAGATTTCCCTATGTTAATTTCAAGGTGCCTGGGGGCAATCACATGCAGATCTCCAAAAGGCAGTTGAATATTGAAGTCTGAGACTCAGGGACAGGCCTCTGTTAGATTTAAAAAGTCGAGTCATCAGCACGTAGGTGGTAGTTAACACATGAGAGCAATGAGTTTTTTATTGTAAAATTTATGTGCACGAATATTACCTACCAGTGTGTGTGCACAACTTTGGAAGCCCAATTATCAAAAGCCTTCCTCTGAGGCCTTCTCAATTAGCTGAATCTGCAAAATATATTACAAGATGCTAAAGTAGCTCTATTGGTTTCAGCCTCTAAATGTGTCCCCAAAGTCCTCAGCAGGAAAGAAGTAACAGAGTTTGCTTTTACAAATGCACTTAAAAAAGCAAAAATAAAATAAGATAAATATAAATAAAACATCTCCCCTTCCAAACATAAATGGTGTCCAAGGAGAAGTTGAATTCTGATGGTTTTCTTCCATGTATAAAATTAGGCCACCTCAGTTTGCCCCAACTCTATATTTTTGGTTGTCACTTATAAAACCTTTGTATGTGGCATTGCAAGAGGGCCTTGAGGAGTTTCTTACAAGGGCAGACTTAATTAACGTTTCCAGCTGTGTGCAACTTCTCAAGCCCCAGGCAGTGAAGAGGAGCATACTAAATAGGAGGCCAACCTGTCTATCTCCATTCAAGTTTGATAACTTTTTTCTTTTTAATATTTTTTTACATTTTTTTTCTACTATGTCTAAGAATTAGCTCAAGGTTTAATAACCCTTGATCTCAGCTCAGGAAAGTGTTGAATTTGGGTAAAAACAAAAAGTAATGTTGAAACCCTTCATCACCCTTCCATGATTCATTTCTTTTTCAGACATTTTCCAAATTTTGGGCTCCAGTCGATTCTTGTGTATTACGCTGTGAGCAAGACTTGCATGTCGTCACAGAGAACGGGGCACTATCCCTGATAAAGATTGTGGGAGTTGGCTTCCTACAGCATCGATCACATGGCTTTAACCCACGAGCAAGATGGCTGAAGCTGAAGAATGGGCTGGATCACAAAAATAGATTTTCTGTCTGAGGTTTAATATGCTTTCTTTCTTTCTTTCTTTCTTTCTTTTTTTTTCTGAAGACTGAGTCTAGCTCTGTCACCCAGGCTGGAGTGCAGTGGCACTATCTCAGCTCACTGCAACCTCCACCTCTGGGTTCAAGTGATTCTCCTGCCTCAGCCTCCCGAATAGCTGGGATTACAGGCACCTGCCACCATGCCCAGCTAATTGTTGTATTTTTAGTAGAGACGGGGTTTCACTGTGTTGGCCAGGCTGGTCTCAAACTCCCGACCTCGTGATCCACCTGCCTTGGCCTCCCAAAGTGCTGGGATTACAAGCTTCAGCCACCGTGCCCGGCCATTTAATACACTTTCATCATTATACTCAGTTTCCAGAAGGGCTTCTTGGAGTTAAGGAACATGGGTTTGGAAATCAAGAGATGGGTTTGAGGCCTGATGTAATGGTGATTTGAGTGTGATTTTGAATAAGCCATTTTTTCCATTAAGGATCTCCATTTTGTCTTTGGTAAATCAAGAACAGTGCAACACACCAGACTTACTGCTACTGAGTCATTTAGTTACCGCTGCAGAGCAAACCGTCCCCAAAATCAGGGGCTTTACACAACTATTTCTTGTTAGAGTTCACGCAATTGCAGGTCAGCTGAGGTCTCTTGTTAGATTTGGCTTGGCTGGGGTAGCTATGTGAGACAACTCCGATTCGTCTCTCATTAATCTCCTGGAACCAATGGGCTAGCCTGAGAAATGTCCTTCTCCTGGTGGTAGCTAAAACATAAGATCACAACAGAAACACAAGACAGCTCTTGAGGTCTAGGCACAGATCAGGCATATATTCACTCTGGTCTTATTCTATTGGCCAATGTGAGTTACATCGTTCAAATCAGAGTCACTGCAAGGGCACAAGGCAAAGGACATATGTCCCAGCATGCATACCAGGAGGGGTGGAGAATTGGAGCCACCCCTAATGTACAACATTTAGGACAACAGTTAAAATACAAAAGTACTTTGCAATCAAATTTCAAAGAAGTTCAGTTAATCAAATTTATGTACTCATCTTTTACCTAAAGTTTCAGCATTTGTAAAGTCTCTAACTGTTCAGATCTACACTGTTTAATTAGCTGTTCTAATTGTTTCAGAAGTACAATATTTTTTCATGACAACCACCACCACCACAGAACACCTTGCATTTACATGAACCAACAAAAATCCTTGTTATTAGAACAAAAAGGTTTTTTTTTTTTTTAAGTAGGCCGATACAAGATGGTCAAAGGATATACAAAGACAATGTTTGCATTTTCTTTGTCTGTTAGTAAATTACCTGGCTGACCCCTGCTTCTGAAGAAACAGCACTTTTCTTATTCTGTCCACATTTGAAGAGAGGAGATCATTGATACTTACTTGCCCACTCTAATCACAAATGCGATAGGTCTAATTCTCTCCACTTTGGGATCCCTGCATCATTCCGGAGACAGGCACTGTACCTGGACCGGCATGGTTAAACATCACTCAGACATCAGTGCACCCTCCCATAGCTTTTATCTCTGAGCTGAGCTCTCTGTGCACAAAGTGCTTGTGAAAGGACAGAATGTCAAAGACAGGAACAGGTTGTGCATTTCTAAAGATAGCTGGAGAGAGTTTAAGCAGCATGTATATTTCTATCCTTATTCACAGCTTGTGTATCAAGCTTCATAGTTAGTTATAAGCATTTTATTTTAATTAAAGAGACAAACAATGACCCAGTGAGAGAATTTCTTTATTTTGAATTTTGTATTTTCTTCCTGCTCTCTCAGCCTGCCATTCTGACGGTGGAGAAATGGATATGGGCAGTTCAGCCACCTCACACCATCACACTCTCTTTTGAGAGCGGTCTTGGAAACCAGCCAGATTGCATTGTTGTCCTTCTGTCAATTACAAGTGTGCCAGACACCCAAAGCATTGGGGAGGAAGTGCAATTATTAGAAGCTACCCAAGAGACTATCCCAATGTCATCCCTGACTTGCCAGGTGACCTTTAGAAAATCAAATGTGTAAAAGAGGGATGATAAATTGTTCTCTAGGCCAATCATGCAAATGAGTAGAAACACCAAAGGAGAAAAAAGTTAGGGAAAGGAGAATTCCAAAGAAACCAATTTTTGTTCATGGAAGAACTGTCTTCTAATACAAAGAGAACCATTCCCAAATAATGGGTAAAATCCTTCCCCCAGATATTGGTCATAATTTACCAACCTACTCCTGTTCATGTCTGTTAATCCCAAATGCCTTCTTCCTGCCAAAACCCATGTATCTAACACCTATTTTTTCATTTTTGGTGAAGCGTTAATGGTTTTATAAAATAACTTCTAAGATTCTTTACCCCAATGCCAGAAAAGCCTTTATTTTCCCTTGGACATAGGGCTGTGGGGATGAGAGTGAGAACATAAATGGGAAAGCAGAAAAATCTATTTATTTATTATTCATGTGTCTATGGATATAGCAACTCTATTGGCCTGGTTGTGGTCTGACACTGAAGGGATTATATTTTCAGAGCAAATATTAAAGGGAGAAATTATTCTTAGTCATCAAAGGATTGGCCTTCTAAGAATGTGTCCCAGTAAGAAATACTTTGAGCTACATAAAGAGTTGGGTAAAAAGAAAGCCATCATGAATTGAACACCAACTATACACCCACCACTTTCTTTGACATCTTATATATGTATCATTTAGTGAGAAACAAAATTACTTAGAAGTTAAAATCAAATGCAAAATGAAAGTCACTGGCTAAAATTCTCTACCATGGACAGAGCCAATCTGGGCCTCCTTGTATATTGTTCTTGAAGGACCTTGGATAAGTTAAAATTAAATGAAATATTGGACATTATCAACAAGGCATTCTCTTAGAATGATATGTGTCTTGCATGTTGCCAGATTGTGATGATAATTTTATATGTCAACTTAACTAAGAAAAGGAATGCCCAGATAGCTGATAAAATGTTATTTTTGGGTGTGTGTGTGAGGGTGTTTCCAGAGAAGATCAGTATTTTACTCAGTAGACTGAGTAAACACAGTTCTCCCTCACCAATGTGGGCAGCCATCATCTTATCCATCGAGGGTCCAAATGGAACAAAAAGGTAGAGGAAGGGCCAATTATTTCTCTCTCTTCTTGAGTTGGGATAGCCATGTTCTCCTGCCCTTGGACATCAGAGCCCCTGGTTCTTGGGCCTTTGAACTCAGAGACTCACCCCAGAGCTGCCTCTCATCCATCCCCTACTGCTCCTCCCTGGTTCTCAGGCTTTTGGCCTTGGACAGGCAGTTACACCATTAGCTCCCTTAACTCTCAAACCTTTGGACTTTGGCTGAATTACACTATTGGCTTTCCTGGTTTTCCAGCATAGAGACAGCATATCTTAAAATTTCCTGGACTCCATAACCGTTGTGAGCCAATTCTCATAATAAATCTCCTCTTATATTTCTGTTATCCCATTGGTTACGTTTCCCTGAAGAACACTGATTAATATACTGACCTTCACTCTTTACATTTGTATACTAAAATATTGTAACTCAATTTTGAAGCTAACCACCTGGAGTTAGTGTTAGACTCCCCATAGATTAAAAGACACGATCCCCAACGAGACTGCCCTCACTTCAGATGTGAACAGCAAGTTAGAGGGTCCCCAGGCTACCTGTACTTTTGATCAACTGGCTACAAAACTGGGATGTTCCCATGTCCCCTCCCCCAGCTTTAATACTATTTAATACTTTAATGCTAGAATGACTCACAGTATTCAGGAAGGTGTCATAATTACAGTTTTATTTTAAAGGATACAATGTAGGACTAGCTAGAGGGAGAGACACATAGATGAGGTCTTCGAGTGTCAAATATTCAGAACTTCTATGCACTTTTCTCATGGGATCAGAGCACATCACCCACTCAGGACGTCAGTGTGTTCATCAGCCATGAAGTTCCAGTAAGCTTTGGTGTCCAGGGTTTTTACTGGGTTTTCATTACATAGGCAAGTGGATTGAACCAAATCTCTAGCCACTTCTAGCTTCCCAAGCTCAAAGCCTCTCTAATCACATGGTTGCCTTTTTTTGGTAACCAGTCCCTAACCTGAATCATCTGCTTTGCATAAACTCAAGTGTGATCCAAGGCACACATGAATAACAAAGAAACTCCTATCACTTGGGAAATTTCAAGGATTCAGAGTCTCGCCTTCAGGAACCAGGGGCAAAGGCCAGCCATATTCTTCTTATATGATGTATACTTAAATTTACATATATGCATAAATGTATGTGTATCAATTATATATGTATTATATTGTGATATATACACTATATATAATATATAAATGCATGTATATATAAATGTATATGTACAAATAAACATAAAGCCATCTAATGTCCATGTGTTTTTGTATCTCCTTCATGTACCTATACAGCAGTCCCCTCTTTCCTGCAATGGTTATGTGCTAAGACCCCCAGAGGGTGCCTAAAACTGGATATAGTATTAAACACTGTATATACTGGATACAGTATTAAACACTGTATAAACTGGATACAGTATTAAACACTGTATATACTGGATACAGTATTAAACACTGTATATACTGGATACAGTATTAAACACTGTATAAAATGGATATAGTATTAAACACTGTATAAACTGGATATAGTATTAAACACTGTATAAACTGGATATAGTATTAAACACTGTATATACTGGATATAGTATTAAACACTGTATAAAATGGATATAGTATTAAACACTGTATATACTGGATATAGTATTAAACACTGTATAAACTGGATATAGTATTAAACACTGTATAAACTGGATATAGTATTAAACACTGTATATACTGGATATAGTATTAAACACTGTATAAAATGGATATAGTATTAAACACTGTATATACTGGATATAGTATTAAACACTGTATAAACTGGATATAGTATTAAACACTGTATAAACTGGATATAGTATTAAACACTGTATATACTGGATATAGTATTAAACACTGTATAAAATGGATATAGTATTAAACACTGTATAAACTGGATATAGTATTAAACACTGTATAAACTGGATACAGTATTAAACACTGTATATACTGGATACAGTATTAAACACTGTATAAACTGGATACAGTATTAAACACTGTATAAACTGGATATAGTATTAAACACTGTATATACTGGATATAGTATTAAACACTGTATATACTGGATATAGTATTAAACACTGTATATACTGGATATAGTATTAAACACTGTATATACTGGATATAGTATTAAACACTGTATATACTGGATATAGTATTAAACACTGTATAAACTGGATATAGTATTAAACACTGTATATACTGGATATAGTATTAAACACTGTATATACTGGATATAGTATTAAACACTGTATAAAATGGATATAGTATTAAACACTGTATAAACTGGATATAGTATTAAACACTGTATAAACTGGATACAGTATTAAACACTGTATATACTGGATACAGTATTAAACACTGTATAAACTGGATACAGTATTAAACACTGTATAAACTGGATATAGTATTAAACACTGTATATACTGGATATAGTATTAAACACTGTATATACTGGATATAGTATTAAACACTGTATATACTGGATATAGTATTAAACACTGTATATACTGGATATAGTATTAAACACTGTATATACTGGATATAGTATTAAACACTGTATAAACTGGATATAGTATTAAACACTGTATATACTGGATATAGTATTAAACACTGTATATACTGGATATAGTATTAAACACTGTATATACTGGATATAGTATTAAACACTGTATATACTGGATATAGTATTAAACACTGTATATACTATGCACTATTTTTTCTTCTTCTTTATATTTTCTTGGATAGATTTTTTCTTCACATACATCTTAGCAACTGTAGCATACGATTTTTTTTCTTGTCAAGAATTTTTACCTTTTTACTTTAAGGAAGCACTTTAAGGATTCTATTTGGCATATTCAAATTGACAGCATTACAACTCTTGCACTTTGGGGCCATTATTAAGTCAAATAAGAGTTACTTGAACACAAGCACTGTGATAATGAGACAGTCAGTCTGATAACTGACACAGCTACTAACTCTCCAGTGTCAGGTAGAGTATACAGTGGGGATGTGCTGGACAAAGGGAGGATTCAAATCCCAGGCAGAAGGACCTGGATGGTTGGAGATTTCATCATGCTACTCAAAATGGCACACAATTTAAATCTTTTAAATAGTTTATATTTGAAATTTTCTATTTAATATTTTTAGACCATGGCTGACTGCAGGTAACTGAAACTGCAGAAAGTGAAACTATGAATAAGGGGACACTACTGTATATAAAACTTGACCCTAGTAATAAATTATCAGGAAGAATAAAAAAGAAAGCAGTGAAGTTATCAAAGAAGAAACAAGCCTAATCAACAAACACAAATAGTACTACAATTTTTCCATCAGCTGGAACAAATGCTAGGCAGTGTTTCAACAGTCCCACTCCATCCAAATTCAGTTATTTGCTAGAAGGACCCAGAATACCCAAAAGCAGTTTGTTCTCATGGCTAAAGTTTATTATAACAAATTATACGGAGTAACAATGGTAGGGAAAACATATGCATCAGGCAGATTCCATAGATGTTGGGAATAGGTTTAGAGTCCTTCTTCATCTCAGGCCACACAGAACAGGCTTTTTCTCCAACAGCCATGGGAAGATTCCCTGGAATGTCTCTGCCCAGGGAAGCCCAGTGAAGTGTCAGGGCCTGAAATGTTCACGGAGGCTGGTCACATTAGTACACTCTTCTGTGCCACCAGAGAGGGCGACTGAAACTCAGGACTCCAATAATAAAATCAGGTTCATGTCATCAATTTTGATGTTTGTGCAAAGCAATTCTGTCGAGTTAGTATGGCATGGTCTATTGCTTCAGATATATACAGCAAAATCATAAATCATTAACATAAAGAATCTTCCACATACTATCTTCCCAGGGTTTTGCCATGGTTAATTATGGTTCTAGGTTCCAATGGCGACATGCAAGGAGCAAGCTACCAGATTTTCTGTGTTAACTCCTCAGAAAGAATTAACACTATTGCAACCTATGAACTCCTGAAATGCGTAGACAGCATGAAAGCCCTAAAATTCTAAGCAGGTGAGATCGAAAATCTAGCTGGATTTGAACAAGATAGGGACCAATATATGAAGGTAAGTGTCTCACATCATTAATAAGAGAAACTGGAATAAATTAGCCTCTAAAGAAGACATGAAGAAAAATCAACCCATGATCTCCTCTTAGTTGATGAATTACACACAGTTTCAACCAATGCAATAAATTCTTTTGCTCTTGTTATTCTGAAGGATTGTATAGCAAGCTCTCTTGCTACCTCGCTTTAAAAACTCCGGTGGTCTCCATTACACCTTGATTACTGGCAATCCAATGCTGCATAATTTTCCTTCAGCCTCTCCCTCTAACATTTTTTAGTGTCCCTGTTACCCTCACTGACTACATCCTGCCTCACTACCTTCTCTCAGCTTCCCACACATGCCAAGCTTGTTTCCCACCGAGGTGCCCACGGGATAACTCTTCTCTTTGCCCTTCTTTATGGCCTTTTCTTGGTTGGCCTCTCCTTATCTCAAAGATTTCAACTAAAATACCACTTCTGAGAAATCTTCTCTAATAACTCAGTCAAAAGTAGCCCCATTTCTAAAGCTTTCTCTATCATTTTACCCAGTTTTATTTACTTTTGTGCCTGAAAGTCACCTAACACTTCCTCACTTTACATATGTCTATTTATTTATTTATTTATTTATTTATTTTATGACTAAAATGTAAGCTCTCTGTGAGCAGATACTTTGTCTAAGCTGCTTCCCACTTTAATTCCTATTGCCAGCATTTGGCTCAGAATAGGTGTTCTGTAAATATATGTTGAAATAACAAATTAAGAGTCCTGTAAAGTCTGATTTTAAAGTTGATTGTAAGGTCTCTAGCCCAGGGCTACTGAGAGCATTTTAGTCCATGTATCAGACTTATCCCATAATCTGAGTGATTCCAAGTGTCATAATGAGATAATTGAATCGATGTGGCTCAACAAGTGGTCCACAGAACAATTGAATTAGAATTACATGTTGTCTGGATAAAAATGGAATTATACGAATTGTTCTTCCTGAAATTTTTATTTAGTACCTTAAACTGCAGCTCAGAAGTTTGCATTTTAATGTGTTTTTCAGTGATTCTTAAGTTCACTAAAACAGAAGCTCTGACTAAAATCACAGTGATGATTGTCTATAGGGGCAGTGGCACAGTAAGTAAACTGCCTAGGATGCATAACATCTAAATATATGACAGTTTTTGGTTATGGCAATCAAAATAACAAACAGAAGGAGATTCTTCAAAAATAAGTTTATTCAGGAACGAGCATTGCAATAGGAATACGCATGGGTGTTTTCAGGGAGGCAAAAGAAGATAAGGATTTTTAAAGGTAAAATGATGAGGGCCACATAAGTGTTTCTGAAATAGTTATCCCTGGCTACAAGCATGAATAACCAGGATTGCCTCAGTCTAAGGCAGGACAGGCAGTTGCTGGGCAGATGTCCTTGCAGAAGTATTTTTTATGTCGGTTTGCAGTGGCCTTGTGCACAGTCGTGGTTTTGGCAGAATCTTTCATGATAGCTCTTGTTATCAGGCAATCATGTGTGAGAACCCTCCCTTCATGGCCTTCTTAGACACCATTTTGTCAGGATTTGACCCAAGTGACTCCATTTTAATTCTGACAAGTTTCACAGCTCTGAGCGAGAATGACCATGAAGCGGATCTTTTTTTTTTTTTTTTAAAGTATTACTTGATTTTTGAAGGTCATAGGGCGCAGTGTAGTCCTGCCTCTGACTCTTACTAGATGTGAAAAGTTGAATTTTTAAGCATTCTAAATTCCAATTTCATCTTCTGTGTAGCAAGAGTAGAAATATCTAACTTGCAGCATACTATTTTTTAATTTTTTTTAACTTTTAAGTGCAGGGGTACATATACAGCTTTGTTACATAGGTAAATTTGTGCCACAGGGGTTTGTTGTGCAGATTATTTTGTCACCCAGATATTAAGCCAAGTATTTATTGGTTATCTTTCCTGATCCTCTCCCTCCTTGTACCTAGGCCTCAGTGTGTGTTGTTCTCCTCAATGTGCCCATGTGTTCTCATCATTTAGTTCCCATTTATAAGCGTGAACATGCGGTATTTGGTATTCTGTTTCTGTGTTAGTTAGGATAATGGCCTCCAGCTCCATTCATGTTCCTGCAAAGGACATGATCTTGTTCTTTTTTATGGATGCATAGTATTCCATGGTGTGTATGTACCAAATTTTCTTTCTCCAGTCTACTATTCGTGGTCATTTAGGTTGATTCTGTGTCTTTGCTATTGTGAATAGTGCTACAATGAACATACATATGCATGTGTCTTTATGATGGAATAATTTATATTCCTTTGGATATATAGCCAGTATTGGGATTACTGGGTTGAATGGTAGTTCTGCTTTTAGCTCTTTGAGGAATTGCCATATTGTTTTCCACAAAGGTTGAACTAATTTATACTCTTGCCAACAGTGTATAAGAATTCTTTTTTTCTTTGCAACCTCACCAGCATCTGTTATATTTTGACTTTTTAATAATAGCCATTCTGACTGGTGTGAGATGGTATCTCATTGTGGTTTTGATTTGTATTTCTCTAATGATCAGTGATGTTGAGCTTTTTTCATATGCTTGTTGGCCACATGTATGTTGTCTTTTGAAAAGTGTCTGTTCATGTCCTTTGCCCACTTTTTAATGTAATAGTTTGTTTTTTTCTTGTAAATTTGTTAAGCTCCTTATAGATGCTGGATATTAGAACTTTGGCAGATGCATAGTTTACTTGCAGCATATTTTAAAAGATAAATGAGATAATGCAAAAGACTTAGCACAATGCCTAATAAAAAGTAGCTTGTGGAATGGTAATTTTAAAATGACAAGGTTTTGTTAGTATGATTTCAAGTGGGCAGAAACCAAAGACCTTCTAAATAGGCTTACTAAGTAGACAGAAAGCTCAGGGGAAATGATACAAATAAAGACAGAAGCTCTCCCATTGCTTGCAAAACACACGTGAGGGCTTTTATACTGAGGGCAACATAACTATTCAGACTTCTTATCTGGCTGTCTTTCTTATTAGACTTTCTTATGTTACTTTATTCTTATTATTTATGAATACTAACATCATTTGGGTCAAAAACCACACCTTTGTGGTGTCCATTTCATAGTACTTATCACATTGTACTGCAGAATCTTTCACCCTCACTAAACATCCTAAGGTAGAGAAGTTGTCCATTTGTGTTTATATCTACAGCATGTGTTACAGTGTTTGACACATACTAGATATACACTACAAATTTGTTAAATGAAGAATGAATAATGCTCAAAGAAACATTTGGTCTGGACTGTCTTCTGATCTGACTGGGGACTCCACTAGAAAGCCATGTTCTTGAGAAATTAGTAATGATAGCCTTTCTTTTTCATTTTAGGAGGTTTCATCCTCTCAGGATTAAACTCCTTCCAAATTAAGAATAATGACTTAAACCCATGATAAGAACTTAATGTAAGTCACTTTTCTCTACCCTAGAAGTAAATACTTTTAAATTCAGAAATCCACCAGGCATTTTTCCATGCACTGATGAGTGCCATGATAGTAAATTAAATAGCAGAAATAGCTGCCTTCATGGATCTATCATTTTAGAAACAAAAGAAAGGACATTGTGTTCTTAGAACCAGCTCATCTTTCTTTCTGCCTCATTCCCTACCTCTCTCTCTATCTTTATAGTAGTTGAAAATGCCAAAATGTAGGATTACATTTTGTCCTTTAGACATTCTCAACATTTGAAACTTGTATGTAAGAAACAAGTGAAGAAATGATCATTAAAAGAAGAGAGAAAATATTGAGTAACCTTTGTTTAAATTTCCACAAAGCCTCAGGTTTCATTGCAATATAAAAGCCACTGAAGTAATGCTTGTTTGATTTGCTTAGCAGGAGCACAACACGAAAATTCCTTGAGCAGGGAAGACAGCTGGTTTGCCAAATCTGCACATTTGGCTGTACAACTGGCTCTATTGGTAGCTTCAGGCTAGCAATATTTTTTACTGACAATTTACATGCTGCTCCAGCCCAAGGTATCTGAAATGAAGTCTTTGCATAAACACAGTTAGAAAAGAACTTGGCTCCCAACCCTGGTCAGAACTCTGCTTTAAAAAAGGAATTCACACTGATCCATGGTAATGTGATAAGGTTGAGCCTTTTCAGCAGAGATTTGCTATGCAAGGCCCCTTGTTTTATATGGCATTATGTAAAACATAATGTCAATAATCCATATTGTCTGTCTTAATACCATTATTCACATAACAGTATTGTGCCTACCTCAGCCGCTTTGTAATCCGGGAACCCCACACGCACATTAAAACAGAGATAACTGTGGAGGAACACGGTTGCATACAAGTTGTGTTGTTCTGGCAGGGAGTTACTCCTCTGCTCCTCTCAGAAAAAGCATTTTAATTCCTTGGGATTTTTTTTTAAGATTAAATAACATCATTTTCTGGGATCTCCAAATTTCCAGCTGCTTATAAGGCTGATTTCATCAAACTAATTAAAATTTCTTTGTGGCTAATCACTTTAGGGCTTAGTTAACTTCTGGAGAATACATGAATATAATTGTAATTTTATCTGATTTTACTCTAACATGGAATTAAATAAGCATATTTTAAACCATATATAAGAATGGTATATGCTGTCTTAGGGCTTGCATTCCATTTTGTTGAACAATTGATTATCCATATTATCCTTAGGTCCCAGGGTACAATGTGTAAATACATCACAGCAAGATATAAAGTGAACTAGAAAAATAATTGAATTACATAGAAATTCTCTAGGGTGGTAGCAATCTATTATATCCATTAAAATTCAGAGATTGTTAAAGCAATCCGAATTATCAAAACTATCTTTAAATTGGGAGAATAGCAAATTGTTTTGGGGGAGGTTCTGATACCAAAGATTTTATCATTTATAAAAACTTGGAACAATCACAGACCTAAATAAAAATTAGAAGTACAGTAACAGAACTTTCTCCTGAACCATTTGAGGGTAAATTGCCAACCAAATGCCATGTTACCACCTAGTAGCCTATAAACAAAGACATTCCCTCCATCACCTCAGCACACCCATCAGAGTCAGGAAATTAGAACTGAAAAATTACTGCCATCTAGTCCTCAGATCTCATTCAAGTTTCATCAATTGTCTCAATATTGCCCTTTATAGCTAAAGGATCCAATTCAGAATCACAAGCTGCATTTAGCTGTGATGTGTCTTTAATATCATTGAGTTTGACCTTGACACTTTTGAAGATCACAGCCTGGTTATTTTTAAAACCATCCTTCAATCTGAGTTCATGCAATGGTGCTTCATGGTTAGATTTAGATGATGTGTCTTTAGAAAGAGTATCACTGAAGTGATGCTGTGTTCTTCTCATTGAATCCTGACATACGTTGTGATTTCCATGGGTTTATTTCTATTTGTTCATTTTGGCCACTTGATTTAGTTGGTGCCTTCCAATTTTCCCCAATGTAAAGTTACTTTTTCCCCTTATAATTAATATTTATTTTATTGGGAGATACTTAAAATTGTATAAATAGCTCATTCTTCATAAAACTTTCAATGAATTCTTTTACTTACATTTGCATGGACTCATGTTTCCTGTTTTATCCAATTGTTTAAAATCTATTGCTATGCTCATTTATTTTCATGCTATATGGTCTCAGATTTGGCCAATGAGAATTCCTTCTGTCTGGCTTCTTTACCCTCTTGACCATGTTTTTTTTAGTGCTTTCATATTTTCTGGCATAATGAGATGTTTTAGGATTACTTTGCACTTTCCCTTTCTCAGCCATGGATTTAACCATTTCTTCATGGAGCTCCAGAATGATATTTGGAAGCCAAGATCTGTGTGCTAAATGTGCTTATTGGTATTGGAGTGTTCCCATTTGCAGGCCCTTGAGTGAAAACAGCTATGCAATACACGAATGCATACACAAAATACATTCATGTTTTTATCTACATTTATTCGCATCTCTGTCACATATACATTGAAAAACATGAGTTCACAGCAATACCTGTAATTTCAATCCAACATCCTAGAGTTCCATCTAGTTTTTCCCCTTTCCATATTTGTATATCCATGTCTCTGATAGTGAGAAAACTATATCCCATTATTTTTAATTGATTTGCTTATTTGATCAATCCCTCTGCATCTAATATCCTGCCTTTGCTGTTACCTTCTCTCCAACATGAATGCCCTCCATGCCCTACTCTGACGCCATGATTGGTGTCCCTGTATGTGAACATGGTCATCACCCTAGTTGGCCCTACTATCTCCATCAGACCACCCTTCTGCACTGATGGCCTTCTGAACCCAGCCAGGCTTCAACATTCCCTGCAGAATTTCCTGCTACATAGACATCCTGGGGCACCTTCACTAGAAAAATGTGGCTCCCTCCCATTACTGCCACAGATGTTTACTTTGTTTTATTCTACATAAGGATTAAGATTAAATTGATATACAGGAAAAGAAACAGGAAAGGAGGGACAAGGGAAGGGGAGGGAAAGGGAGAATGAATGAGGAAGGGCTAAGACATCCTTTCAAATCCAATTTATCCCAATATATTATTATATATTGGCAATATACAACAGAATGTCATAATGCACTCACATTTAAACATGATCATGTGTAAAATTTCTATAACCTTGGATGCTCCCATATGTCCCTAAAAAAGATCAAATACGTGTTTTTCTTGAGCTTGTAACATTAATGAGTATTTAACTTACTCACATTGCTTTTATTTTGCCAGCTCAGTGTCAAGAATTCATTTAGATGGCAGACATCAATGTGCACTTTAACACTAAACCATGAAAATATATACTCACTAGAGTAAGTCCAAGCCATTATTCAGAGACATTTTAATTCCCATAGTTCATGTTGATATCTATCTCAAAAATATCAGGAAACAAGTCTTCATTTTTGCAACATTGGTTTGTTGTCATAGGTAAAAAATAATAATTAAGAGCAAACAGATACTGCCATAATTTAAAGTAATATGATTTATTTTCAATGGACACTAGCATGTTATAAAGCAATTTACAACATCAAACAAAGCCATAATGTTTCAGAATGGGTCATTTAGCATATTATATTATGGCACTTTACTTATTATAGCTTTGAAACTATTATGAAATTTTCTCAGCCAGCACTTTTTTCTTTGCAAGAATCCTTGTTTTTTTAATGTTGTTCTTTTTTTTTTTTTTGCATTTCCAGTGAATTGAATCTGTTTCAATATTTAATCACTGTCTGAGTTTAGCAGGTATAAAAGATTTATGGTTTTATCTCATTATTAATATATTTACATAGCGCTTTTTTCTTTATTAGTGCCTAGGCTGAATAAATAATAATAATAATAAAATAGGTAAGAAAAGGAGAGGTGTCATTTTCTGTTTAATTCTCCTAGATTGTTGAATGAGATTTTTGGATGAAACATACATCAATTTTAGAATATAATTAGATTTGAATGTGATTAGTGCCAACTTCATGCTGTCTAAAAAAGAGTTTATTTAATCAATTATAACTGTTTCTTACGAAGTCAAGTTCTTGATTTGTGATTTCATTTTATTGTGTTCGGAGACCCTTGCTAAATATGTCATTAGGAGACAAAAGCTCAAATCCCTCGGCCTTCTTACTACAGTAATGTTTCATTTTAATTTAAATTCAACTCATAAAACATCTCTGTCCTTTTATAAACAAGGTGAAAAGATAAGTTCAATTCAGCCTACTGAAAGCATGTTCCTAGAATTAAAATACTGGCAAAGTATTTTAGTCTTCCTCTCAACACATCTGGCAAGTTTTTTAGTTTAGTTTTGTTTTGTTTTATTTTGTTTTTTTGAGATGGAGTTGCCCAGGCTGGAGTGCAGTGGCACGATCTCAGCTCACTGCAACCTCTGCCTCCTTGGTTCAAGCTGATTCTCCTGCCTCAGCCTCCCTAGGAGCAGGACTACAGGCACATGCCACCACGCCCAGCTATTTTTTGTATTTTTTAGTAGAGACTGGGTTTGGACATGTTCGTCAGGCTGGTATTGAACACCTGACCTCAAGTGACCCTCCCGCCTCAGCCTCCCAAAGTGCTGGGATTGTAGGCATGAGCCACTGTGCCCGGCCATATCTGGTAAGTTTGAAAAAAAAAACCCAGTCACGGAGCCCATTCAGTTACCTCTGGCCCTCTGCTGTCCCCATCACAGCTACTTGGAATACTTGGGTTACTTTTTGATTCATAAGCGATATCTCATCATAGTCCCGAATTAACCAGCTGTTACTGATGGAGGCTTAAAATCACGTTTAGCAAACCTCTACCTTTCTCAACAATCATTGAAACAGCTGTCTCCAAATCTGCATACATATCCCCTATATACTTCGTGGTTATTGTTCCATTTTGAAGGGTTGTCATTTTAAAACTAAAAACTAAAAGACATTTTTTTTCTCTAATTCTTTGCCCCCCAAATCTTCTAAACGTGTGTAAAACATTTTAGCCATACCACAGACTTCATTTGGTATTTGTATTGTGGCTGGTATTAGTGCACAAGAAATGAAATACTATCTGAGAAAGTGTTTTGTAAAACATAGGACTTTGCTACTCTTTAGAAATGGGTGAGGATTTGAGGTGAGTGAGATTGTGGTATTCATGCAGTTGGTAGACTCAAATCATGCTGGCTCCCTGCTGAGGAATCCTGGGTCCTGATTCAGCTAGGTTGCCCAGCTACTTTCCCTCTTCTCACTTCAATGTTCTCTCAGGACCCGAGGAGAAACTGAACCTTATTTCCAATCTTTCTTGTCTCTTCCACCAGATGCTTGCTTAAATTCACCAACACTATGACCTATTTTCTCGGGACCTTCTTTCCTAAAGCTACAGTAGAGTATTCCCTGATGTTGTATTAAAGGATGCTAACAAGTGAATGGATGCAACTGTATTAATGGGGTCAGATGCAAAGAGACACCACCTTAAATGACATAAGGGACCCTAATAGTGGCCGTTTCAGGCCAGGTAGACCAACACTTGGAAGACAACATACTTCTGAAAGACTCAACTTTGCTGCCAATAATGAAAGCCAGTCCAAATAGGAAAGATCTTTCTACACAAAAACTAATAGTGTTCTTGTTCAACAGAACACAGTTGTGTGCCCAGCTGAGTCAGGAGAGCCAGAACGCCTAGGTTCGACTCCTGACTTCGAAAAAACTCTTTCGCTCTTCTGTGCCTCAACCTCCTCATCTGAGAAATGGAGAATCAATAAATTAGACGTGTAAGGACAATGTCAGAAGCTATTATTTTTAATGGCAGAATAACGTATTTGTTTTAAAAAAGGGTGGGGGACGGGATTAGGACAAGACCCAATACACAAATCCTGGCCATCTACGACAATTGGTGAGGTGTTGGCAAGGTTGCTTTTCTCCTCAGCGCCCTAGCATTTTTCATGTGTAAAACTGGAACTATCATGATACCTCCTTCATAGGGTTACTAGAAGATTAAGGAAATACATATAAGAATATCATCATCTGTCCCATAGTAAGAGCATGACAAACATTAGCTGTCACAATAGAAACACCTGAATTCAAATAGTATTATTGTACTTTATTAATCAAGGTACCCAAATCTATATAAGGTAGAGAATAACAATAAATATTTCTACTGAATGCATTACACTATTTCTTTTAGCCCCTGCTTTTTACTTGCTTTTTGAACAAAGTAAAAATAAATCAAGTAAATAACTCTCTTTTTAATATAAAAGGCATTACACCAAGAGCAATATGGATAAGGAAAAAAACAGGTGAATTCATTCAAAATGCATTAACTTCAGAATTGGTTCTGAAAGGGCTAATTGTAAAAGTCTCTTTTTACATGTGTTGTGTTCACAGGTGGTAAACACTGCACTAATAAAAAAGGACCCCGTGCGAAGCACCGTGGATGCCTTGCCAGAACGAGTTTGTGTGGCCATACTAACAGCTGAAGCATTAAGTTCTCATATCGGGTTAGAAAGCAACTTTTCTCCCAATTAAGGAGCCAAAGAATATTTCTGTTTCCTGAAAGTAAATTATGACCCATAAATTAGGAATTTCAATGAAATATTTACCATTGACATGAACAAAAATTTATTTTATTTTTATTTTAAATTCATTTTAGTGGTAGACTGGAACACGAAAGACAGACACTCGTGATTTGAAGGCTTCCGTTCGCAGTGTATACATTACATTTGCTGCTGGACTCAGGACAATAAAAATAATTTCCTGTTGCTGCTGCTGGTACTCTACTACAACTATTCATATTTCTTCCACCTAGTATTGATTAATCTTTTATGATGGACTAGCTAGGCACTTTACATGTATTAACACATTTGATTATCACAACAACCCTATCATGGAGACTCTATTATTAATCTCATTTTAAAGATAAAAAGACTAAAGGACCAAAACATTGAATACCTTTTCCAAAGGCCTCCAGAAGAAAACATCAGATAGTCTGACTCAAGAGTATTCTTATGCTGTACCACATCTCTATATTAAACTTGAGGCATTCTGAAAAAAATTGAATATTGTTCCTATTGAATTTTTTTTCTCTCTTATTCCTTCTAACTGGACAAGAACCTATACTTTCAAGTGTTGTATGTGTGTATGTGTGTGTGTAAAATTTATAGCTCGAGACAATGATGTCTATTTTCTATTTAATGGTATGTGAAATCAGCTGGCTGTCTTGATCTAGTAGCCGAGACACAGGTGCTCATATTACAAAATAAATAGTGGCAAAAATTGAATGGACATTTACGGTAGCAGGCACTGGGAAGAGAGAAAGAAAGGTGAAGACACTGTAAATTGAATGACTTCACCTTAGCAGAGGTCTCTGTTGTCTGGCATCATGAGTTCATGGAATAAGTCTGCTCTTGCTTGCTAGAAGGTTGTCTCTATCTTTCTTAATGAATGACTTGATAGATTTCTTAATGAATGACTTGATAGTTGTACAAAACGTGCAAAAATTTGTCCTCGTCTCAAAAACAAAAAGAATGGCAAGATAGAGATGGAGGATGAGATAGCATCTTTTGGAAACTATCAGCACCTAATTAGTCCTGAACAAAGGTAGTTGTGAGGTCCAAACCCTCTTGTGCCCTGTTTTTCTACACCCTCATGGTAATTGGTATGACTTTCACAAATTACAGAAAAAGACACCCATTTGACAAGGGAACTGAAGGTGGTGAAGACATACTGGCAGGCTACAGCATTTCAACCCAGGGGTTAATTCTGAAACTCTCTCACCATCAATGTAAAATTTTTCATCTATGAATTCCCACGTACAAAGAAAAGGAAAGGGAAAGGAAACAGCCTTCTTAGCCAGGGCAATTTATTAGCATTGCTCAGGTCCGTGCAAGAATGTAAACTAGGACTTTTGTGAAACGTCTTGTAATATATTCAAATCAGTTCTTCCAAATCCTCATGTTCTTTTTGAGCTGATTTAGTTGCACTTCGCTCCTGGGAAAACCCAGGAAGAGGGTTTGTGAACTGCATACATCTGTAATCCAAATGATAGCAATTTACTGCGAAATGTTTGACAAATATTGGCAGGCTGATTATTTACCAAAGCTATTCCTGCTTTTGGATAAAAAGGGGACAATTTATTGATTAAATTGGGAGATAAAGACTTCATTACACTGCTATTATTAAAATCTGAGAAACCACCTGTTTCTTGCATCTTAATCTCATCCAAGATTCTTGTTAAGAGTAAAAAGAAATTGTAATCAAGCTGCCACAAAGGGGAAATGAATCGTTCTATATGTGCTCACTCTGTAAGTTATGAATTTTGTTAATTCATGATAGCTAATTACATACATACATGCAAAAGTTTCTTAGTTATAAAACTCTGTATGTAATTTCCAAAAGCCACCATTGCCTCTATTTTCAATCCATTCTCACTAAATGGTATTATAATAGCTAGTACATGTTAAGTACACAGGACATGCCATGAAAAAGCTTGACAGAAATTAATTGATTTAATCCTCCAAACAGCTCCATTTAAAGAGTAATATTATTACCTCCACTTTTACAAAGGATAAGACTGAGGTACAGGGTAGTTAAGAAACTTGTCCAAGGTCACACAGAAGTAATTACCAGAAGGGAGGCTGGGACTCCAAGCTTTCATTCTGAACTTTAGCAAAATGGGTTAGGCTCTCAACAAATATTTAAAATGAGCTCAACTACTATTTTCTAAATGTGGAATGACAATTATGAAATTCATTACTTTGGACCCCATTTAGACCTCCTCTGTAAACATAACTCGTTTTTTTAAAAAAATTCATATAACTATATTTTCATCCGGTTATTGCCTATACAATGACTTCTCAAAGACATAGCAGAAAAAACAGCTGAATTTTATAAGAATGTTTAAGTTTCACAAATGTGTAGGAATAGCAGAGGGTCGATATTTAGACAGCCATTCTCACTCCTTTTTTTCCTAAATAGTTACTTCTTAAGTAGACGTTGGTCTCTTTTAAGCTAACAACTAGAATGATTCAAGAAAAATGCTAGTGAAGCACTATCAGGAATTTCTTAATGATACCATATCATACTAGGAAGGTAATTCAGAAATGAGCTGCCTTCATTGTCCATCATGCCCCACTTAATCCCTAACATTTTTGACAGAAGTATTTAGCCAATGTGAACACTTCCTCGTAGTATGGCCCATTCCTTCTTTGAACAGTTTTAATTATTTTAAGATATCTCTTACATGAAACCAAGTACTGCTTTCTTCAAACCCCACATATTCTTCTCTTTCTTTAGTGTGTGTGGGACTGGTGACCACTAACCCAAAGAATCCAGCAAAGGTGATGAGATGTTTCTTCTGTGGCTATGCTATATAGGATTGCAAAATCTGTCTTGCTGGGAGACAGGCTCCCTTACTGGCATTAAAGAAGCAAGCTGCCATGTTGTGAGATGTCCTGCAGAGGGGACAGCATGGTGGCCTTTAGTCAATAGCCCACAAGAGACTAAGGTCCTCTGTCCAACAGGCTGCAAGGAACTGAATTTTGTCAACAAACACATGAGCTTGGAAGCAGATCCTTCCCCTTTGAAATCTAAGACTCCCATTTTGGCTAACAATTTCATTGCAGCCTGTGAAAGATCATGACATAGAAGATGCAGTTAAGCTGTCCCTGGATTCCCGAACGACAGAAACTGTGAGACAATAAATGAGTGCTGTTTTTAGTATCTAAATTTGTGATGATTTTGTTAGGCAGCAATAGATAACTAAAAACTACGTATCACAGTTTGAATGCTAATTCTCCTTAAGAGGCTTCATTAAAAATAATAAAATTCTATTATTAGTTGTATCACAACAACAATAGAGGCAGCCCTTTATTGAGTATCTACTATGTGCCAGACACTCTCACTTCACTAGATTCTTTCCCCCTCCTTCCACCCCCTTTTCTTTTTTTAAAGTTTCGGGATTCATGTGCAGGATATGCAGGTTTGTTATATGGGTAAACTTGTGCCATGGTGGCTTGCTGCACCTATCAACCCATCACCGAGGTGTTAAGCTTGGCATGCATTAGCTAGTTTTCCTGATGCTCTCCCCCACCCACCCGCCCCCAACAGACCCCAGAGTGTGTTGTTCCCCTCCCTGTGTCCGTGTGTTCTCATTTTTCAGCTCCCACTTATAAGTGAGAACATGGGGTGTTTGGTTTTCTGTTCCTGTGTTTGTTTGCTGAGTATAATGGCTTCCAGCTCTATCTATGTCCCTGCAAAGGACAAGATCTCATTCCTTTTTATGGCTGCATAATATTCCATTGTGTATATGTACCACATTTTCTTTATCCAGTCTATCACTGATGGGCATTTCGGTTGATTCCATGTCATTGCTATTGTGAATGGTGCTGCAGTGAACATATGCTTGCATGTATCTTTATAACAGAATGATTTATATTCCTTTGGTTGTATGCCCAGTAATGGGATTGCTGGATTGAATGGTATTTCTGTCTTTAGGTTTTTGAGGAGTCACCACACTGTCTTCCACAATGGTTGAACTAATTCACATTCTGACACAACAGTGTAAAAGTGTTCCTTTTTCTCTGCAACCTCGCCAGCATCTGTTGTTTTCTGACTTTTTAATAATTGCCATTGTGACTGGCGACTTCACTAGATTCTATACACAAATCATCTCATTTGTTTTCATAAGAACCTTAAAGAAAAGGCATTATTAGTATTTCTAGTTTAAGAAACTGATGGTCAGAGAACACAAGTAACTCAAGGTCATACGACTAGAGTGTAAGGAAACTGCAATTAAAGCCAAGCCTTTTCACTGTGCCTTGCTGCTGCCTAATTCATTGGTTGAAATAAACCAAAACAAAAATAAAAATTTGGATTTAATTTTTTAAAAACCAGGACTGGGCCCAGTGGCGTACATCTGTAATCCCAGTGTTTTGGGAGGCTGAGGAAGGTGGATCGCCTGAGCTCAGGAGGGCGAAGTGACAGTGAGCCATGATGGCAACACCACCCTCCAGCCTCAGTGACAGAGTAAGACCTTTTCTCTCAAAAACAGCAACAGCAGTTATTAATATTTAATGTTATTAAAGTGTTTCTCTTTGGCAAACATGGTTCTAGGCCTCAGACAGCCATTGGCATATCACAGTCACGGGATGGCACATCATATATTTGGATTTGGATGGTTTACCTCTCATTAGTACCATCCCACCCCTATGCCTCACCACGTCTTATCTGCAGTAGACTCAACTTTCCCAGTACTTCAACCACTTTCACCATTTCATGTAGAATGTTTTCTTTTCTACTTTTTTTTTCTTTATTGGGGGAGGGGATGGGGTTTACTTTGTCACCCAGCTTGGAGTGCAGTGGTGCCATCACTGCTCACTGCAGCCTTAACCTCCCAGGCTCAAGCAATCCTCTTGCCTCAGCCTCAGCTGGGTCTACAGGCATGCACCTGGCTACTTAAAAAAAAAAAAAGGTAGGCTGGTCTTGAACTACTGGCCTCAAGCATTTCTCCCACCTTGGCCTCCCAAAGTACTGGGATTACAGGCATGAACCACCACAATCAGTCTACGATGTTTTCTTGAATTGCTTTTGCTTTCATTTTGGCTTCTTCTCAGTATTTCTGTAACTTTTACTTTTTATATCTCTTTAACAATGTGGTATCTTAACCAAAACATAAAATTGAAATACTATATGCAAAACTGATAAAAATAAAAGAACTTGATAATATTGGCTGGGCATGGTGGCTCACCCCTGTAATCCCAGCTACTCAGGAGGCTGAGGCAGGAGAGTCACTTGAACCCGGGAGGCGGAGATTGCAGTGAGCCGAGATTGCGCCACCGCACTCCAGCCTAGGTGACAGAGTGAGACTCCATCTAAACAAAAAACAAAACAGAACAAACAAACCCCCCCCCCCAAAAAAAAGAACTTGTCAATATCACAATGAATATTATTTTCCTTTTAGAAACTGACATATCTAATTGACAATATAACTGAGTGAGGAAAGTGAATATGAATAATAGGATTAATATGCTTCATACAACTAATATGTATAACTTAATTGTTTTTAACTCTAAAAAGCAATAAATAATATATTCTAAAACACATTTTAAACTGACAAAAGGTGATCTTTATTAGGACAAAAATAAAAATCTCAATATAGTCTCCAAAAGAGAAATGATATAGACTTAAAATTGAATAAAGTGGTAATAAAGTTAGACAATTAAAAACTGAAGAATCATCAAATATCATGCCTTGAAAGATTATAATAAACACACACTTCTAAATAAGTCTTGAAAAAATGAAACACATTTATATGTGTGTGTGTGTGTTTATATAAACGAAGTTTCTAATTATTTGGAAATGTAAAGTATTAAGAGCACTACAACACCCCTTGTAGAAAGAAGCCAAGGTTGCATCAAGAAAAACATTTATAATGTTAAGAGCAAACACAGATAAGAGAAAAAATTTAAAAATAACATAAGTATAAAGTAACTTTAGAAAGGTAGGAGTGCAACAAAAGAAAATGAACCGAGTGGGTGCATTAATAAAGGTAAAAGTGTAGATTAATCACACTATATAAAATGGAATGCCCCCACAAGAATATGAGACACCATCTGCCATCGATAAGGACAAAGTATGTCCCTTCAGGGTCTAAATTTGCTGGAGCCTTTGGTCACATTTTTGTTAGATCCCAGGATATTGTTGTTCTATATGTTGTAAACAGAAACAACCATAGTGAATCTTCAATTGGTATTTTTTTTTGTCGTATTTTAACACCAACATACGGGGAAAGCTTAGAAACAAGTGTCCTGTCTGTTAATGAATTTTAAACCTCAGGGATTTCAGTTGTTAAAGACCTTCCTTTATTATCAGCCATGAAAATTAGTATTCAGAAAGAATTTTGAAAACCAATTATTCTTAAGTTTGATAATCATGAATTGGGGGATGAATTTTTAACAATCATTGTCCCAAAGATATTACCACAAATACATTGGTGCTATTAAATACTTTTATGTATCTATTTCCCTTCTCAAAAGGCCTTCCTTTAAGCCACTTTTCCTACAGAGACATTTCACTTTAACATGAAAGTCATAGTGTGTCTCCTCTAGAATATTCGCAGATGATTGTCTTCATTTATCAGGAACACATATTTAAACAGTTTGCACTATTTCAGTTTTCCTTGTGAAGCAGAAGTATTCATCATACCAGTTGAGGCTTATATTACCCTGTAGCAAAGCGATTTATCATATCCCTACATCAGCAACTTCTTTGATTATTAAAATTCTCTTGCAGAGGTACACTTAGTTGCACACAAGCTGCTGTCTAATGAATTTTCTTTATTATTTGACCTGAAGTTCAGGGAATCTGCATATTAAGACATATTATTCAAAAGCAGTGATAGAGCATGCAGAACCAGATTAATTAAACTCATAGCTGGAAATACTTTAGCAGAATTTAATACTTGGCATATGTAAGCGAACAACCCTCAGGAAATACCAGTGTGAATCATTTTTTCTCCTTTAGAAACAATTTTTATTTCCTAAATTTGGTCTGCTATAAAATGGTAATTTGTGAAGCTCCAGAATTATTGGTTCAATTTTGAATAGTAATTATAACTAAGGGTATGTGTAATTGACTCAAGTTACTAATGACCACCCTTTTCCTAATTATTCAATATTATTTCAGTTAATATTTATTAAGCATTCTTTTGTCAGCCTGACACTGTGCTGGTTTCTTTCAGAGATGTCAAAGAGGTTTACACATTTCTTCTGGCTTCAAGGAGTTTGTAATCTAACTGGAGAGGGAAGACTCATCCATTGAAACTATATGGGCATCTAATTTCTCCTCCATGTGATATCTCTAATAGCCAGCCAGGTTTAGATTTATTATCCAAAAAACATGATTTCAGGTTTCCAAAGGTAGCCAAAAGGATCACACCTCAATGTTCAATTCTTTTCAAGCTTCTGCTTGCATCATGGTGGCTAACAACCTATTGGACAAGACAAGTGACACAGTCATGCCCAGATTTGAGGGGTAGAGAAATAAACTGCACCTCTTGATGATGGAATGGCAAAAGGTCCTGCATAAAGAGATAATGTATCCATCTTTGAGAGCCTCCCATTACAATTAAACCAGAATTTCTGGAGTGGAATAAGGACAGAGAATTTTTTAAAAAGCATTTTAGGTGACTCCAGTATGTAACCAATTTGAGGGCCAGCTGTTTTGACCAGTTCTTCTCAAACTCTGGTGTGCATCAGAATCACCTGGTAATCTTGTTAAACTACAGATTTGTGAACCCATCCCCAGGGACACTGATTCAACATCTGTGGAGTTAGGGACTGACACTTTGCAGCGCTAACAAGCTCCCAGGTGATGCTGATGCTACAGGTGCTTTATCTACATTTTGATTAGCATTAATTTAAACCACGGTGCAAAGTTAATTATATGTATGATATGTAATAAGTTTCTATTCATTTGGCTGAGTTCCTGTGAACAGTTTGTCAATTTTACAAGTTGGAAAAGTTAAATCTCCCACATCATACACAGGGACCAATCTTATCATATGACCAGGAAAATGGGGAGAAGTCCTTCATCAGCAGTTCAAAGTTAAGTATTTGAGCATCATAGGACACTTGATACTGTCCCTGCATTAATCTCCTGCCTTGTTTCTTGTAACTCACTTCCTGGGCTCCCGCTATGCATCTTTTTTCATCCTACTACTGCACTATGGCTGTTTTATTCTTGGTACACCCGATCCATCCCTCTGTTCCCAAATGGGAATTGAGATCTTGCCTTGTTCTCCACACTGATTTAAAGAACTAAGCCTTCCCAGCAGCTTTCTGCCACTAGATTTTATACATCCAACCTGCCAACTTCATATTGTATTTGCCTTCTGGTTTTTTCTCTTTGTGCTGGTTGTTTTCCTTTGGCTCTCCCCAGACCCACACTCCTGCCTTGTCTGCTCTATTCCTGCCTCAGAGGTTGATCTCTTATATAATATATTGCATCACTGGGGATTTCTTGCTGCCTGGTTTCCTGTACACAAGTGGTTCTCAGAGTAAAGTTCCTGGACCACCAGCAGCATTACCATCACTTGGAAACTTTTTTCATTAGAACTGCAAATTTTGCTGGACATGGTGGCTTATGCTTGTAATCCTAGCACTTTGAGAGGCTGAAGCAGGAGAATTGCTTGAGGCCAGGAGTTCAAGACCAGCCTGGGCAACATAGCAAGATCCCCATCTCTACAAAAAAAAAAAAAAAGGAAAAGAAAAAAAAGAAAATTAAATAGAACTAAAAATTTTGGGGCACCACGTCAAGGCTAGTAAATCAGAAACTCTGTAGGTGAGGCCCAGCAATCTATATTTCAACCAGTCTTTCTGAGGACTCTGATGCATGCTAAAGTTTGAAAACCACTGACATAGGATATAGCTGATGCCAGTCACTGGCAGGTCTATGTACAGACAGAGAGAGTAGAAGGTCTGTTTCTCCCCTTGATTCCTTCCTGCTCTGGGCTGCATTTTCTTACAGAGTTTGCATGCCTCCACAACTTAAAGCTCTTACCAGGCAGCCTTTCCTCCAAAATTGCATTTCACTCTGGTCTCCAATAATATTATTTCCTCCTCTCCATGCTTCAAGCTTAAGAGTTGTAACAGCTTCCTGCCATTGCTATGGTCTAGGCCTCAACATCCGTTTTTGTTTTCTTTAACTTACGTACATATCAGTAAATATTCTCATTCTTAATGTCTCCTAAACTTTTGATTACATTCTGTTTCCTGCTGGCACCCTCAGGTACTGCTGCCCGTGAATTTCCTTTTCCTAGCCTTCTTTATCCTGAGTCCTCTCACCCAAGATCTAGCTCAGATCATGATGATTAATAAAGTTGGGATAAATGTTACTTACATAAAGGTGTGGTTTCTTATAAAGGCAATCTTGAGAGCATGAAAGCATTACAGTTCATGAAGCCAGGAAAACAGAGCCCTTCCTAGAGTTCCTAAAATCTCATTGCACAGGCAGCCTGTCAGTGAGTACACACACATGCTATGATACACATGTACTGTGTGTGTGTGATGTATGTGTTGTGTATAAGTGTGCATAAGGGAAAAAATGAGCATCAAGATTTTCCGGCAAAATAAGTAACGAAACCCTGTTAATCTCCTGGCAGCTGCTTCAGATGTCAGAATACATTTGTCAAAAAAACAATAGAATCTGGTTTGAACAGCTCTTCTGTTTGGGAAAAAAAAGAAAAAGTGAAACTTAGCAAGAATGTGAACTAGATCATAAACCCAACTGGGTACTAATGAAGATGGTATGCTTCCAATTTCAGTGGTCTTTCCTGGTCAACGATGTTGTGCTTGTTTTTGTTGTTCCTTTTGTTTTATTTTTATTTTTTCTTTTCTTTTTATTTAAATGTATTTATTTACTTATTTTGAGACAGGGTCTCACTCTGTCACCTAGGCAGGAGTGCAGTGGCTTAATTATGGCTCACTGCAGCCTTGACCTCCTGGGCTCAAGCAATCCTCCCACCTCAGCCTCCCGAGTAGCTGTGTCTGAGTAGCTGAGACTGTAGTTAGCTAGCATGCCCAGCTAATTTTTAATTTTTTGTAGAGACAGGTTCTCACTATGTTACTCAGGCTGGTCTTGAACTCCTGAGCTCAAGTGATCCTCTTGCCTTGGCATTCCAAAGTGCTGGGAAAATAGGCATGAGCCACTGCATCTGGCCTTGTTTCATTTTTAATCTTTTCTGTGTGAAAGCCCTCAGTAGTGGTCAGAGGTAATAAAAAATACTCACACAGCAGATAATTTCCCTTGAGGCAGGCCACCAGTGGCAAAAATGAACTTGGCACCACATGTAAGAAATGGTCTTAAACACACCCAATTTAACTGTGAGCTTGACTTTAGCTTAGGATTGAGGTAAGAAAGAGCTGTAGCTACACAAAGATGGTCTTCTAAACTTTCTACAATCATGCCAGTTGTCGTGGCTCATGCCTGTAATCTCAGCACGTTGGGAGGCCAAGGCGGGTAGATCACTTGAACTCAGGAGTTTGAGAGGAACCTGGGCAAAGTGGTAAAACCTTGACTCTACCAAAAATACAAAAAATTAGCACAGTGGCATGTGCGTGTGGTTACAACTACTCAAGAGGCTGAGATGAGAGGATCGCTTGAGCCTGGGAAGCAGAGGTGGTAGTGAGCTGAGACGGTGCCACTACACTCCAGCCTGGGCGATAGAGCAAGACCGCATCTCAAAAAAAATCAATAAAATTTATATAATCAAAACTTTTTTTTTCTGATACACAGCACCAATGCTTCCAAGGATAAAGACCTTTTCTCCTAAGAATATTAAACAAAGTTGTTACGATTATGATTCCCATTTCATAGGTGGGAAAAATTTGAAGGCAGACAAGGAAAGCTCTAGCAGCAAACATCTAGCAGGAAATGCAGAGGAAAGGAAATTACTCTCACAGTATGTAAGGGAATCATCTTTTACAGACTTGCATATGCTTTTTCTGAACAATCTGTGTGTTTTTGTTTAGTTTTTTAATTAACCAGGGTCTTTATTTTAGCGTTACTCTACACATGTTTCTTATGATGATGTATTTTTAAAATTTATTTTAATTGTGGTAAAAATCACAGAATATAAAATGTATCATCTTATCTGTTTTTAAGTAATGTTAAACATATTCACACTGTTGTGCACCCAATTTCCAGAACTATTCCAATTTTCAGAAAACTGAGATCCCATATGTGTCCCCACCATATGTTTTTAAAGCACATATCAAATATCTTCTTTTAAAAAATTCATATTTTATGTTCTTGAATGTTTAACTTTATCATGTATTATAAATAACCTACCAGAATTAATGCGGATTTTAAATAAATATTTCTCTCTACTAAGATGCTTTTTTTAAATAAGTATTCTTTGAACTTTAACTCTGTGGGACTCCATGTCTACAATGGTGAGAAAAGCAGACATATTTTTCAAATGGTGGGGCAAAATGTGTCATGCAGTGAGGCTAACAACATTGAAAATAATGATGATGATCACACTGACTGGCACAACACTATAAATAATAATCAGGACGAGCAATGCTTTAGATCCCAGGGTTCTCAAGGGGTATTATGAAATGGTGCCTCTTAAGTCCACCCCTCAAATTTATAATTGAACATATCAAGGACAGACTTTGTCCGTTCATTTTAATAGTATACTCACCTGCTCTAGAGACCTGGTCCCTCATAACCTAGCCCCGATCCTCAGAATATTAGGGTTGCCTTCAGCAGATCCACTTTGCAAAGCTATGGAGCTGAACTTCTGTCTGGGACCGGGGGAGTCGAATTGTAGGAGACGTTAACTTCACACAGGCATCTAATGGAGCCCAAGAATATCAACACAATTCTCAAATGACTCTCCCCATTTGCTACTAAAGACCTGCAGTGCTTCTCATATCACCATGGATAATCATTACTTGCTTCCCCAGCCCACATATCAGCCACTTATTATTATTTTTTTAAAGACAAAACAACAACAACAAAACCTGACCTTTGAGATGTTTAAGAGCGTAGATACTAGAGTGAGACTTCCAGGTTTCCATTTTGACTCTCATACTTGTGTGATCTTGTGCAAGTTATTTAATCTCAGTATCCCAATCTAGACTACTAATTAAGCTAGTTCTTATATATAAAGATTGTGGAATAATTTCTGGGTCACTGTGTAGGTCTTGTAAACACTACATAAGTATTTTCTACTAGAGGCTCAGGGATTTGGTGAACCCCATACCAAGTTATAGTCAGTGCCCTGCTGTAATTCGTCATATTCCTTAATTCTAGTTTATGCCCAGCTGCACTCTCTCCTCATGCCTAAATTTACAAAGCTTTTTATTCCACCTGCACAAAATTGCAGTGAGTAGACAGAAAAACTCTTAGCAAGTGAAAATATTCTTGAGATCAAGGAGTTCTAAGCAGAGGGGCAGATGCATTTCAAAATCAGAACACTGTTCATAGGAAGGGAATTGGAGGGACAACCTGGTTACCAAGATCAAGATAGTAAAGGATTACTTTGCATCTATTCTTTTTCTGGTTACTGGATCACAGATACCCAGAAAGAAAGCCTTTGCACTTTGACGTTTTGATCTCTTTCTGTAGCTATATCCACTACATGCCAACTGTTACCAGACACTTTCTTCTGCATATCATTCATGATCCTTATCTACAGTAAATAATCTTCAAGATTTCTCCCAATATTTCTCTAATTTTAGTAACTCTTTATATAGCGAAAGGCTGTCACAGCACCCATGACTTCCATATGTCCATATTAATAGCATTTTAGTCTTCAGATATGAATTTAAAAGTCACATCCTCTAGAAAGCTTTTGCTAACCCCCCCAGCCTTGGTTAGGTCTGGTTACTATACATTCTTACCACTTGCATCCTATACCTCTTTTTTTATTACACTGAACACTCTTGTATGATTCATTGTATTTCTTTTCCATTAGACTCTAAGCTCCATGAGGGTGTCATGATTCTGTCTTACTGATTTCTTCTTGTGCCTAGGACAGTTCTAACTCCAGTCTTATTTCCAAGCACTTAAAGTATACCCTGATTCTCTTACAATGTCAGAATTTTCATATTTCTTCCTATTATTTTTTCTTTTGTGTTTTATTACTACTTAATGTTCCTGACTCTAGAGTTGTTATGTAAGCCAGTCTAGACTGTGGTTAATGTTATGAGGAAACACAACATGAATTCAGGAAGTTCTTATAGAATGTTACCTGCGAAAGCTCCAGTGGCTTTGGTGATTAAACTGTAATCTCAGTTAAACATCTTACTTTCCATTGTGGGAAACTTGCTTTGGCAAGATTCAAACAGAATGAACATAAATTCTAATAAAATATGTTAATGGGACTTCATGGGACTCATTAGTCCAGCTCCCTTGCCTCACTTAAATCTACAGTACCTGTTAATTCCTACCAGCTTCTCTTATAGTTTTAAAGGTATCCATGGACTCTTATCTTAAACTATATAGATTTGTTATGCACCACCCCCAAAATTCTCCAAGGTTTATGCTCTTGATTTAAATAGAAGATTTTTACAAGGCAATAATTTCTACAAAGATGTAATTTTATAAATGCTTTATCCCCATCTTTTAAGAGCTTTCCATAAAATTAAAAATAAGAAAATGATTATTGTTGTTATCCTTGGTGAATAAACCATGTAACTGTTCTCTTTAACTTTTTAAAAATAAAAGCACTGACAATAAAGTTAACAATGGGCATTTACTAAGCACTAAGATACATATGAGCTTTATATTTTTAACATATAAATTTCACAATAATTGTGCGAAGTATTTGCTATTATTCCTATTTATAAATTAAGAAATTGGTCTGCATAAAAGAAAAACTCATCCAATATGAATTAATTGGTAAATGAATAAATTTGAATTCAAAACCAGGTCTTTCTGCATCCAGGGCCCGTGTACCTTCAGTAAGTACTACCTCAAGTGTATAAAAATTATTTAAAGTTAAAAAAAGAAAACCTTTGCTTTACTCCCTTGTAAAAACTCATGAATTACACAAACGCAGGAACTTGATGTTAGCTGAGCATGCACACACTCTGAGCAAAGAAATAGGGTTCACGATCAAGCTGTGGTTTCTATGGTGTCTTTTCACAGAATGGAAGAGACAACCACAGAGTTTTTATGCTGTCTTTATGTAGGGCCTGATATAGTCCCATCATTTAATTTTTTTCCATTACTATTCTGAACTTAGAAGGCTGAGAACATAAACAAATACAGCTGTTTTAAAAAGGCAACAGGCTTTTTCTCCCTCCATCTCCCCACCCCTGCTTCAAGATTTGAAATGTTAAATTAATAATAGGTGAAGAAAATTAAAACTCTTAATTATAGTAAGGTAAGGCAACAACCAAGAAAAATAAATGCATGGGCTATCCCGGTGAAGAAGTTAACCATTTTGCTAAATGCGAAATAAAACTATAATGAAATAAAGAAATGTTGAGTAACAAAACACTTAATATAATAGTTAATGTTAGAAGTCATAATGGTTAGGAATTTATTGAACTGCAAGAAGCAGGAAAGCCAATCACAGAATAGCTTAAAACAGTTGTTCTGAAGATGGCTGATGTTAGAATTACCCAGAGAACACTTAAAGTTACCAATTCCCTGGCCCCAGCCCTTCTCTCTTTCTGATGAAATTGATCTTTTTGAGAGCCCCATATAAGTATCTTTTGTCAGTTGATGTATTAGTTATCTATTGCTGCATAACAAATTACTCCAAAACATAGGAATTTAGAACAACAACATTTATTACCTTACACAATTTGTAGGTCAGGAATCTAGGTGCAGCCTAACTGGCCCCCTCTGGGTTAGGCTCTCTCACAAGACACTAATCAAGGTAACAGCCGGGGCTGACATCCTCTCTAGGTTGAACTGGGGGAGAATCTGCTTCTAAGTTCATTCCTATGATTGTTGGGTAGCCTCAATCCCTGTGGGCTGTTGGCCAAAGACACCAGTGTTTTGTGCCATATAAATCTCTCCATATCCAGAAAGCAGGTCACAACATGACAACTGGTCTCCCTTAAAATAAATGAACAAGAGAGGGCTCCCGAAATGGAAGACATCATCATTTGTAATCTAAATCTTGGAAATGACATCCCATTACTTTAGAAATGTTCTATTCAGTAGAAGTAAGTCACCAGATCTAACCTACTCTCAAGGGAAGGAGATTACAAAATGATCTGAATACCAAGAAGTGAGGAACCTTGAGGAACATCTTAGAGATTGCTTGCCACAGCCAGGAATGTGAATTGGCTTAAATGAAGAGAGGTTTATTTTTCTCACGTAACAAAAAGCCTAAAAGAGGTATAGTAGCTGAACATTTTCTGGACTGCCAGTCACTGTTGGCATTTGATAGGAAGGAGAGGGAATATGGGAGAAAGAGAAGGTCTATGCCTCTTCTTTTTATTAGGAAAGCAAATATATTTTTCTAAGTCCCTCTGGAAGACTTTTGTTTATGTGACATGGGTCATAACTGGATCACTTGGGATCCCTCAACTAAAAATGGAGGTGGATGGTGAGTGTTTATCTCCAACCTTAGATTAGGAGCAGCAAGGAAGCCTGAGATTGAGAATGACTTGAGAATAGTGCCCATCAATGACCTGTGCACACCATGCCTCCATTTCCTTGTATCTTACTCTTTACTGTATCTCAATTTAAGTTTGCAAATTGAAGCATAAATCGATGCCAGTTTACTAAATTTAATATACAGCTAATTTCAAGATCATATTTCTCATGGCTTCAACTTTATCACAGCACGCTCATGAACCAGAAAGTAGCAAACACCTTTGAGCAGCAGAAAAAGTTGTAATCAAGTCCATGTAGTTAAATTTACAGAAAATTTCTCAGATCTTAATCTTCAGTTTTATTTATTCCCTTTTAGTTCACAATCCAGACAGGATTGATGATTAATTCATCTCACTGCTTGTACATTTGTCTCAGTTTTTCCCTAAAAGGGTATGGTCAACATTTTAGCATTTCATAAAAGGGCTGTCATAATCTGGCCACAACTTGCCCCCGACGTCTTCTTCTATGCTCGCTCCTTCCAGTAACTCAAGATTTCTGAACACACATCCTCTTCTCTACCTCCCTGCTTCCTCTCTGCCTTCAATGTCCTTCCCGACTCATCTTTCAAGGTCTACCTCGTATCATACAATCTTAGATGTCTATAGGGACCAGGGAAATAATGTAAATGAGAGGAATGTGCTGGCGATTGCATATTAAACACATGGAAATCATACTTGCAACAAGGGATATATGCTCCATCCTGCTTTTCTTAATATTTTCTCTGTTCTTGGTCATTCCTTTGTCTTCTCATTCCGATAGAGACATAATGATCCACTTTCTAAATTCTAAATTCTGATAGAGACAAAATTATTTCACTTTTGTGTTAAGAAAGTGAAAATGATTTACATCCATTTTTAATCATGACCATATAGAAAATGGCTACAATACCATCATATCTCCTCCTCCCTCCTCCATCTTCTTCTCCTTCTCCTTCTTCTTCCTCCCAGGGTGTTGCTCTGTTGCCGAGGCTGGAGTGCAATGGTATGATCATAACTCACTGCAGCTTCACCTCCTGGGCTCAAGAGATCCTTCTGCCTCAGCCTCCTGAGTAGCTGAGACTGTAGGCATGCACCACCACAACTGGATAATTTTGTTTATTTTTTATAGAGAAGGGATCTTACTATGTTGCCGGGGCTGGTCTCAAACTCCTGGACTCAAGCAAGCCTCCTGCCTCTGCCTGCCAGAGTGCTGAGATTATAGGCATGAGCCAACTTACCTGGCAACCATCATATCTTTTATCTCTCTCTTTAAAAAATGTCTAGCAGTAATTAGAAATCCAGATTTTAATGTAAAGTGTCCAATTTTAAAATCATGGTGTTTGTATATACAAATTTACTTTTTAAATTATTTTCATGGAGGAAGGGAACATTCTGCATGTCACATTAAATACATCTGGAGTCTGGAGCATGCCTGCTGACTGCGAGCTAGATCAAAATAGTTCCCTCTTTGGAGTCTTTTCTAAAAGCCCAGGTTGGTTAGTTACTTCCTCCACTGTTTTCCAGGAATAGCAAAGATGACCTCCAAGAGGAACATTTTGTATACCAATTTACACATGTGGTTTACATGTGAGTCCTTACCTGGACTGAGATACTTGAGAACAGAGTTTGCAGATTATGACTGTGTTCTCAGTTTAACACATCGAGTCTACCCCATAGTTCCCACCCTGTAAATGCTTGTTGCATTAATGCATCTCAGATGAACACGTGAATCTCATAAAGAAATGTAGCTGATGTGGAGTGGACATGATCTAATTAGAGAACAAGAAAGCTTTGACTTAGCAGCAAAATATGTGAAGAAGAAATGTCCTGGTTTGTCCTCTTGGACAGGATTATTGGATAGAGGCCCAAATTTATTCATTTAACGAGTGTGTGTGCTGGAGGCCCAAGATGAATCAAGCAGTTCTAGACACTGAGGATTCAGAAAACAAGAAAACAGAGAAAAAAAAAACTTGATGGGAGGGGACAAATAAGAAATAAAAGCAACAAATAAAGCAAATCATATTTTCAATTATTCTGATGTTTGTTTTGGAGAAACAGTGAAAAAAAGGACAGAGAAGAAGTTGTCAAGAACCTGAGGAATGGAGGCATGTGCAAGTTTAAATAAGCTAGCCATGTTAAGTGTCTGTGAGCAGGAGGGCATTTGAGTAAAACTCTGAAAGAATGAAAGAGCCAGCCAGACTGATAACTGGAGGAAAGTGCTCCAGTCAGGTGGAACAGCAAGTTGAAATCCTGAGGCACAAGGATGCCTATTCAAGGAATAGCAAGGCGGCTGGGATGGCTAGAAAGAAGAGAATGAGAGAGACAGATGGAGAGGGCATGAGGTTAGAGACATCCTAGCAGGATTGGAGGGAGAGAGTGCAACCATCTCTTAGGGCCCATTTTGTGACAACTTTAACTTTTATTCCAACTTAGATGGAAGCCATTGGAAGAGCAGGAGAGTGACATGATCTAACAAATTTTAAAGGGATTGCCTTGGTGACTCTATTGACGCTAGACTGAATGGAGACTAGAGTGGGACAGGATGACCACCTAGACAGTGATAGAAATAACGCAAGCAAGTACAATGACAGCTTGGACCAGGGTCATGATCACAGAGACAAAGAGGCTGATAGAGAACTGGGATTCCAACCTCATTAGGTTCCTAAAATAAGTTAAAATCTTCCTTGCAAAGCAATAGGATCACAACCTGACCTGTCAGCTCAGTATAAGAATATCTTCTTTGTGATCTTTCTAGTTTTAATACTGCCAACATGATAATTAATTGCCTAATCACCTGCTGTTTTCTTGTCAAGGGGATTTTTCTGATTTTTCTCCTATAATATATTGTCTGCTTTGAAGCCAGGGTGATCTTTTCATAATGCAAATCTGATAATGTGTCCCCTTTTTAAAGCAGTTTAATATCTTCTCATTTCATGGAGGGTAAAGCAAAATTCCATATCATGACCCACAGGACACTTTTGGATCTGGATTCTCACTGTGATGCCAAAATCTTCACAATCTGTGCTCCAGCAAATCTGCCTGTTCAGTTCCTTTTATGCACCAGCGTTCTCTCACACCAGGGGTTTACCTATCCTATTCCTTCTGCCTGAGTTTCTTTTTGCTGCCTTCTTCACCTCGTTAATTTCTTCTCATCCTTTTCATGTTAGCTCAGTGCTCTAAGTGCTACTCTCTCTGGGACTCTTTCTCTAAGATTTCTGACTATTGGGTACTCCCCTATTGTAGGCTCTAGCCATACCTGCACCTCTCCCTGCATATGTCACAGTTACAGTTTTTTAATACACTTGGGTGATGACTGAACTGATGCTACCTCTTCCTGTCACCAGCTCCGCCCCCCCACCCAAACTAGACTGTAAAATTCTTGGAAGTAAGAGCCATGCCTTCTTTTCTTCATCATTTATTCCCAGCATGTAGCACCATATCTAGCACATATATGTTGGATGGATGGACGGATGGATTCATGGATGCATGGATGGATGGATGGATGGATGCATACTACGACTGGCTTAAAATTTTAGCATTATTCATCCTACTATTTCTCACAATTTAGTGTAATTTGTATTCTCAGAAGCATGAATAGAAAACAATTGCAAGTGTTGGTTGTCCCAAATGTGCTGCTGTAAAGCTGGGCTACAAAGGCAGTCATTTTGCCCTGTCTGGGGATAAATAGGCATAGTTTGAGTAATGGCAATTAGAGCCAGAATTCAACTGGTGAATCACATTGACCACCACTTGAGTAAACCCATGGACTGTAATTATGTCTAGTCCTTATTTGGAAGCCTGGGGAATAATGCTTTTGTTTGCAGTGTTTCTCCCTGGCACAGTCTGTGAGCCCAGAATGAAAAGATTATTATCTTTAACCAGAATCTCATGTTCTTTGATTTTCATCAAGCTTTTCACATTTTCATGTTAAGAAAGTGAAAAGGATTTACATCCAAGATTGATTCAATGACATTTTTGTAACTGATTGCCTTTTAAAAAATTATATTCCAGAGCTTCAAGTAAAAGCAGTCTTGCAATAATTTCATAAGGCAAGAATGCATTACTTCTTTACTTCTAAAAACAAATTGATGCTATTGTACATATTTTAACTAAAATAATTTTATACACACTAAGATCAAAGATGTTATCTAAAAGGGCTAAAACGAGATTCCACCATAGACCTTACAACTTAAAAAAATCCTGTCAATATTTGATTACCCAACTGAAGAATGATGTCTTATTTTTTAGCATTCCTCATAAATCCTATTTCTTAATTTTCCTATAAACAGGCTGGTGTGTTTTGCTATCAAGCAATTTAAGTGTACATTTTTATGGGATTTGGGGTCATTGTTGAAACCACGCTAATAAACTGCAAAGGCAGTTGATGCAGATAAACCTTAGAACAATAAATATAAGAACAAAGGGAGAAGAAAATAATGTGCATCTGCTGAAGGGGAAGATACCGCCGAATACTAATGAGGAAAGTGGTCTGGGAGTTGATGTAGAAAACCTCTAAAGCATGCAGCTTAATGTGCAACTGCGGCAAAAGGGCATGGAGAATGCTAGATTGTATGGCTGGGGAAAGACAATATAAATCAGATTTGGCATCGTTAATCCAAGCTCCAGTATTAATGTCACCTAAAGAATTGTTCTCTATGTTGCTCTTGGTCAAGAGAGGTGCAAAGAATGCATTTAATGTTGAAATTGTGTAGTAAAGGGGCAGCTCCAGGAATGTAGTGGTCTGAGGTTAGCAACTAGAGGAAAAAGAAGACTCACAACCTGGCTAGTAGCTGTGGACTAAGATGAGCATTGCTGCCCTTTCTTTTTATATGGGCCATTGAGAGTTAAGTAAGCCAGAGATATCATCGAGTTAATATAAAACTGGACCCTAGGCCACTTGGGCTGGGCTCAATGAAGACTTCCACTTTCTAGAAAACTCTGAGATTTCTGCCCTGTCAGCGTGCCCAACCTTTCCTCAGAGGATACTTTGCTGTCTTTTCTCACAAGTATTTCTTACTTTTTAATCTGCGTAAAATCTATAAGGTACACTTAGACCTGTGTATATGCATTTGCTGAAGTGTTCCCACCACTACGACCACTAAAATACAGTCCTTTCTTACCTTTTTTACCTTTTTTTTTTTGAGACGGAGTCTTGCTCTGTCGCCCAGATTGCAGACTAATGCAGTGGCACAACCTCAGCTGATGGCACACTCCACCTCTGAGGTTCAAGCAATTCTCCTGCCTCAGTCTCCCAAGTAGCTGCAACTACAGGCATGCATCACCATGCCCAGATAATTTTTGTATTTTTAGTAGAGATGGGGTTTTACCACGTTGGCCAGGCTGGCCTCGAACTGCTGACCTGAAGTGATCCACTCGCTTCGGCCTCCCAAAGTGCTAGGATTACAGGTGTGAGCTACCGTGTCCAGCCCCTACCTTAATTCTATTCATCCTGAATTCAACGTAATTTGGAATTGAAAAACTGTGAGTAAAACTGCAAGAAACTCCAGGAAGTTGTATGCATTCATCCACATGAGTCTACTGTCTACACACTTATACACAGACACAGAGACACACACACATGCTTATATATACACACAAACATATAGTCTGTTTCTGGATGTGTATATATAAATATATATGAGTGTGTGTCATATATATTTACTCCAAAACAAGTCTCCTTCACCATTTTGTAGATAAAAACTTCAAATGAGTGTAAATTCAAAAGTAAATACAAATTTAAGGCAATTTTTAAGTCTAATTTTCCCTACTTGCAGGGCCAGTTTTTGCAATATAAAAAAATTGGATTTATTTAGCTTGATTTGTTTTTGACAAATCAGAATTGGCTGTTTATAATACCTTGATATCCACTCTGTACTTGGAAATCGATTTTTTGACCAATTGGTATGAGGTGTCTCTGAATCTTTCTGGGAATGTTACTCTCTCACCTTTGCAAATCTGAGTTGACGGTGCTGCAGTGTGCTCCAGAGAAGCACACTGCAGGTGGTGAGAAGTAAAAGATTCAGCCATTGGACTGGTTGTCTTGTCTATACAGAGCCAGAACCATCAACAGGTAACCATAAATCTCTCCTGGGGAATTTCAGCACATAAACTTTTCCTAGAGTCTCCAGACTGTGTTTATACTTTGTAGATATTATGCAAAACATCACAGCACTGGATGTAGTAGTACAGGATGCATTTGAGAGCGGTGTGCACAACATATACAGTTGACCCTTGAAGAACGTTAGGGTTAAGGGTGCTGACCCTTCCATGCAATAAAAAATGAGCATATAACTTCTGACTCTCCAAAACTTAACTACTTATATAACTTACTGTTGACCAAAAGCTTTGCCAATTACATAAACAGTTGATTAACACATATTTTGTATGTCTTATGTATTATGTGCTGCATTCTTACAGTAAGTAAGCTAGAGAAAAGAAATATTATTAAGAAAATTATAAGAAAGACAAAATATAGTTGCTATTCATTAAGTGGTGTGGGATCCTTATAAAGTCTTTTTTTTTCTTTTTTTTTAAACAAAGTCTCGCACTGTCACCCAGGCTGGAGTGCAGCGCAGTGGTATAGTGGTGTGATCTCGGATCACTGCAAACTCCATCTCCCAGGTTCAAGCCATTCTGGTACCTCAGCCTCCCAGGTAGCTGGGATTATAGGTGTGTGCCACCATTCCCAGCTAATTTTTGTATTTGTAGCAGGGATGGGGTTTTACCAAGCTGGCCAGGCTGGTCTCGAACTCCTGGCCTCAAGTCATCCACTCACCTCAGCCTCCCAATGTGCTGGGATTACAGGCATGAGCCACCTCACCCAGCTCATTATAAAGTCATCATCCTCATCATCTTCACTTTAAGTACGCTGAAGAAAAGGAGAAAGAGGAGGGGTTGGTCTTGGTGTCGCAGAGGTGGCAGAGACCTAAGGATATTTGTATATAAGTGAATCTGCACAGTTGAAACCAGTGTTGCACAAGAGTCAACTGTATAGATACGTTTAAAATAGTCTTTAGAATTTTGATATCATGAAAGTCATTATTGATTTCTTATGCAAAGACAGAGATAATTTTACCCCACCTGGAAGCAAATTTTAAAAGTTCAATTTTTACATTTATAAAATCCTTAAGTGTCATAAGGTATACTCTGGGACACTGTGTTAATATAGCAGTTTATTCAGTTTTAAAAATCTGAACCAGAACTTTTTCATAAAGTTCACTGCATATAGGACTTTCTTTTCATGCTCTTACTTGCCAAGTGAATGACCTTGAATTGTGCCCAGCTCCAGCCTTGCGAAGCAAAGGTACTAACAGATATCAAACGAACACTGAGGTGATAAACTATAAGATCCTATTTGAAAATTCAAAGGGTGGTTCTTACCATTTTTCTCTGACATTAGAGGAGGCATGTCACAATCTGAAAGTAGACCTTTGGTCTTTAAACAGTAGCTATGAAATAAGATAGAACATATTCCTACCAACTTAGCAAAATGTATTTTTATTTTGATATATGACAGCACTTTCCCGGGTCGTATTTCACACTGGGCTGCAGGAATATTGCCTGGATTGTATTAATGTGATCATTAATTTGATTTAAAACTAATTCTGTTCTTTTAAGCTTATAATTTAAATTTAAGGTAAAATACCAAAGAAATTTCTTTTCCTTATAGATATAACTTCAAATGTGTCTGTGCATTTTGTAGAATTGGAGTTACAAATTACAGATTTGCAGAACATTATTAAAGAACCATTTAAATGTATAAGATATTAAAAATCCCATTAGTTCAGGGTATATATTTTCCTGACTAAATTAAATAAATTCTATCCAAATCCTATTTTATTCAGCAAGTAGAGCCATCAAGAGAGAGCACTATGGAGTCTGATGACCTGGATTGAACCCAGGTGTGGTAATTGCATATCTGTGTTTCCTTGAGTGAACCACTTATTCATTCCCAGCCTCAGTTTCTTCTTCTGAAAAGTGTGAAAAATCTAAGCATTTACCCCACTGGTTAACTGTGTGCTGCACATAATAGGTTCTCCATAAAAGGTAGCTACAATTATCACATTTTTTTCTATTGCATGCAACCCTATCTTCTGTTAATCTGCATTTACCATTTGTTTCTGCCTATTTTCTTACAATTCTGCATTTTATACTTCTTTCTGTGTACTCGTTAGGATCCTCCAACCTACAGTACAAACTGTATTACTAATTGGCACTATATAATTTACTATATTACTAATATTTAACTAGTACTATTTAATTTAATAATTACTAATCCCTTCCTCACAACGCTTAAGTCACGATAGTCAATAATTATTTATTGAACCCAAGCTTAGCTATTGAAATGTGTAGGTAGATTGTGACCAGATTCAAATGTTAACCTATAAAGAACTGGTAGTTTTAGGATATTTTCCTCCCTTTTTGAAGAACATTGCACACTTTCCCTGGCTGTAAGGGTAGAATGTGAACTAGGCTGGGCTAATTGTATATAAAATCTGCCTTAAGTGTAGATAGTGTCAGCAATAAGAATTTGAACCACAATCAGATCAATCAGGGATTTCCCAAATTTTCTAATGGACTTAGCAAAAAGCCTAATGGACTTACTCTCATCTTTAAAATATGAACAATAATACATCCACTTCATAAAATTGCTTTGATTAGTAAAAGAGTATTAAAGAACTTGGAAATGTCCTGGCATGAAGTAATTTCTTATAGCTGAATACCTGCTGTTATTTTATTGGTATTACTATTGGTATCATCTTTTTTCATGGGTTGCTAAGATGGGAGAATATGGGTCTGTAGCTGAATATGGGTCTCTCGTCTTCTCACCTATTGCATGGGGAATGTCTGAACAAACAATGATAGCAAGCAAAAAAATATATATATATTTAAATATATATATAAAATTAGGAATGAAGAAAGAGACTGTAGCCAACAGATACTGCTGGTGCCTGTGGATCCAACCATGCCCAAAGGCCAGAACATACTATTGGAATCTCCAAATATATGATACAATAAATTTCCATTAAAATAGTGTGAGCCGAATTTTTTGTTATTTGCAATACAAATAGTATGATTGAATAATCTTTCCACTATACCATGTAGCCATCAAATGAGGAATTCCCTGGTAAAATTAATTAATTTGAATGACAAATTTGATCTTCAAGACTGAATTTTTCTGCATGTACATGTGTGGTATTTCTTTTGGGAGAATTATCCAAATAATTTTTTTTTTTTTTTTGAGATGGAGTCTCGTTCTGTCGCCCAGGCTGGAGGGCAGTGGCCCGATCTCGGCTCACTGCAAGCTCCGCCTCCTGGGTTCAAGTGATTCTCCTGCCTCAGCCTCCTGAGTAGCTGGGACTACAGGGGTGTGCCACCACATCTGGCTATTTTTTTGTATTTTTGGTAGAGATGGGGTTTCTTTCTTTCTTTCTTTCTTTCTTTCTTTCTTTCTTTCTTTCTTTCTTTCTTTCTTTCTTTCTTTCTTTTTTTTTTTTGAGACTGATTCTCGCTCTTGTTGCCCAGGCTGGAGTGCAATGGCACGATCTCGGCTCACTGCAACCTCTGCCTACTGGGTCCAAGCAATTCTCCTGCCTCAGTCTCCCAAGTAGCTGGGATTACAGGTGCCCACCACCACACCCAGCTAATTTTTGTATTGTTAGTAGAGACAGGGTTTCACCATACTGGCCAGGCTGGTCTTAAACACCTGACCTTGTGATCTGCCTGCTTCAGCCTCCCAAAGTTCTGGGATTACAGGCGTGAGCCACCCCGCCTGGCCGATCATTTCTTAATTAAATGCTTGACCCTGTCTGCATAGCCATAATGAATTAAGAATGGAAATGATGCTGAAATAGAAGAAAATTTGGAATCATTACTATTGTTCCACCTAATTAGGACACTCATAACGACCAATGAAGAATCTGCAGTGATTTCATTAGAATGATTTGATATTCTAGATGTCCACACTCAGTGTAAACAAAGGAAACAGGAGCTTCTTTGCAAAAACACGCATAGGGGAGTAAGAAAGATACATAATTGCAAGTCTTAATATCTCTGGTCTAAGGATGAGGACGTAAGAGAGCTTTGGGTGTAAAATTATGATTTTTGTCTTCTGCATATTGCATAGCTTGGAATATTAAACAGTTGAAAATAAACTTTCATTTTACCTTTAGTTATTTGAGAATTTTAGAATAAAGTAAGTATGTTGAGAAGCTTCCTATGTGAACAATTTTCTTAATAATTTCTTCATAAAGTTTGCTATATTTTAGCTTGAATTTATGTTCATGAGAGGTATAAAAAATATTTACTATAAGTAATTTATATGTCAACAATACACCTTGTTTCACTTAGCATTCATACATGTTATGAATCTTTCGTTCAAACTTAATTTTACCAGGTAAATATATAAGAGATCTTTAAATAGTAATATTTATATTCCATATCTTTATTCAAGAATAATATTTTGCTCAACATACATATTTGTGTAATGCCAAAAATTTATTCTCCAAACATCTCTCATAATAATGCTTAATATGTAATACAATGTAATACTCAATATAAGACAGTCTCTAATAATCAATACTTAATATAATCCACAACAATAATAATCTGTTGGTGCCTGTACTATAAAAAGGTAATACTTAGAAAAGGTCAGTTAGCTAAATTTTCTCCAAAATTACAAAGTATTTGAAAATTAATTATTACAATATTACATGTCATAAAGTAAGTAAATAGCTATTTTTTCTAGTGATTTTTATTTTATTAAATAAGTGTGTATATACATATAACTGTGTATATTATATATATACATATATACACTTTATATACCTATACTTATTGGATTTATATACCTATATACTTACAGATATATAAAGTATATACTTATGTGTATATATGTATATATTTATATGTATGTACTTATGTGTATATCTGTATATATTTATATGTATATACTTATATACTTATTTATATTTATAAATAAGTGTGTGTATATATATATATACCTTATAAGTGTGTGTGTGTATATATACATACACCTCTATATATACATACACCTCTATATATAGAGAGAGAAAGGTGTATATATACTTATTAGGTATATGTATATACTACTTTTGTGGGTATATCTATACCTACAAAAATAAATGCAGAAATATGCCTCTGACTAGAATAGCTTGAGAGGTGTTGTGAAATATCACCTTGAACTAATTCTTTCACATGAAAATAAGCATGAAGTATGTTTCCATTTATTTGTTAAGAAATAGTCTGAATTTAGCTTGTGGATCCTAGGTTAATACATTTCCTAAAACATTTAAGAGCTTGTATTTTTCACTTCTTTTGGCACTGATTCTCCTCTGTCTTCATTTTACGTTATTCTTTCCCATTTATGCTTTTTTCCTGAGGTTGGTTCTCTATTTCTCTCTCCCTATATCATTTTCTCTTAAGACAGTTGGTGGCATGTGAAGATGGGATTTAACTATTAGCACAATCTTGCCTTTCCATGGCAGCCTTTCCCCTAAGGAACTGGCTTTCCTTTGAAATTGGCTTTAGATCTGACAGGGCTTCTGCAGTTTCACATTACTGCTAGTCCAATAGAGAAAATGAAACCAAGAAATTTGATCAGGTTACCCTAGGGCAAAATAAAAGGTTGGTTTGGGGAAATGCTTAATTTCCATGATCCAGCAGGGATTTACCAGCCTGATTCTCCTGAGAAAATCAGAATCTGGTTTTCCATTTATCCATCCAGCTTTTCCAAATTACCATCTCTAGGTGGTTTCAAAGATAAGAAACTGGAATGGATTCTAAATGTTGAATTCAATTTCTGATATGGAGTTATCTTAAAACATGGGTCAGAACAGCAAGCCCCTCTCCCCTCTCCCTTACCCCAACTACTACCACCAAATAATCTATGTCTTTTAGAGGTCTTTAGTAGATTTACTCAAGAAAAAGATTCAAGGAAACTGAAATAAATGCTTCAGAGTCAGGGACCATGTTAGCCAAAGGTTAAGAATCAGAGACTAGGTTAATTGAGGAACGACTTTCAAGATCTTATATTCTTTTTATCTTTCTTGCTTCATAGAGGGGAATGTTGGGCAATGGGCTGTTTCATTAAGCAATAAGGAGAAAATAATCTGACACCCATTCCTTGCATCATTAAACATCAGATGAACTAATATGCATAGACTCTTGCTATTACTGCACAAAGCCTTTGAAAATGGTCAACATCCACTGCCATGCTTTCTCTGCTGTATTTTTAAATATTCTATATCTGATGAGTAATAAATTCGAGACTAGTTTAATTTTATAAAGGAACTAGATGTGTCCATTCTCCATCATTTGTACAACCTTGTAATATACACATGTGGAAAATTGGGGGCAACATTGCTTCCTTTCTTTGCACGGAACACGGAACAATTTAAATTTGTCACTCTCATTTACTTATTGCAGAGAAAAATAAGGAGCATGTCTTTTGAGGCTTAGCTTTGCATTTCAGACTATACAGGCAAATGTGGGGGTGTCACAACAAATGCAGGTGAAGAGGGGGTACTAATTAAGAACCATCATTCAATATCATTTCTACATTAGATTAAGAAAAATACATTAGAATGCTCCATCTTATTTTTCTCAAGAGGTCAGAATCCAAGCTACTAAACTCATTAGAACAAACATAATCACTTTTTATTCATTTCACCACAGTTCAATCTAAAATTAGGTCTCATTTGACTTTTACCAACATGCCTTCTAAATGCATCATAAGCATTTCTTCATTTTGAAGAAGTTAATACAATAGGCCACATACATCTTTGCCCATATTCATTTTTTTGTCAAATCAAGACAGTTCCTTAGAAGTGTAAAGATTTTTTCTTTGGTTCTAGGGAATAATTTTTCTTCTATAGACTTCCCAGAATACACCTGGGGAAAAGAAGTTTTGATTCACAAAGTGAGTCTTGAGCTCTTGCTAAGATACTGAGAACACCACAGAAAGGGTGAAATTCAAACTGTATGTATGCAAGTATAGTTCTGGTATTTTAACTAAATCAATTTGGACAACCCCTTAGACATTTTTTGTTACTTCACTGATGACAAAATAAGTCTTTCATCACAGTCAGCCTCTTATGTGTATGACTGCTGCCTCATGTGTAATTTACTTCTAAAGATTGAAAATATCTTAATTAATGACCCAAACTTAATAATAATATTGACTTAAAAACAATGCTGTTTCTGCACAAGTGAGGTGAAGTTCAGAGTACAAATAACAGAATAGTTAGGAAAGAAAAACTGCTTGTATATTTTGTACTAAGATTGATTGGCTCTAAGTTATTTGGGTGACTACCTCAGTTATCCACTTTACTTGGAACAGATATGGTTTAAGTCATGGCAATAAAATAAATGTCATAACTTTAAAAATAAATAAACACAATTAACCGATGTTGCAGATATTTCATTCATACAATATTTAGTTTCCAATTTGTTCATATAGATATATAAAAACAAGAAACTACAGTAGTTTATATAAAGAATAACTTTAAAAAATCCGCTCACATGTAAAAAGAAAAAAAGCATATCATATTTGAAATCATGTAATTCTAACTCCCTACATAAGAAGAGAGAAATTAGCATGAGTGAAAGCACAACACGAATTTAAATGTTGAGTACTAGTTCGTTTCCCTTCTATTTTAAATAAATGGACATTCATTATAACATATGATAACATGGCGGTCCGCTTGCTTAAAGTCGATGATAACCGTCATTTTCCATTTGATTTGTGCATACGTTTTGAGTAGTACAATTGTCCCTTGGTATCCATGGAGGATTGGCTCAGAGATCTCTTGTGGATACCAAAATCTGCAGATACTCAAGTTCCTGACGTAAAATGCTGTAGTATGTATGTGCATATAACCTGTGCACATCCTCTCATAATGTAAATCATCTCTAGATTACTTATAGTACCTGACACAATGTAAATGCTATTTAAGGCCGGGCGCGGTGGCTCACGCCTGTAATCCCAGCATTTTGGGAGGCCGAGGCAGGAGGATCACGAGGTCAAGAGATCAAGACCATTGTGGCCAACATGGTGAAACCCCGTCTCTAATAAAAATACAAAAATTAGCTGGGCATGGTGGCACACAGCTGTACTCCCAGCTACTCGGGAGGCTGAGGTGGGAGAATCACTTGAACCCAGGAGGTGGAGGTTGCAGTGAGCCGAGATCGCGCCACTGCACTCCAGCTTAGCGACAGAGCGAGACTCCGTCTCAAACAAAAAAAGAAAAAAAAAATTGTTTCTGTATAGACATATTTTTTCCAATATTTTCTATTTGTAGTTGATTGAACCCATGGAAGCTGAACTCACCAATAGAGAGGGTCAGTTGTATACAAATATGCAGAACACACTAAGTATTAGACACCATATATGTTACAAAGGTGACCGAGACCTGATTCTCCTCAAGTGGAGATGAGCCACCAGCTACAATATGGCAGAGACTAAAATGATCATTTTAGTCTCCATCATACACCATTTATTGGCAGCTTACGGAGTTGGTGTTCCCTTGTTTTGCAACGTAGTTTTCTTTATATCCTTGGAAGTTCATAAGTGAGAGATTCACAACTAGAAAAGGTTTCTGTATGAATATGCAGAGGTAATAAACTGTGTCTTTTAAAGTACCTGAATCAGAGCAGACAGACTAAGATTCAAGTAAGTTTTCAGCTATGTGACTTTCAGTAAAACACTCGAACTCTCTAAGATTCATTTGGTACGTCTGCAAAATGAGAAAAATAAGCGTAGATATCATGGATGCATGTGAGGATTAAATGAGGTAATATGTCAAGCATTTAGCACAGCACCTAATACAATAATCATTACAATAATAATAACACAAAATAAACTACTATTAGTATTAATGAAACTCAAGTTGCCATGTAAGTTCCAAGGAAAATTTCTGTGGAATGCATTTGGGGATCAGAAGCATTCTAGTAGAGAATTAAAGGATTTGTTGATTTAAAACAGACCAAGAAGACAACACAAGTGTTTCAGGAGAAAGGAGTGGAAAAATTAAATGCTGAGTGTTAACAAAACAAGGCGTGATCTTGAGAGAATAAATGTACAGTCAAGCATTGCTTAATGACAAGATACACTCTGAGAAATGCCTCCTTAAGCAGTTTCATTCTTGTGCAACATCTCCGAATGTGCTTACACTGTCTTGGATGGCATAGCCTACCACACACCTAGGCTATATGGTACAGCCTATTGCTCCTAGGTTACAAACTGTACAACATGTTACTACACTGACTACTGCAGGCAACTGTAAACCCATGGTATGCATCTGTGTTTCTAAGCATATTTAAACACAGAGACGGTACAGTAAAAATACAGTATTATACTCTTATGATACCACCGTCATATATGCAGTCTACATACCGAAACGTGGTGTTGGTGGGACATGATGACAGTCAAATTTGAATGAAAGCAAATATTAGGATGTGAGACTAGAAGCACAATTTGAAACATAAACTTCTCGGTTCTTAAATGACAGGCCTAAAAGTCTTTATTGGTCTTTATTTCATAGAGCAATTGAAATCTTTGCTAATTTTTGAAGTTAGTAAGATGTATTGAATATATAGGAAAGTAGATATGAGAAGAAAATTTAGAAGACTGTTACTAAAGTCGAGACAAAGGCCATGAGCTAGGGGGCACTAGAAATAGGAATGAAGGAAGAGAAATGAGAGATAATTATAGGATAAACTTAACCAGACCTAACAAATAAATATATAAGGCCATGCAAAGGAAATCATCCAGGGTCAAATGCTGGATGATTCTTGATGCCTGTCATGGGGCTGAATTGTGTTCCCCCAAAATTTATATGTAAAGTTTGACGCTAGCCCTAACCCCAGAACCTCAGAATGTGACTGTCTTTGCAGATAGGATCATTAAAGAGGTGACTGAGTTAAAATAAGCTCATTACAGTGGGTGCTAATTCGATATAACTGGTATCTTTATGAGAGAAGGAGGTTAGAACATGGACAGGCACAGAGGGAAGATCATGTAAAGACACAGAGAGAAGATAACCACCTACAAGTAAAGGTGAGAGGTGTCCAAAGAAACCAACCTTGACAACATTTGATCTTGGAACGCCAGCCTCCAAACTGTGAGAAAACAAATTTCTTTTGTTTAAGCCACCCAGTCTGGTATTTTGTTATGGCAGCCCTAAGAAATCAATAGAGTGTTATTCACAGAAACGGAGAAAATAAAAGTGGAGCATATTTAGATAGACACAGGTAATTAGTATAATCACAGGCAGGTTGACATGACTCAGGCTTTATAAATTAAGATAATAATGGTTTCCTAATGATCTGGTGCTTATGTTGAAAACATTAAAAGTATAATGCTATAATTTTATTTTGGGGAGAACACACACCTTGTATATTATATTCATCAGATAATTAATGTTAGCTACCATAAAAAGAAATTCTGCCCCTCTCTCAATCTCAATGGCTTCACGAAATAAAAACTTATTTTTTGTTTATATGAATTCACTATAAACATCCAAGTTGGTTCCTCCTTTTTTAAGAGTTAACTCGAAGAGCTTTCTCTCTTTTTTTCTTGTAGTGCTTTTTCCTTTGCTTCTAGCCACATGGATGGAAAGAGAGGTAACTTGAAGAATGGTTTTAAGGCTATGCTTGGAAGTGACACATATTTCTTCCTCCCATATTCTATTGGCTGGAACTCAGTCACATAATTCTACCCAGATGCAAGGCATCCTGGGAAGTCTAGTTTAGCTGTGTCCCCGGGAATAAGAAGATAATAGAATATTAATTTACACATGTAAACTTTGCCTTTTGGGCTACCAGACTTTTAGTGTGCAGAATTATACATAATGGGGAAAGGGAAAAGAGTAGCTAATTCGATATAGGGTATATTTCTATGAAGGTAATTCAGAAGACCATCTGGATTTAGAAATTTCTTCTCAACAATATAAAGATGCTTAGCAATCCCTAAGGTCCAGAACAGGCTTTGAGAAACTTTTTCTGTAAAGGAGTAGAAAATAAATATTTTGAGCTTTTGATGCCACATGGTCTCTGTGGAAACCACTGAACTCTTGTTACTGCAGCACAAAAGCATCTAAAGACAATATGTAAATAAATGAGCATGGCCTTCCAATAAAACTTTATTTACAAAATTAAAAAAAAAGGCAAACCAGATTTGGCTTACAGGCCATGGTGTGCCAACCCTTTTCACAGCATATTAGGTAATTTGTCATTTTGCAAGTATTTCATGCTTGTGCTCAGGTAATTGTGCATGGGCAGCGAGCCTAGCTAACTGCCAGCACCATCAACAGTGGCTTTGCCCATTATCCTCAGCAAACTAAAGCAGGAACAGAAAACCAAACACTGCATGTTCTCACTTACAAGTGGGAGCTGAACAATGAGAACACATGAACACAGGGAGGGGAACAAAACACACTGGGGCCTGTCAGGGGAGGGTGGCATTGTGGGGGAGTGGGGAGCATCGGGAAAAGTAGCTAATGCATGCCGGGCTTAATACCTAGGTGATGGGTTGATAGGTACAGCAAATCACCATGACACATGCTTACCTATGTAACAGAACTGCACATCCTTGGCCAGGTGTGGTGGCTCATTACACACCTGTAATGCCAGCACTTTGGGAGGCCAAGGTAGGCAGAGGTCAGGAGTTTGAGACACATCTGTCCAACATGGCAAAACCCTGTCTCTACTAAAAATACAAAAATTAGCTTGGCATGGGGCCACATGCCTGTAATCCCAGGTACTCGGGAGGCTGAGGCAGGAGAATCACTTGAACCCTGGAAGAGGAAGTTGCAGTGAGCAAAAATCACACCACTACACTGCACTCTAGCCTGGGCGACAGAGTGAGACTCCATCTCAAACAAACAAACAAACAAAAACCTGCACATTTTGCACATGTATCATGGGACTTAAAAAAAAAGAAAAAGTGGCATTGCTCTTTGCCATGCTCTAATTTACTTGGTCAAAGTACATGGAGTATCATTTGCCAAGAGAAAAAAAAACAAAAACAAAAACAAAAAATACCCTAAGTTACTTTGTAAAAACTGACCTTAAAATCAAAGATAACTACTTCAGTTGATTATGAAAGTAAAGAAGAAGTGAGGAGCCCAAGAAAATGGTAGAATATAGCTAGGAGATGTCACAGTTAATTTCTTTTATTTTGATTTGTCTCAGAAGAAGGGTGTTTTTTCTTGCCTGTAAAGATAACTTTTCTTGATTTCATGATTTCTTAAATCCAGAGGAATCTTTTAATCAACCTAATTTTTAGCTGTCACCTCCATTCTGTCCTTCTACACTGGCCAATCTCTTTTACATTGTAGTACATTGTAGGTGTCTTCTCATGATATTTCTGTCTCTAGTTTTTCCGATCTGCCAAACTGCACAACAAAGCACGTGTGAATCAGACAGATAGGAGTTTGAGTTCTCCAGTCTTTCACTCTTTAACCTTGTGACTCAGAAACTTCACTTTACATCCCTCAATCCTCAAGTGTTCATTCCTAAAAGTTGGCAAAGGCACAATATTAAACTCAAAGATTTGTTTGGTTTTGTCTAGATTAAATGAGTTAACCTATATACAGACCACTAAACTCAGTGTTTGGAACCTAGTTAAGAGCTTGATATTAGTTTATTAGTATTTTAATTTTTCAGTAATTCTATCCTCAATGCAATATGATTACTAGAACCCAAGTTGTACCAACATTTCTCTCACTAATGTCACCAATGGCTTTGTGGGGTGGGGGGGCTATAAAGGTTTTTATTCATTTAATATTGTTAAACATCACTTCCTCAGCATACTTCTTTGCTATACTGTTCACGTCACTGTACTCTGCTGTTTATCTCCTACCTTTATGACACTTCTTTCTTCATATAATTTGATGGTTTCCTTTCTCTGACTCCTAAATGAAATGCACAGAGCTTATTTCTGTACAACCTTGCTCCCCACACTCACTCTCATTAGAACTCTTTCTTTGCAGGGAATCTCAACAACCCCTGAGAACAAGTCAAACACATTCCTTACGTTCTGTTTTAAGCTCTCACATTTGCGACTCTTTATCTGCTATTTCCATGGGTGTATATCTCACCCATGACAAAGTATACTCCAAACCAAACTGATGACGTTTGAAACGTGAATAGTCTTGCTAAGTTACCATCATTGTTCCCATTTCCCAGGCTTGAAACTTTTGTCATTTTCTACCCTCCTGCATCTTCTTCTCTTGTATTTATTCAGTTCTCAAATCCTGCCCTTCCGTCAAAATATCTGCCCTTCCCTCATCTCCTTGATAAGGTCCTTAGATCTCATGCCTGAATTAATTTCTGCCCTAAAAGTCTATTTTTCCTTCCACCCACCTACCTATTCATCCATTCATTCAATGAGTATTAATGCTCTACCATGGGCCAAGCATCCTGAGGTCTCTACTATGAAAAATACGTGAAATATCAATCCACTCCTAGCTTTTCAGGGTATATATTCTCTTGGACGACAGTGGACATTGATAATGCACACATGCTATGGAATCAAATAGTCTTCTGTTAAAGTCTTGGATCCTTTATTTCCTACAACCTTAGACGATTGACTTAACCTCCCCATGACTCATTTTCTCATGTGTAAAATTTGGATAGTAATGGTACATCCTTGATAGATATTTTGTGACTATGAATTAGGTGGTGGCACATCTAAGCCTTCACACTGTGTCAAATATCTAATAAACCCTCAATAAATATTAACCATTATAATTATTACCAATAAAAGCAGAAAGGAACATTGTCATGACAAGGCTATGTGTGATTAAAAGCCAACATGAGAATTATCTAGAGTAGCAGTGATTCAAGGAAACTGAGGTGAGCTGTGACCCTTCTGGGGCCAGTTCAATGAACAACCCAACACAAAGACAGGTTTCATTTATGAGTGGTGCTGGGTGAGACTGTATATGGGGGTTGATGGCTTCTAATAATAAGCCAGGACCTGTCAACTTCCTCCTGTTCACAATGTGGAGACCGTTTAGATTTTGGAGTTGAAAAATAATGTGATAAAATCAGGTTTTTTTTTGTTTGTTTGTTTTTTTGAGATGGAGTCTCTCTCTGTCACCCAGACTGGAGTGTGGTGGTGTGATCTCAGCTCACAGCAAGCTCCACCTCCCAGGTTCACACCATTCTCCTGCCTGAGCCTCGAGTAGCTGGGACTACAGGTGCCCACCACCATGCCCGGCTAATGTTTTTGTATTTTTTAGTAGAGACGGAGTTTCACTGTGTTAGCCAGGATGGTCTCGATCTCCTGACCTCGTGATCCGCCCGCCTCGGCCTCCCAAAGTGCTGGGATTACAGGCTTTAGCCACCACGCACGGCCAATAAAATCAGTTTTAAAACAACTTGAAATCATAGAGCAACCCCTTATTCCTTTATGCATGCTTTGCCTGCCCTCTGTTAAGGTCAATTGCATAATATTTTTCCCATTTAAATATTGCATTTTTCCAAGTGGAATAAGAATGACTAGGTGTTATTTTGAGGATAGGAGATATTCAGCAAATACTTGATCATTTATTGAAATATAACTGTTTTGATTGAGCACAGAAGTAAGGAATTTTTGAATCACTTCCTTTTGTGAAGGTGCATTTATTTTGCCACTTTATTCCATGGCTACATTCTGTACCATTAGACTCAGGTTAATTTATCGTTAAAAATGCCTGTGGTGTTTTGTTTCAATGTCTACAAATGTCAACCAAGTCATCTCTAATACTTTAAAAGTAAATTAAACTCCAAATCAACTGATTATGATTCTGAGGTGCAGTCTTCACAATGATTAGGAACTTGATTATTTAGTAGAATTGTGCATAGGTGTGAACATCACCACTCTTTTCTGCACTGTGAGAAGAAATTACTTCATATAAATGGAAGCATCTTATTTGGCTCTATGTGGTGGTTTTGATGGTTTTTGACCAAACACTATGATTATAGAGGTCAATGAGCTATTTAAAATAGGTTCTGTCTCAGAATAAAATACATTTTGTTCATAACTTTGCCAGCTACTATGTCAAGCCTATATTTACTAAGGGCCTTCATGAAATGTCTGTTTGGAAGAATCAGTCTGTAATGGCAGTGATGTGTCAAGGAAAGACCAAACAGCCTTAGTGAATGCATTTTACCTGGTGTGGGTTGCACGTACCTGTAACAGGAAAGATTCCTTTGTCTTTGGGCAGTACAGTTAGGCTGGCAGGGTGGTGGAGGATTCTGCCTGTGCTTTCCAGCTCATAGCAGGATGTTCACTTTTATTTACTTCCTGAGTACCCTTCAAGCGGTACTGTTATCAGAGCTGCATTTGAGATGAAAGGGATCCCTATTATGGCCCAAACTGAAACTCTCCACAGGACACCTCTGTTAGGAAGGCAGGAATTCTTTCCAACTTTAGACACTGAAAGGAACTATTGCTTCTTTGTGATATGCAAGGTATTTTATATTTTTTACTTTGATATTTTAATGCTTATTACTCTAATCTCAGAGGAAATTTTAAAACATACTAATGTTCCATTTATTCCAAATATGTATAAAATAATTTATTCTTTTTCAAAGAGAGACACTGTGTTTACCATCTGCAGATTAGGTATGCATTATGTATGTACATAAGCACTTATGAACGAATGGATGAATGATGATTTAGGTGGTATTATAGGCTCTTCCTTTCTCCTAACATAATTTGCATAAACAGTGGTCTCAGAAATACATTTCCCCTGATTCTTTATTTGCAGAGCCCAGGAAATGCTTGCAAAGTCTGAGGTTCACAAAATGGATCTGGTTGGTAGTTGTGTGCCTGTGTATATCTTCCCATTTCTTTTAAATTCTTAATGACTTTTATGTAAGTTTACTTTACCACTTTGATCCCAGAATACCACATATTTTATGGCAGGGCTATTTATTACTTAAAGAATGTAAAATAAAGGTATAAAAATGTCTTCTAGGTGAGGCATTTTTAGTATATATTCTGTGTTTACTTTTTTTTTCTTTTTTCTCTTTCCATTACTTCTGCCTATTTATGGAAGCAATGTTTTAGGCTTGTTCTTTTCTGACTTTACTAATGCACTTTTCTGACTTTAATATGCACCAAAGTTGCCCTGTTTAACAGCTTTCTCTGTATCCTTTTACTAACGTTCAGTGTCTTGGGAACCAAGCGCAAAACAAAGTCATCCATCTTGAACTAATATACGAGCTTACACCTACTGACAGTAGTAAATACAAAATTGGTGATGCTCTCCACCACTGGAATTCCATTTAACTACCAATTCCCAAGGAGACTAATTCATTTACCAACGGATATGAACAAAACCACACTCACTATTTCAGAGAGCATATTGTATTTTCCCTCTTTCAGATAATTCTAACGAGGGGCTGTTCCACCTCACATCTTCGATCACATGGTGGTGAGAAAACCCTATAACTTAAAGGAGAGGAGTTTATTACAGTAAGTATAAAACAGAACAAAACAGCTGGGCTTCCACAGCACTTTATGGGAAACGTCTTCTGACCCTTCTATAAACAATTCCTTTGGTAAAGTCCCCATTTTATGTTGGTTTGCTCTGTCATTGGCGTAGAGTTATGGCTTGAGTAAATTCTTGTTGAGGGTTTCAAGGTTGGCATGGGAATGCCTTTCTTTTCGAGATCTTATAGTAGATGTGTGTAATTCATCAATTGTGGAACATATGCCATGCTTTATTCACAAACTTTGAGAGAAGTTAATTGCCAGCTATCACCTTCAAAATCTGGCACCAGAAATTGATATCTAAATCATTTGAGTAAAAATTAGTTTGTAAGGCTTTGCCAGTTACTCCTAGCAAATATATTAGCTTATCCAAATGAAAATAATTTTAGTGTGGTTTTATGATTTTCAAAAGCTTGTTATTTATGCTTCATTTCATATCTTGGTAAGCATTATAGGATTTCACTATATCTAAATTTTGGAGTGGGTGTGAGAATTAAAGACATAACTAAATTGCTGGAGAAAGTCAGGTTATAAAAATTTAATTTGTATTTTATTTGAGTAGCATTTAAAGGAAAAATGTGTTTTCTATATGTACATTAGACTTTTGATATTTTATGTGTGTTATAAAGCATAATATCCTCCATATATTTACTTTGTAAAGAAAAAAAGGTTATGAATATAACACAAACTTATTTATTCCTGTTCTCTTTTTAAATTGAACTGTTAACAATTACCAATGCCTTGAAAACTCACAAGAGTGCATTAGGCAATATACTTTCACAATTAATTGGTTATTAGATCATTAACAAAATTTTAAATGTTTTTTCTTCTGCTTATGGTACCCAACTGTTGCATAAAAGAACAGCTATGACACGTTATTTGATGAAATGCCAGTTTTAAAAAACCTTTTTTAGTTTAAAATAATTGTGTCTAGTCCTCACCTAATAATCAGCTGAAAGTTGTTAACTTTTATATTTGAGTCTAATTTTGAGAATAAAAATATAAGCTGCAGGAAAGTGTATTTTTTCATTAGATAAAGCAAATAACACATGTTTCATGTATAAGAATTTTGGTTGATTACCCTGTGTGTAAGATATTCTTCAATTAATCAGTTCCAGCTGTTTCCACAAGAAACAATTTTTCTTTGGGCATGTGTAATAGAAAAAAACACATCAAGTTGGGCATAATGTGTTTTTTTTGTATTTCCTCTTAAGCAATTCATTCAAATTTAGATAAATTTCAAGTTATTTTATTTTGAAGTAGGCAAGCTATATTTATTTCACTTTGTTTCAAATGCAAATGGTTAAGTGTTTTGCATTCTCATCAGTAAAGAGTCCTATGACTAAATCATAATTTAATGATCTCTTCCTAAAGAGATGATGCAAAATTTAGATCTGAGGAAAGGATTCTTATTTTTATCTATTTAGGCTGATCTTTCTATAAAATCTCTGCGGGCTTCCTTTGTTGTTCAAATCATAAAGATGAAATCCATATTGTGAAAGATAATGTATTTTATTATAGAAATATGGATTATTGAAATAAGTCTTCACATATGAAATGATATTTTATGCATTGTGATAATGTGCTTTTTCTCTGGAGTTAGGAAATTGTCTCAGTTTTATCAGAAACAAGAGTTAGGCCTTTTTATTTAAACTATCATATATAATTTAGGTAAACTGAAAGAAAAAATATTTTATATTTAGCAACATCTTTTCCATTTTCAGTGTTCTTTACTTCTTTATAAAGATCTGAGTTTCTATCTGGTATAATGTCCTTTCAGCCTTAAAAATGACTTTTAGTGTGTCTTACATATAGTGTAATTCTAATGATGATAATCCTCTTAGTTTTCATTTATCTGAAAATATCTTTATTTTACCTAAATATTTGAATATTTTCACTAGATAAAGAATTCTGGGTTGACGCCGGGCATGGTGGCTCACGCCTGTAATCCCAGCACTTTGGGAGGCCGAGGCGGGTGGATCACGAGGTCAGGAGATCGAGACCATCCTGGCTAACACGGTGAAACCCCGTCTCTACTAAAAACACAAAAAATTAGCCGGGTGTGGTGGCGGGCGCCTGTAGTCCCAGCTACTCGGGAGGCTGAGGCGGGAGAATGGCGGGAACCCGGGGGGCGGAGCTTGCAGTGAGCCAAGATGGCGCCACCGCACTCCAGCCTGGGCGACAGAGCCAGACTCTGTCTCAAAAGAAAAAGAATTCTGGGTTGACAAGATTTTTTTGTTTGTTTTTCTTTCAGAACTTTTAACTTGCTATAAACAGTATGTAATGTGTTGTTTTTCTCTCTGGCTGTTTTCAAGGTTTTTTTATTTTTATTTTTTGGCAGCTTGATTATTATGTTTATTATGTACTTAGGTGGGGCTTTCTTAGTATCATCCTTCTGAAGGTTTGCTGGGATCCTTGAATCTATTAATGCCTGATTTTCACCAAATTTGATAAATTTTCTGCCATATTTCTCCAATATATTTTTATGCCTCATCTCTCTTTCTTCTGTGGAAAATTCAATTACACACATGTAAAACGTTTTGAGGCTCTATACAATTCCACTCCCAACCCCCATCCCCAATCTTTTCTCTCTCTGTTTTTAAGGCTAGAATATGTCTATGGATCTAGCCTCAAGTATGCCAGTTCTTTTCTCTGTTATCTCAAATTTGCTGTTAAGCTAAGTGAAAATTTTAATTTCTGATATTATTTTTTCAATCCTAGAATAGCTTTCTGGTTCTTTTTTAAGAATTCTATTTTTCTGTTTAGGTTTCTCAATTTTAGGTTCATTTTGAAAAATATTAATATATTATTTTATTCCTTAAGCACAATTACAAGTGTGCTTTAAATTCCTTGTTTTCTAAGTCCAGTGTTTAGTAGGTCATCTCAGGGGTCATCTCCGTTGTCTTCTCTTTGAGTATGGAACACATTGTCCGGTTTTATCATATGTTGAGTCATTTTGAATTGTTTTCTGGTCATTGTAGAGATTTCAGAATCTGTCATGTGCTCCAAATTATATTAACTTCTGTTTTGACTACCAGGCAGTAAATGTAGCAGAAATCAAACTATAGTGTCCTTTAAAGTGGATGGTTGCTGAAATCTCAATTCAATTCTTTTAACCTCAGCAGAGCTGTTTGGAGACTGTCTTGCTGTCTTAGTTCTGGCTGCTGTAACAGAATACTATAAGCCAGGTGGCTTATAAACAACAGAAATGTATTTCTCAAGGTTCTGGAGGCTGGGAAGTCCAAAATCAAGGTACTGGAGGATTTGTTTTTTGGTGAGGGCCAGTTTCCTGGTTTATAGGCAGCCACGTTCTCCCAGTGTCCTCACATAATGGAAGGGGTGAAGGAGTTCTCTGGGACTTCTTTCATGAAGGCACTAATCCCAGTCATATGGGCCCCACTATCCTGATCTGATCACTCCCCAAAGGGTTCATCTCCAAACACCATCTCATTAAAGATTAAGTTTCAACATATAAGTTAGGGGGCAGGCACATATATTCAGTCTATAGCACCCACTGATGCATGTTTCAGAGGATAGCCAGGGATTGGGCATCATTTACACATAGAATATGGGGCTTTCTCCTTGACTGATTTCTCCTCAACATTTTCCAGTTGCTCTGTTGCCCAAGCTCCGTCCCTTGCTTCTTCAAGCCAATAACTGCAACTTTACTTTCCTCGTTTTATCCACCTAGAATGGGCAGACTGGGTCTTGATCTTCCCTAAAAGCTGTAAAATAGGAAACTTACCCAGTGTTGTTCCCTTCTTCCAGTTGTCTGCCCCCTTCACTATCTGCCTGTTTTGGATTACTTTCCAGTGTTTTCAGGTACTTACATTTTATATTTTGTCTATACTTCGTAGTTGTTTTGTTTTGTTTTGTTTTGTTTGAGACAAAGTCTTGCTCTATCACCCAGGCTGGAGTGCGGTGGTGTGATCTCGGCTCACTGCAACCTCTGCCGCCCAGACTCTAGTAATTCTCCTGCCTCAGCCTCCTGAGAAGCTGGGATTACAGGCGTGCACCACTGCGCCCAGCTAATTTTTGTATTTTTAGTAGAGATGGGGTTTCACCCTGTTGGCCAGGCTAGTCTCAAACTCCCGACCTCAAGTGATCCACCTGCCTTCGTCTCCCAAAGTGCTGGTACTACCGGTGTAAACTACCACACCTGGTCTATACTTCATAGTTTTAGGGTTGGTTGGTTCTGAAAGGACCCATTATTAGAAATCTATAACTTCACATTGGAAAGAGTTCTCATATTACAAACCTTTGAAAACATAATTTTATTGGCTGCTTCATTACAGGATTGCAGAATAATCTATTAGTTTAAACAATGTGAAATTGTCATTTTTCCAGGTCAGAAATGCTCAGATAATGGTAATTTCATATGGTTTAAACTAGTAATTATGTTCTTAGATATTTATAATTTATTTTATCATTGAATATCTATGGGAATATAGAGTTTCCTGTAGTTCAGTTTGCTTACATCGTATAGAGTGTTAGAAGGAGAATGCCTGGGTCTAAATTTATGTACGTCTTTAAACCCCTTCAATATAATTGCTATTTTTGTTATTAAATTGTAATGTAAATAACATGTAATTTTTTTGTAAAATGGTTGCATACATTAATGATATTTAATATGGCTTTCATCCTACAATCGTGTCATGCAATTACATTTTGGCTTTACTATTTTTTCTTTGGCAAAATATTATCAAGTTATTTAATTGATTTGTGTTTGTTCCTTATTATCCACACTGAATATATTCATTATGGTTGTTAGCTTCTCTACTTCATCTTTGGGTAAATGTATCAGAATATTTTAAGTACCCAGAAATATTTGAGACTTTCATCATCAAATTTCCTCCTTTATCCATATTTAAGACTTTAAAATCTGCTTAAATTTAGGAATTTCTAAAAATAATTTCAAATTTTATCTTAGATTCAGTGGGTACATGTGCAGGTTTGTTACATGGGTATATTACATGGTGCTATGGTTTGGGGTGTGAATGATCCTGTCACCCAGGATCATCGAGCATAGTACCCAGTAATTAATTTTGCAATCCTTAGTCCCCTCCTCCCCTCCCTCAGCTACTAGTTCCCATTGTCTAGTGTTGCCATCTTTATGTTTATGGGTACTCAATCTTTCACTCCAAGTTGTAAGTGAGAACGTGGTATTTGGTTTTCTGTTCCTGCCTTGATTTGCTTAGGATAATGGCCTTCAGCTGCATCCATGTTGCTAACGAGGACACAATTTTGTTATTTATTTTATGGCTGCATGGTATTCCACGGTGTATACATTTTCGTATCCAATACACTGTTGATGGGCACCTAAGTTGATTCCATGTTTTTGCTATTGTGAATAGTGCTGTGATGAACATATGAGTGAATGTGTATTTTGGTAGAACTATTTATTTTCCTTTGCATGTATACCTAGTAACAGGATTGCTGGGTTGAATGGTAGCTCTGTTTTAAGTTCTTTGAGAAATCTCCAAACTGCTTTACACAGTGGCTGAAATGATTTACATTCCCAGCAACAGTGTATAAGCGTTTACTTTTAGGAAACTTTTAAGATGGCTTCTATATGCAAGTAATAATATTTGAAAATGTGTTCTATATTTGTATTATTGTGCATTCACTCAGATACAGAAAAAGGAATCTAAGTCAATAAGTGTTTCCTGTTTGGAGAAAACTCAATATATGGGCAATACAAGTGTTATATATAAAGCTCTTGCCTGGTTATGTGACCTTAAGTGTTGTAGTATGAGCTGGCACAAAACTCTCTAAGTGAGAAACAGAAAGGATATGGCATAAGAGAGAGTAACTAATCCCCATAAGATAAGGCAAATTTTTCATGTCAATATAAACAGACGATTTGGAACCCTTGCTGTGGGCTTACTGTACTGTGGCATAGTGCTTTGAATGCCTAAGAAGGTTTGTCTGTTTATCATATTCTGAAAAACAACATGAAAATAATAAATTGATAGGTCTCATTTAACCCCTGGAAGACAATAAATCCAATGCAATGCTTGTAAAAAAACTGAGTTATGTTTGTGTTAGCACAGTGCATCACATACTAGCAACCTGTGATTTCAGTACATGTCTGCTAATTAATTTATTTTGTAGGAAAATAAAGTTAATTGAAAGCATGAAATATGGTTCCTAAACTATGCATGGAGAGGGCTAATTGGTCCATGGCTTTTTAAAAAAACGGATAAAAATATGCCTTAAAAGGATGTCCTATTATACCTTAGTTCAAAAGAATAAAGTCCCCACCCATGTCTAAATGTATGCTAAACCTTAAGAATATCTTAAAGCAAGAATAGTAAATACCTAACACATGAGAATTATCTTTTGTATAATATCTGTGATAGAAAACATTAGTAGGTCACTTTAACCTTTCCTGCTCAGCTCCGATGCAGGGTCAGGATCCTTTGGACACAGTGTTTCAGTAAGTCACTACCAATCAGTTAGGTTAGTTTATGAAATGAAGAGTTTTTTTTGCCATGTATACACCTCTTACTAAACAACCTATAACAAGAGAATAATCTTACCTAGAAATGTACCACGAAGAAGAATTATTTTGATTTTAAGAAACAGGAAACCATCGAAACTATTTTACATGAAACATTTTTTTGTCTCACCCGGCTACAAGGTCAAGTTGTATTCCAGTTTCAGCTTTTAATAAAAAATAACCTTTCAGTTTATTTGAAGATCTAGGTCTTGGAATATAATTCTCAAGTATCTGTCTCTCTCCTCTTTTCTCTATGGTGACTTTATTCTCAGGAAGGCTCTTTCTAAGTGGTGATAAGAAGAAGGGAGTTTCTCCTGCCTTATGTCATACCTCTGAGCAACCCTCAGTTTTTTCCTAGTAGCTCATAAATCCAAGGTAGGTTTCTCATTGGCTTCTGTTGGGTCTGATGCCCTTCATAGCTTTAGTCCCCATAGACTTAGGAGTAGAAAATATTGGCTGGTCGTGCCTGGGTCACATGGACCAGGGGTAACTAGAAAGCATTGGAATTAGCCTCAATTCGGCCACATAAACATAGGAGATATTATTCCCTAGGTCCAACCAGGCTAAATGAACGGAGATAAATGCTTGGCAAGCAAAAAACAACAGGTATTCGTGGTAGCTTCCATTCTTATTTTTCTTAACTATTCTTCTGAAATTGTTCTGACGACAGAGATTACAGTTGCATTAAGGATAAAGTTTAAGCAGTTATAATAAAAGTCTCCAAAGGAGATTGGCTCAAATTGAAAGGGGACATTCAATTTTTTATGGTATTAAGTAGGTTCTGATCCTCAGAGTCATGTAGGAATTCAGGCCAGAGTGGGGTTTCTTTGTCATCCTCAACATGAGCCTTTTACTACTGTGGGTTAGTCAAAAGGAAAAGGAGAAGTGAATCTAGATGATCTTTAAGTAGATGAGCTGAGAGTTGCCAACAGCATTTTTCCTCATGTCTCTTTGGTGAGAACCTAGTCCTAGAACCAAACTAAGTCAAAAGAGTGACTAGAAAATTTAGTCTTTAGGTTAGCGGCCCTGTGTCCAGAAGGAGAAAAAGAACTAGGCCGGGCGCCATTGGCTCTCGCCTGTAACCCCAGCACTCTGGGAGGCCGAAGCGGGCGGATCACGAGGTCAGGAGACCATGCTGGCTCACATGGTGAAAATCAGTCTCTACCAAAAATACAAGAAGAAATGAGCCGGGCGGGTTGGCGGGCGCCTGTGGTCCCAGCTACTCCCGGGGCCGAGGCGGGAGAATGGCGGGAACCCGGGGGGCGGAGCTTGCGGGGAGCCGAGGTCGCGCCACCGCACTCCAGCCTGGGCGACAGGGCCAGACTCCGTCACATACAACAACAACAAAAACAACAAAAAACAGATTAGTGGGCAGAGGAAGTGGAGAACAACCTGTGGCTGCCACAAGCTCTTGTTGGTCTTTCCTTTTTCTCTAACATGTTTCTGTTACATTGAGTGGAAAACATACTTTCAAAAACAACTGGAAAAAAAAAGAAAAGGAGAAACTTCATTTTGGCTATGTGTCTCTGTAAAAAGATCAGCCTTTATGCTCCTGGTATTACTCGCTATCCCACTATTCGACATTTGTCTTGTTTGCTGCAACAGAATAATAATAAATAAAATTATCTTCAAAGATGGCAGTGACTTTTCATCCTGTAAAATGATACAAGATTAAAAACTTGGAGATTTTTTTCAATATATTCTCGGCCATTAACCAGTTGTACAACTCTGATAAAATTTCTGAACCTTACTCTTTTCAGATATAAAAAGAAGCTATGGAAGATTATGTTTTCTGAGGTCCCTTCCAGACTGAAAAGATTTCGTACCATGTTGGAAATAGAGAGGTTTAGAAGAAATTCTCATCCTCCAGACATATGAGGACTTTCTCCAACAAATAGGAATTCATCCTATAACTCAGTTCACAGGCCTTTGAGATAAGACTTGGGGGCATAGGACTTTGGAGCAAACCATCAATAGGAGAGAAAACTAGTCATTGTAGGCATTGCTGATTGGAGGGTGGGAAATCCTTCTGACCTGCACAAGTAATCAATGGATGCCTTAAAGCATGAGATTTGAAAACACTTAACATTATCTTGGCTACATAATTATAATGTTATTAATGGCCACAAAGTTTCTTAGCCTTTTTAAAAAATCCAGTGAAAGTATTTGATTTCATGACCTCCCAGGGCTGAATTATACATATTAATGATCCATGGCATGCAATACAAGATTTTACCTTTTTAGTTGTTCCAGAATTATTGCCCTTTGATTTTTAATACATATCCTTTTGTTCTTGTATTAAAGGACAAGTTAAAGGAGTAGTGACTCTGTCAGGATAACTCTGCAGAATTAATATGGTCTTTTTAGCTTTATTAATATCAAAGCTGAAGTGGCTGCTTTGTACTTTCAAGGTTGCTTTTGAAGGATCTATTCCTCAGTGGAACATCCTGCTTCCTGCTTTTTATTTTTTATTTTTATTTTTTATTACAGCAGTTGGCCGGAAAGCCCCTGTTGATCTGTGACTATTTGGAACTGCTAGACTGAAATGCCATTTTCAAAACTCCAGCTCTTCTGCTAAACAATTTTTCTAGGAATGATGCCACATCACTAGCTACTTGTATTTGCCAAAAGGCAATACTACTTCAATGGCCCTAGCTCTGGGAATGATACCAAATGATGGTTCAGGAGGGAGGGAGGGAGGCAGTAAATCAGCAGGAAAAGCTGAAAAATGCCCCAGCTTTTAATAGCTTTTATCTTTTTCCAGATGACTGGCCTCTCTCTCACCTTCTGCTTCTATTCATGATAGGGCCCTTTTCTCCCCTATTTTTGTGGCTTGATATTAGTATTTTCATTCGAAACGGCCGTCCTCAATTATCAGAGAGAAAATTCACACCTTTCAAAGCTACGGCAATCACATTTCCATGTGACTCATAAGTATATCTTCTTTCTCTAGCACCTAGGTGCAACTGTGGGATGCCTGATAGATTAGGATTGTATGTTGAATGGGAAATGGGTCTGAACCAAGTGTCAGACAGTAGAATGGGAGCCAGGGGAGGGTTCCAAAGCAGCAGCAGAAGGTATCTCTAGCAAGCATCCGCTCTGGCTGGGGACTGTCTTCTGGTTCCAGCCTTACTGGAAGCTCAGGCTGTAGAGTTGTGAATTCCTGGGGCCAGGCAAGCCTAGATGTGTTGCCTGCTTTTGATAATGTATCAAAAATATGAACTCATCCTTGGAAGCGACAGCTATGAGGTGTTTCTTGGATGTAGAAATTTAGGTCATCTGTCTTCCTTTTGCATTGCCTTAAAAAGTACGATTTCCTTTCTTGGTTTATCATTTGCTGGCCTTCTTTCTTTCCATCCTTCCTCCCTTCCTTCCTTCCTTCCTCCCTTTTTTCCTTCCCTAGACTTTCCCTATCTCCCTCTTTTCTTTCGTAAAATTTGGTTGCCTGGGATAACGTGTATTGCATACAAGCTGACTTCCTTACTGTCCCTAGTAAGCTATGTGTGGCTATTATTTCTTCATTTATATGCAATGCCAGAAGCTTAGAAGAATGTTATCTCCCTTTCAGTTAAAAACTCATAGTTAAGAACTGGCCATCTTCTTGTTTTGGGTATTGTGGCTTGGTACTGTCTAATATATTTGGAGGGTATTTGATTTTTTAAAAAGCTACTGGCCATGCCTATTGAGTTTCCTACTGAGCCCAGCACCCAGACCAGTGATTGATTAAATAGTAGCTGCTCAATAAATATTTGTTTTGTAAATAATGATTCTATTGTCAAGAAACAAATCACCAAGAAAGAAGGAGCTATATATTTAAGAGTACTCTGTTCATCTGGCCAAAATGGAGTTCCGAGTCCCTTGCTCAGCTGATGTTTGTTCACCCAGAAGATGGTAAACTCCTGAGACCAACTTCGCTTTGTTGTTCTCTTGTGGTTCCTTGACCTTGGAAATGTTTTTCTACAGGCAGAGTATTTCCCCCTGTTGGAATTTTATTTAATATTCTATCTTTGTTTCTACTTTAGAAAACATGCCACGTGAATAATGATGCCTCAGGCAAAAGAAATCACTCCAGCAGTACAATTTAAACTTAGGACAAATCCTGCCCTCACTTGCATTCACAATTTGCCAAGGCAGTTGGTAAGAACTGTGCCCACACACAAATTGACAGAATCGAGGCCCCAAGGTTAGCGATGATTAAAATTTAAAAGTCCATTCATTCATTTTCAAAATATTTTATTCGATTGCTTCTGAGGCAGAATCATGAGTTGCCTTCGCTTTTGCTGCTCCCGGTGGTGGCATCCAACTCTGAGGATAGCTCATCCAACTCTGAGGGTAGCTCTGAGGGGAGCTAAATATCCTCATTGTTCAATGAGCTAGATGAAAACAAAACGAGGCTGTAAGGTCAATCTCACAGCCTTAGTGGAGTAAAAATTAGAAGTCAATAATTCTCTTACCAACAAAGAGGACTTGCATTCAACAGGATTTTCAAAAGTGGTATCCTGTAAAAATTTTGGAAAATACCACCATAATGGAAAAAAAATAAAGTGGCATATAAATCAAATGTAGTGCTAAAAATTATAATTTTTCCATATGAATTTTGGAATCCTAAAATATTTTTATGTGTTTGTGGATTCATAAGGCATCAGAACTGGCTTTTTGCACTGAATATGAGTACAGAAGGCTTTCCTCTCCAATAGTGAATTAATAAAGGATAAGTAGGAAAAACGTTACGAAACGATGTGGTAACATTATAGACTCTGTATTAGGGCAAAAATTGTGAGATAGTAGAAGATCTGTAAATTTAAGCATGCACAATTTGACAGCGGATGGTCGTAGCATATTTTGTAAATTCAATAGCAAGCCCCACCACGCCCTTAAATGAAGGAAAGCAAGAAGACAATTTTTAATACGTACATGGCACCACACCCCTCTAAGACGCAGCAATGGGAGAAAAGCAGATTGGCGACCTGTGTGTGCAACATGAACCGAGTGAAACCATCGGGGAGGGGGTGGGGGGCGTTTCTTTTAAATGTCGCTTTTGCAGATAAACGAGCAGGGATCCTACCTCTTTTGACCGGAGATGTTGAAAAGCACGACCAAAGTTTTTGGCTTGGTCTCTTGCTTTCCACAACGAGATAAAGTCTGAAGCCTGTAACTCTCCCTGTCCCGCGGGAGCGTGCAAAGGGAGGGAAGATAAGCGGCGTGGGTGAGGGGTGGCGGCGCAGAACCCAGGAAGGGAGCAGAGGCGAGAGCCAGCCTCCGGCAGGAGGGCGTAGACCCCGGTGCCAGCCAGAACGGCTCCAGCCTTCCCGCGGCCAGAGAGCCAGCGGCGGGAGGGGACGGGCGGGACCTCCGCGGACAGCCCCGGGTGCGGACCAGCGGGCAGCGGCCGGCGAGACCCTCCCTGGATCCGCCCAGAGCTTACCGGACCCTGCGCGCCCCCGTCCCGGCTCCCGGCCGGCTCGGGGGAGAAGGCGCCCGAGGGGAGGCGCCGGACAGATCGCGTTTCGGAGGCGGCGCAGGTGTGTCAGGGGTGGGGGTCCGCTGGCATCTCTCGTGCCGGCGCTGGGGGGGTCTCCCGTGGAGGAAGGGCTGAAGGTGCTCCGGGAGGGGTCCACTCGTTATGGAAAGGAAGCGGGGCGCGGTCAGGGTCCCTCGTCCGCAGTGGGGGTGGTCCGGGCCCCTCAGCCTGCACCCGGGAGGAGACGCCCCCTTTTCACGCCCCGCCCCCGGTGGCCGAGGCCGGATTCGGACAGCTCGGGGTCAGTCGACGGAGCACACCGGGCGCCCGAATCCGCCGGGTCCCACTCACGCCCGCCGGCCGCCGGTAGGTTGGCCCTCCCGCTTCCAGCCTCCGCCACCCCATCCCTCGCTGCTCTCTGAGGAGGATTCCAGACCCCCCCGTAGATCTCCGCCCTCTCTCGGGTGGGGCTCCGAGGTCTAGCTGGTCTGGGGGTCAGTCCCGGCCTCTGTCTCCCACCGCGCCCCTCGCTCCCCTGGACACCGCCTGGTGTGTGGGGCTCAGACCCCCCCAGTCCACTGCCCCTGTGTGGCTCCTCCTCTCAGGAGAGGATTCTAGATCCCAGCCCGGGGGGGGTTCCGAAAATGCCGCCAGCCTGGAGCGGGGAATCCATGGACCGTGGGGTTGTGGGGTTGGGGAGCACGAAAACCCAGAGAGGGGCTAGAGCTCCACCTCCCCAGACCGCCGAGGGGCGAGAGGGCGCGCCGGGGGCCGTGGTTGCCATGGCTCCTGGTAGCGGAGCCCGGGGGGCTGGAGATGCCGGTCGCGGATGGTCCCTTCTTCCTCTTTGTGCCTCTCTCTTTCTCTCGCTTTTTTTTTTTTTTTGGAGTGTGAGTGTGCGTGGGGAGGCAGCACGGAGAAAGTGATTAATTTGGGGAGCAGGGATTGGAGCCGGGAGGCTGGGGAAAGCCAGCCCCTCCGTTCCCACTCTCCGGGCTCGCTGCGAGCCACAGTGTCTCAGCCAGGGGCAGGGCCGGGGAACTCCTGCGAAAAACCACGGGCCGGAGGAGCAGCAGCCGCGCGGGCCCAGGTACCCCCGCCCCAGACGGCCAGCAGGGTGGAGCGCAGGGTGGGCGTTTGGGCTGCTGGGCGGGAAGGCGGGCGGGGAAGGGGTGGGAGGCCGGCGGCGGAGGGCAGGTGTGCGTCGGCAGGGCTGGGTGGCCCGGCAGAGAGGGCGCCCCAGGTTCAGCCCCTCCTCGAAGGGCGCCGGCGTCCAGTCCCGCTCGTGGGAGCCGCGGAGCAGCCCCAGGGCCGGCGAGCGGCTGCCCTGCCAGGCGCGTGCGCGAGGGCGCGCTCCCGCGGGAACGCGCCGTGCGCGGGGAGATTTGCGCGTGCGCGTGGCGATGGTAACTGGTGGGCCCCCCGGGCTCGCTCTAGGCGGAGGCTCCCGGGACGCCCACGTGGCTTCGAATTCCAGCTCCACCATCACTGTGATGCGTCACTCTGGACTAGGCATTTAACTACGTGCCTCAGTTTCCCTTTCTCAATAATACGGAGATTATCGATACCCTCTATACTGGGTTGTTGCAAGACTGGAATGAGATGATACAAGTAATTTAACACCATAGATTTTTAAATTTAACACCATATGCATATTTGATGCATAATAAGCACTCAAAAGTTATTGTCGTTGATGCCATTACTGTTAGTTAATCCTCAGTTTAATTACATATGGTGCATTTTCATTTCTCTGCATTTTCATTGAAGTAAAAATTCTGCGTTTTCTAATTTTGGAGAATAATCTTAATTAAAATATGAATATTTGTACTGCACAGTCCAACTCCTACGAAGCTCTGCCTTGCAGCAGATTGGAAGAGAGAAACTGATCAACTGCCGATGAAGTTGGCTTTTCAGTATATTGATGGAGAGAGAAGCTTAGGAAGCTCTTTGGGGAAACTTTTGGTGACAAGAAAATAAAAAGTTTATCCCAGAGTTTTTCTTTTGTAAATCTTTGTGTTTTCTCTTTCACCTGCAGATGTTGCAGTTGGGTTTGTCTTAATTTCAGTCTCTTTGTGAGGGACCACCATTTGGCTTTCATAATTTAACGTGGTTACAGAGCCTATGTATACCCTGGCTTTCCATTTTATGGCCTTAAGTGCTGCAGTGGATTTACCTTTAGTAATGGCAGAACGTAGTGTATAATCATTCCTTGCAAGCTCCTGAATATTGTGAGCAAATCAATGGAGACAAATAGTTATTACTGGATGGGTGTGAGTACTGGCTATGGCAACTCATTAAAATCTCTTTCAGGGTATGTTTGTACCCACTTCACTGCAGCACAAGACTATGATGATGAATATATGTTTCCCAGATTGTTATCTGTTGCATGTAGACTTACGGATCCTTTTCTTCAAAGAAACGGCTATAGATATTTATTGATTCCTCATGGTTATATAGGTCCTCCAACCTATCTGCTGATAAGTACACTGTACACTTCGTGGGCCTAGCTGTAGGTCTAAGAGGAGTTGATTTTGCACATACTATACTTATTGCATTTAAGTTAATTCATCTCATTACATGAATTGGTTTTAAATAAATTTTTAAAATCATTTGATTATTAAAATATAGGCATTTCTTGGTGAACTTGAGGCAAGTAAAGCCTGACAGATGTCACCATCACAAAGATCCTTAGTGACCTTTACAAAATAGAGCTCACCCAGAAAAACATTTGCTAGATAGAAACCTGATTTTATAGTTGCTTCTGAAATCTTTGAAGATAGGAGGTTATTTGCCCCAAAATTGCTTTGTTGAAATAATTTAGCCTGATTCGCTTTTATAGAAAAATAAGGGTAACGATCAAGACTGATTTAAGATTCTTGTATTTTTAACCGATAAAAGAAAATTAAGTAATAGTTGGGGAACTACTGGTGTCAGATTTGAAGGAATGATTGTCAGGAAATACTGAGAGTATTACTTCAGGTAGCAGTGTTTGGCTTTGCAAGACAACCCTCTCATCCTCACTGTGAATATGTCATCTTTAAAAGGTACCTTGAGGAATTAGTGTGACAGCTTCTCTGAAATTCATGTGATCATTTACATATTGTTTCCCAGGAGCTTTGGCATTAAATGTTTCATTTATTGGAAATTATTTTGCCCTTTAATTTATGACAGCCAACAGTGCAATAGAGTCTAATGTATTTTAGAAACAATAAAATTAGCTTTTCACCATTTTCTATTTTCCCTAAAAATCTAGCAGCAATGCACTTGGAATGCTTAAGTTAGTCCAGAGACAAATGGTAAGAGTAGGAAAACATGACAGATTGGGAGGTGTTGAGTTCTGAATTTGGGGACCTAATTGAAATGCAAAGGTATAATCAAGAGAATGAACTTGTCTCTGTACTGAGGTTGTTTTCAGTGATGTACTATATTATCTGATTCAGTCAACGTTCCTTGTTATTTTTTCAAACCAAGATTGAGAATACTATATTTTCAATTATGAACATTTTGATTACAGTTTCATTCTGACTAATTCAGTCGGAAGAGAATGCAATTATTATGGTCATTTACATACAATATGCTAAGTTAACACAGCTAATGAGTGAAAGCATAATATTCTTTCTGTTTGTTCCTGGAAAAATATTGTGCTAAGCATTCTTTCAAAGAAAGATTACATTATTCGCTATCATTTTATGTCTATCTACAAGTAGAATTGGCATTGAGCCTTTTCTCTGCTATTAAAGTGAAATCTCTTATATTTTGGTGATCACATGCCTTTCCTCTCACCCCTTGGGGGAGACTGGAAACAATTCTCAATTTAATTAGATATGCTGCTTTCTTTTTTCTGTACATCTTTATCTGAGGAAAGATTGTATTTTCTAATTTGGGAGGCTGCTTAACACCTTAAACATTACTAATTACTGCAGTTTATTTTATGTGTGTCGCAATAGTGTAGTTAGTTAATTATAGCTTTCTCATTAGCACCACGTAGAGAATAATGAATTAACACATCCCTTTGATCAAAAAGGATTTAAGTTTATCTTCTGAGAATAAAAGTGTTATTGTGTTACTGAAAGTCACTATAATTTTCCCAAGAAACAAATTGGTTGGAATTCTGTATCACTGGGTTAGGAAGCTCAATGAATGAGTTGGATTGATCACAAAGTAGAGTAGAGCTGTGGTTGCTTGGCAACCTGACATTATTCTGCCATTTCTGGTATATTTATCCAGTAAACTAGAAAATTCTGTTTCGTTAACGAATGTTTTAAGTCAGTGCACAAATAGACCATAACTAATTGAGATTTTATGTGTTGTGGGTAAAAAATGATCCTGCTTACCTTCTCATTGTGTTTAGATCATAAAAATACAAAGGGACATATTCCGTTTTCAATTTTAAGGCATTTTCCTGAAATGTTGACTTCACTTTCACATAATTTATTCCTAGTGAAGAATACAACTTGTGTATCTCTTTGGAAGTTAAATTATTAGAAGTGTGTGTGAGTGTATATGTGTATGTGTGTGTGCGTGTGTGTGATGCTTATATACATAATTTCAATAAGAATCACAACTAGAGTTTGAGGTGAGATGAATTCTCAAAATTCATAGTTTGCTAATTGAACTGACAGTTTGGTACATTTAGGGTGGGTATAAATATCTGAATCAAATGATGCTGGCAGATGATGATAAGAATGATAAATGCATTGAACTTGGTCAATATATAATTATATTTTATGCTTTGACCAGGGTTTCTTCTCCTGGTAGTCTTATAACATTCTCCCTTCTAATGTTTGTTTGCATCTTATTTCCCCTATAGTTGTGGAGGTAGGAGCTCTGTTGCCCATCTTCTGATTCACCTCTTCCTAACTCCAGGGACTACAATTGTGCCATTTTCCTATACAACCTATGAATTTTAGTGTGCATCACAATTTCCTTTTCAGACTGTAAACTCCTTGAGGGTATACATTTCCTTTTATGCATCTCATAAACTCTTAAAGTGTCTGGCACAGCAGGAAGCGAACTGTTGTGGTGGTTACATGCACTGGCTATAAAAGTCAGGCTGCCAGGGTTCAAAATCTAAGTCTGTCAGCTTGCAGGTGTGTGGCATTGGCTTAGTCATGTTGACCTCTCTAAGACTAGTTTCTTCTTTAGAAACGGGGAAATAGCCATACTTAGCTCACATGTCACATGTGTTCTTGTGGACATTGTATGGGGCAATCTATGCAGACAGATTAGTAGCACGGTTTTTTATTGTAGTGATAATTATCCTTCTATATCATGTTCAGTATGTGAATGAACAAAGATAGAGGGACAGAGCGTATGTGTGTGTGTATCCCTGTGTATGTGAATAACTGTGAGCCATGATCAATGGTGGTGTCAAATGGCAAACTGTTGATTCCTACATTAATTATATGCACATATACCAATAATGATTGCTTCACATATTTAAAAGGTTTTCGCAATAGTTGTTCTTAGGCTTGGCTGAAATTAGAATCGTCTGGAGAGTTCTGTAAAGCTACCAACCCAAATCAATTCAATTACAGTCTCTGTGGATGGTGACTAGAAATCTGGATTTTTGAAAACTTCTAGTGCGATTCTAACACGCCCTAATGTACCAATATTGGTTAAGAACCATCACCTTAGATTTGCGTACGCCGTCCACAAGATTGTGTTGGGCTAAGGCATTGGTTCACAGTCACCCTGGTGTCATGAAATGTGGCTGAAAGAGAAAAAATGCTCTGGCAAACTTCTGAGGTTTTTCTTACTAATCTTCTTGGTTTAAATAGCACTTTATTCTCTGAAGATCTCAAATGTGCTTTTCATTTACTGTGTATAATTTCGTTTTTCAACCAAATGTCTCTGTGAAGATGGTAGGAAAGAAGTAATTATCCTGATTTGCAGATGAATGTGAATGGAGTGAGCTACACTGAAATTAAGTGATTTGACTAGATTCATACATTTAGAACAGGCCCAGATAACAAGATTCCTGTGACTTTGGGGTTTTGAATATTTCTCTGTTTTGCCTGCAGACTTCCAATGAGGTAGGGAGAGTTATTGTTTTTGGACTAAAGTACTGTGTCAGAAAAAGCTTTAAAAATGAGACTTTCATCCTTTTTTTGGTTATAATTGTGCAGTGTAAAGAAAAACAGATTTTTATTTTCTTTCTAAGAAGAGGCACCATAGTCTATATAGGAGCCAAACCAATGTCCCTTGGACTTTGAACACCGCTTGTATAAATATTTCATTTGGCCCAAAGAATGTTTAAGACAAATTTCAGCCAACATTTAAATACTGGAGATTTCATGTAAAATTCATATTTCTGGCTTATCTTAAAAGGATTGATGTTCTCACAGTATTGGACCTGAATGCCCAGGTGGCAGAATGCCACAGGTTAGAACCCAGTGGTTTGTCCCCTTGATGTTCTTGAAAGACATATCTTCGCTGGGTAAAACATGGCTTCCTCTCACCTTCACTTTGTTCCTTTCTTTTATATAGATCCTACTCCAAAGAGGTAATTAAGGGACCTTAAAGACGGGCCCACATCTCTTTGGATGGGATTAGGGGAAGCCCACAAGGGCTGCTGAAGCACATCTGGAGCTGTTACTGCCCCTTGTCCTGAAGGGATAATGGGAAGGTGAAGTTCCTGGAAGGAGGTGGGAGCAGTAGCTCTGGAAGAGGGCTGTCACGTGGGACCTATGGCTTTTGGTAGAGGAACATAACTACTGTCAAATCACAAGACAGTGCTCTGCTTCTACCCCAAGATTTCCAGTTGCTTCTTCAGCAAGGCAGTAAGACGGCAAGGGAGCCTATTGTAGTGGTTTGTGGAGGTCAGTTCTCCCAGAGCAGAGCAGGATGGAGGAAGGCAGAAAAGGGATCTGAATCTGGGAAGTACGTGAGGAATACCTAGCACATCTTGAAGGCTTTACATTTGTGGAACGTGAGTAGTGGGGAAGGGGAAAGCTAGAATTGACAAAAACAGTACAAAATAGGGAATCATTAAGTTTGTATTCAGGAGAATCTTCACCACTTTTTCTTTGTCATTCCTTTCTTCTTTCTTTCATTGCCCGAAGTGGGCATGCTCATATTCAGTGGTGTGTTTCAGTTGGGACTCTTAAACTTCAAAACAAATTTGTCCATTTCATTGCATTATCTATGCTTTCTAAGATGAGAGCTGACATAGCAGAGAGAATAATGTAAAAGATGTATTCCAGCTTCTATGGTAATGGTTGGCATTTTTAGCAGAGGTTCCTCCCTAACAAAAGCTTTTGCTGTAAGTGGTGATTCTCCTGGGAGGGATTGTAGTTATGATGCCTGGGAAAGCGGAGATACACTCAAATGTCAGTCTGGCAGCTGAAACTCATGTAACCTGGATGCCTGGATCTTTGGAGGAAGTATCCTTCTTCTTTGTTATAGTTGTATCAGAACAAGGACGATGAAGGAATAGACCAGAATGCACTGGTTGCATCTTAATGTGAGGAATTTTTATTTCCAGGGACTAAGAGATGTATTTCCCAGAGTAATAGAATGTAAGTGGATAAAAGGAATGTGGGGATTTTGATGATCTGTTGCGGTTAGAGTTGTTGGAAGTTCGGTTTTTTATTGCATTGAAAACCTTGCTAAAAACTGTAAAGTGACAGAATATTAGCTTATTATGGGATGCCTTACATATTGGTTATGTTCAAAAGAAATAACACGTCTCATGTGCAAAAGGTTCAGGGGGAAGATAAATACTGACCTTTTCCAAGACTGATACTGGATGCTGCATTTCCATCCTTTCAGAAGATTGCCTCTGAAGATTTCTATTTTAAAAAAAAATCATAATGTCTTGCATTATTTGTGTGCTTTATGCTTTTTAGAAAATTTTTCCATGTCATCTCATCTGACTTTTACAATAACATAGTGAACAAAAAGAAACAGGTTGTTAGCCCATTTTATAGATGAAAAAAACTAATGCAAGGTCAAGTAGTTAGCTTTACCACTATTCCACCACACTGCCTACAGTAGTGAAAATTAGAATTAAATCATCTTAGATATCCTAATTTGTAACCCAGTTCATAGCCCACTCTATTGCTTTCAGGTTTTCTTTTTCCTTTTTCTTTCTTTCTTTCTTTTTTTTTTTTTTTGGAGATAGGGTCTGGCTCTGTTGCCCAGGCTGGAGCGCTGGAGTACAGTGGTATGGTCATCGCTCACTGCAACCTCGAACTCCTGGGCTCAAGTTATTCTCTCACCTCAGCCTCCCAAAGTGCTGGGACTACAGACGGGCACCATCATGTCTGGCTAATTTTTAAAATCTTTTTTGTAAAGGTGAGGTTTCACTATGTTGTCCAGGCTGGTTTCAAACTCCTGGCCTTAGGTGATTCTCCCACCTGCCCCTCTCAAAGTACTGGGATTACAGGCATGAGCCACCTTACACAGCCCAGATTTCCTTTTTTGGAAGAAAAGAGCAACATTGTATAACTGATAGTGAATTGTTTTTTAAGGAAATCTAGAGTCACCGTATAAACTGAGAGCTGTCTAGGGGAAAAATTGAAAATGTTACCAGTTATATTTTGAGAGTTGAACGTAGTCCTGGCCAAAGATAGGGAGATAGACTTTTCCAAAGCATCCTGAATTCTATAATACATGTTCTTATGTTTGTGTGTGTCTGTGTGTGTGTGTGTGTGCGCGCGCACGTGTATGTGTGGGTCCTATGAGGCATTGTGACCAGTCATTATAAAAAGCTTTTATTGATCGCCACTTTGTGCTAGAGACAGGAATGAAACTGTGCCAGGCAGATACTTAAATAGCCACCATTGATCATTTATCAAGTGTTTATTATGTGTTTTGCAATCTCCACATCAGTGATTTGAGGAAAGTACTATTATAACACCCAATGTAAGCTGGGCGATGCAGACACAGAAGGGTCCTTGTCCAATGTCACACAATATGTCTTGCAGTACCAGAGTCAGAATTCAAACTCAGAAGTGTCTGATTTCCAGCCCCAGCAGTGCCCCCTCGATTAGCAGGATTCTCCAGCTATGGTCTTCACTATGGACTAACACTCTTTCCTGTTGTCCATCCAAACTTACCTGTTCTGTGTCCCATTATCCATTTGTGGAAAAGTAGACATAAAGGAATCCTACTGAGGTATTAGATGATAATGCATACCTATTCCAGGAATGGTGGCATTAAATATGAGGTTTTAAAACCTGCCAGAGGTGGTGGTGCAAGCCTGTAATCCCAGCACTTTGGGAGGCTGAGACGGGTGGATCACTTGAGGTCAGGAGTTTGAGGCCAGCCTGGCCAACATGGTGAAACTTCGTCTCTACTAAAAATACAAAAATTAGCTGGGCATGATGGCATGCCTGTAATCCCAGCTACTCAGGAGGCTGAGGCAGGAGAATCACTTGAACCCAGGAGGCGGAGGTTGCAGTGAGCCTAGATCGCACCACTGCACTCCAGCCTGGGTGACAGAGCGAGACTGTCTTAAAAAAAAATCTTAATGCAACTTTGGGAGGCTGAGGCTGGAGGATCACTTGAGGCCAGGAGTTCAAGACCAGCAACACAGCAAGACTCCATGTCTACAAAAAATATATAAATAAATAAAAATAAAAATTAGCCAGGTGTGGTCGGGCATGCCTATAGCCCCAGCTACTTGGGAGGCTGAGGTGGGAGGATCATTTGAGCCCAGGAGTTGGAGGTTACAGGGAGGAGACATTTGTGTTCTCTCCAAAATCAAGTCATATAAGCGTCTAATGGTCTGACTCTTCCTGTACCAGACCCTGGGCATCATTATATGTACAAATGAAACTTCACTCTCATTATCATTGTTTATTTCTTGGCAGAAATGTTTCTGATACTCTATGATATGAATACGCATGGATTTCCCTCACTTCTGGGTATTATATGTAACCAATTGCATTTCGCGGTTGGCATTTCCACAAAGGTGTGAGTATCTGCTATTCCAGATTAAAATAGAAATCGTTGGCAATGGCAGATGCCATATCTCAGCATTGCTGTTCTTGAAAACGGCTTGAAAATGACACCGATCATAATGATGGCACTGTCTTTATTAGCAGCCGTCAATAAAGATAAGGCTTTAGAAGAAAAAAAGGCAACTCTATTTCAGGCACAGCCAATATATTTGGGAGTTTTAAGAGATTTTTGAGTTTTTTGTTTGGGATATTTACAAGCAAATGTTCATGTATTTTTAAGATATGCATAATATAAATAGCATTCTCAGATGCTGAGTGGCTCCAAAAGGCTCCTTTTTGTGTACTAGAAAGTGGCAAGAATAAGTTTGTTTCCTGCTTTGGCTAGACAGGAGATCCCACTTCCTTGGATTATACACAATGGCTTTTCTATAAAGCTTTTGTTTGACCCATACCTGCTTCTCTGGAATACACAGCTTGGCTTCTCAAGAAGTAAGTTTATTTCTGTGTTGTAAATTCAAGGATTTTTCTAACTTGTTCTGTAAAATGCATCTGATGACATAGTGGAGAATTCATGCATTTGATTAAAATTTAAAGATGTAAAGAATGCTTAAGGCATCATACAATGGCAAAAAACTGAAAACACTGCCCACAAGGGTAAACATATAGGCAATAACAATTTTAACATCTATCACCTATATCTGCATGAATAATAGGCTATATTGCGTTATTTGTTATTGTTCACTAATTTGAGACATATACTATTTTCCATAAAGAAGATCTGAGTGAATGGATAAAGATAGCCAAAACAAGCCTGTTTAAATTTGACCTTGACCCCATTTTCTTCGTGACCTCTAGCAATTCTCAGAGGAGCAAACTTCAAAGGGTTTCAACAGTCTGCTCTTCCCATGCATACAAGTTTCTGCTTGTAATTGATTTGGGCTGAATAGATTTTGAACACAATTGATTTGCTTGAAATAACATTAAAGGACCAAGCACTGAGCAATTCAGGTGCAACTCATGCACACTTCTGAGTCAAGTTCAAATAAATTGGATTTGACCTTAACCACTGTCCCCTCAAAAAAAGGGCTGGCAGTCATCAGAATGAATGCCATCCAATCAAGTATAAAAACTGGTATGAGTGGTTTGGATCAGAAATTGATCTCCATACACAAGACCTTCTTTTGAAAACTTGTAATGAGCTTCTGTTTTCCTGTTTTACCAGCTGTAAACTGAGGAAAGAAACATTGACTGCTGCCTCCCAGTGGCAGTTGGAGGATTAATGAGCTAATATTTATAAAGTGCTTTGAAGATAAAGGTGCCAGCTATTATTATTACTAATAAACCATTTTTTCTGCAGTGTAATTTTGGACAGCAGGCCTTAAAAACCCATTACTGTATTTAACAGTAAAACAATCTGCCACAGCCTAGTATTTACTGCCTCAATTAAGCATGCATTCCACTTCCTTTGCCCCTCCAAATTCAGAACTGGTGAGGAGAGACAGAAAGGAGTGTGTCATCATTTCCCAAGTTCATTGAAATATTAGGTTTGGGTTGTTTGATTGTCTCGGCAGAAAGCTAGACTATATCCTCAGTGGGAGACTAGTTGAGCTACACTTTTGTTTCTGTGCCTTATGAAGGGAGTGGAAGGCTTGGTTCTAGGCCTTTATTCAACCAGATTTACATTGTGGTTTATTATCTTTGAAGATTGCATTCCAGTATCCGTTTTGGTTATTTGAATATGGTACCATTAATGAAACTGGTTTATTTGGGTGGTTTTATGTGTGTACCTGCGTGAGGGTGGGGTTCACAACTAACTCCTAAAACCGAAGTGGAAAATGGAGGTAATTCTGCAGCTATCCCATGTCCAAAAGTATTAAAAAATAAAACTGGAGACCTTGAATTATACAGGATAGTTTCTTAGTTAGTAATTACTGTTATCATTATATGATATTAAATCCTTTCAATCTGATTTATTTTGATCTATATAGATGTCCTAAAATATCAGATGGTACAGGGTAGTGTAAATATTTCTCACGTATTGCCAAAACAATGCTTATTTTCCTCTGATGCTATTTCAGTACTGCAAATAAAAGTAAAAAAATATAAAGTTAATAAATGACTATAATGAGATGTCTCAGCTTTCAACAGCTACTTCAGGTATTCAAATGCTAGGCCAATATCTAAAAGTTGAACAAAAGAAGCCTCAAAGCAACCTAGATCTCTTTCTTGGCAAAAATTCACTAAAATGTAAACACTTGATTATGGAAAGATCTTCCTAATTCAGTGACTATTTGCTCTTAATTTAGAACCATTCTAATATGCATAATTATATTATTTCAGCAGATGACAAAGTATAAACTGCAAGTTGGAGCAGATGAGGGAAATTTTGCAAATTCATTCTAAGACAAAATAAGTTACATTTAATATATTTCTTCCGCAAGAGAGAGGGATAGAAAGACTAGAAAAAGACAACTCAGAAATGACTATATGGGTGATCTTGAGTCATTAAGAAATTATTTTAAAATAAAAAATAAATTGACATACCACCTATAGGAGTTCAGATCATTTATCTGAAAATCTTATGGAACCAATCCTTCCTAGTGGTCTAGTTGTTCAATAATGTTAAATACAAATTCTTAACAGAACCCTAATCTTTTTTTTGTCATTATTATACTTCAAGTTTTAGGGTACATGTGCACAACGTGCAGGTTTGTTACATATGTATACATGTGCCATGTTGGTGTGCTGCACCCATTAACTCGTCGTTTACATTAAGTACATCTCCTAATGTTAGCTCCCCTCCGCTGCCACCCCACGACAGGCCCCGTGTGTGATGTTCCCCACCCTGTGTCCAAGTGTTCTCATTGAACAGAACCCAAATCTTTTAAACGGTTTCTTTTACAAGCAATGCACTAATAATGATCCAAGGTAGGTGCCGTTGTTTACAGATAGGATTTTGTATTGCCCATTCCAAGTTTGCCACAGAGTATACTTTTTATTACTATCACTTAGGGAGACTGTTTGGTAAATACCATCACCATTCCATTGACTTTTGAAGTTGAGCTCATGCTATTTTCATCATTTGTTTTGTTTAATTGTGTATGGGGAATTCACCATATGGCTTAAAACTGTTTAAGACCTCAATAGATATGTGTTTTGCATATGAGATTCTTGGGGTATCTGTAGGGATATACACAAGCTGTTTGTTATTAGGAAGAAAAGTACCTGAAAGCTTGTGTGTAGCTAAGGGGAGAAATGATGAAAAATATTCTGAATGTAGCAAAGTAACAATTTGTGTAAAATGTGAAGGCACATTTTTCCACTTACCTATCACTGAATGACAAACTAACTCATACCTTTAAACAGTAACTTCAAACAACAGACATTTTATGAAATCTCATGAATTGTAGGTGAGGAATTTAGGCAGGGCTCCGCTGGGTGATTTCTTCTGCCCCATTTGGTGACAACTGAGGTAATATGGTGGTATCTCAGAGAGTGGCTGGGGTGGGCTGGTGGCCCCAGGATGGCTTCCCTCACATGACCCATGCAATGGCAAGGAGGGCTGAGCTCAGCTGGGCCCCTCTTTCTGTCCAAGTAGTCACAGGGCCTCTCTCCTGGTCCTTCCAGAAATGTCACTGGACTTTTCACACAGTGACTCAGGGCTTTAAAAATCTAACTTGGAAACTTAAAGGCTAGTCCTCAGACCGTTCAGATTCAAAGGAAACTCTCATCCAACTTCTAGCAGACAAGGTAGCAAGAAATACAAATTAAGAAAGACATGCTAATTAACAGAATTATTAAACCCATTGTGATACACCATTCACTCACCATGTGACTGCTTACAAAGAGGGAAAAAATATGGAGCCCTCTGTTCCAAGGGAACACTCCTTTCCCCCTCCCGACACTTCCTAGAGATCTTAGACCCACATGACTGTGAGAAAGAAGAGTGATGTGAGAGTGAACTTTGGCAAGGCTGAAGTGCCCTGGTTTTGTCTGGAGCGAGAATAAAAGTGAGAGGAAGGAGGCGTCCAGTTGGCTGAGAATACTGTTGGCTAAGATTCTTTAGCAGGGTGGGCTTTTCGGATGCTTTTCTCCTCTGATCTATTTAGGTTTATCCTTACTCTTTTCCATTTATCTGGGAAGTGACTTGGGTTTAAGAGAACCAGGAGTATCTTAGCAGAGTCAAAAGGGCCACGGTGAACCCCAAATGTCAGGAAACAAGGAACTGACTAGATTACTCAAGGCTTCACTCTTGAGGAGGGAGAGAAAAGAGCTCCTGCATTTCCTTCTATTTATTGATTACAGCCACAAATGGAAAAGGAAGCAGGCTTTCTGCCCTGAAATAATGATGATACATCGGGCTGCAGAGCTCCTATACCTATAACTCTCAAAAGCAAATGGAAAGGAGACTAGCGTGTGGCTAGTACCATTATTCTCACATCTTCCTGCAGTGTTATGAGAGCACAGAGTAGGATGCAGGGTGAGGATAGACAGCAGTAGAGCTTTCTTGAGCTGCTTATTCCTCTCCAAATTCTCTCTGAAAGTGGATGAAGAACTGCTGCCATGTCTGGTGTGGGTTCAATTTGTGCTCTCATTGCTTCTACTTCTCTGTTTCTCCAGATCCTACCATCACGTTCTTCCTTCTGTGGCTTAGCCATTTTTCTCTCCACGCTTAGGAACCATACATACTATCATTCTTCTACCTCTGAAGCATTATCCCATCCTTCTGACAAACATGAGTAGATGTTTTCCCCTCACAGTCTTGCCAAAAAGCACTTATAAAGTATTGCACCGTAGTTTTCATATTTCAAAAACACTTCAACAGGCAAAATGCGATATACACAACCCCAAAATGCTGTGCTATGATGAATTTAGTTCTGTATTGGTAATACTATAAATTGCTTTTGAATGAAAGATACAATGTCTATATATTATTTAATTTGATACTTGCAGTAACTAGCTATTTAAGCAAGATAGGTATCAGTCCTCTTTAGCGAAGTTCAGTGGAACCAATGGAACAAACGTGTGGGAGTGGAACTGGAACTCGGATGTCTGATTTTGTCTTAAGTTATTTTAATGACAAGTCATTTAGCCACCGATAAAAAGTTACTTATTCAGAAAATTCAATCTTCTGGACAAGTTTTATTTTTACATGACATAACCTAAAATGTTATATATGTTAAATTCTGCCGTTTTAGATTTCAGGAAAACAAATGCAGAGTGGTAGAGGCTGGTGGTGAGAATGAGCTGAGAAGGGTGGTAATAAACTGAGGTTTCTACAACGAGTTTGCATTAAAAAAAACTTGTTGGGGGTTCTGGAACCCAATCAATTCTCAGATGTTTCCATAGTCTATTTTTATATAGCATAATACATTTTTATTATGATCAGGCAATAAAGCAAGACTGTTCACCAGTCTTGCTTTAGCCATTTACCATTTCCTATACTCTATGTATGTCCTTTGTCTGCTTTTACACTACCATAAAGCCTGCTTCAACTTTCCCCTCAATACACTGAGATTTATTTCTTCACTCACCATTCTGGAAAATTCCTTGTTCAGCCTTCTAATCACTAGACACCTGCAACCTTTCCTTCACTGGATTTCTGCCTCGAACAGTCACTCTTCTCCACTAAGATCTACATGTCACCGCTAAAATCCCCTTTCTTGCTTGTCACTTTGACCATGATGTCACTTACTTCCTGAAAATTTCCCCTGGCTCCCTACTGCTTTGCAGGCCAAGTAACTGTCACATTTCGTTTCCACTTTCAGCTGGAGTCAGCCTTCATTATTCCCCTCTCCGTCCCTGTATCCTTAGAGACCCTCTCCTTTGACTCAACAGCTCACTGCTCTTGTCTTCTCAAAGCTCCTGTCTTTTCACACACAGTTCCTGCTGTCTTTTCTTCTTAAAACAACCAGCCATTCGACAGTCTCCAATTCTCTGAGAAGACATTCCCCTAAACTCACCATCTTCAATACTTGTGTCATATCTTTGTGCCAAATTCTAATTCACTTAAGATTTTAACTGGCTTACTAACAAAATATACTAACTTAAAATGAAGGTTTTATTTATTACCTTAAATGAAACACCAGTGTCAACGGCAAACAATGAAAAGTAAGAGCAAACGTTACTATGATGAAAGCAACTTGAAGTCATTGCATTTTAGGTAGATATTTGTGCCTGCCCCAGACTCTGGGCTTGAACCCTGCTCTGTCTTATAAAATAGGGAGATTAGAAAAGTTAAATTGTTATTAATGTTCTATTAACACCTACTTGAGACTTTCAACTTTTTATAGTAAGAAGAATTGAAAAATAATTCACAGAGAATTGATTCCCATGATGCGTTCACCTATGTCCTGCTCAGAACACATCTAGGATCATTTCAGCGCTGATAGACTGTTCAAGGAGATGCAGCCTAACTCAAGAAAAATTCATCATGCTCCTCCTCTTTCCTTCTCCAGTTTTGTTCCCACATATGAACATTAAATGAAAATTTATGAAGTTCCTGCTGAGTGAAAATCACTGCTGGATAGGTGAATTCCAAGATGAAATAGATAGACTTTCTGGCCTGAAGTTGCTTACTGTTACCACTGAATATATGCCCATAAAATATTAAAATAGACCTAAATGCCTTTTCTGAGGTCTGGAACTCTCAAAGTGTTGTGAGCCTCCAATCTAATTAAAGAACTCACTCAAGTATAATGCAAAATAGAGGATGAAAAATGCCATACGAATGTATAGATAATGTTTTATGGGAGATTAGAATAGAGAAAGATTATTTCCAGCTTGTGCACTGTTAAAAGTCATTAGGAAAGAGGTAGAATTTGGAAAGCAAAGAAGAGATTGCATTGCAAAGAAGACATTCAATTGCAATGATTATTTCTCTGAAGCAAAATAAGTGTTCAAGCCCAATTTAATGAGCAATTAATTTTTAGCAATATTTTCCACATGTTCATAATCTAGTACCATTTGAAAAAACTTTCTGATGTGAAAAAAATGTGATTTAAATACCTGTCTCAAGTTCTGAAAGGCTTCCTCACATATTATAAAACAGGAGCCCTCCCTAATTTGAGTCAGGTTAGAGAAAGCCAAACATAGGTGGAATATGGATACCTTTACTACAACTACATTTGGGGAGTCAACCTAATGCTTGCTTAATCGCTTCACAGAAAGATTGAGGAAGGCAGTGATATCCAGTATCATCATAGGGCTCTTTGGTGCCAATAATCTATTGAGGTGCTTTTCGATTGTGAGACGACCAAGAAATTAGCTGATCCCAGCAGAAAAACAGAGCTCCTTCCTTACTTTTCAGCTGCGTTAATTTCTTCTCTACGTTTCAGAGTACTGCTAATTCCATCCACTGATCCCTTCTAGGGCCTGGTTTTCAGTCCTAGGCACTCAGGTAAGGCTATTCTCTAGACACAATATGCATGTGAAACAAAAAAAGAGAAAAGTAATAATGACTTCAAATATTAGGATCTGACTATGAAATATCAGATCTTTTAACTCTTGTATTCATGTAACCTTCCTACATTTTTCAAGTGAAAATATTTCCTACATTTTTTAAGAGACATCAGTGTTACGTGCTACGTTATCAATATTATTTTCTTATTGGCCATGGAAATGCTTAAATAATTGACTTGACTTGTTAAATCTATTTTATACATTGCATTTTAATTACATTTATAATTTTAAGAAACTTCACTTTTTAGAAAGATATAGACATGAATACCCTTGGTATTAATTAGTAGTAGATGTCCTTACTTCTGATAGCCCTTACATAATGTATCCCTCTCTATGAGTGCTGTAGATTTTTCACTTATATCTACAAATACAGAAGATATAACTTATTAAAAGTTCAATAGGAATAAGTCCTCATGTTATGAGAGAGTATAAAGCAATAGTTAGAGTGATGTGAAATATTATAACTCTGTCTTCTGGAATTATTCCTTGAAAAGATTAATTATGTATGCCTAATGAGATAACAGTGACAAGGTATAATTTAGAGATTATAAAGCTGAGAATTGAAATGCCTAGCATGTGCACGTGCACACACACACACACACACACACACACGTAACTGCTCTTTTGCAAATCTTCATCACATCAATTGTGTTGAATCCATTCTCTTAGGCTATACATTCTCATGCTAGCAAAATGAAAACTTGAAAGTAATATGTTGAAGAGATACTATGTTGAAGAGATTCCCATGTTGATTGCAGCATTATTTACAATAGCCAAGATATAGAATCAACCTAAGTGTCCATCAACAGATGAATAAAGAAAATGTGGTGTATATATACACAATTGAATAGTACTCAGCCATAATAAGAATGAAATCCTGTCATTGTGGTAACATGGATGAATCTAGAGGACAATATGCTAAGTGAAATAAGCAAGGCACAGAAAGACTAATATCCCACGTTCTCACTCATTTGTGGAGTCTGAAAAAGCTGATGTCACAAAAGTACAGAGTTATTAGTGACTCCGGAATGTATCAAGGAGGGGAGGATAGGAAGAGATTGGTCAATGACATAAAATTACAATTAGACAGGAGAAATAAGTTCTGGTGTTCTATAGCATAGTTGGGTGACTATAGTAAACAGTATTATAGTTTGTATTTCCAAATAACTAGAAGAGAGGATCCTGAGTTCTCACCACAAAGAAATAATGTTTCAGGAGACGGATATGCGAAAGCCAATGTACACATGTATCCAATCATTATGATGTACTCCATAGATGTGTGTACTTATTGTGTATCAATTAAAAACACAATTCAAAAATTGTCATGGGTTTGCTCTTTTTTTTTGCATTACAAAGTGACATCTATTTCTTGACTACATGCTAGGTGATTAATTATAAAATGGCTCTGTGCATTGAAGCATCTCTTTCAAGAGCTTTACAACCTGACTTTTGGGAAAGATACATTGTATCTTTTGAATGATTCAATAGTGAAATTTATTTCTGAGTTTACCATTTTGTGATTTCTGAATTTTTTCACTTTCAGCATTTCCACTAGTGTTTTATTTACTGGTTCCACAAATCAGTCAGTTTCATCAAATTTGCCAACTGCAAGCCTAAACCATTGGAAATTGGCATAATGAATGTTCTGAGTGAGAATATATATGTTATTAGGAATATTTTAAATATAAGAAAATGTGATACAAACCTGGCTGCCAAAATATGGCAAAAATGTAAACAAAAATTGATGTGTAAAAAATACCACTGTATTTAAAAGGGATAAAACTAATCAGATAGTATTTTAAAGCTGATGTCTTGATGGCACAATTTTAAATTGAAGTGCTATGGGGGATATTGTCTTACTGGTATTTGCAGTTTGGGCTCAAAAAACCAGAAACTATATCTTTAAGGGTGTTTAACAGAATAATTCTAAATATTATAGTTTTCTCTTTCCTTTTTGTTGTCCTGTGATTTTAACTTTGACATTCTTATGTGACAATTGAAAAAGTCTCTTCACTTTTGTGTATTCTTTCTAATGTGATCAGGAGAATTAAAATGAACATTTTCTTTCATAAAGCTGAGAGTTAATTCTGAAACGTTGTACCAGAATACTTTTATGAATGAAAGACTAGCCTTTGAACCCTAGGAGAGTCAACTCTACACCAACCCTGTCTATTAAAAAAAGTCTGTGCTTACAGATGTCTTGTGTGAGATGTGGCTTTACCAAAAGTATCTGAACTTCAAATTTCTCCTATCACTGCCAACTACCCATGGGTATTGGCAATATATTTGGTAGACTTATTTCTTCTGTAGGCATATGATGCCATGGCCAAAGTGAACTCTACATTTTTAAGAGAGGCTGCTAAATATGGCCAATCACAACAGAAAACTAGCATTTCTCCAATTTGGCAGTGGTTTCTGGATGGCACACCCAGACTTACTTCCTTAAGCAATGCTGATATATGGAAATGCCATGATAGAGGCTCAGAAGCTAACACTGAATTCAGCAGTGCAGAAAAACTCCAAATCATGTGGTTCTTCTTTGTCAATATTTTCACTAAGGCAGCATAAGATATTAAATCACCTGGAATTAGTTATGTGCCATTTCAGCAACCTTTTGTGCTCAGTCTGCTACAAGCTGCTTGTGCTGATTAGCAGTTTAAAAGTCTGCAGGGGAAGGAAATTTTCAGTAGCTTGATTTTCCCCCACCCTTTGGTCCTGTGTGCATTGGGGAAGAAATTACCTTCTGTGCAATTCCTGAATAATTTGGTTTGATTATTAATAGATTCATGCTGAAAAAAGAACAATAACAGAAAAAAAATTACCCATGGGGTTGCAGCTGTGCTCCCAGATACAAAACAGGGAAAGAAAACAGGTCTCTCCAAGCAAAGGGTATATGTGTATACGTGTGTGTGCATGTGTAGCTCTGATTCTAAGAAGCCATTGGTTCATTTATTCATGCATCAAATATTTATTGAGCTGCGAACAAATCCCAGGCACTGTGAGGAAGACAGATTTCCTGCCCTCCCAGAGTTGCCATTACTAAGAATGTTAGCCAATAAATAAATCTTTACGGGAAAGAAACAAAGGACTGTGATAGAAAAAAATGGGAGGAGAAACTTACTTTAGAAAGGATTATCTGAGAAGGTGCCTTTCACGCTGAGCCAGAAAGGGAAGAAGGCAAACAGGAAAAGAGCCAGAAGAGCAGAGTTCCCAGCAGAGGGGAAGCAAGTGGAGAGGCGGTGTGGAGGAATCAATTTGGCCCCATCTGGAATGGACAGAAGGCTAGAACCTGCAGTGCAGTGAGTGTGGGAGAAACCAGCTGGCACAAGGTGAGCTTAGGGCAGATCACATAAGGCCTTGTAGGTCATGGACAACAATATGGATTTAAGTGCAGTATAGGAACTTCAAAGGAATTCCAACAGTTAAGCTAGTTGATGTAATTTGTGTCTATATGTATATATATTTATATATACAAACAAAACAAACCTTGGCTGTTGCATGCAGAGTAGATTGCAATGGAGAGGAGGACCAGTTGGTATTCCGCAAGGGAGATAAGAACAGCTTAGGCTTGAATGAGGATGTGATAAAGGGGATTTTATGAGCAAGGCTGTTTTATTATTTTATTTATTGTACTTCTATTAAGATGATATGGGTGCTTTGGGGGCTGTTGTAAATTATAACCCACAGCCCCTGCACAGGAAACCTCCACAGGAAACAATCAAAGAATAAGTGGTTGTGAGATGACAAGGTTTACGATACGTGTTTTCAGGCTTCTTAATAGCAGAGTGATTGGGTGATTTCCAAAAGACCTCAGGGCTGGGATGGGTGAAATTTTGTGAGCTTCTGGATTGGATGAGGGTGTGCTCTTGCAGAAAGAATTCCTGAATACTTTCTGCACTGACAGAACCTGCTTATTAATTCTTACAGCAGTTATGTTTTAGAAGATGAAAGACCCTTTCCATTCAATTATTGATCATAAGCATGATGTGTGTTGATTAAAATGGCATGATAATGGTATCAAATGGAGTTTGGATATCTTTTTCCTTAATATACTTTTGTGTATCATATTTAAGTTTCCTCAAGTCAGTAGAGAAGATGTTACCCACATCCTCTTTTCCAAAGAAGGAATCATTTGATCATTGAAAGGTTTACTGAATAGAAAATAAATTATGTTGACTTTAGCACAAATTCCTGCCCTAAGTTTTAGCCCATATATTGATGATGTCAAGTGCTGCTAAATGTGTTCTTCTTCTATAAAAATTAAAGTTTAAGCTTTGGATGCTAACTTTCAAATCTATGTGAAATGATATGATTTATTGTGATATAAAGAATGACATAAAGAACAAAATAATACTTTTTTAAATTTATGAGGAAAAAGACAACAGAAAGGAAAAATGGGCAAAGAAAGAGAACACGTTTCATGCAAATCAAAACCACAATGAGATACCATTTCGCACCGGTCAGAATGGTTATAATTGAAAAGTCAAAAAGTAGGCCGGGCGCACTGGCTCACACCTGTAATCCCAGCACTTTGGGAGGCCAAGACGGGCGGATCACGAGGTCAGGAGATCGAGACCGTCCTGGCTAACACGGTGAAACCCCGTCAGTAAATAAAAAATACAAAAAAATTAGCTGGGCATGGTGGCGGGCACCTGTAGTCCCAGCTACTCCAGAGGCTGAGGCAGGAGAATGGCATGAACCCGGGAGGTGGAGCTTGCAGTGAGCCGAGATCATGCCACTGCACTCCAGCCTGGGCGACAGAGTGAGACTCTGTCAAAAAAAAAAAGGTCAAAAAATAAAAGATGCAGGTGAGGTTGTGTGGAGAAAAAGGAAGAGAAAGTACACTGTTAGCGGGGGTGTAAATTAGGTCAACCGTTGTAGAAGACAGTGTGGTGACTCCTCAAAGACCTGAAGACAGAAATACCATTCAATCCTGCAATCCCATTACTATATATATTCCCAAAGGAATATAAATTTTTACATTATGTTAAAAAGACACATTCATATGTATGTTCATTGCAGCACTATTCACAATAGCAAAGACATAAAATCAACCTAAATGCCCATCAATGACATCAATAACAGACTGGATAAAGGAAATGTAGTACATATGCACCATGGACTATTATGCAGCCATTAAAAAAGAATGAGATCATGTCCTTTGCATGGACATGGATGGAGCTGGAGGCTATTATCCTTAGCAAACTAATGCAGGACCTAATGCAGGAAAACCAAATACTGCATGTTCTCACTTATAAGTGGAAGCTAAGTGATGAGAAAACATGAACACTTAGAGGAGAACAACACACACTGGGGCCTACTTGAAGGTGGAGGGTGGGAGGAGGGAGAGGATCAGAAAAATTAACTAATGGGAACTAGGCTTAATGAAATAGTCTGTACAACAAACCCACATGACACAGGTTTACCTGTGTAACAAACTGGCACATGTACCCCTGAACTTAAAATGAAAGTTTTTTAAAAAAGAGAACACATTTCAGAAAAAAACTCAAATGGCCAAAATACATACTAAGATAGACAACCTCATGAATAGTCAGGGGAATGCACATTGAAATCACAGTGAAACAATTGTTCATCTACATCATTGAATAATACTTAGTATCTAAAAGGGATGGACTACTGATATATGCAACAAAATAAATGACTCTTAAAAGCATTATGCTAGGTGAAAGAAAGTTACATACTGTGGGATTTCATTTATACGATATTTTGGAAAAGGTGAAATTGAAGGGATAGCAATAGAATCATTGTTTTTAAAGACTGGGGAGGGTGGTTGACGACTGACATGATGGGAATACTGTGTGCTGATTGTGGTGGTATTAATACCCCATCTACCTTTGTCAATATTCATTGAATTGTACCTTTACAAATTTGGTTATTGTGATGTATGTAAATTAAACCTTCAATGATCTGATTTTAAACATTACAGTGAAGTCAGGAGTGGTGGTATGCACCTGTAGTTCCAGCTACTCAGGAGGCTGAGGTGGAAGGATCTCTTGAGCCTGGAAATTCGAGGCTGTAGCATGGGTGTCCAACCTTTTGACTACCCTGGGCCACATTGGAAGAAGAAGAATTGTCTTGAGCCACACATAAAATACACTAACACTAACGATAGCTGATGAGTTGTTTTTTTTTTAAAAAAAGGTCCATGCATAATTTTTGTGATATCTGTCATGCCACCACAGATATCAAAGAAGTCCTCACATTCAAAGGATTTTACACCTATGCATGTAGAATGCTATAATTGCACCTGTGAGTAGCCACTGCACTCCAGCTTGGGCAACATAGTGAGATCCCATCACAAAAAAGACTCACAATGAGAAAATGTTATCATTTATTAGACTACAACAATGAAAATATGTAGTACAGAATCTTGTGAAGGTGTTAGGAAATGAGAACGCTCATGCTCTGTTGGTGTGAGTGGACAGTGGCATAACCTCCTTTTAGAGGAGGAATTTCACATCAGCTAGTAAAGTTGAACATGTTTTAACCCACACCTTCGAAAGTCTGATAAACATTTACAATCAATTGTCTCTGAAGCCTACTACCTGGAGGCCTCATCTGGATAGAACCTTGGTCTCCACAACCATCCTTATCTTAACCAAGACACTCCCTTCTATCGATTCCAGGTCTTTAGATAAACTCCTTGGACTAGTTGCCAATTAGAAAATCTTTGAATCCACCTATGACCTGAAATCCCACACTCACCCACTTTGAGTTGTCTCACCTTTCCAGAATGAACCAATGTACATGTTTCATGCATTTATTGATGTCTTATTTCTCCTTAAAATGGATAAAACCAAGCTGTAGCCCGACCACCTTGGGCACGTGTTCTCAGGATCTCCTGAAGCTGTGTCATGGGCCATGGTCACTCGTGTGGCTCGGAATAAATCTCATCAAATATTTTACAGAATTTGACTCTTTTCATTGACACTAATCATCATTGTAAAATTAAGACTATAGTAATCAGTGCATTTTGAGCCCTCAGTTGTTCAAGTACTATCACAGAAGATCGATATCAACTTTTGTTTCAGCTCCAGATTAAAAGGTGAGCCTATTAGAGTGTTTATGTGTAGCAGACCCTACACTTATTCAAAGAATCATTTGCTTAGATCTAAGAGAAATCTCATCCCTTTTACTTTTAATATCATGGTCCTTGTGAAAGACCAGACAAAAAGTCAACCCAGTTAGTTCCTTAAAAGAGGAAAAGTAGAGGGAATTCGCATGAGCAACACCTCAGTACTTAACAGTCATTCAAGGACTTATGCATCAACAGTACTTGGCATTTCATGTAATCCTTCCAATGTTCTTATCAGTTCTGTGTGTTCTTACCATTGAAATATAGATGTGCACACCATTGAAAAGTTTAAATCATTAATTTAGTATTAAGTTAACAAGAACATAGATGCTACACCTAAACTTATCCAAGATATTAATCCATTGTGCCTTAGTACTTTATTGACTCAATTTATAAAAATATTGTATGTGTTCAGTAAAAATATAACTACATTTAAGACATAAGTTTGATTTTATGACTTAGGTTTCTGTAAGAAGCAGCATACTTTTAACTCAGGCTTATGAATATAATATCACTTCATCTCCTTACAAAGTAATTAGAATAAAGGCAGCATATATTTTGTATGAACTAAAAAGAAGTACAAAATATTGGTCCCCAAAATTAAAATGTAAGTTCTTAACTACACATTTCTATGCTATATTACTTGTATTAGTTTCCCATTATGGTAATAACCAAGTTCCTCAAATTTAGTGGCTTAAACCAACATACCTTTTTCTGTTAGAGATCTGAAGTTTAGAAGTCCTAAAATCAAGGTGGCAGCAGGGCTGTACCTTTCTAGAAGCTCTAGGGGAGAATCTGTTTACTTGCCTTTTTTTTAGCTTCTAGAGGCCACTTGCACTCTAGCTCACGGTCCTGTTGGAGCTCAGGGGAAGCTGCCCTCTTGCCCTTGGATGGTTTGCTGAAAAATGAAGCCACAATAAGGCATGTTAATAAGAAGAAAGCATAAAATTTATTTACCCATATGCATGTGGAGAATCACAGAGTGATTACCTAATTACCCAATCAAACCCAAACACTTATATAACCTCCTTTCAGAAGAGCGGGGGTAGATGGGAAATATAGGTAATTCCTTTGACGGACATTACATGATTACTAGGGAAAAGTAAATGGATCCTTGGGAAAACGAATAGATGGACTTGTAAATGATTTGGAAGTTGAATGAACTTCAGAGACAGGCACTATTTTGTAGAAAGGCTGTGCCAGTTCTGAATACATTCTTTCACTCCTGTCTTGAAATAGATAATGAGATAACAGGGAAGGGAAGGAAAAACAATTTTTTTTTTGGTGGATCCATCCTATTTTTATGAAGATGGGGAAAAGTCTCTTCTAACGCATATTGATTTCTAAGGGATTTTAATTCAAAGTATTCATTACTTCCAGGGAATCATATTTTGGGGTGAAATTCTCTGTGTTTTTTTAGTGCCATCCTTCATTTTTATAGCCAGCAGTATAGCATCTTCCAATTTTCCTTTCTTTCTGGGCTCTGTCCTCAAAACATCTTTTCAGATTCTGACCCTCCAGCTTCTCTTGTGTAAAGACACTTGTTATACATTGGCCCACCCACATAATCCAGGACAATATCTCCCTCTCAAAATCCTGAATCACCTTACATTTGCAAAGTCCTATTTCCAATGTAAGGTAATATTCTCAGGTCCTAGCAACTAGGACACGAACATCTTTGGGGTTATTATTTTAATCAGTTGCTCCACCCTTTAAACTCTTTTCTGGTTGATATATCCATAAAATTAAGTGACATTCGGGTGAAGTGTCATCACCCATCACTATCCCTATCTGATATAAAACAATGATACTTAAGTGAAGTGTTATAGGAATACAAATTTGCACTATGAAGTTAATATTAGAAGATAAACATCCTCTAAATATTATCTTATGGAGGTAAGATGACTTTTGTGTGAGGACTATACCATCTTTTATTCTTGGAGTAATTTACTATTCAGAATGTGGTCAGTTTTGGCACGTTGTCAGAACTGCAACTGTGTAAGGAATAAAGAATAAGACCTATCTCAGAAGGTTGTTGCAATTATTAAATAAATTATTATTTTGGCATATAGACTTGCTATGTATTTACTGCAGTTGTTAATATTAGATCCATGTGAACTATCAAAAATTGTATTATAATTGTCCAACAGGTTCTTCTTGCCCACTGCATGGATAGGGCAAATTCACTGAGACAGCGGTATTACAGTAGAGAAAGAGTTTAATAATTGCAGGCCCAGTGAAGCAGAAGGACTGGATTTATTATTACTCAGATCAGCATCTCTGAAAGCTCAGAGGCTAAGGTTTTTCCAGGATAGTTTGGTAGGCAGGGGGCTAGGGAATGGGAAATGCTGATAGGTTGGGGCAGGGATGAAATCATAGGGGTCAAAGCTGTCTTCTTACATGAAGTCACTTCTTGGGTGGGAGCTCCAGGACTGGTTGAATTAGTTCCTTGGTATGAGTCACAGATCCTGGTGGAGTCAGCTGGCCTGCCCAAATGCAAGAGTCTGAAAAATACCTCAAAGACTAATCTTAGGTTTTCACAATAATGATGTTACCTATAGGAGCAATTGGGAAGGTTACAAATCTTGTAACCTCTGGCACAATGGCTGGTTATTGTTTAACTGTACCTACATCCTAATAGAGTTCAGGCCCCTCCCATAATCCTAGTCTTGTGGCCTTTTATTACTTTTACAAAGGTGGTTTTGGTCCCTGAACAAGGAGGGAGTAGTTTGGGGAAGGGCTATTTTTATCCTTGTTTTAAAGTTAAACTATAAACTAAATTTCTCCCAAAGATAGCTTGGCCTATGTCGAGGAATGACCAAGGACAGCTTGGAGTTGAGAAGCAAGATGGAGTCAGCTATGTCAGATTTCTCTTTGATATAGTTTGAATATATATCTCCGCCAAATCTAATGTTGAAATGTAATCCCCAGTGTTCGAGATTAGGCCTGGTAGGAGAGGTGTTTGGGTCATGGGAACAGATCCCGTATGGCCTGGTGCTGTCCTCGTGATATAGAGTGAGTACTCATGAGATCTGGTTGTTTAAAAGTAGGTGGCTCCTCCCCAACTAAGTCTCTCTCTAGCTTCTCCTTCCACCATATGGTGTGCCTGCTCCAACTTTGCCTTCTACCACGAGTAAAAACTCCCTAATGCTCACCCAGAAGCCAAGCAGATGCCAGTGCCATGCTTGTACAGCTTGAAGAAGCATGAGCCAGTGAAAACTCTTTTCTTTACAAATTACCCGGTCTCAGGTATTTCTTTATAGCAATGCAAGAATGGCCTAATACATTTATTGTCATAATTTTGCAAACGTAGCTTCCCTGTTGGCTACATCAAATTGAGGGTTTGCTAGGATAGAAAAGTGGAAAATATCAATTAAACAACTCAGAGCCGGGTGCAGTGGCTCACGCCTGTAATCCCAGCTACTCAGGAGGCTGAGGCGTGCAGATCACCTAAGGTCGAGAGTTCAAGACCAGCCTGGCCAACATGGTGACACCCCATCTCTACTAAAAACAGAAAAATTAGCCAGGTGTGGTGGCTCACGCCTGTAATCCCAGCTACTCAGGAGGCCGGGCGGGAGAACACTTGAACTCAGGAGGCAGAGGCTGCAGTAAGCCAAGATCTCGCCACTGCACTCCAGCCTGAGTGACAGAGTGAGACTCTATCTCAAAAAGAACTCAAAAAGATTGTGTTAGGTACTTACAGACTAGAAGATTATGTTAATGAATCTTTTATTCATTCAACATATAATTATTGCCCACTGAGTATGTAACACGTTTTCTGTTATGTTTAGAAATAATTATGAGCAACTCAGAATGATCTCCACCCTCAGAGAGTGTACAGTCTACCTCAGTATGTAGATGATTAATAGACAAACAATAAGTGTTGAATGTTGCACAAACTGTCCTTTATTTGATCCTTAGAGTTATATAGCATATTTAAACATTTTGAAGTTTGAAAATGCATACAAATTAGAGAGACATCCAATAAGGTAGGACTTGGGTTAATGTTTACTTTCCTCAAGCACGAGAATAGTATGTGAGAATTAAGAATTAATTGTTAAAACACATCTTTATATTTCTTTATGAGACAACTCTTGAAGCAAAAGTGAAAGCTGGCTCAAACACAGTTCAATTACACAGACGTATACACACACTTATAGTCACACACACACACAAAACCACCACTGTCCAGGAACTAAACAATAATTGTACTCTTCTAGATATGTAAAATCAAGCGAGGAACAGTTAAGAATAGGTTATGGCCAAGCGTGGTGGCTCACGCCTGTAATCCCAGCACTTTGGGAGGCTGAGGTGGGCAGATCACGAGGTCAGGAGATTGAGGCCATCCTGGCTAACTCTGTGAAAACCCGTCTCTACTAAAAATTCAAAAAATTAGCCAGGTGTGGTGGCAGGCACCTGTAGTCCCAGCTACTCGGGGGGCTGAGGCAGGAGAATCACTTGAACCTGGGAGGCGGAGCTTGCAGTGAGCCGAGATAGCACCAGTGCACTTCAGCCCGGGAGACAGAATGAGACTCTGTCTAAAAAAAAGAGACACGTTAATCTTAACTTTTTTTGAGAGAGTCTCGTTCCGTCGCCCAGGAGAGAGTGCGGAGGCACGATCTCAGCTCACTGCAACCTCCACCGTCAGGTTCAAGTGATTCTCGTGCCTCAGCCTCCTGAGTAGCTGGGACTACAGGCATGCACCACTATGCCCAGCTAATTTTTTATATTTTTAGTAGAGACGGGGTTTTACCATGTTGGCCACGCTAATGTTGAGCTCCTGGTGTCATGTGATCCGCCTGCTTCGGCCTCCCAAAGTGCGGATCCCAAAGTAGGATTACAGGCATGAGCCACCATGCCAGGCTGAAAATTCTGTATTCTATTATATATTATATAATAGAATATTTTATATATATATACTTATATATTATATAATATATAATTATACACACATATATATTTTTTAATTTTATTATTATTATTATTTTTTCTGAGACGGAGTTTTGCTCTGTCGCCCAGGCTGGGGTGCAATGGCGTGATCTGGGGTCACTGCATCACCGCAACCTCCAACTCCCGGATTCAATCGATTCTCCTGCTTCAGCCTCCCGAGTGGCTGGGATTACAAGCGCACACCACGCCCAGCTAATTCTTGTATTTTTAGTAGAGACAGGGTTTCACCATGTTGGCCAGACTGTTCTTGAACTCCTGACCTCAGCAGATCCACCTGCCTTGACCTCCCAAAGTGCTGAGATTACAGGCGTAAGCCACCGCGCCCGACCTGTAGTACCTATATTTTTTATTTTTCTCCAATCTTTTAATCTTTTAATCATTCTCCAAAATGTTGCCTTTCTTCTCAATGCTTAGCAGACAATTTGATAAACAAGGATCCTTTTCTAAGTAGACTTCATATAGGAGAGTTTTCAAAACAGAATAAGAAGGGCATATTATTCCTTGTCAAAATATTTTCTTGTTGAAAATGGAAAGTTTTTGCTAAAAGCTGAAATGCATGGCAGATTAATTTATGCCTATTACTTCAGGTAAATAATTTCACCAGGAGTCTTCATAGGTAAAATGAATGTTTATGCTTGATAAAAAAGTAGCAGTTGTTGATTTCAACAGGTTTAAGAAGCGTAAATGTTGTCCACCTCTTCTTTCCATCCCATGCACATCTTACTTTTACTCTAGTAACTACCACCCATGAATGTCCATCTATTAAACCCAAGCAGAGAGTAGTTTTTAAAATATTCCTTTCCTGTTTTCTGTTGAACTATTTTATAGACAAGCTATATAAAAAAGAAACACAAGGAACAAAAAATGATATCTTATTCTAGTGAAGGAAATCCAAAGTTGGGGTCTAGAATACAAATACACCTGTGTGCAAGCTCCAGTGATGCCAGTTCCTAGTACTGGAGAGCATTGTGACTCTGAGCAAAAGAGGGAAGACAAACATATGAACAGAAAACCTCGTCTTTTCTCAAACATCCTCAATGACTGTTACATGAAAATGAGGACTATCAGGCTCATATCATTTTCAAAGACAATAGGTGATATGCATGTGGAGAACAAATACAAAAGGCATGCATAGAAATCAAAAGTGATTAAAAATAGTCTGAATTCTGGAGACAATAGCATGTGTGGACGGACAGATGCTACAGATTTAATGCTGACATATCAGAGATGAAATGTCAGCTTTCTTTATTACCAGTAGCTCTCAGCTTTTCAGGCAAATCGTTCTTTGTACTCTACGTTCTTTCTCCTTATGGAGTTCCTTCTTGATGCCTCTTCCTACTTCTTCACATCTTTCTACTCCTTGAGATACCTGCACTCATTGCTTGCACTTCTGTTAGTGATTTTGTTACAGTATTGTGCTGTGTGTTTCCAGGAGTGGAGCCAAAGTGAAGGAAGCCCAGAAATGCCTGTCAAGGGAGACTATGAGATGATAACAGCACTCGTCTTTTTCCTTGTGCTTCTTGCAGTTAACACCCACATCTATCTATCCATCTATTTGTGTATCTCTGTGTCTGTCTGTCTGACTATCGATCTATCCATCACCCATTCATCTACTCATTTATTTTGGCATACAGCTTTTCGATAGAGGCAAACACTGCCTAATGGAATTGATCTACAACAAGACCATAGCTGGAGTGAAAGAACCAGGACTCAGAAGTTAAAACCAAAGTTAATGTTATTGGAATGTATAGTCTTAAAAACAATATGTTTTTTAAGGACAATTTTAATTCAATTAAGTGTGCAATGAAAACACAGGGGAATGTTTGAAGAATCTTTTATCTTTTACCCAGGTGATGTGCTTTTCGACAGGATTACATTTAGTCTAAGAGGTAGAAAAACGTCACCAACGACACCTTAAAGGCTTACCCCAACCACCAGAAAAATATTTGTACTATTTCCTTCTTAAACTTTGCACAACTTTTTATGTAGATATTAAGTGTTCAAGGGGATCCCTGCACATGGATGAAGTCATGTTTGCATACACTCAGTGTAAATATGTGTACACACACACACACACACACACACAGCAGGGGAAATATTTCTCAAATGACTACACTTAGGTTACTTTCCATCTCTATTTATTTTCTTCTGTGGAATAATGCAGACTAGAACTAACATAAATTGAATGCTCATGAGACCACACATCTTCACATGGTATAGAGTGTGTTATCGCAGCAATTTTATAATGGCTCATTAACCCCTGTGAGAGGCCAGTAATATGGGATAGCAACGGATTTCTATCAACTCCATGAGGGAGATAAGTAAGGTGGCATCTTATGTAGATTTCTAAATCCTCTACTTTGAAATCAGCTCAATGGCATATTTTAAACTCAAAATAGAATGTCTTCTGGTTCCTAATGGTTGATTTAATGGTGGATTTGACCATATGTGTATCAGATGTAAAAAGTATTGTCCACTAAGTGGAGTAAAAAATGATCTTTTACAGAAGGAAAAAAAAACTGATTTAAATCTTTAGATTCTCATGGGATCTCATTAAGGTTCTCTTTCTTTAATACATTGTGCAGCCTAATAGTTATCAGCAGCCCTGCGGTGTGCATTGCTGATAGGTTAGTTTACACAGGATTAATTGTGTAATTTTGCAAGCAACCAGCACAGTGAACACTGATTTTTGCATTAGCCCCATGTGTTGTTTCCAAGGGGACTCTGCTTTCTATTTTAAGGTGGTGTTACATTTCACTTCTTATTAATTATAATTTCTGCTAGCATGTTTTATGCCCAATATGATTTATTAAAAATCCTTCATAATGTTTTTTTCCTAATTGTTATGTCCTTCGGTAACTTCATTAATTTTGAGCACTGATGTGTAAAAAATGGCAGGAGAAAATGGCATTCACAGAAGGTTCTCTGACCAGCCAGTTTCCCCATGCCCCCGTTGATAAGTTGCCACAAATCTTTTGCTAAAATACAGACACAAATTCAGTTGCAGCCACTCCAGGTATGCGAAGTGAATAATCAGTGCAGGCAACAACCTGACAATACTACATTCCTCAAACCAAAAGAATGCGAATGTTCAAAGAAGTGTTGGCTAAGCAGAACTCAGTCCATTTTCCACAATACGTAGCTTAGTATTTTCCAGAAATACTTGTGTATTCGGAAGAATTAGAGGAAGGAAACTTTTGTTTGAATTTTCCACATAATAGCTTAGTTCAATACTCAGCTACTACATTTTATCGACTCTTGGTGGGATTATGAAATGCCTATTGAGGTTTCAGTGGAATCTTTATAGCTGGACTTGATATTCTTTTACATGGTTTTGAAAAAACAAAACAAAACAAAATGTTGACTGTGCACAGTTTAGAACTTAATCTTTAAATTCTTTTTGCCTTGAACTTGAAAATCAATTATCTGTCTGTGCCCCACCACCTCTTCCCTCATCTCAGCCTTCACGAGATAAAATTTCTCTCCCTCCGGAGCACATGGTCTCTCAAAGGGGAAGAGTCACATCTCCTTGTCTGTGCAGCTGTTGCTTCGTTTTGTTTAGGGTGGATCTTCTCTCCTTATCCCCGTGAGTTTCTATAGTATTATAAAGGCCCAATAAGGTTCTGTACAAAGTGGGTACTTAAAATGTGTCCTGAGTGACAAACTGGCCCCCACTGGAAGAACTCTTTAAAACACTCTGTTACCAGAGCTTCAAAAAGGGCTTGTTTCTGAAGGATCAAAGGATCTCTTGTATAATAAATTCTGAGCATTCAGTACATAATGAAGAGAAGAAAACATGTCTTTTAAGCTCCTATATGATGCCTGGATTATGTGAAGAGATGAAGGAAGTGGTGACTCTTTCTGGCTTTTGTGTCATTCACATTAAACAGGAATAGATGAAAGCAAAGGCTTAACACTGACAAAATCCCAAGTAGGCAGGCTCTGCATCCACAGCCTGTTCACACATTCATAACAAACCACCAGCTGATGACTTGAAAAAAATATGATTTTCTTTCTAGTGAAAGACTGACTTTGTTTTGTGTTTTGTGCCTTTTTTAAACATCTACCTTCAGAAAGTATAAACCTTTTTTTTTTTTGACAGAGTGATTGGGTTACAATATTGTTACAGAAGGACTAGAATTAGAATCACAATACTTGGGTGCCACACTTGACCTTTGTCACTTGTTATGTATGACACTAAGGAAGTAATTTAGTCTGTAAATTAATTTTATTTTTCATCATTTATAAATAAACCTAGTAAAATGAACATGAATAGTTGTTTCAAGGGTTTAATTTAAAAATCATTTTTGTATTGTGGTAAAATGTAGACTCTTATATTCTTATAGGCAGATTGCAATAAAACTCTACTAAGCAATTACACTAGATTTTATTTCTCTAAATTAAGGCTGAACAATCTCTTTTTTCAGTTCCACTTTGTCTGAGTAGTTTGAATGGCCCAGATCAGAGATGATTTTTGAGACTGTTGTTATTGTGTTTGATAGATTGTGCTCATGAAGGCACGTGCATATTTATGGAGAAAGAATCCTTAGCTTTCCCCAGATGCTCACATGTGTTTGTGATCCTAATGGGGTTAAGAACCCTTAACCTGATAATCTCAACCAATTTTCCTTTCACATTAAGTGGGAGTCCTACTATTTTAGTATTAAGTACCAGAAGGGTGAATTTTATATGTTACTTTATATTTACTATCGGTTTTGTCTAACAGGAATTTTGTGCAGTAAAATATCTACCTTTCAAATTCCCTGGGAGGAGAAAGACAATGCATACTGGAGATATGAACACTTTTCCACAATACTTATAAAAAATAAAAATAATTACCTTGGTGATTTCCCATAATTAAGGCAGATTTTTTTCCTTCCTCCTTCCTCTCCTCTCTTTTTTACGTTAACACCACCACCCTCATCATTACCACTGCCACTTTTCTCTCTTCCCCTTGAACAGAGTAGATAATTGCATATGTACAATTTCCTAGAGAACTGAAGCAGGCTTAGCCCATAGTTGAACTAAGTTTCAAAGTTTGCAAAGTAAGACTGGATTAACTATATTTTCTGCTAAGTGTTGGTTTTAATAAAAAAAGAAGTTTATATTCATTGAAATTTTCAGTTGGGAGTACATGTTTTAAAACCTTATTTCTTCCTTTTTTTTTTTTTTTTTTTTGAGATGGAGTCTCATTCTGTCACCCAGGCTGGAGTGCAGTGGCACAATCCTGGTTTATTGCAACTTCTGCCTCCTGGTTCAAGCAATTCTCCTGCCTCAGCCTCCTGAGTAGCTGGGATTACAGGTGCCTGCCACCATGCCTGGCTAATTTTTGTATTTTTAGTAGAGACGGGGTTTCACCATGTTGGCTAGGCTGGTCTCAAACTCCTGACCTCTGGTGATCCACCCTCCTTGGCCTCTCAAAGTGCTGGGATTACAGGCATGAACTACCACACCCAGCCTAGACCTTATTTCTTAATCTCTGAATGTGTTTGGTGTGACACTCAACTATACTTTCAGCTTACCTAGCCCAATATAAATTTTATTTTAATGAATGGTTTCCAACATTTTGACTCTCCTCATGTTAAAAAATCTCTGGATTTCCTTATATTTGATTTCTGTACTTATCAGTATTTGGCAGGAAGACAAGTCATGGCAACAACTGATGGCTGACGAGACGTTATGCTTGGAATTCGTATATTCATCTCCTTAACTGAGAAGGTTTTGGTGTCTACCATTACTGACCTCACTGTGAGGAGGCACCGGAGAATCATGATCTCATTCTGTGTATTGGCATGTCATTACACATTATTAATTTGGTCTTTTGAGTGACACAACTGTTTTTGTATATCGGTGTGTTTGTGCACTGTCCCTGGAGCTCTTTGTACTAAGTTATTTTTATTTCATTTTCATTAACAATATTTTGGGAATTGTCATTGAATTTGTACCTTTTCTACCTTGCACTTTACAATAATTAGCATATTATTATAGTAAATTAGAAGTTTAATAATTAAGGTAACATTTAGATCCTGTCAATAACTATAGCCTACTTTATTTTTTGAACGTTTTACTATGCCCCTTTGTAACAGTTTTAGGTTTTTTAAAGAGTCATTAGAGTCACTTATTTATGCTCTGCTGATTAGCTATTTATTTTCACAGTTTTACAAGTTAGATGTTCGTACTTAGATATTTTTTACAGATCGAAGTTTCTATTTGCTCATGAGTAGCTATAAAATAATAATTATCATTAGGTTAGATATTTTCTGTGTTACAGTTTGCCATTTATATATTCTCATTGCCACCCTGTGAGTGAAATGAATCAGAGGTTGTTAGCTCCAGTTAAAAAAAAAATGAAGAAAGAGACCTTCAGAGAGGTTGGCTAAATGGCTTGCTAGTAAGTGCCTGAGATGGTGCTGTTCTGTTCATTTAACTTTACATTTTAGTCTAGAATTTTCTCTGTTACTCCACTTCCTTTTCTACTCAAAGACCTTTTTATAAAAGAAACCAGGGAGCACTTAAAATTTGTTCTCTAAGTTTAGAGCTGGACTCAAACCATTACTGGCAAAATCAATCTGGTCCTTTCTTTCCTCCTTTTTTTTTTTTCTTTCTCTCATAATGAATCAAGACATCCAGCATCCTTGAAACCTTAAAGGTATCTGAGGATACAAAGATACCAAACTGGAGTTATCTTCCTGACACATAAATCTGATCTTGTCATTTCTTACTACAAATCCACGATGGTCTTTTACAAGATAAAGTTTAATTATCTGAGCATGACACCTAGGGCTCTTCACATTCTGTGCGATCCAACTTTTCAGCCTCGTCTCTTTTTATTATCTATTGCTTGCCCTTATACACCTCATCTTCAGCCTCCAAAATTTCATGTATCTTCTTGACTGTGCCCTGCTCTTTTAGGTTTCTGAGTTGCCTCTCTTGCTTTTCTATACCAGCCCCCAACCCCAACAGGAATGCCATTCTTTCATTTGTAGCTTGCTAAACTGGGTCACTTACCTAACCAAATAACTATGTGGCTTTGGAGAAAATACTGTTTTTATTTCTTAGCTTGTTTATTTTGATGTAAAAAAATGTAACGCATGATCATTAAAAATATATCTATTACATTAAGTCATCTTCAATTTCTGCTTACCACTTTCTTCCCATAAACAATGGTAGCAAGTTGATGTTTTTCTTTCTAATGTTATTTCTCATGTAGACATTGATACATAGTATTTTTCATAAGAGCAAAATTAAGCTCACATTCTATAAAAAATTTTGTAGTGCTTTATTTCACCTAATATTATACAAAGTCTCAGCATTCAATATTCTTTAAAAACACAACTTTTTAAAATTATAAACTTTTCTAATACATAACTATATTCTACATATTTAATTATTTCTCTATTATTGGGCACTTAGGTTGTCACCCAAATTTTATTGTTATAAATTACACTCAGTAAAGATTTTTCCATTGGTAGTTGGTGATATATTAATATGTTTAATCCAAACTTAGTTAGATTTCTAGATCTGGGCATACTGGCCAAATGAACATAAAAATCTATGTTAGAATATTTAAAGAAGTCAAAATGCTCATAATATTATGTAGAGATAAATAGCATATCATTTTTACGTATGTAATGTATTCATACACATATCTGTATGTGTGTATATGAGTGTAGCTATAGCACTGGGTGAATATTAATATATCAATTGAGGAAGGAAATACACTAAAATATTATTTTACAGATGATGTCCATTTTATTAGGTATATGTGTGTGTGTGTATATATATATATATGTATATATGTATGTATGTATACATATATATTTGTATTTTACCAAATATCTAGAGTGAGAATTTGTTACTTTTAGAATAAAACAAAACTCCCACAATTATCCACCTTAACCAATTGCTGTCTCCTACAAATCCTTTCCAACCAGACTTCATGGGTAGAAAGCGAGTTTCTGCTGGTGAAAGGGTGAAACTACTTGAAAATTATTTATTGTCTCCCAAGGTTCACTGCAGCATGAGACGTTACGTAGTTATCAAGACTAAAATACAAAGACAGCCCTGAAAATAGCTGGGGAGTGTGAAAATTAGTAATATTTAAAGTACTGAAAATTAGTGATATTTAAAGGAAAACAGAAAGTTTAGCTCTTGGTTTGCTTTGGGAGAGGACGGGACTCTGAAGCCCCCATGCTGGTGAGGCACGGATCTTGGAGGGTGGTCAGAGGTTGAAAGCCACTTGAGCAAATACTCAGTCCAAAGCAGCAGGTGCAATGGCTCAAGCAGGAAACAGAGTAATATCCTGAGATTGGCTATGTTTAGACAAGTTCCTATTTTGGGGACACAGGGCTCCCCATTCATGGGTGTGCCTTGAGTGCAGTGCCAGACACAGAATAGTCAAGTAATATGTTCTTGGATGAATAAACAAAGACCCTTTGTACAATGCTCTGGGACAGAAATGCTTCATAATAGTGATGTTAACATCTTTTCACACCTAAATAAGCCTAAAAGACTTCCAGGCAGTTTTCACATGTATTTCAGTGTGACTTAATGATTTATAATTCTTTTTTTATTACTATTATTATTATTATTATTTGTAATTATACTTTAAGTTTTAGGGTACATGTGCACATTGTGCAGGTTAGTTACATATGTATACATGTGCCATGCTGGTGCGCTCACCCACTAACTCGTCATCTAGCATTAGGTATATCTCCCAATGCTATCCCTCCCCCCTCTTTCTAAACATTATTAAAAATATTTGTGTCACTAATCTTGCGGCCATAAAGAACAAGAGTTTGCTTTAAAGGTGTACTGATGCTGCGATAACACCTATGGCAATATTTAAGGTTATCAAAATTATAAAGCTCCATCCTGGAGAAATGGTCATGTGACATTAGGCAATATGTAACTTCTTCATGCCTTAGTTTGGTCATTGTTAAATGAAGGACATTAAAAAAAAAGCAAAACCGTATCTACCTCATGGGTTGTAAGGATAAAATGAGTTAATAAAATGTAAAGCACTTAAGAGAGTGCCTGGCCTGTAGTTAGCCCTGTATAAATGTATCCCATTATCATTACCAAAGAAGCTTGACATTGGTATTAACTTGCCCACAATTAACTGGTGTGATCAGGCATTAGTTCAAGGTGGTATCTGAGGTTACTATCAGATACATTTTGGACTATATAGGAAAACATAGTGCTTCTCTATAAATTGTTTGCAGAATTACTACCACAAATTTTAATGGCCTTCTACTTCCAGGGGAGGCCATCTCTATTTGCATTAGAAAGTAATATAAAGTCAGAACTGGGTCCTATTTGAGATCTAAAAGATTATCTATTTGACTTATTCTTAACTTACAACATTGACATTTTTGCTTATTGCTTTCAAGACTGTTTCAAACATGATTTCTTTCGGTATACTATCTTTGACAGTAGTGAGAAAACAAGAGATGCCTCTGCCGTCATACTCCAAGGTGGGAAACAGAGGACTAGCACCTCCAGAAGAGGGCCTCTGGCTTCTGGGAGGTGGGGCTTTTAAGTTTCATGATTTGGTATTGGTGCTGGGATCTGAGTTTTCAGGTTTGACTATGCAACATGCTTGAAACATGGCCTCAAGGATTGTTTGGCTGCCTCAGCATTCATGGTGGGAAGACCAGCGTCTGAATGATAAGAGATTTGGACCTTGTGTGGCAGCATTTGGTCTCAGGCCCTGCTCCGCCTGCTTGATATTCTACTGTGATGAATTGGCTATAGCTGGTTTCCCAGGAGCTTTGTCATATCCACATTCGACTGCAGAAAAAAAACAGGAGTTAACTAACTTTCCCAAAGTGACACAGCTAGTAAGTGGCAGAGCTTATTCATTCACTCAAGAAAATATTTAGTGATGACCTGTTTTGTGCTACATGCTGGAGCTGGATGAAAACCCCAAAGTGTCTGAGTGTTACTGATATCATCAATCAGCCCCAGGTCCTTCTAGGTCAGCCTTCTATAGGGAAGGGAAGTGTTCTTGAGAATGTGTCTTGGTTCTCCATGATGTTCTTGGACAGTAGCAATGAAATGCATATCCTCATTTCTATGAATAAACTATGCCTGCACTGGCCAAAAATGTGTCTCTCCGTTTTTGGAAGCTATTTATTTCTTTAACATATATGATCTATTATAGTAATATAATTCTATTGTGTACGATTTGCCCTCAATTTATTTCTGGAGGATTTCCTGTCTTCCAAGTTGTAACAGGCCAAGGTTGTAGAAAACATTATACTGACATTTTCTGTGGCCCTTAACATTTTATTTCAGTCTATCTATTCTTTGTATTCATCTTTCCACACTAAAGATTTCTAATGTTTCTAATCTTCCTCTGTGTGAATCCCATGGCCCCAGCCTCTTAAATAATGTAGTGCCTTTCTCTGTACCTCCTTCAGTCCCATTATTAGAGAGTTTTTAAAAAATAATCATAGACTTTTAGGGCAAAAAAAAAAACCTTGTAAATAGCATTCAGTTGAAATTCTCATGTCGTGGATAAGGATTCTGAGGCCCCAGTTAGTTAGGAAACACGTCATTAATAGGGAGTGTTACTGACATAGCAAGGAATCAAACTCGTTAGGACCTCTGACTTGCCTTGGAATGTTCTTTGCTGATATCTCTCTATTACGCTGTTGGCTTCTAATATGGTTTGGCTCTGTGTTCTCACCTAAATCTTATCTCAAATTGTAATCCCCATGTGTTGGGGGAAGGACCTGGTGGGAGGTGATTGGATTATGGGGGTGGTTTCCCCCATGCTGTTCTCATGATAGTGAGTGAGGTCTCACAAGATCTGATGGTTTAAAAGTGTGTGGAAGTTCCCCACTCACTCTGTCTCTCTGCTGCCACCATGCAAGATGTCCCTTGCTTCCCCTTCACCTTCTGCCATGATTGTAAGTCTCCTGAGGCTTCCCAAGCCATGCAGAACTGTGAGTCAATTAAACCTCTTTTCTTTATAAATTACCCAGTCTCAGGAAGTTCTTTGTAGCACTGTGAAAACAGGCTAAAATACAGCCTCCTTTAGACAGTTGAATATAGCTTAAAAATAGTAAAAGACTGAGGTATAATCAGTATGGAGTCCTTTTCTCAAAGTATTTTAGATGAGTGATGCAATAAGAAAGAGGGTCTACTGTAGATAAAGGCACAGGCCTTGAGGTTACACACATTAGGTTCGTATCTTGGTGTTGACATTTATTGTCATTGTAACTTTGTAAATCATACCTAACTTAATTGAATTCGTTTAATCTTATGTAAAATTAAAGTTAGTGGTACCCACATTAAAGGTACTTGTATTACGTGAGATTATACTAAATTATTAAATATGACATCTGACATATAATCTGTCTTCAACTGATATTAGAAAAAAATCACATATGATGTTTAGTGGAGAGTCAATATCTGTGATTTAGTAAAGAAATGGTAAAACTCGTGATCAGAAATAGGGGCTATTTCTATTTAGAATGCTCTTTCAGAAGTATTCTTAGAAAAAGTTGAACATCTTCACATTGCCTATATAAGGTTTTGCTGATAAATAATTCCCAAAAGCCAACATTAACAAAGTATCGTATTTTTTCTAGTTCTTACTTTATTGTACATCATTTTATGTTAGACATATTGAAGAATTTCTGTCTGTGTGTTCATTTTTGCAGTACTAGTAGCTTATAACCTAGGGAATATTATGTGCCTCATGTATCATTTTCCTTTTTAAAAGATACAGTCATTCAAATTTGTATTGAGTATTTTGGCACACATTTTGAGGGTCTGGGCCTCCATGATTTGAATCAAGAACTGATTCCTTTCGGGTAAATGTTAGCTGATGACCAAAAAAGAGGTATTTTCAATCCCAGTTTCTTAAGAATATTGACCTAAATATTGACTAAAAGCTGAGGTGCTCACAGCCTTTTCTAGCAATTTAAAAAATCACTCAAAACCTCCAGTGTTTAAAGATCAATTGAGATCAGATACATTTTTTAAAGGAAAAAAAATAAAAAAAATAGCCAGTTTTGATCTCAAATGCATACACATCTATGTAGAATAGGCATTTTTTGTCAACATATGTGTATTAAGCAACCAATATTTGGCAATCTGACAGCAATTGTGCTTGAGTACTAGGAAGGCAAAAATTAATAAGATCATTTTTCCCCGACCTGGACTTAAGGAACTCAAAATCTTGCATAAAACATTGTAAAGAAACCCTTTTCTGGCCAGGTACAGTGGCTCACGCCTATAATCCCAGCACTTTGGGAGGCCGAGGTGGGTGGATCACCTGAGGTCAGGAGTTCGAGACCAGCCTAGCTAACATGGTGAAACCCCGTCTCTACTAAAAATACAAAAAAAAAAAAAATAGCTGGATGTGGTGGCGGGTGTCTGTAATCCCAGCTACTCAGGAGGCTGAGGCAGGAGAATTGCTTGAACCCAGGAAGCAGAGGTTGCAGTGAGCCAAAATCGCGCCATTGCACTCCAGCCTGGGTGACAAGAGCAAGACTTCTAAAACAACAAACAAACAAAACAAAACAAAAAATCTTTTTTTTTTGTCTTGTGAGAATAAGGCATGTAGCTGCTCACACATGTAGCTTATATAGCAGCTGTCAAGGTTCATATGCTACCACGTGGGGTACTGTGTGATTTCCTCCTGATGGCTGAGTTGAGTGGGGACTGTCAAGTAGGGGGAACCCGGAGACTGATCTCAAGTGTCCCTCCCGGCTTCACTGGACATCATCAATCAGAACAGTGATGTGGCTGCTGCTACCGCAGCTGCCCCTTGCTTATCACAGAGCACCGGCTAGATCTCAGCCTAGTGCTAAGCAATTTTTGCATGTTAGTACCATTCCTCCAAGCCATTCTGCAAAACAGATACTATTATCCCTTATTTACCAATGAGACAACTAGAGTTCTAAAAGGCTACTTGATTAGCTTACGATCGCACAACAAGTAAGTGCACACTTGCTCCGTTTTCAGTCTGTCTGTCCCTTTTTTCTCTGCTGCAGCATCTCTTTTGACAGACACTGTGGTGGTAATGTGCTCCCTCCTGCTCCATGAAGCTATGACATTCATACTTGTGACTGTAAGGTGAAGGAACTATGAATACTACTATTAATTGATATGTGTAGCTTTAATGCATTCATTCTTTAATTCATCTAAACAGTATATATATAAAATATATATATTTTAAAATTATTTTTTCATAGGCTTTTGGGAAACGGGTGGTATTTGGTTGCGTAAGTTCTTTTATGCTGATTTGTGAGATTTTGGTGCACTCATTACCCAAGCAGTATACAATGAACCCAATTTGTAGTCTTTTATCCCTCACCCCACTCCCACCCTTTCCCCCAAGTCCCCAAAGTCATTCTTATGCCTTTGCATCCTCATAGCTTAGCTCCCACTTAAGAGTGAGAACATAGGATTTTTGGTTTTCCATTCCTCAGTTACTTCACTTAGAATAATCGTCTCCAGCTCCATCCAGGGTGCTGTGAATGCGGTTAATTTCCTCCTTTCATGGCTGAGTAGTATTCCATCATATATATTTACCACAATTTCTTTATCCACTTGTTGATTGATGGACATTTGGGCTGGTTCCACATTTTTGCGATTGCGAATTGTGCTGCTATAAACATGCATGTGCAAGTACCTTTTCTGTGTAATGACTTCTTTTCCTCTGGGTAGATACCCAGTAGTGGGATTGCTGAATCAAATGGTAGAGCTACTTTTAGTTCTGTAAGGAATCTCCGTACTGTTTTCCATAGTGGTTGTGCTAGTTGACATTCTCACCAGCAGTGTAGAAGTGCTCCCTTTCCATTGCATCCACACCAACATCCACTATTTTTTAAATTTTTTTCATTATGGCCATTCTTGCAGGAGTCAGGTGGTACAGAGATGTAGTTTTGATTTGCATTTCCCTGATCATTAGTGATGTTGAGCATTTTTTTTCTTATGTTTGTTGGCCATATGTATATCTTCTTTTGAGAATTGTCTATTCATGTCCTTAGCCCACTTTATGATGGGATTTTTTGTTTTTTTCTTGCTAATTTGTTTGAGTTCCTTGTAGATTCTGGATGTCAGTCCTTTGTTGGATGTATAGATTGTGAAGATTTTCTCCCACTCTGTGGGTTGTCTATTTATTCTGCTGACTGTTCATTTTGCTGAGCAGAAGCTCTTTAATTAAGTCCCACCTATTTATCTTTGTTTTTGTTGCATTTGCTTTTGAATTCTTGGTCTTGAAGCCTTTGCCTAAGCCAATGTCTAGAAGAGTTTTTCTGACGTTATCTTCTAGAATTTTTATAGGTATCGGGTCTTATATTTAAGTCCATGATCCCTCTTGAGTTGATTTTTGTATAAGGTAGGAGATGAGGATCCAGTTTCATTCTCCTACATGTGGCTTGCGAATTATCGCAGCATCATTTGTTAAATAGGGTGTTCTTTCCCCCACTTTATGTTTTTGTTTGCTTTGTAGAAGATCAGTTGGCTGTAAGTATTTGGGTTTATTTCTGGGTTCTCTATTCTGTTCCATTGGTCTATGTGCCTAGTTTTATACAAGTACCATGCTGTTTTGGTGATTATGGCCTTATCCAAAGAGTATATATTATGTTTTATTATGGTGCCAGGCAGTGACATTGGTACAACTAATATATGCCCTTATGGAACTCAAGATTTCTTATGTTAAATACAGAATAAAGGAAGTAGGAATATTTATAGCTGTTAGGCCTTTAGTTAATTTTGTCTAGATGGAGTTTCAAATTACTTATGATTTGTTGTCAGTTCAGTGCATAAGGAGAAATTTATCTTATAAATAGCTTAGAAAGGAGTCATGTCATAAAATGACATGTCTCAAAATGTCTTGTGAAGCCAAGTTTTCTTCCAGCATGGCAAGCAATCACCATTTCTCTTGCTGAGCATCTAATGAAGTCATAGGTTTGATGTAGAGGGTATGTTGTGTGAAAAGTACTACTTTGAAATATTAGATAACTTCAGAGTCACAACATGCTCATATTCAGAAAACAAGTGACCCTGACTTCCGCTGATCCGCAGCTCTCATATTACACCAGCCATGGGTAGGTTGTTTGCTGAGTGTACCCTCATAACCCAGTTTTTACTGTATCTTGCTCTTCAGCAAGTGCTGTTTCTCCTTCCAGTATACTTCTCTCTGGTTTTTTTTTTTACTTTGCCTCAAGTCAGTAGAGTTTAATTTAACTAGTTTTTTTGTGCATATACTATATTTTCTTTCAGTCATACTTTTTAAATCTTAGTTACAAAGCACACAACCAATAAGGACCCAAATGTTGTTTCGCCTTAAATTACTTTCTTTTTAATATTTTCTTTTTAATATTCCTCTCCATTCTTGTTTTACATTTGGTGGGTATATTTATTTGTATCTCTTAAGTAAAAGAAACTAAGGGACTTTGAAAAAAAAACAACTTTTCACTAATAACAGAGAATAAGTAAGACGTTAGTATCTATGTCAATGGTGGTGAGGGAAAGGGTAAATGCTTTCTAGAGTAAATAAATTCAAAGGATTGTATGTCATGTTAATATAACAAAAACAAAATTAGAAAGACGTTTTCTTAGATTATAGTAGTGTATTGTGTATATACCCTTATCTAATAGTGTTTGAGTCTATCCCTCCACTATATGTATATCCTAAATTGTACAGAGACACTAGTATGCTAAAATTTATCATAAGAAAAGATTAAAAGGAGAGAAATGTTTAAAAATGAGATGAAAAACCATAAGTACATGTGTGTGTATGTATATATATATGTGTGTGTATATATTTCCATATTTCTTGTTTCATTCTAAAGGATGGTCTGTGCATCTCTTTCCAGAGATCATGCACCTACAACATGAAGGAATGAAAGAAAACCTAATAATACAGAGACTGGCTGAGCGCGGTGGCTCACGCCTGTAATCCCAGCACTTTGGGAGGCTGAGGGGGGCAGATCACGAGGTCAGGAGATCGAGACCATCCTGGCTAACACGGTGAAACCCCGTCTCTACTAAAAATACAAAAAATTATCCCGGCGTGGTGGTGGGCGCCTGTAGTCCCAGCTACCTGGGAGGCTGAGGCAGGAGAATGGCTTGAACCAGGGAGGCAGAGCTTGCAGTGAGCCGAGATTGTGCCACTGCACTCCAGCCTGGGTAACAGAGTGGGACTCCATCTCAAAATAAATAAATAAAATAAAATAAAATAAAATAATACAGAGATAATTCTTCATTTACAATAAACACTAAGAACACATGCACACAAACACACACACACACACAGAGAGAGAGAGAGATTAGATTAGTAGCAAGGAACTTACATACATGATTAATGTGAATGCCTTCTGAACCAAAGCTGAAGGAAGCAGATGAGAGCTCTGTGGGCGTAGGCTGCTGCTGTGAGCATACAAATAAGTTTGATCATAGCTACAGTCTCCATGCCTAATGTCAAACAACTGTCTTGAAAATCCTAAGTGAGAGTGGGGTGGGTAATTCAGCACAAGTACTGATCTCTGTTGTCATGAATGTCCTTGACAGTGGTAAGAAGTGGGGACCCATTGGGAAGAGCCACCTGAGGTGGCTTCATGACATGATGGATTTTGAAGAGATGTCTTAGACAGATCTAATGTTAGAACAATAAAAGTGGTACCATGGCTGTAGGAGATCCTGAATGCATGACATTCTTTATCACTGGGATAAAGAACATTCTAGATTAAGTCATGTAACATTCACCTCAGCAAATGGAACAGCAGGGTCAGCAAATCTCATTTTGAGTCAACAAATGCAAACATTGCATTATTTCTTTTCCCCACTGAGAGACTGTCGTAACACACATAGGATGCTGGACACAGCAACATGGGAGCCAGGTTCTGTACTCTTCTACTTAGGTAAACTTCTGTCAGCCCGCAGAAGTCAGTGAACACAATTATATTAAAACAATGTGTACCATGGACCCATTGGTCAGAAGCCATATTAAATGCAGTTTCATGCATGGTTAGTCATCCATAAACATTTCTGCTTGTAATAATAATGCGGTCAGAAGTAGGCCTTGTGGGGCTGAAAAGAGGTTACTAAACAAAAGTATTAAGGACACAGTCTGTGCAGTGTGTCACTTGGTCAACTGGAAAGCAGTGACGACTTTTCTTATACTTGCCAGGGTGGAATTCTTCTCAGTGTATTGGTGTGAGGTTCTCTCCGGAGGCATTGCAATCTGTTTCTAACTACTTGGCAACAGCTTTTGGAATAAGGCCAAAAAGATTGTCAAATAATACACAGAGTGGAAATGAGCTGTTTGAATTTTTCAGCCATCCTTCCTTTTCTTAGGGCCAAAGATGTAGTTTTATAAATCTCCTTAATTAGTAATTTCTACCAGAATGAGTTAGAATTATTACATGGAATTTAGCTCTTCTGAATGATGTTCAGTCATTAAGTTATGACAGCTGGTATGCAAAAAAATGTTGACTTATTCCAATCGTTCTGATGCCTAATAGAAAGTAGAGTTTTTTAAAAGCATGTTCATGGGATGGCATTCAAAAACAAGCTTAAGCAATCTTTCTGAGATTGGGAGCCAATCCTTGAGACACCTGGGAATGAACAGTAAAAGGATTGGATATATTGGTTGAATCAGTCTCCTCATTTCACATGTTGATGTTTTAAGAGATAGGCGGCTTGGCAAACCATGGTGAGAGATGACCTCTTGAGTTGAAGGCTTATGTTCACTCTGTAGTTCAGAGGTCTGATCTTTCAATGCTTCCTGACGAAGCTCTCCTCGTTTTGGTCCATATCGTTTTATTTTGAAAGATTAGTCACAGCATCAGACAGATGCAAGTAGCTATTGTGCCAGACAGGTCAGGAGAACCGCTATGTAGAAATGCTTACAGTTGTGGTCTGTTGCAAAATACGTGAATTCATGAGAGAAGACACATCGATAATGTTTTCAATGAGAAGTGTAATTACGTGGCTGCTTTTTGCATGCCTGCCCTCTCTCCTCCTTTTGTTCCTTGACAGAAATTCGCAGGACCCCTTTTTTAGCAACAGAGCAATACTATAGCTTAGGTATTTGAGTGGAAATTTTGAGGGGTGTGGGGAGAAAGAAAAATTAAATCCATTTTTTTAAACAGAAAATGTAAGAATTAATTTAAAAGTGACTCAAATGATAATTGTTTCCAAAATTACAACTTTCTAATCTATCCCTAGGTGCTGTAAACTGCAAACCATAATCCTGTCTTAATACTGCAAACAAATCATAGTGGAACTAAGGGGAACTTAATTTACTGGTAAGAGTATTTTCCTTAATCAGTTGTTTTATGCATTTTTGATTGTATTTAATTATTGCAGTACATAGGGCAGGAGTCACAAAAGATAAGGATAAGGAGACGTTGCAGAACTTTTGTCTTCACTACGGTCTTAGCGTAGATATGGACCAGATATATCATATAGTGAAGGTTTTTTTTGTTTTTTGAGTTCCATTAAATTGCTGGTTTATTTTTGAAAGAGCAAAACCCTTACCTTAAAGTTATTTTTCTTGTTGGCTGACCTGTTGGCATATTTGAAAGTGGCATATTTATAATATTTATCAAAATGTCATTTTTAATAGAAAAAAATAGTTTCACCACTGAGATTTGAGAAGGTTGACTTCTAAGGAGGCTTGAAGTTTCAGTGAGAAAACCTGTATTTTCAGGGGGTTAACAGAGCTCACGCTTCATAGTCTGAACGACTTACAGCTTCAGTCACTGTTCCTTGAATTTGAATCCGTTTGAAATCTGACCTGAATCCTTGATTGGAGTTTTTTCAAATTCTTTGTGCAACACCAAGCTGAATTATAACTAATTTCAAAGAGTTTGGAACAATAAGAAAAGTTCACATTGGAAGGAGGGCCAAACACACAGTGATGTAGTTCTAGGTAAGCTGTTTAGCTATTTTGATGACCCATTTTGTAAATCATAAAACTGGAATAATAGTTGTAACTGCCTACAGGTGCAGCCTAAATTAGATTATTACGATAATGAATATTAGCACTGGGTTTGGTCCATAGCATTGTGTTTGGTTCAGTAAGTGCCAATAATTAGTATCACGACTAGTTTTTAAAGACAAAATAATTGGAGGAAAAACAAAAACGAGTAATTTTTTTCTCAATGATGAAAGAATGGTTTTCTTACTTTCTCAGGAGCACATTATGTCACCAAGAGAATATGCACTCCAGAAGAAATAAGATATTACTTGGTGCATGAAGAATTTTTTTCTATGCATTTGTTGCAAATGGGACCTTAATACAAATATAAAATAATGAAGACCATGTGGAAAGAGATAGAAAATCTTGGCTTTATGGGTTACTGTTAGCATACCTGGTTCCTGGTAACCCCCAGCGGCCTTCTAAATGAATGCAGGCCATACCAAGAATAAGTCTATGAAGAAACTCTCTGTGCTTTGAAAAACATTTGATCTCTTCTCTCATCCACTGGAGTGGTTTTGCCCTCCACTATTTTTAGATCTTCACTTGGGAACTTTCTCCAAGAGGGGTTCTCCATACAGACTTTCTAACCACAGGGCATCTGAAAGTCTCTTGTAACATTAAAAATGGTTTGAAGTATATTCTAATATCCTTAGAGAAAACTCTTCCCAAAACCTGATTAATCAATTCCTTTGATGATGATTGTGTGGGATACATTTATTCCATTAAAACACTTTTATGATTTCACTTTAAATGAATTTCTAGTTCATAAGAAACATAGGTAAATCTTCTGAGATAGTAATGAACAAAATACAATACCCAGGGTATTAAATTTTAAAAAAGAGATTATCATACTACTATGAGAAACTGTAATTGTGGTTGTGTCATGATGATGTATTAATAATTATTTCTCTTGACATTATGAAAATGGATGGTAACCCGCAAAACACCCTTCTTGCTCGTAGCCCTGCATTCTTTCCTGTATTTTATTGAATTATGTTTATTTCTTGTGTTCCTCTTGGTGATTGATGAAATCATTATTTAATTCTACAAAATAAGTTCCCTTACCGTCAGTTTTCATTGTGCTAGGGAAATCAGCCATCAGGTTCCAGGAAGGGTTTGTGGAATCGTAGTCATAAAACACCCATACCCACACCCACACACAAACACGCATTTACCTAATCTTCATTTTTCTTTTCAGAATCTCTTGTTTGGAAATTTCCTCCCAGAATACCCAACCTCTCAAGAATTTTAAAACGATGGAGTAAAATAATCTTCAAGCTCTGATTAGATTACAACATATGAATGCTAATTTTGTTTTTACAGGTTTCAACACCCAAATTTATCTGAACTTAGGGCACAATAAGCAGTTTAACTGTTAGAAATCTTATGAGATTGAGTTTGTGCCTATCAGATGAATACATATTTGTATATAACATTTCAATTATTGCTACATTTATGTATAATTTATCCAAAAGCGATGTTATCCATGCATCTTAACAGAAGGCTTAAGTAGTTGAATGACAGGGACTACATTTTTGCTGCAGAAGATCATGATAAAACATGTGCTGTGTGGTCACCTTGGGTAATGTGCCGAGACTGCTTGATGGTACTTATCTCTACACACTGCATCTCATACTGATTTATGGATTTGGATGACTTATTTTATGTCAAAGACATAAAGAGAGTAGAGAAGAGAGAATAGTATTTTCATTTCAGTCTTAAAAAAGTTCTATCCTATGAGATGTTAACAGCTGCCTTCTCTTGGTGGTCTGTGAAGTTTTTATAAAGATATTGATTATTTTCCAATGACACACAAATCTACTGCTAGAGACCATTCAAATGCTTAGTTACACCAGGGCTTGGCTCCTGTACCCTGAGGAGGACACGATTAACCAAATCCTCCTTTTTAAATGTTCTCAGGACAATGAGCTGCACATACGGCACAAATGCAATTTGCTTGACCAATCTTGCCTCTGTCTCCTTCTATCTCCGTTTACATGCTTCATGCTCAGTTGAAATTAATTCTCTACACATTGGTCTCATGAACACATCTTTGAGAGCAGAGTTCAAGTTAAATTTTTATTTTCATCATTACCTCTGAGAACACAATCTGGGGCATATTAGACGCTTTGTAAGTGTAGAGGTGGGGAGAAAGAAGAAGAAAGAGAGGAACAGAAGGAGGGAAAGATTTTCCTGATAGATCACTTTCTGGACACTTTCTGTGCTGAGAAGTTCTGAGATTGCCTCTCTGGATCCTGCTATCTTGGCAGTCTTGCTAAGAGTTTCCATTTACACTTAAACATGGTTACTGATGCGTCTTAATGTTGCCTTAACTATCAGGTTTCTGATAGCCCCACATAGCCAAGTGGGACCCTGGTCAAGAAGTTCACCTCTGTTAAATAAATATGCATAGATTTTCAACATCTCTTCACATGCATTCAGAGGTGATGAAAGATTCCACTGGATGCTAGAACATTGTGCATAAATAATCGAAGTTGTATGCTCTTCAGCAATGATGCTACCCCATATCCTTTTTTTTTCTTTCCCATGATATGAGGATATGAGTGCAGCAGAACTAGCTCCATGCCCTTGTCCCAGAATTAATCATTCCTATCCATATTTGATGTCTTTACCTTTTAAATATTTATGGGCTGTTATGTTCCTTTCTTGTTGTTCACCCACTCTGGGGACATTCAGAAGCCTCACATTTCTTCCTTAGCCAAACACCCCATTCCCTTCATCCTCTCTCAGCTGTTCTTTGGATTACCTCCAAATTGCATACATAATTTTGGTATTGAGGTGCCAAAAATGCATTTGTTTCAACTGGAGTTTTATTGAAGTTGCTTTTACTCAAATCAAGTACACAAATAAATTTGATTTCCAAGGCATGAAAATTCAGTTAGGTCTCCGAAGGGAAGCTGAGGTATACTTATATTTCATTATAATGCTACAGGTAGATTTTAAGTCACTAGGAAAATGACATCTCAAAATCAAAAGATTATAGAATGAGCACTATATGAAGAATTACATTTTAAAGCATAGGTCTGTGATCATTTTGTAGGTTTTTGTTGTTACTGTCAGTCTATTGGTTTTTATTAATAATTTTATTGAGGTATAACTGATACACAAACGACATATTTAATGTGTACAATTTGATGAGTTTGGACATATCCGAGGACTCATGAGACTGTCACTGCAATCAAGGTAATAAATGTATTTATTACTTCCAAAAGTTTCCTCTGTCCCTCTGTTTTTGTTTGTAAGATTTTAATAGGCTCAAGCTCAATCTTCATAGCCTTTTTTTAAGTTAATTTTTTCTTTCTTTCCAAATTCAGAAGGCAGATTCATTTCATCAAAAGAAAACAGTTCCTCAGTTGCTACTGCATTGCAGAGAAAAGACTGACTATAATCACCATTAAATTATTAAAGAATAAAAGATACTGAAACCCAGCAAAACTTGGGTGATCTCTTTCATAAGCAGACACTTTTAATCTTATATTGACATTTAAAAGGACTGTTCAAGTAGCAACATGACAGACTGCACATATAAAATGTCCATGAAAATATGTAGCACAGCTAAACAAATAACTCAGAGCAAAATCCAATGAAAGGAGAAAATTGTGTTTCCTCAAGAAAATGCTATTTTTGCCCTAAGGCAATTCTTGCTGGAGAAAAATACCATGTAAAACATTGACACAAATCACAGACATCTCTTCTAAACAGTGGATTTTATTGGACTGCACACGCGTGCAGAGATTTGGCAGATATTTGAGGTCTTGGAAAGGAAACAAACCAGCGAAATATATCACTATTATCACCAACACAACTGCAGAGGGCAAAGAGCAGACACATCTCAGAGCCTAGTGATGAAGCAGGGCATTAAAAACTAAATCAAAGCCTCTGATCAAAGGCTAATTTAGTCTGTCATAATTGACTTGCAGTGGAAGGAAGCCTCATGCACAAAGATCAAAGATTAGTGACTTCACATTTACCACAACATCCCCACCCTAAAGGAGGGAAAAAAATCAGAAAGAAGAAAGGGGAAAAAAGAAGAAACATGTCAAAGCTCACTAAGAACCCTGTGCAATGTAATCTACCTTTCTTAAGGATAGCATGCATTATTAGAAAAATGAAAATGAATTTTATTATGGCATGTTTGAGTTCTACCTTCGAAAGAGTGAGAAACTGGCACTATTGGCTTAAGTAACTTATTTGCAAACAGGCATTATTAGGCAGTGCCTTTTGCTGCAGTTGCTTCCCTTTATTTGTAGCCCTTCAAATGCATACATTAAGATTCTCTTCACAGTTGCAAACAGCAGGTAAATAATTGTATATTTGAGAGACTATTGCCTATTGAATTTAAGTTGGTCACAGACTTTGGTCCATGGTAACATACTAATTGTTAACTTCCTGTTAACCAGTTATATCAAGCCTTATGTAATTTTTGTTGTTTCAGTACATACTGTGAATATAGCCAGCTCCCTAACTCTGTATGAATATTATATGGGGAGGAAAAAATCCTGTTTCTCTATTCTTCTAAAATCTGTACCTGGGGACTGTGAATTAAACTAACAAAAGACAGATTAATAGGAAAAAAAAGCATACTTTTTTTTTTTGAGACATGTCTCACTCTGTCACCCAGGTTGGAATGTAGTGGTGCAATCATAGCTCATTGCAGCTTTGATCTCCCAGGCTCAAATGATTCTCTTGCCTTAGCCTCTTGAGCAGCTGGCACTACAGGCATGCATCACCACACCTGGCTAATTTTTTATATTCATAGAGATGGGGTCACACTATGTTGCCCAGGCTGGTCTTGAACTCCTGAGCTCAAGCAATTCTCCTGCCTCAGCCTCCCAAATTGCTGGGATTACAAGCCACAAATTTTATTTGATATTAGTAATTTAATTTTTACATGCGGAGAGGATGTCATAGTAAAGAAGTGAAAATCAAAAAAGCAATTAGACCAGGTTTGTATACTATTTTAACTAAGGGTGATAAATTGTGTAGAAGTGACAAGACAAAGGAAAAGAGATTTAGGCTTCTAGGAGCAGTTAATTGTGAGAAGTTAAGTATATGGGCAAACCTAGTGGAAGATTAGGGTTATTTTTAGTAAGATTTGTCTGTGCAGATCTATCTCAGTACTGAGTTTCTATCTCCAGTGATAGTGGTTGTCCTCCTGGTACAGCAGTGGGAACGGGGAAGACCCTCACAAAAGGAAGTGTATGTCCTCCTTTTAGGCCTATAGTGGGGAGGCAAAGAGCTCTTTCTGTGTTTGCTGCTTGCTGACTGCCTTCAGCTCAAAGTAAACCTTATTGCCAAAGTGGCATATTTTGGGGTGTCATATTCTGATCTCTTTCAGTTCCTATTTATTATATTCTCCTGTCATTATGCTTTGTATATTTTATGACATTTTAAACCTGTGCCATGTGTAAAATGACAGTGAAAAGGAAGGTAATCCTCTTATGAAATGTCTTTCTAGTTGTCTAATTATAGGGTGCCCTATTAGTTTGTAGGAATTAAGCATTTTCAAAGGCATTTATTCAACGATTGTTTTTGTGTGGCTGTTAAGAGCCACAGGGTTGAAGATACAGTCGCAAAGAGAGACACAGTTCTTATCCTCATGAAGCTTATAATCTTATAAAGGCAGATATGTTATTCAAGTTATAATGCAAACAAATGTAAAATTGCTGCTCTAATAAGCGCCAGAATATGGTGATTTGACCTGTGGTGGTCAGAGAAAGCTTCTCTGAGCAACAAATGCCTGATCAGAGTTGAGAAGTAAACTAAACCAGAAAGTAAGACTAGAAGGATCCATTTGATTGGGAACTTTATTAGAATGCTTTCATTTTTCTTGAGATAGATGTGGAATCCATCTGTGCTGGGGAGGTAAAAAATTAGTCCACCTCTCAGGCAGAGGACAGACAGTGCTGTAGATAATGCACTGAGAATGGATTTTAGTTCCAGAAAAATATGAGTTCCAGCTTTAACTCAGCAACTTTTCGGTTGAAGATTTGGACAAACTAGTCAACCTCTCTGAACCTGAGGCTGCTAATCCGTAAAGTGGGCTCATAATCCTTATCTCAGATAATCATCTCAACTACTGTTTGTTATCAGTGTCATCAACATAGTGCTGATTTGCAATGTGATCTTAGGCAAACCATTTTATCTCTTTGAGTTTCAATTTCACACTTCTTTAAAATGGGGGATGTTGGATTAAATGGTTTCAAGATTTCTTTCAGCTCTACATTTCCATGATTTTGCAAGCAAATGTAAAGCTGGAAATTTCTGTCTAGATATCATGGGAAGCCTATATCCTGGAAAGTTAGAAAAAGTGTTGTTTTTGGAAAGTAGACTTTTTAAAAGAGGCATAATTCCACCCGTTAGCGATTTTACTTATATTTCTTTAATCCACACTTAGAAGTTTCTATTATCTTAGATTCAATTTTATAGCACATATTTCTTCTACTAAAAAGCCTTTAAAGTGTTTCAGTGGGATGTTTAATTTCCCATTATGGTTGGTTTCTCAAATCATTCCTTTTGTAATTGTCACATTTTTACAGTCCTGTTTAAAACAAATTCAGTTTTTCAACTAAAAATATCAAGCTGAGTTGGAAATCGAAATCCAAGGACTGCAAAATCAAATGATAATAAACCAACCATAAGGTTAAACTTTCCAACCACCACAAACTTAGAGACCACCAGAAATTTGTGTTACTTGTTTCTTATAAAATATAGAATAATCTTTTGAAGATTCTTGTGGCCAAAGTAAAATTTTATTACATTTCTAAATCTAGAAAAGGGAAAACTATTTTTAACACCTTGTTACTTATTTAAACATAAAAATATTTAGTTTGATTGGAGCCTCTTCTTGACTCTATTCATATTTCACTTAAATTACTATTGTTTTAGCTATACAAAGCCTGCTTCTGATTATATTTATGTTAAACATTTAATCTTTCTTTGTAGAGCCACAGATTTAAGAAAGCATCCAGATATATATATATATATATATATATATATATATATATATATTTCTATTTTGGTATTTTAAAATCTCACTCATGTTTTGATTAATAAATATTCTTAAGTGCTTTCATATTTATCTTTATTTTTACCTTAGGAAACACATATTGAATATATTAAATAGGTATACCAGGTGCTATTGTCCTTACGTTATAGGTTAGAAAACTGGGCCATTGATTTATTCAAGTTCGATTGTATATTTATCGAGTGAAAATTAGATCTCATATCTCATATCTTCTAACTTCTTATTTTGCATTGCCTTACTGATTTTCCAAGGTAAGGAAGAACCTACCCAATCAAATGAAAGAGTGCTGACATGAATTAAATCTGGTTAAATGTCTGATGGTCTGATTGTCCTCAATGATTATAGCATTCAATGGTATTTTATTTTCATTTACCCTTCCATTTGTTTCTTATAATATTTCCCATTTTGTTAGCCTATGTATAGATACGCTTTTCATTAGTGAATGTCCAATTATCATGCTTTCATTTTGGGTGGAAGACTGATTAGCATGGATTAATTAAGGTAATTAAATAATTATAGTTACTGTAATGTAACTATATAGAAATGAACATTAGCATGGCCTAATTATCTAGTATTTAGGAACATATGCTTTGGAGAGGTGATTTAAGTGGGCTTGAATTTGACCTTCCATACTTACTAGTAATGTGTGCTTTTACAAGTTACTTAATCTTTATGAGCCTTAATTTCTCATCAGTAAAGAGGAGATAGTAGTCCTTACAGAGTTTATTTTTAATAGACACATTTCTATAATTGTACTATATTTTACACATGGTAAACTCTCAATATTATGATTAACAATGCTTTTATTGCCCTAGCCATGGCTGTGATGTATCTCGTTATGAACCAATTATGCTCCCTTAGCACCATAGTTATAGAGGATGGGACAGTTAATGCGAGTTAGGTTGTTTAGAGTTCTTCTCTGAGGAGTTATTGAATTGATGCTGAAGTAACAGAGCTGGTATCAGAGAATTATACCAGTACGTAAGCAAGAAAGAAACAAGAATAAGCAAGAAAGTCTCAGAGGTGTTTGGGTTTCTGGATCCAGGGGTCCCTGTAGCTGGTTCCCTCTCTACCTTTTCTGTAGTTTTTGTATGCGGGCCAATAAAGTTCCATAACTTGTTAGTTTAGCTTAGTTTGATTTGGGTTCCTGTGACCCACTAATGTAATCCAATAATACAACATCTTAAAGACACATTTCTTTGTCTTCAAGTTAACATGTATTACTCACAACAGTATCTTAATACTTATTTATTTATATGTTTATTTTGTTTCTCCCAATTACTAAAATGTAAGCTCTATTTGAACAAAAACTTGCAGTACTCTTTCTTCAGCTGTTGGAAAACCTCTACCACCTACTAGGTTCTCAGTAAATATTGGACGAATAAATGGATAAAAAGAGAAAGAAAGTGACACTTTTCTAAAAGTGCTCCTGAATTAAAATTGCATCTGTATTTCTTCCTGAATAGACTAGAAAAGGACACAAATTTAACATTTATTGAGAACTTACACTGAGCTAGCCATCATGTTAGATATTATATACATTTTGAACTTGATGATATTATCTCCATTTTACGAATGCACAAATGGAGGGACAAAGAGCTAAAGTCAAATTGGTGGCCTCCTGGTTCTCTGCTCAGACCGACCTTTGAGAACCAGCTGCTTCCCCAGCTGCTGGGATGTGTCCAGTAGCTAGCACTTAACATGTTAGCCCTGCTTTAGGGATTGCCTCAGTGGAAGAGAGTACTCCTTTGTGCAATGTCATGTCCCCTTTCCAGGGAAGCCCACATCTAATGCCTATAAAGGCCCAACACCATCAGCTCAGCTCTGGACAACTCCTGCTTCCGAACACCCCTTTCCCATAAATTGATCTCACATCCCTCACTAATAAACAAGACTCTTCTTCCCAGGGAAACCAACCTGCTATGGTAATTTTCAAATATCTCTGCCCAAGCTAGTGACATGGCCTCTCTAAGGAGGTAAAGTGGGCTGATACCCACTGAAACTGGGAGAAGTATAGTTCCAAGGTATGATCTGAGAAAGGGCTAGGTATTTTCTAGGGTCTTAAAGATAGGTTTTTTAGCTGGGATACAGGGAGCTTGTGATGAGATGATTGTCAGGGCAGCAGACATCAGACTATGCAGGGCCTTATAAGCCACGTATCTTGGTGCTTTTGTGCTGCTATAATAGAATACCACAGACTGGATACCTTGTGGATAGTAGAAATTTATGTCTCACAGTTCTGGAGGTTGGAAAGTCCAAGATCAAGGCATCAGCATCTGGTGAGGGCCTTCTCGATGCTTCCTTCAGAGTGGAGGTAGCCATGCCTCACATATTGGAAAGTGGAAAGGCAAGCTAGCTAAATCCTGCATGAAGCCTCTTCTAAGGCCTTTCTGAGGGCCTTAATCCCATTCATGAGGGAGGAGCCCTTCTGACCTAATCACCTCTTAAAGGCCCACCAGTTAATACTATCACATTGACCATTAAGTCTCAACACTTGAATTTGGGAAGGGATGCATTCAAACCCTACCATCATGCAAAGAAGCCAAAGTTATATTTCCTATTGTCCCTACCCTTTCCTCAGATACCAGGATTTGCCTATCTCCATCTCTAGCTACAATTGTTCTGAATTTTGGGGCCCGTTTTTGCTGCATGAATTTGTATTTGAATTCAAGACTTGAAAGATTAATTTTCCTTTCAGAATGTTATTCATATACCCCTTCATTCTTAACCTGCTCACTGGTTTCCTACCATAATTACAGTCTCAAACAGTGGTTGCATTCTGGCAAAACGATGTTTTGAGTTAGAGTTGTTATGCAGTTAGTCAGTTGTTTGTAGTTAAAAAGTCTCTTTCTTATTCACTGAAATGACTGGAGTCCCAGCTGCTAGGATTCAAAGGCAACAGGGAAGACTTCCTAGAGTTTCATGTGATCATAAAAACCTTTCCAGACGTTTTAAGTGATTATGATTTCTATGCTGCATTGACTTACAATTAGAGATCATTCAAGTAACTTAGAATTCAGTAACTTCTAGGTCACAGAGAGGCTCAGATACACACTGTTGACAGCCTTTTGGTGTCTTTGTATGTGTGTGTGTGTGTATACATACATACACACTAAACTGTACTGCTGTATGTGTGGGAAAAAGTCTAAATACTAAGCATTTTTATTCTATTTTGGGCAAGTATCTGTGCTCAATGGATGCAAGTTGGTATCTAAAATCTAAAAAATGCAAAGATAAATGGATCATCTGTGTACTTCAAGCTTTATTTTCTTGCATAGTTTTTTCCTAGTATTTCCTGACAACCTAGAACAGTAGTTCTCGCCTTTGACTGCCTATTGCCATTGCCCGTAGCATATTTTAGATCTAAGGATCCCTGGACAGATACTCTAACTCAGTGGATGGAGCCCAGGTAGCTGTTTTGTTTGTCGTGGTAGTTGCTCTTTTTAATGTCTACCCATTGTCCTGTAAGACAACTAGGGTTGTGAACCATCGGTTTTTTACACTATCTAAAAGGAAGGTGTCTGTGGATTGAGGATATTTCTTACCTTGCCTACTTCCACACTTTCAACTTTCTAAAATTCCTGGGATTCATGCTCCCATTCCCCAAAGAATAGTGAGTTACCTATAATTATCTACAGCATCTATCAATAATGCCTTTAGTTCCTCACTTTGAGTTCTGCTTAGAGCTAAACATATTCTAAGCGAAGTAAGGAGGTTTCATGCTTCTGTGTATGCATAAGTGTGCCTGACAAAGAGATGAAACATGAAAGTGAAACAATACTGATAAATGAAATTTAAAAATATAGTATGACTTTGATAGGTAGTCTGTATTCTGGCACTTCATGAAATCTCCAAATTATTGTATATTACCATAGCATGCAATTTTTACTTATAGCATGGTAAAGCAGAGCTCCTCCTTTTGAGTGATGTACAGCTATTGCACCACTCTAAGTGGTAACTTAACACAGAATAAATATGAATAGAATTATCTAGAGTTGTACAACTCAGTACCTTTGGTTTGGACCAGAGAAAAAGGCCTTAGAGTAGTGGTTTTCAACCAGGAGTGATTTCGCCCTTCAGGAGCATTTGGTAACATTTGGAAATATTTTTAGCTGTTAACGCTAATGAGGGAGAGACTTGCACCTGGTCAGTAGAGGCCAAAGATGCTGCTACATGTTCTGCAACACTCAGGACAACTGAATGCCCAAAAAGAATTATCTTGCCCCAAATGGAATCATGCTGAGGTTGAGAAACTCTGGCTTAGAGAATTGTATTAGTCATCCTGGCCCATAAAATTCCCATGAAAATTTGGGAACGAGGGGAGGATTCATATGTATCTTTTTGGTATTGTATTTCTGGCGCCTGGGAGCTTGCTCAGCATGCAGTAGTTGCTAAATATGTTTTTGGATGACTGAGTGATGGCATGATTTGAATCAGACAACATTATTTTACCAGCCTTGGAATCTGGGCAAAAGTGGGCTGCTTAGGAGCAAAGACACGAGTCTGTGTATTTCTGTGGTTGCCTTTCCATGGAAATTCCCATTCAAGGGGATACCTAATATGTAAGGATTAAAGATGCCTCCTCCATGGATTTTCCATGGTGTCTCACATTCTCTAATTAGTTATTCCTTAAAGTTTTGTCCACCTGTGTATCTTTAGTGGTATGGCTTCATGTCACCTCAAATATGGAGGCATTAGCTTTGTTTAGTTCAGTATATACCAGATTATGGGATGGAAAATACTGAAGGGATATCAAATGATCATACGTAATCTAAGATATAATTAAATAATAAACTTACATAAAGCATTTAAAAAAAATTTAGTTCTCTTTCCCTTAATTCTTTCAATATTTCAGGTAGAGTCAAAGGCTGGTTTTGTGCTATCATGATTTTATAACTAATTTTTAACACCATCTCCTTTTCTTCTTTTCTTCTTCTTTTTTTTTTTTTTTTGTGAGACAGAGTCTCTCTCTGTAGTCCAGGCTGGAGTGCAGTGGCACCACCTCGGCTCACTGCAACCTCCGCCTCCCGGGTTCAAGCAATTCCCCTGCCTCAGCCTCCCAAGTAGCTGGGATTACAGGTGCCTGCCACCATGCCTGGCTAATTTTGCATTTTTAGTAGAGATGGGGTTTCACCATGCTGACCAGGCTGGTCTCAAATTCCTAACCTCAGGTGATCTACTGCCTCGGCCTCCCTAAGTGCTGGGATTACAAGTGTGAGCCACTGTGCCTGGCTCTCTTTTTCATAAAGAGACAGCAAACCTCAAAATCAGAGATTCAGCTTGCCACAGGTCTATTTAAAATTGTTTTTATTTCAATTCATGTATTTTTTATGTAAAGTAGTGTTGATTTCCTGTTTATAGCAGTGGAGAACATATTAAGATATTTTAATTTAAATAGAAAAGTAAGCCAATTACAAATAAGTGCAAGTAGCGTACAGATATGAAAAAAATCATAATCATGTCACTTAAATAGGCGAAGAAATCATTGAATTTATTTGTTTTGTTAACATTGTCTCATCTTGAAGGAGAAGATGGAATCTGGAGATTGCAGCTTGAATGGCTCCGGAAGAGGCAGCATGTTCGGTGGATTGGATGTGTTTGCATAACTGTGGGACCACATGGGAGGTGACGCAGGAAGGCTGAAAGAGGACAGTCTCCAAAGGAGGGAGCAAACCTTGAAAACACCTGCAGGGCCCTTTTAATGGCCAACTGCATCAATTTAAAACGTTCACTTGCTCCCCCATGGCTGTCTGTCCAGGCAGAAGCAACATGACCTCTGGTTTGAAAGGCCTCTCAGATTAAGAGAGAATATTGTGTCTTGGGGAAATCAATCATATTATTATGAATCATAGAATTATGAGTCATGTGTTATAGGTTGTTTCAGGCAACAAGACCTCAGATGTCCTTCACTTCAACCACTCTTGGGATACTGAAGGGTATTGCCATTGCAATCTGTGGCCAACATCTACTTCCACATCTCTCCCTCTTGGGGCTTTCAAGTCCAAGCTTGGAGTCATGTTTGTAGGAGCCTCAAATCTCTCTCTCAAGAATTTTCATTTGTTTTCCCCAGTTCTCCCCTGTGGAACCATGGAAATTAAAATCGAAACCCTGTTCTATTACTTTCACATGTTTGAAGATAGATTTCATGTCTTACTTGAGCCATTTTTTTCTTCAAGAAAACATTTCCAGCTCCTTCAACTTTTCCGTCCATGAGATAATGTCAGTCCCTTTTTCCATCTTCGGACCTTGCCTCTGAATAAGCTCAGCTTGTCTGAATCAGTTTTAAATAGAAGCATTTACACTTGGATACAATTTTCCAGGTGTTGCTTCAGTGGGACAAACGAAAGTGAGACAATTGCATCTCTTGTTCTAGATATCATACTTCTTTATCCATACCCTAAGGTTACTAACTTTTTGGCAATTTCATCACATTGTTATTAACTAAGTCCCCTTTTTTTTTTTATAAAGAAGGTACTACAATTATCACACACCTTTATTTTAAACGTATGGCAACATCTTTTTTTTTTTTTTTTTCTGAGACATTCTCCCTTTGTCACCCAGGCTGGAGTGCAGTGGCTTGATCACGGCTCATTGCAGCCTCGACTTCCTGGGCTCAGGTGGTCCTCCCACCTCAGCATCCTGGGTAACTGGCATTACAGGCACATGCCACCATGCATGTCTTTTTTTTAGAGAGAGAATTTCACCACATTTCAGGCTGGCTTTGAACTCCTGGGCTCAAGTGATCTGCCCATTTCAGCCTCCAAAAATGCTGGGATTACAGGCTTGAGCCACAATGCCTGGCCTGCAAATGTCTTTCTAATAAAAGTATGTGTATCTGTAGTGTGTGTGTGCACACGTGCGTGTGTGTGCTTGTGTGTGTGCGTGCTTGTGTGTGTGTGTGCATGCGTGTGTGTGTGTGTGATATAGTGGGGGTGGGGCAGGAGATAGGAATTGCAGAGAAATACGAACAGTTAAACATAAAGAGAAACTGGAAATTTGAAAATATATGAAGTGTCTGACCCCAAGTTCAAGCTGAGAAGCTAGGCATCAATTTTATTTTTCCTTAGCCTGTTTTTAAAAAAGTATTTTTTCAAAGTTTGGTCCTTGAGCCACTTTTCAGCATCATCTTATCAGGGAGGCCTTTCCTGTATGTCCCATTGCTTGTTATCTCATCCACCATTCCTTGCTATCTGCTTTACCCTGCTTTATTATTTTTTTCATAGCTCTTATTACTTCCAAGCATTTTATATCTTTTTATTTATGTATTACAAGGCTTCATGAAAGGAGGTACTTTGTTTTTTTACCACTGCTATTTGTCACAACGAGTTTATTAAATGAACAATTGAATAATAAGTAAAAGGCTAACTTGGGATGTGATTGCATATTCAGATTTTTGGGTCCCAAGCTGGGCCTACAGAATTAGAATTTCTGGTCATGGGGCCCGTTTAACTTACTTTTCTAGTGTTTCATCTGTGTTCTAAAATTTTAGCAAGACTGAAAGTGCACACAATCTCAGTGCACTAAACACTGAAAATAAAGTGTAATGAGTAAATTTTTGAAATATCAGCTGGGCATGGTGGCTCATGCTTGCAATCCCAGCACTCTAGGAGGCCGAGGCAGGCCTATCACTCCAGATCAGGAGTTCAAGACCAGCCTGGCCAGCATGATGAAACCCTGTCTCTACTAAAAATACAAAATTAGCTGGGTGTGGTGGCGCGGACCTGTAATGCCAGTTACTCAGGAGGCTGAGGCAAGAGAATCACTTGAACCCAGGAGGTGGAGGTTGCAGTGAGTCGAGATGGTGCCACTGCACTCCAGACTGGGTGACAGAGTGAAACTCTGTCTCAAATAAATAAATAAATAAATGTTTGAAAAATCAAAAAATGGCCATCTTCCTTTACATTCTTAAAGGAAAACATAAGTCTGTATCAAGGCATTAGAATATAATTATGCTGACTGTATATTTTAAGTCAACTGCATATTACTGGCCAACTGGAGATCACTATCTATTAAGACATAAAATTTGCTATAATGTAGGTTTATTATTTACAGAGGTAAAAGGGCCTTATTCAAACCTTGTTTCGACTATGATGATGTCATGGTTGAGGATTCACTCCCAGGTCCTAAATAACATTCCGATACCAGCACGACAGCAGATTCACACAGGCACAGGCACTTGCAGACTGCCATAGCTTACCAAACAAGACCCAGGTAGAGCATTTCAAAAAGCTACCAAATTGACACAGCTGGGGTGTAGTTTGGGAAATTTGTTCAAAATGCTAATCTTTGAAGTTAAAGGTGGAAAGAAAAAGTCTACATAAAAACCTTCCTTGGAAGGAGAAACTCTTATTTCCCTATAAACTTCATTACTAACAAAATAAGGGAGGAGAGCAATAAGAAACAAATAAGATTAAGGAAGCCAAATGGTTTTTAAATGAGATTATTTTTTCTCAGACTTTTCCACAAGGCGTCAGCAGCTCTGTAACCACCAGATTGTCAGAAATTAGCCTGGTTTTTTTTGGACAGTTTGAGAAGCCATTCCGTCGGCCTTATTTATTGTTTATTAAATTGATTCTACTTGATTTTTTGCAGACATAAATGAGATTCTTCTGAATGATGACCTAAGCTGTTAAACCTTATAATAACATCACTAGTCACTACTTCTGCCTCTCAGCTAGTCAGAAGGGCACACCCTATGGCTTTACCCTTGATCATTGCACAAAAAGAAGAGCCAAGACTGTGTAACCCAAGTGTAATCAAAGTTACATAAAAATTACTTAGTGAAGCCAGCCCCTGATCTGTTTAGCATCATGTTTACTAATTTATTTTTTTTACCTCCAAGTAAAGTACTTGGTCTTTTTTAAAAAAGAAGGAAGAAGAGCAAAATAGAGGGAGGGAAGAAGAGAGGGAAGGAAGAAAGAAGGAAAGAGGAGAAGAGAAAAATAAAGGAAGGAAGGAGGGAGAGAGAGCCTTCTCAAATTCAGAAAATAATATTATTTTTTCTATTATGAAGCATCGTGGAAGAAAATAAGGCCAGTTGCTACTTAAAAGTAAGCATTGGGCTGAGGTTAAGAAATCATATTCTATCTTTAAATTTTATATTCACTACCTGTTTGGCCTCAAAAAGTCACAAACTCATTGAGCTAAGATCTTACTTGTAAAATATATGAATTAGAGCTGAATGATATTATTGAAACATTCCAGCTTTAAAAACTATATGGCTCTTTGATTATTAATGTAACTGTCAGATTTGAAACACAAAGATAGAATGAGTATTTAGAAACATAAGCCACAGACTTAACAACCAGCTCTCAAAATCCTCTCCTCAGTATTTATAAAGAGAAATAAATTTTGAATAAAAAGATAATAATTGGGAAGTACAATTGTTACTGATTATAATTCAATCTTCAATGTTTTACTGGAAAGAAATTGAACAATATATGTTCTTAATAACTTCCTTTAGTCAATAATCGAGTTTGGGAATTTTTAGCAGCTTGAGTATATTTAAGCCCAGATCTACACAGTACTCACAGGGCAGGATTCACACGTTTAAGCCTAGATCTACACAGTACTCACAGGGCAGGATTCACACGTTTAAGCCTAGATCTACACAGTACTCACAGGGCAGGATTCACACGTTTAAGCCTAGATCTACACAGTACTCACAGGGCAGGATTCACACGTTTAAGCCTAGATCTACACAGTACTCACAGGGCAGGATTCACACGTTTAAGCCTAGATCTACACAGTACTCACAGGGCAGGATTCACACGTTTAAGCCTAGATCTACACAGTACTCACAGGGCAGGATTCACACGTTTAAGCCTAGATCTACACAGTACTCACAGGGCAGGATTCACACGTTTAAGCCTAGATCTACACAGTACTCACAGGGCAGGATTCACACGTTTAAGCCTAGATCTACACAGTACTCACAGGGCAGGATTCACACGTTTAAGCCCAGATCTACACAGTACTCACAGGGCAGGATTCACACGTTTAAGCCCAGATCTACACAGTACTCACAGGGCAGGATTCACACGTTTAAGCCTAGATCTACACAGTACTCACAGGGCAGGATTCACACGTTTAAGCCTAGATCTACACAGTACTTACAGGGCAGGATTCACACGTTTAAGCCTAGATCTACACAGTACTCACAGGGCAGGATTCACACATTTAAATGCTAAGGGATGAGGTATCAGGAGAGGTATAAGACAACAGGGAGTGGTAAGGCCTGGTACACTGAAAAACAGGATTGTTTTAAAGCAGGAAAGCCTTGCTCAACTCTGGAAGAATTTTGCTGTGTGCCAAAGCAGAACTAGTCTTGTCAGACTTTCTAAGTTTTGGAAGAAAGGACAGAAATCAGCATATTAATGTTAAAACTCATAATGTTTAAGACATGGGAGTTCATTCAAGCCTTCAAAGACATCACTGTGCAAACTAATCAAAACACACCTGTGAGTTTGGCCCCACTAGGGTTTCTGGAGTTTCCTTCCTCCCATTCAACTATCAGGTGAACTACAATTAGGTATTAATCCTTAATGACAGCTTCCTAATGACCTTGTTTAGCTATTTCAAGAGGATCCTTCCCTAAAGTATTCAGAATCGCCTTGAAACATGAAGACCACTTCAAGTGCTATGCAAAGTGAGGGAAATTTGGAGAGTAGATTCTTCTGAAGATTTCTCTGCTAAATAAGTTGCACTCAACTGAAATCCAGATGTGCCAGCACTGAAGCTCCATCGCAGGCAAGGCCGACTCATTGACCCCAACTTCTGTCCACTCAAGTGCCCCGAGACTGCTGGTGATTTAGCAAGTGAACTCCTTGCCAGTTGTAAGAGCTAATTCAATCTCATCCCCAGGGTGGTATAGGTACATTAAGAGTTGCAGCTCTTAGAGTAGTTAATCCGGAAAAAGAAAAAAAAAAGCCAAAGTGCTTGCTGAACATTTAACTGAAAAATTTCTCATTTGTACCTGATGGTTCTGAATTTTGTCAACTGTTTCTTTGTATCCTTGTGACACGTTTCTTATTTGTCATGTTTTCTTTTAAGAAAGAATAATGTGAGGGAAATGAAATGTTCATTTGTTACTGGAAACTTACAGTGATGAGATGTGGTGCATAAGACATCATAAAATATCCCTCATTTCCATTTGCATTTGTCACTGCTCCAAATCATTCACGTATCTCTGTATCTGCGTCTGCATCTAGCTTTGATTTATTCACATAATTGATGTAGAGTGACTTTTCCCAAAGACATGAATTATATTAAATTTTTGATTTGTGCATGTATTTGCTTTTGCATATCTTACTTTTAGATTTTTATAGCTCTTCGAACTCAGAGAACATTCACCACATCTATATTGGCCTAGGGAATGTTGAAAGAATGATTTTAATTATGCCACATATTTTTGCACTGTTCTTATCTACAAACAATTGTATAAGCTATGCCTTTTGAATATATTCATGTGCTGTGCCAGATAGTAGTAGTGCAAAATGCTAATGTTGATTTTAAAAGAATGACCTTTCCTTGTGTGTTTCTTTCCAGTGATCTGCTTATCTAAGACGGATAGTATTGATGGACTGCACTATCACAGTCTTAGACTTGCAGAAATGCCTTGGAGTTTTTTGTTTGACATTTCTTTGTCCCTTGGGTACTTTGCTCTGACTCTGTCATTTAGACTTTACTGTAAGGATAACCAATTAGTAGTTAAATGAGTTGAAGGAGTCTTTTTATGTACTCTATTCAAATAACACTAAACTCACTGTCACATGAATAGGAGATATGAATTATTTCTCTACGCACTTTTAAAGCAAGCCCACACAGTAAATGATATTGTTCATAACCCCTGCCTTTATTGCTTTCTTCCCTACACTTAGGGACTTATTTTAAAGAAGAATTTATAGATCCTCTATTCTGTATTCCAGTAGAAATAATAACTCAGTAGGAATAGGAGTATGTAGTTTTTTTTAATAAACATATAACAGAATGGTAGAATTAGTTTTGAAAGCCATACTCTGAAGGAACAACAATGAGAATACTTGCTGGGAATTCGCCTCTTTAAGAAATAGCAGAGGACTGCCAAATTAACAAAATGCCCCTGGTCTGTATCATTTATACATGGTACAGATATATATTGTGGACCTACTGTGTTCCAAACCCAAAGATTGAAGAAGTAAATTCTCACTTCCTGTCTTTGACATATTCAGAATTTGGAAATATTTCGGAAGCTAGAAGTCAATACTCACAATCTAACTCTTAGAATGAATGATCCTTGGTCTTTTAACAAAGGACATCTGACTAATAAAATAGTCTTAGAGTTGTAGGAGAAATGTGTCATTCTGGACAACAAAGACCTTCTGTCTCTTTCGCAATGGACTGTTTGCGTAAAATACCAGCGTACTTAGTGAATTAGACATCTACAACACTGTGTAAACATTCCTTTCCAGTCATTGCTTCCTGGTCAGTCATAGAGACCACTTTGAAGTGCCTTTATTTTGAACACTAGGAAAGAACTACAGGAGAGCCACAGCCCTCTGAAGTAGTAATTTTTGTAAATTTGCGAATAATGATGTTACATCACGTCACTGGGACATCAAACCTGTCTAATGTGCACTACTACTCCCACACTACTACTGCTAAGGCAACAACCATTTACTAGGCTTATTGGCCGTGTGCCAAGTGCTGTGTTTATTTCTTATTTTCATAGGATATGTTATTTAATTAACGGGTAGCTAAGAGAGAGGGTTCCAGAGACAAACTGCTAAGGTTCACATTCTTGCTTCCATTATTTGCTAGCTGCATGAACTTAGCCAAATTTCTCAACATTTCTGTGTCTCAACTACCTTATCTATAAAATGGAAATACTTGCCTGATAGGTTTTTATATGATTAAATCAGAAGATAGTGGTTAAGTGCTTAGAGTGCACAGACTAAATGTTCAATTTGCTATAACATTTCTATAATATCACTCAATGAATATTTGCTATAATATTTTCATATCTCTTACTGATCACTGTAACTCAAATAATTGTGCTGTCTTATTATTCTTAGTTTGCAAGTGAAAAACTGAAGTTCACACTAACCTTTTAGTCAAAAAATGCACTAAATTTCTGAGCTGAAATTCCAACACTGTTTGATCTGATTCTGCAGTTCCAATGGGGGATGATATGTAAAGAGAAGGGGTAGGACTGCACCTGAAATGTTACTAGAATTCTATTCAATGATCTGTGATCCTCATATTCATTCAAAACCTATGGGTGGGAGATGTGGGGAATGGGTGGGAGATGTCAGAATTTGTATTTACAGTGAAGCAGGGAGTTTAATAAGGTGGAATTTCAAGGTTTTTAAAACTCGATGGTTTTTGTAAGGTGGGAGTGGAATGGAGAGTGAGGTAGTAAATTGGGATAATCAACCTCGGAGTCTCTGGGATGGGAGAGATTTCTCCTCAGTATTCAAATTCTGGAAACCTTTTGAACTTCCACCAAAAATAACAAGCCGTCTAATAAACAAACCATCCCATGCACAGAGAAAGAAATGGATGGTTGGGGCTTTGAAGCCAGTGGTGGTTCTTAGTCTGTGTGGCTAACCCACTAGGGACAGATGGTATTATTGGGGGCAGCTCTCAGAAGATTTGTAAAATATGGTGAGGTTAGTAGCATGGCCAATTTTGTTGTACAGTATCCTCAGTTAAGCATGTATACCAGGAGAAGGATCCATCTTTCTTGCACTTTGAAGGATTTGGTAACTTATTCAGGACTTGGTCCTATAGCTGTGGCAGCAACAAGAGTAGTCAGCTCAGCTTAAGCCTCTGTTCCTAAAGGAACTTGGTCTAAACTTGTAGGTCTAAAGACCTACAAGTGGCTCTGATGGGGACCTGCAGTGATGCACCAGCGAGCGACAAATGGAGACATTTCTTTAACAAGGAAAGCGATACAATTTCTACATGGGAAGGATGCATTGGAAGCAACCTGGTTAGAAGGGGGCTGGGGACTCATTTTGAAGGTCTGGCTGCACAACAGGCATCATGTTCTTACTTAGATTTAAGTTTCTTTGGAATTAATAAAAATTATGAGCAAACTGACTCCTTTCCTGAGGTACAAGTTTGCTCTGCGGCTGCTCTTTCTCTTCTGTGAAAACGTGAAGCTCCAGTTTTGGTGCTAGCAACAACAGGACAGAGGCTTACTTTGCAATATGTCTGATAGTGATTGTGTGGTTTTCCTGCATCAAAGGGTTAAAGTTGAAATAAAACTTGCATTTCATTTTGAGCAAATAAAGCAAGAGCAAATGGCATTGTCCTGAGAAATGTTAGCACACTGTAGATTCTTAAATTTATTGTGGTTGAGGATGGATGCTCTCCAGATTAGCAAGGCAGCACTTCCAATGTTCAGTGGAGGGCACTTTAAGATGCAATTATTTACACTTCATGTTGTGATATTACAACAATAGTTAATAAGAGCTGGAGAGATTTCCTAATTATCTGAGGGTGCAGGAAATCATTTCACCCTCCCCTTACTTGAAATACTAGGAATCAAGTCTGCAGGAAGCTGGCTGATCACAAATCACGTGTCAGCACCTCCATAACATTTACCTGCATAATTTGTCCTTATTATTTTTTATGTTGATGAATCTATATTGATAAATCTTGCATTTATCTGTTTTTTGCAGTATGTATTTCCTATTTCACAGTAGTAGGGACCCTACGCTCTATTTACTTTGTGCTCTTTCACAGTACACCATAGGATTTAAATAAATGCCTATTGAAAAATTCAACAAATAAGCCATGTCATTTTTGTTAAGCAGCTTTACTTGGAAGCAAGACTTCTGTTCAAAATTATGCTAAGATGAAGAGTCTCACCATCATTTCCCTGGTGACCTGTGGGCACAGAATTTAATGAGAATTTGTTTCCTTGCCCTCATAGCAACTTCCTCTGCATAAGATCCTAATTAACCACCATAAGGTGATTTAGGCCTTGGGGTGGGGTGGAATTATTCATTTTCCTCTATTTTACATTTATATTTTACTTCATAATACTGCATTCACTTCCTTTGAAATGTTAGTATTAAGAAGTTTTCTAGTAGCTGTTCTCTTAAAATTACGAGGATTTTTGATTTTATGTTATTTTATTAGTCAAAAACTAAAACCAAAAGCAAAATCTGTAAAATTCCTTTTTTGAGGATGTAAAATTGCCTTATACATTATATCTCATTATCTTTACCGATTTTAAAATTAACACCTAATTAAACCGTGTGTGTATTTCAAACGTGAGGCTAGGTTCTCATTGATGCTCTCCACTAAATTGTTGCATGAAGCTCAAGAAAAATGTGAAAGATTATACAGTTTTTGGGCAACAAATATTCTCCCTAAGACTCAAGATGTGTTTTCTTAAGAAAATAGATTTAAAATGTGAACTATTTCCAAAATATAAAGCAAATTAAGAAGCATTTTCTTGAAGGAGAAAATGTAACAATTACCATAGAAATGCATTTGCCTTGATATCGTCATTTTTAGCAATGAGTTTGATCAGCTTTGTGTTGATGATCAATTCTAAAATGATTCTTTCCTATGAAAAACCATGCTTTGGTTTCATTTCACAGCTGCTAATTTATTTACTTCACATTTGTTGTCATTATCGCATTCTCTGTTTATTCTTGCTTCAAATGTGTTTTGCCCCGACACATGTTCAATAGATACAATCCTTTACATAAAAATGAAAGTAGATTTCTAAAACTCTGTAGTATATTTACATCAAACTGTGGGTAAAATAATTTGGAATAATAAAGTGTTTTAGATATTATGGCAGTGATGAAGAAAATGTATTGAAAATGATGACTAGGCCAGGCACAGTGGCTCACTCCTATAATCCCAGCACTTTGGGAGGCTGAGATGGGCAGATTATTTGAGGTCACGAGTTTGAGAGCAGTCTGGCTAACATGGTGAAATCCTGTCTCTACTAAAAAATACAAAAATTACCCAGGCACAGTGGTGGGCACCTGTAATCCCAGCTACTTGGGAGGCCGAGGCAGCAGAATCACTTGAACCTGGGAGGCAGAGGCTGCAGTGAGCTGAGATTGCGCCACTGCAGTCCAGCCTGGGTGACAGAGCGGGACCCCATCTAAAAAAAATAAAATAAAGTAAAATAAAATAAAATAAAATAAAATAATGACTAGCTTATGCTCTCAGTACACATTTTGGATTAGATTTCCTACTTCAGTTAATACAGGTTTCTTCTTTCCCTCAATATTATTGCACATGCCATAAATATATCTTGCAAAACTGAATAAGAATTAACTTTGAGGCAGCTATACATCTTATAGTCTTGTTAGCATACAGAAAACAATTAATAAAGAATCTTCGGAATTATTTAGATTTGAGTTCAAATCCTGAGTTCAATTATTAGGAGTTAGGTTTAAGAAATAATTCACTCTACCTCTCTTCCAGTATTCGAGAATACAGGGTTAAAGGCAGAGCTCAATCAGATGGCAAAATATTGGCTTTGTTTACACTTCCCCAGTAATTATGAATGTTAAAGGGTGTTGAGTGGGATTTTGTATTTTGTTGTAGCTGTTGTTGCTCTCAAATTGGTAACTAGAGTTCACAGCTGCATGCAGAGATTAGCCTGGTATACCATTTACTAAAGAGAGAAGCAAAAAATTATGGTCAGAATCCTGTCTCAGGAGCTTCTTAAGAGTTGAAAGAAAAAACTCAATTTCCCCAACCATCAACCAGCTGCTCGGCTTGTGCACAAAAAGTTTTGGAGGCAGGAAGGAGGAGAGTAGCTCTTTGAAATGTTCTAGCATTGTGGAATGTGCATCATTTATGATCAGATGGGATTCCTTCTATAGCGCTTTTCTCATCTCAAGTCAAGTGAAGGGCTCCAACTTAATCATTTGTACAGACTGGTGCACGTGAAAGAAGGAGACTTGCAAATGTTCCCTGTTTAGTTAACTGAATCAGTAATGAACTTCCGAATCTGTTTCTGTGCCAATGTTGGGCAGATAGGAGAAAAATGGAGAGAGATGGTAGGGAGGGTCAGTGGAGCACCTACATTCTCGCCTTTCAGCCCAGGTGGGGTACATGAATGTTCTGTAGATAAAAAAGACTCTCTCTCTCTATATATATATATGAGATGGAGTTCTGCTCTTGTGGCCCAGGCTGGAGTGCAATGGTATGATCTTGGCTCAGTGCAACCTCTGCCTCCTGGGTTCAAGCGATTCTCCTGCCTCAGCCTCCCAAGTAGCTGGGATTACAGGCATGCGCCACTATGCCCAGCTAATTTTATCTTTTTAGTAGAGATGGGGTTTCAACCATGTTGGTCACGCTGGTCTCAAACTTCTGACCTCAAGTGATCCATCTGCCCTGGCCTCCCAAAGTGCACGGATTACAAGGATGAGCCACCACACTCAGCCAAAACAGACCCAGTATTAAGCAGCTGGGCTTGAGCTGTTGCTGGTACCTCATCTAAGGGGGTTGGTAACAGGCTACAGTGACAAAAGCAGCAAGAGGCAGTGAGATCTCCAGGAAGCTGGAGGAAGGTGGGATGAAGGTGGAAGTACCTGAGACCTGTGCAGAACCTGACCCAGTAGAGGGGCCAGGCTAGAAGAGATGTGATAATTCCAAGGTGCTAAAGAGGAAGGGGGAATCAAAAAAGAGACAACGCTCTTTTATTTTCATTTCAGCTCCTTCCAGCCATAGTTCTGGCCAGAAATGGGGGGAAGGGGGAAATATTTTGAATCAAACTGAGTTTTAGTGACAGAAGGTGACTTGAGATTTATGGAAGAATCAAATGCATAAAGGCATGGGAAAGGAGAATTTGGCAAAAAATAGTGTGGAAAACTGTGTTTGAAGAAAAAAAATGGAAATATTTCAGGCCAATGAGGGTCTTTGATAAACCAGTTACAGCTGGATTAGAGAACTCTATGAGGCTTCACATGTTATTTTTCCTGAATTTAAACCCTGGGACTCAATATTATTTCTAACCAATCATAGGTAGCGAGGTTGAAAGGGAGACTACAGAGACCTGATTGGTGTTTTTACCACCTGGACCTGGAAGCACTGTCATTGACAGATCCCAGGTGTAGGCAGAAAGGGCAGGGGATCCGGGTGCAAAAGAATGAGCCTTGCCTTGTTTTTGAAGTTTCCGTTGAACCAAGCTGATGAGACATCTACCTGTTGTTCTAGTTACTGTTAGTGCATAAAAAATTACCCAAAATTTGGTGGCCAAAAACAATAATTTATTTTGCTCACGATATTGTGGATTAAGAATATAGAGAGGGCAGTTCTTGCTAAAAGTTTTAAATGCAATTGCAGTCAAGTTGTTAGCTGGGGCTGCAGTTATATGAAGGTTCACCTGGGCTGGCTGCTCACCACAGCTTTCCCACATGGCTCGTAGTGGACGTCTGCTGCCAACTGGGAGCTCAGCTGGAGCTGTGGACTTGAGGGTGCACACATGTGTGACCTCTCCATCACAGCAGTCTCAGGGTAGTTGAACTTCAGGCATGACTGCTGGCTTTTTCAGAACCAAGAGGAAGTAGAAAGCTTTGTTTGATCACACCTTAGAATAATTGGTTACAAGTATATCATTAAGACCAGCCTGAATTCAAGGAGAGAGGTATAAGCCTCATCTCTCAATGGGAAGTTGTCAAAGAGTTTGTGGACATGTTTTAAATCTATCACCCTGTGAAAAGCCAAAAATACTGCTCCAATCAAAAAAAAATTCTTATATTTTGGCCAAAGTTCCATTTCCTAAGGATTGTGGGGAGGGGGAAGGAAAGTTTTTGTGAACTCGGGCAAGTCATTTTAACTCGCTGATTTTCAGTTTTCTCTTACCAAAATGAAAGCAAAAATGCCTACTTTATTGTGCTATTGTTTAATGGGGTGAGGTTGGTGGCTCATGCCTGTAGTTCCAGGTACTCAGGAGGCTGAGGCAGGAGGACTGCTTGAGCCCAGCAGTTGGAGACTGCAGTGAGCTGTGATTACACCACTGCACTCCAGCCTGGGCAATAGAGTGAGACCCTGTCTCAAAAAAATCATTGCACTTTTGTAAATTTAAATGAAAAGACAGTGTCTAATATATAGTAGCTCTTATTATTTACTCATATTACATGAGGTATCCAAAGAGAATTTCTCGCAAGATATAATGAAGAAGATTTGTATATTGGAAGCTTTCATTTATGGTTGGAGAAAAACTGCTAAAGATTTGTAATTTTGAATGAACATTGGCATAAATAGAAAGCCAGCGCGCAGAGCAGAGAAGGCTGATATTTTTATGCTAAGCTGTAGAAATCAGGAAATGTGTGATAAGGTTATCTGAAAAATAGATTCAGAGAAACCACAGAGAGAGGAAGGGGAAATCAAAGTGAACATTGATGAATGTGGGTAAGGATATTGTGTGTTGGGGAAGCATCTTAGTTCTTCCATTTAATACACATGTGATGTTTGAAGCACTCTTATGAAAAGTCATCTTTCATGTTAAGTGGAGATCATGTATTTGTAACATTTCCATTTGGTAGTCATATCTCTAGCTATTAAAAATCACATTGTGATAAAATACTCTTTTGATAGGTGCTGACTGTAAAATCATATGGTAGACATTTTCTGCAATGTAGCATGATTTAATAGAATTGGGAAAATAATGTTTTTATATTTCTATTATAAATAACATTCATATAGATAATCTTACCAGTTGCTATCAATACAGGGAATTCTTGTTTCAATTAATTAGTTAAAATTTTCATTGTTTTTGTGCTTTACTGTAATATTGCTACTGTTATTTGAAACACATTACATTTGTATAAGCACATGTAGCAATGCCAAAAATATTGGGGTGCCTACTCTGTGCAGGGGTTTACATTAGTTGTTGCATATTTCCAATTCATAATTTTGTGTTTTTTGTATTCCTGTCATTATGGTATACTTTGTTGTTTTTGCATAGATTTTATAGTCTTTTTCCAGGTTTTAGGTTTGGTAATAGAAATACTTCTATCTCATCAATTTCAAGTCTACTTTCAGAAATATTTCAGGAAGGCAAACTGCATTCTTAACAAGAGACTATGTTTTCGTTCTTTGGAAATGGGAAGATAATTAAGACCCATATTCTGTCCTCAGGTAGCTAATAGAGTACACTAGTGTATTAGCCTATTAGCCATGGCATTTTCAATTGCAAGAAATCTAAGGCAAAAGGGAATTTTAGATCTTACAATTAGAAATACCGTAGAGTTGTTCACATTATGAAAAATAAGTTACAGGATTAGGGAAGAGCTTATGTTCAAATAGTTCAAAGCAGCAATGGACGTATTTTGTATTGAAAATTCCAAAGATGATCATAAAGATGACTCCTTGGCACTTGCTCCCAAATGGATTCATCCTTTTATTCATTCAGTCTTTCATCCATCCAGTACTTACTGAACTCCCATATTTGCCAGGCATTTGGTGCTAGAGATAGAGAGGTGAATAAGACCAAGTTTTGCCCTTATGAGAGCAACAGTCTAATCTAGGGAGATGACAGACAGCAAAATCAATGAAGAGATAATGAAGGGCCACCTAGGGATCATTCCTATTAAGCTGGTATAAGTTGGTTTAAACTAGATAATGAAAGAAGGTCTTTCTGAAGCGGTGCCTTTGAACCTGAGATTTGACTGACATCTCTGCGAAGATCTGGGAAAGTCTTCAGGTGGAGGGTAGAGCAGGTGTAAGACCCTAGGAAAGTGGGAGCTTGGTAGTATTTCACAAACAGTGAGGAGGTGGGAGTAAATTCAGCACTTTATGAAGTTTTGTGCATTCTTCAGTGTTGTTGGCATCAGTGAGTGTGCGATAGCTAGAAACAGGTCAATAAATTATTCATGATCAAAATGAATTTGCTGTTTCTCTGGCCACATTATTGCACCCTTGGGAAGTGGTTAGTTTGCCCCACCTGGACCAAAGGAGAGTTCCTTACCCAAGAACCTGAATCAATATGTTTTAGTTTAGCTATGTTTTTCCACAAGCTCTTAAGCTCTTTAATTCCATAAAGACAATTATCACTCCTAGACTTAATCATTTTTCTCTTAGCCTCTGTGTTACCTTCTTTAATCTTATTCAAGACTTGTTTCCTCCAGTCCCTTATTGTTTTGCCATTAAGCCTTATCAATATTTGCTTGGAGCTATATTTAATATATTCACGTTCTTTTTCTATTCTCTCTCATTTTTTCTGTGCAAGGCCAAATGTAAATGTCACGAAATTATCAGAATCTTGAATTTTGATGTCACATTTATGTTTTCTATCATAATGACTTCTTTTAAAGAATAAGGGTATATATCTCTTATGAATGCTTCTTATTTTTAAGTTATAATGTTTCTGCCTTTTAAATTAGAGGTGGTAGGATGGTAATATGCCTATGTTAAATTTGCTTTTCTACTAGATGTGTTTCCTAACTGCTCCAATCTACTCTTGCCTATACTGTAATGTTCCATGCTGTAACCAGATAATTCTTTCTGAAATACAAATTTGACCACGCCATAATTCTGCCTAAAATGTGTTGATGATTTCACATTCTTTTTGGGTAAAGATCAGCTCCTTACATGGCCTACAAAGCCTCAATGAAATAGACTCAGCAGCAGGGAGGCTCCTCTCTGACCAAATCCCTTCTCACTTCACCAGTTTCCATTCACTGACCTTTTCCTCCTTAGTTTCTGTTCTCCATGCCAGTCTGAAAACAGAGAATTTGCATGTACTCATTTGTCGTGTTCACTACATTTTTTTCCCTCCTTGACTAACTAACCTATACATCCTCCCAAATCTCAATTCAATGATCACTTCATGACAGTCACCATCTCTGGATAGATTGTTAAAAGCAGATCTAGACAGAGTACCACATGCAATTTCTGGTCACCCTAAAACATTATACATGCACACACAGTGCATACACACATATACCCCACACACATTCCAGGTAATATTCAGAAATCTTACTATTTTAATAGGAATGTGTTTGCCTAAGTTGAACCATGCTCAAAAAAAGAACATTCCAAATTATTAAGCTGACTAAAGCTGTCTTTAAACAGCAGAATACATATACCCACTGTTCAGATTAGCTAAATGGGGAAATAACTGCTTTTCAAGGTTATTAACCCACAATATTCTAATCTCAGATGCTGTACTAGAACAGTCTGGCACAGTTACTGTTTGGTTTATTTTTTTACTCTAGTGAGCTGTAGGCTGACACGTTACCAATAGCTTCTTTTCATTGTAAGCAGCATACAGTGTGATGCTCAAAGTGTAAACAGGATAATTTTTACCATTTTCAGGAGCATCTAAGTCATCTACAGTTGGATAACTTTTTTCCACAATTTGTGAAATACAGGTGTATCTGTCAAAACTGATGCACAATTTTCTCTGTTTCTTTTATCTGTATAATGACTTACCCAATTCCTAGTGTGCAAGAAATATTATTGATGTCTTATTGAATCCTGTTGCTTTCTGTATATACTACTGTGATCTTGGTGGCATCTTCATTTATTATTCTGGTGGACGCATGTAGCTTACTATCAGTGTTTTTATGAGACAAGAAGCAATATCTCTCTTTTCTAACTAAGCATTTAGACAGTAAATTCTCTTTGCATGGATAGCAGTGTGGTCCTACTCACCACTGCAACTTCGTTGCCTAGCATGGCACCAGCACACAGTTGAAACTTCATTCTTGAAACAGCCTGTGGGTTAGGGATATTCTACCTATTTACTAGTGATGAAACTGCCCCTTAAAGGAATGGGTGAGTGATTGCCCAAGTGTACACAGCTGCTAAGTGGTAGGGGTCAGGCTCTTAGTCGCAGTGTGGCTCATTATCTAGCATTTGCTAACATGTTATGGAGGCATTTTGCTACTTTAAAATAATTTATTTATTCAAACTTCATATTCACTGGTCAGATTTCCCTTGTCAGACTGAGAAAAGAAACCACTCATTTGCAGGACAGTAGCAAACATCTTACTTGCATTCCAGTTGTGTATGGGTTCTTTTAAACTTCATAATATTCTTTTCTTATTCCTCTTGCTATATATTGATGGCAACCGTAGGCCTAGGTTTACCACATCTCTATAGAACAAAGCCATATCTTATGAATTGTTTTAGGTGCTATCTGGACTGACACAGTTTTGTTACCTATAGCAAAATATTTACTGCTTTGTTGCAGAGAAAGCTAGCAGATGGTTTTCATGACATCATAGGCAGGGAAGAGTAGACATGTAGGGTCCACATGTTTGGCCTTTTTTCCAAGAGTCTAACTTCATATATTCATGAGAATTTTGAATGAAGAATTCAATAAACTTGTTATTGTTCTATAATGAGAAATCTTTATTTGCTGAAAACAAAGCCTATTACTGTGTTCTAAAGAATAGATCTCAGTCTGAAAAGAATGCTAGTGCAAAGATAAACTTACATAAAAAAACTAGTATAAAATTTAAATATTATTAGCAATCATGATTAAGGATATTATTAATTGTATATATATACTATGTGCCAAACAATTGGCTAAGTAGTTTATATTTTACCTTATTTAATCCTTAAAACCCTTTTAACATATGAAAAAACTTAGAACTTGAATGTTTAAGAAGGTAATTTTTGTTCTAAAAACTAATAATTAGAAGAGTTGGGGTTAAAGATATGTTGAACTCTAAAGTCGAAATTATTATTGTTTATATTATTCTTTTAAAAATTAAGATAAATATTATATATTCATTGTCATGATTACTTTTATAATATATTTTTCCGACCTGTCTAAAATGCTGTGAAGGTAAAGATCATTATGTCTGTTTAATTCACCACTATATTAAAAGTATTATATTGCACCACCAATCATATTGTATATGATTTGTGTCCATTGTAGATACTCAATAAAATATATCAAATGAATCAACTTGAGCTTTGAAGGTTGGGATTGTCACAACATTAAGAGTGTTATAACCTTTCTTCTCAGACATTTTTGAGGAGTTGGAGATAGGAAACTGCAGAGTTTAGCCTGTTTGGAAGAAAGCTGGTGTTTTATAGTTTGCAGCATGATTGGAATCCAGTGACTCAACTGCCTTTGACCATGAGGTTTCAATAAGAGGCAAGAAGAACTTCAGTTCCAAGGAAAATCTCCTGATTAAAAGAGTCGTACACTGATCTCAAAAAGACTTCAATGGCAGCATGGCATGGAGTTCAAGAGTATGGGCTCTGGGGCTGGGCACGGTGGCTCACACCTGTAATCCCAGCACTTTGGGAGGCCGAGGGGGGCGGATCACGAGGTCAGGAGATTGAGACCGTCCTGGCTAACAGGGTGAAATCCCTTCTCTACTAAAAATACAAAAAATTAGCTGGGCATGCTGGCCGGCACCTGTAGTCCCAGCTACTCAGGAGGCTGAGGCAGGAGAATAGCGTGAACCTGGAAGTCGGAGGTTGCAGAGAGCCGAGATCATGCCACTGCACTCCAGCCTGGGTGAAAGAGGAAGACTCCGTCTCCTAAAAAAAAAAAAAAAAAAAAAAAAAAGAGTATGGGCTCCGGGCCAGATTATCCGGGTTCCATTCTAAAGCACTCCACTTATTAGCTGGTGACTTTTCAAATGACTTCTCTATACCCAAATGATCTCATCTGAAAATTGGAGATAATGATTGTACCTGCCTCATAGGATTATTATTATTAAGATTAAATGAATTACTGATAAAATACTTAGAACAGTGCCTGATACACAATATGTGTTATGTAGTGTTTGTTACATGAGTATTCATTCTAAAAAGTCTTTTAAAATATAAAGTAAATGCTTATAGATTTTTTTTAAAAAATTATGCATCTGCTTGAAAACTAAAGGATATTATTTGATAAAGTGCTAAGATGTTCTCAGTGCTAGAATTATATAATAGTAGCCACATCCTGGAACCATAAAGGCATTCTTAAGGAAGTTTATATTTAAAAAAGCAAAATAAAGAGCCAGGAATGAGTAACTAGTGCACAGACTGTGAAACCAGAGGATAATATTCTATATCTGTAAATACACATAACATTAAAATCCTTAATTTGACAACTGGCAGAAGAACACAGCATTGAATCTTGTATATTTTCATTTTCTCTTTCTCTTCTCTACCACATTCATTTCCATGTTACTTTTATCCTTTTCAGAATGACCAATTGCTTCCGTTTTAAACTATACTCACTGTACTTGGGATTTATTTCTCTTACCTTATACTGGAAAAAAATGCAAAAAAAGGGCATTCAGAACTTACGTGTCATTTTTATATTGCGAATTCAAGGAAAATAAATATTTTTGTGACTTTATTTCTAAGTGTTACATTTGCTTATTTTGTCTTTTCCATATTTCCCCCTTTCCCTGTCTTTGGCATGACATTTGGAATTGTTATTGGAAAGAGAATCAACTCAGAAATCAGGAAAGTTAGCCAGTGACACATTCCTTTATTACATGATGCAAATATTTTGCTTTGCTCTTTTAACATTTTTCTTTTCCATAACAAGAAGTTTTACAGCTACATTTCACAGATTTTACATCTCTGCATCTAACAGAAACATAAAATGTAGTTTGCATTTAGGTATTTGTATTTTATTTTACTAGGCAGGAATGTGGAGTGTGTTTGTGAGCTTGTGCATGTGAGCTGGAAGGAAGTGTGGTTGCCCAGTACTTCCTCAACTCATGACTGAAACTTTGTTCCAGTTCAAGAAGGAAATAAAGAGCCCTTCAAAATAGAATACTGAATACTTTCTTCATCCGCTCTATAGAAATCAGGCCAGGAAGCAAATTAAAATTACAAGAATATCCAAAACAGAATTATTTTGCTTGCTGTCTGTGTATTTGACCACTGCCTTTTATGATTTTAACCTTTCCAGACATTCTCTTTGGGGTCGGTTTTCCTTGTGGCCCATAGGAGATCCCACTGAAATCATTTACTAGTTGTTCCAGATTTCCCCACAATCCCCATTGCGCTAAGTGGCGGCTAATGTGGGAGCTGTCATGTTTGGAAAATACCATGATGCCATGAGTTAATTTCATACCTGTCACAAGATCTTGCATGCGATCCCAGGGGACCAGTGGTATGTCACACACTACTGCAAGCGTTCGTTAGTACCTCTCAAAGCAATGAACCATGGCCAAGAGATCTTGTTGCAACATATGGCAGCACCTGTCACCAGGCTTCATGACTGGCATAAAATTAACCTGTTTTCCTGTTTGATGCGCTGCTTTTTTTTGCTTATCCGTAAAAAGGATGAGAATAAATTGTATTTGGAAACAATTTACTGTTCCTTTCAAGAAGTATAATGGTAGACTTGGGTTACTGGACACAATGAATAGACAGTGTCCTTGTAGAAGTACACACACTGCTATTCAGTAAAGGTGGTATTTTATGAATTTCTGAATGGCAGTCTGCACATCTCACACAGGAAGCAACGTTTTAGTTTCTGAACTCTGTCAAACTTAGACATAGAGCAAGAAATGACATTATTGTGAGCCACATTGTGGAAGAAAAATCCAGGAAGCATGAGTTTCAGATGTGAGTTTGCCCTTGCCTTTCGAATGGTTTCAAGCAACCTTGAGCTTCCTCTCTCTTCTCTCTATATTTCTCACGCTCAGATCTTAGTATTCTAATGGGGACGCACGAAAAAGGGACCCACAGAAAAACAATATTCAGAATGATGCCGGATATTCAGTGTCTTAGAAAAATAGATTAATGGGATTTAGTCTTTAAGTCTTAAAACTGCAATTTAGCAGTTATTTTTATGGATAAAGACAAAGAATATAGTCCAGCATTTATATATGGCTTTCTACCTCAGAGAAATAGTAAAAGTTTTTTGATCAAATGATTTCTCAATAGAGAAAGTATCCGGTTTCTTGCATCATTTTTCTTTTCTTTTCTTTTCTATTTTGGATCTTCTTATATATCTTTTTGCAGAGCCTTAAGCTTCTTAAAATATTTATTTTAATCGAGGGGGGAGCTGTTTTCTATAGCTAGTCTTTTTCCTTCTTCTTAAGGTAAATGCTTCTTAGATTCTGTGAGTTTTAAAATTCATATACAGCAAAGAACAAAGATAAATTTAGCAGTCTTTTCCCTTTATGTCACTACCAAGTCTAGGGAACAAATGGTGCTGTTCTTCCACAATCTGGACTGGTTGCTTTGAATTCTGGAGTAATCAATTTTTCCTGGCATTTCTTAAATGGTCTTTTTTATTCACTGAATCTCCTTTGAAAGTATAAACATTAGTCCTTGTTCTATGGTTTTGGAAATTGATGACTGCTATTCTCAAAGGATAGTATAGTTGGAATGATTGAAGGAGCAGAGCAAAAAGCTGAACTGAAACAATGGAGGGAGGAAAGATAGTACCAGAGACAATGAGAGAAGTGGGCAGTGATTGGAAGGGAATCCGAAGTAGGGATTGGGGACTTAAAGGCTGCTTAGACTTGATTAATAAATGCTGTATAAATGAAATGCTGAGACAAGGGATAAAATTGCACTTGAGAAGTCACTTGAAAATGTGTTAATGCCTTTACTTGACAAGCATTTATTTTTTCATCCTGGGTATAAAACCACTGTAGGAAAATGTAGATCATTTTTTCACACTGAGTATTTTTTAACTGCTGATTATGGTTATGTTGTCCTAAAATCAGGTTTCTATTATCTGAAAAGAAAATAAAAAGAAATAAATATAGGTGTGTAAAGATAAGTATTTTGGAGGCATGGATCTTCAGGTGAAGTGTCATGTAATATCTTTGCTAAGTCGGGATAAAAATAAAATTTAAAACTGAAATTCATATTTAAAAAGTTCTTAGTAGAGTCTAGGCATTTTTTTTTTTTTAGTGTACCTAACAGTGATGAAAATTTTGTATCTAAAAGAATGAGGGATTTTGCAAGGGATTTTCAGGAGACTGTGGCACTGTCATGGATGGTAGCTATACCATTTTCTAACAAAGTATGTCAAGAAAATTGAACATCAGTCTTCTTACTAGAAAAGAGAATCTGTGGCAAATTATTTTATTAATAACAGCAAACTGAAGAGCCACAAAATAATTTAGATAAGAATTAAAGTGCTGAATAACTTAGATAAGAATTAAAGTGCTGAATAATTTAGATAAGAATTAAAGTGCTGAAACAATTTTATTACTGGTAAAGCTGAATTCAGAACTGCTTCTGGTAATTTTACTGTATCAAGCAGGCCCTGAGAAAGACAACCTGGAACTGTTTAAAGGGAGATGTTCAACGATGGTCACAAGATGCAGGACTCAAGAGCTTCCACCATTAGAAACTATCACCTTTACTACCACCAACAAAATACCTTTTTCTCTGAGAAGGAGTCAGTGAAGGGTAGAGATGAAATAGGAAAAATTTGGTTGGTTGGGTGGGTAGTAAGTTTAATCATTACTCTTCTTTAATGAGTAATAGAGTGGAAATAACTTTCCTCTCTGGTTTTAAAAGTTAACTAATAGTAAGTGTCTTTGTTAAAACACGTAGACACACACATGCACCACACACACACACACATGCACCACACACACACACACACACACGCACACACAACAACTGTTTGCTACAGGATTTCTAATTAATGATATCACATTTTCTAACCCAGTAATTCCCAACTGGGGTTATTTTTTTCCCCTAGGGGACATCTGACAATGTCTAGATACATTTTTTGGTAGTAATGACTTGTATTACTGGTTTCTCAAGGGTAGAGACCAGTGATTCTCCTAAATTCTCCTACAACACCCAGCATATCTCCTCACAACAAGGAATTATTCAGTTGGAAATTTCAAGGGCCCTCAGGTTGATAAGCCCTGTAATTGCTTGAAGTAACTTAATCTCCCTAGTAATTGTGCAGTATCTCATAGTTATTCCTTCTTCCACTACTACTCCCCACAAATTTGCCCACAAACTTGAGAATTTACATAACTCCAGGAGTACAATAGAAAGGGACCTCACATCCAAGTGCTTGGGTACTGTGCTATCCTCTGGTTCCTTATTTGCCTTCACCACTATGATTTACTATTGGTAAAGTTGTGGTCATGTCGGTTCTCCTGGACTACCAGAGCCCAGAAATCTTCTCTTGTTGATGGTTCACCTCTGTCTTAAAGTCTACTTTGTCTAATGTTAATATAACTACCCCAGATTTGTTTTATTTTTCCAATTTGTACCTTTTTTTTTTTTTTTTTTGAGACAAAGTCCCACTCTGTCGCCCAGGCTGGAATGCAGTGGCACAATCTCAGCTTACTGCAACCTCTGTCTCCTGGGTTCAAGCGATTCTCATGCCTCAGCCCCCCAAATAGCTGGGATTACAGGCACATGCCACCATGACTGGCTAATTTTTGTATTTTTAGTAGAGATGGGGTTTCACCATGTTGGCCAGGCTGGTCATGAACTCCTGGCCTCAAGTGATCTGCTTGCCTTGGCCTCCCAAAGTGCTGGGATTACAGGCGTGAGCCACCATGCCCAGCCTATTTCTTTTTCCTATATTTTTGCTTTTGCTTTGTAAATACCTTTGAATATACAGTTTATCTCTTCTAGATACGACATAATCATATCATTTCAAAAACTATTCTGCTAATCCTTACTTTTTGTTAGTGTTTAATTCATTTATGTCTTATATAATTACTGATAAGGTAGAATTGATGCCTGGTGTTTCTATGTCTTTGCTTTTTTATTCCTTCATATCTGCCTTGTTTTTCATTAAATAAATATTGTCTGGCATGCCATTTTATTACCTTGTTTCTTTTGTTGTAGCTTTAAAACTATTTTCTTAGTATCTGTTCTGGGGAATACAATTAGCATTTTACTAAAATAATCTAGATCAGATAAAAATTAACTTAATAGTATACAGAAACTTTGCTCTAATATGTACCTGTTACTTCTTTCCTCCTTGGCTGTTATTGTCATACAAATTACTTTTATACTGTGTAAGCCCATTAACGTGGTATTATAATTCTTGATTTATGTAGTTGTCTTTTAATCGGATAGAAGAAAAGAGTTACAACAATATTTTAATACTTTCTTTTGTATTTTCCTTTACTAGTGTTCTTTATTTATTTGTATAGATTGAGGTTAACATCTAGTGTTCTTTCATTTTAGCTTGAAGGATCCTTAACATTTTTGGCAGTGCAGGACTGCTAGTAAGAAATTATCTCAGTTTCTGTTTATCCAAGAATGTCTTATTATTATTTTTGTAATTTTCAAAGAATAGTTTTGCTGTGTATAGAATTCTTGGTTGACTGTTTGTGACTGGTTGACTGTCTTTCTCCTTCAGCACATTGAATATGTCATCCCACTGAAAAATGTGAATGGCTTCACAAATTTGCATGTCATCTTTGCCCAAGGACCATAGTAACCTTCCCTGTATCATTCAAGTTTTAGATGGGTCACCAAAGCAAGCACTCTGGATCTTTCCATACTGCAATAGAAATGAGGAAGACTTGGGGGAACTTACTATTTCTCTCCATATAAATCCTGCCTTTGCCACTTTTTATCTGTTTTCTGGACTATACTGTATAGAATACAGGGTCTTTCTAAGAAAACAAAATACTTTGATTTTGTGTCCAGGGATCCAAGTAAAAGCCCTGCTTTTGGGGCATCTGGTGGTTTTCTAACAGCTCCTGCTCTGATTGTTTCCTTGTATTCCAGTTTTCTGCCTAATCACATGCAGAACCATTCCATTCACATAGTGAATACATCTCTCACTTGACACAGGGATCCTCATTTATGGGAAAGAAACACAAACCTTTCATTTGAAAAAGATATTATTATGTTTGCTTTATGCAGTACATAAATAAAACTTGATGATCACTTTCTCATAGCCATTCTCTTCACGAATATCATTAGCATTCAATGCAGAAATTAGCCTGCAGTCTTCCCCTAATGTTTGCATGTATCTTTTTTGTGATCCAACATTTTGCTATTAAATAGAATGAATTATGTGGAGACATGATTAGATAATACCAAGAGTATAAGTTTCCTGAGATTAGCAATCACACATGGTTTATTTTAGTCCTTTGTAGAATGTTGTGACTATCTTTCTATTTATGTACACATGTATCTATGAAGTACTTATTCATCCATCCTTTTATTCATTAGTCTAGCCAGTCAACTATCTATTCATCTATCTGTCTGTCTATCTGTCTCTAACATATCTTTTTCTTCACAGGAATTCAATTTGATGTTAGCATATGATAGTTGTCTAATAAATACATGTTAAATTAAATTCATATGAGGAATACAGACTCTAGTGTAAACTATTGGCATTACTGAAATATGGGCTTGATCATTCATTGTGTGGGTAACTACCCCATGGGTACATACATTGGATGTTTAGAACCATCATCCCCGGCATCTCAATATAAGCCAGTATTATTCTCCCAATTGTAACAACCAAAAATGTCTTCAGATAACATAAAAACATCCGTGGGGGAAAAATCCCTCTCCTCCACCCCAGTTGAGAACAGCTGGTATAAAAGCATCCTTTCCTTCTTTTATCACAGTATGTATGATTAAAATAAATGTTAACAATGACTAATAGTAGGGAATTTATCAGATGAATGAATGCATTTACATATGTATTTTCCAGATAGTCACACTCTCCCTCACTGATTCATCCACCCATTTATTATTCAACAAACACTTACTATGTACCAATTATCCACTAAGTACTTTGCCAGGTAGAGGGGATACATTCGTGAAATGTAAGTTTCTGCCCTGATGGGGCTTACAGACTTTCGGTGGAACTAGATAAAACAACGAAACAAAAGATATTACTAATAAGTGTTTTGTTTACAATAAGGCAGGAAGTTATAAGGGAAAGACAGGGGGGCTGCATGAGATTAGTGGACAAGGAAGGACTTTCTGAGGTGACATTTAAGGTGAGAAATGAATAATAAGAGGAAAACAAACAAAGATGTGAAAAATTTATTCATTAATTTTACTTATTTCTTATAGCATATGAGGTTTATGCTAGGAGTGCAAAAGGATGATCATTTGGTGGCATATCAACTTGCTTCTCTACCCATATTTGTGAAAAACACCAGATTGTTTGTGTGGAAGCCACTGGGAACTGTTCCAAACCGTGTGAGAAGTCTGACGTTTTTTATTGAGGGAGCATAGCCCTACCAATGTAAAGGCGTTGTTTTATGACAATGCCGTGAAAACTGGTAAGACATTGAAAAGCAAAAATGAGACATGCAGACCTTAAAATATCCTGTGTGATAAGAACTAGTGATTGTTCACTGAAAAAGACAAATTTTAGTTCTATCTTCATGACATTATATGTTGCTGGGGAGATGGTGGTGACCAGGGAAAACTGTTCAGAGGAAAATCCTGGCCTGATACATTTAAAAGAAAGCAGGTAAATGCGTATTCATCTTTTTTTTTTTTTCTCCAACCTCAGTAGATCTAAGGACATTAATCAGACCTTGGGATAATTATATATAGCTGTGCTATGAGTACGTGGATTCATTTATAATTCCATTGGTAGTAGATAATGCAATTAAGTACAAAATTCTGCAGAATCTATTATATCGTTGTTTGACGAATCAAATAATGTATTCTGCATTTTTATTCTCATGAATATTTCCCTTATAAATAGATGTCTAAAATGAACTATTTTGCATATGCTTGCCTTATGAAAGTAGGCTTATCCACTGGAAATACAAAGCTGTTTTAAGCATATTTGTGTGTTTAAACATGCTTACGCATGTTTTCAAGCATAATTGAAATAATTAGAATAAGTTTCATTATCACCTTTCACCTTTTATGCTAGATGCTGGATCAAGTCAAAACTGGAATTGCAAGTCAAACATCTTGATGAGATACAGAATTCTGTAAAGGGAAGAGATGAATTACAAAATACAACCTTGTTTGAGGAAGACATTATGACAGCTGGGTGACTTGGGCATTTAAATGGAATCTGATGAAGTCCCTCCCACCATTTTCTCTATAAAATGCCAATGGCATTTAAAAGTAGTGTCACCAGAGGAGCCAATGTATATTTTTATACTGCAATTAAGCAATTGAGTACAAAATTCAGTACAGTCAGTGGGAATGTGATCAGATGAATAAAGGAAGTCAGAGAAGATAATCATTTCAGTTCTTTCCCTAATTTTGCTTTCTAGCCTGGTACTTAAAATTCACAGGCTCACAAGTCTCACTGGGCTCCAGAGAAGAAGCCTGACTCCTCCCCAGCTGTGTACTCTCAGGCAAACTACGTAGACTCTACCTCAGTTTACTCAATTTTAAAATTGAGATCATAATTCTTGTCTTCTAGAATATTTGTGAGGATTGAATGAAATACTATGTATAATATGCACATTACATAGCTAATGCTCAATAAATCATAACTTTATGATTAGCAATGTTTGTTTCCCTCAGAAGTGACCTAAAACCAACAACAACAATATTTTTATTTTGCTTTCTATGATCACTGCTAATTATGAAAAAAAAAATGTGCCTGCCTTGATGCTTAGGAAAGAAAAATGGTTGCAATGAGAGAGAAAGCAGTGTTTCCAGACTTGTGATGACTTTATTCAGTTTTCTGCATTTTGTTTCTCTCTGGCAGTTTTTTTTCTCCTGTCACTTTCAAGATTGAACATAATTACAGTAATGAATTATAAATGAACATAATATGTAATGAATATAATACATAAAGTTTATTACCCCCATTTTCATAATTCTGATTCCAAGTTAGAGATCCCCTTCCAAGATAGGCTCCATAGCCTCCTGTGTAAGATGTCTCTGCCCACCCTACCCCAGATAACACCACCCAGTTTGTCTCCTGCAAGGCACTTATCACAACCCTTAATGTTTTTTGTTATTCGCAGGGGGTCCTGATCCATGCCCCAAAAGTGGGTTCTTGGATCTCGCACAAGAAAGAATTTGGGGCAAGTCCATAGAGTAAAGTGAAAGCAAGTTTATTAAGAAAGTAGGGCTGGGCATGGTGGCTCATGCCTGTAATCCCAGCACTTTGGGAGGCCGAAGTGAGTGGATCACCTGAGGTCAGGAGATCAAGACCAGCCTGGCCAACATGGTGAAACCCCATCTCTACTAAAAATACAAAAATTAGCCAGGCATGGTGACGCACCCCTGTAATCCCAGCTACTTGGGAGGCTGAGGCAGGAGAACCACTTGAACTTAGTAGGCGTAGGTTGCAGTGAGCCGAGATTGCGCCATTGCACTCCAGCCTGGGTGACAGAGTGAGACTTTGTCTCAAAAAAAAAAAAAAAAAATTAAACAAAGAAAGTAAAGGAATAAAAGAATGGCTACTCTATAGACAGAACAGAAGCATGAGCTACCCAGTTGCTTATACTTATTGTTACTTATTGATTAATGCTAAACAAGGGGTGGATTATTCATGATTTTCCAGGAAAGCGGTAGGCAATTCCCAGAACTGAGGGTTCTTTCCCTTTTTAGACCATATAAGGTAACTTTCTGACGTTGCCATGGCATTTGTAAACTGTCATGGCACTGGTGGGAGTGTCTTTTAGCGTGCTAATTAGAATATAATGAGCAGTGAGGACCACCAGAGGTCACTTTCATTACCATTTTGGTTTTGGTGGGATTTGGCCAGCTTCTTCACCGCCACCTGTTTTATCAGCAAGGTCTTTATGACCTGTATCTTGTGCCAACCTCCTATCTCATCCTCTGACTTAGAATACCCATCCTTCTGGGAATGCAGCCCAGTAGGTCTCAGCCTTATTTTACCTAACCCCCATTCAAGATGGAGTTGCTCTGGTTCAAACGCCTCTGACATTTTCATTTATACTTTTCACATATGTATCAACATATAATATAAAAATTTAAAATGTCATATATTATATATTAATACATATTATATTTACCATCATTAGAATGTAAATTCTAGTAGGTCAGTGAAGAAATCTGTCTTGTTCACCACTCCCTCTCTAGACAATAGCTCTGTGCCAGGTACATGCAGACACTCAATGTATATTGAATGTTGAAGAACTTTTCCTGCAAACCGTAATTGCCACCTGATAGGTTTACACATTCGATTGTCTTTTCACCTGCTCTTATATAAATTTGTGCTGAGACACGCAAGCCATTTGATGTTGTAGTTATTTTTTACAGTAGAGGTGCTTTGGGAAAGATGATTGAGATACCTCCTTATAATCTTAGAATCCATCCTAAAATGTCTTCTACTCAGATAATAAATGCCAGTCTTTGATTTGATATATTTAACTCTTTAGGTAATATTTACAATACATAGAACTAACTGGATTTAGTAAGATGCTTTAATTTACTGATAGCATGCTACTTATTAGTGTGTGCCTTCAAGCATCAAATATACCAAAAAAATGATCATTTTTGTTATGGTAGCAGATAGATACATTGCTCCACTGGTGTCTTTTTTTGTTTTTTTTTTTGAGATGGAGTCTCACTCTATCATCCAGGGTGGAGTGCAGTGGCACGATCTCAGTTCACTGCAACCTCCGCCTCCCGGGTTGAAGCGATTCTCCTGCCTCAGCCTCCCGAGTAGCTGGGACTACAGGCGTGCGCCATCACGCCAGGCTAAGTTTTTTGTATTTTTAGTAGAGATGGGGTTTTACCCTGTTGGCCAGGCTGGTCTCAAACTCCTGACCTCGGGCAATCTGCCCACCTTAGCCTCCCAAAGTGCTGGGATTACAGGCATGAGCCACTATGACCCGCCTTCACTGGAATTCTTTAGCTAGCCTTATTTTACTTGGATTCTGATTGAAATATGTTCTCCTCAGAATACAGGATGAAACAAAGCTAATTTAAGGTGACCAAGTTTATACATTAAGTACAATTAGTGCATTTTTCACCAGAAAGTTGGTCACTACTTTAAGATTTTACCTTCATTTTCATTAGAAGGTATTGGTTAATCTATTATCTCCTCTCTCTAACTGCAGTCATCATATTAAACTTTTGCAAATTTTAGGTGACAAACACATGTCGAATTTACATATATACAGGCATAATTTACATATATGCATATACAATGTACAATATATCCAGAAGGTAATTAGCAACTGGTTACAGTTTGCTACTAATGTACAATATATCCAGAAGGTAATTAGCAACTGGTTACAGTTTGCTACTAATGAGGTCAAGTTTACAGATCTACTGTTCCTCTGAGTCTGTCTTTTGGCTCTGTTGCATTGCCACAGATCCTATCATGATCCCTGGGCTGCTGTTTCACACACGTTGTTTGTCACAGGAGGGGGGCCATGAAGGAGGATGTGATTGCTCCCCTGCCAACCCCCTACCTCTACTGGTCAAGGATCTCAGCATTTTTCTGACGAATGGCATGGGCGGGATGCGCTCCATCTTTGCATTCTCTATGTGTCAGGCTGTGTCCACAGGGAATTGTCTGTGAAGGGTTTTTAAATCAGTGGGACCAGTAACACCATCTTTATATAGTGAAGACAGCTTATCATTAAATATAGTTTGAGACAAGCTTAATTGTGCAACTGAAAAATATTTTCGATAATATTTACAACTTTTATCTATTTAGTGTTATTAGATGAAGACTTTATCATTTTTTTCCATCATGCCTTTGGTTTTGTGAGCTTCTTTTTTGTTTTTATTTCCCGATTTCTTTCTTTCAGATACTTTTAATCAACATTTCTTCCTTTGGAAAACAGGTCAAATGACAATGCGAAGGGTGATCAAGGAGAAAATGTGTGAAGTAGAAGCCTAGAACTCAAGAGAAATGAATAATATCTTGGCATCACTTACTTTGCTTTAATTTCTTAGTTTTACTCCTTTAATGTAACAACTGTTTTTCATTTAAAAGGGAGTCATGAAACAAACATCTATATAATATTTTGGGGATTAAAAATGCATTTGCAAAGTTAGATTTATTGGTTTTTATCTTAAAGACATAAAAACTTGATATCATATTTAATTTTGTGCTCAAACTTACCGATAACACATTACTTAATCCTTGAAATTATTTGCTTTATTCCCTGTTGTGGATTAAGATGAGTGATTTTATTCTGAAAATATTAGGTTGTTGTAAAAGTAATTGTGGTTTTTGCCATTAATAATTCACAATATGAGAGCAATTATAGAATCTAGCTAAAATTATATGTATTTATCCATCTCTCATTATTCATGGTAGTTATCTTCTATAAAGTCTCTGCAAACACTGAATTAGTAAATACTGAACAATTACTCCTGGTAGGTAAATAAGAGCTTGGTTCCTGCACGACTCTGGCCACATTTTTGTCAATCTATCAATACATAATCTTATTTTATATGTATTTCTGTTTAATGATATCTTATGTAATACATATTGTATGCTCATTAATACATTTATTTAATACATATTGATTTAATACATATCTTATTTAATACATATTTTATGCTCATTAATACATTTATTTAATACATATTGATTTAATACATCTTATTTAATACATATTGTATGCTCATTAATACATTTACTTAATACATATTGATGCTCATGTGCTTTCGAGCATCAAATATACCAAAAAAATGATCATTTTTGTTATGGTAGCACATAGATACATTGCTCCACTGGTATCTTTTTTTTTTTTTTTTTTTTTGAGATGGAGTCTCACTCTATCACCCAGGGTGGAGTGCAGTATACTCACAGTATACTCATAGCCAATAGCACCGTAACTCACCCCTCATTGAAGCTTGTTCAACACAGTTTTTTTCTCTGTAAGGCATGTTATAGCCTCCTTGTGCTTAAGAAAACTAGGGAGCACTTCTGCATTATTTTTAAACAGCAAGTCATTTTAAACAGCAGAATCATAAACAAAAAACATAAAAATGAGAAGAACTAAATAGACCATGAAAAAACCACTTGTTTATAGTAAGAGAACTGAAACATGAAGGCAGAGTTTCACTTTGTTCAACCTCAGCTGGCAACATGTGTAGGGGGTAACTCAAATTTTGTGATTCTCTGCACATGTTGGGGAAAGATCACACAAATATTGTGAGTATTAATTTGGAGTACAAATTAATATTAGCAAATAGCTGTATTTGCAAATATGGAATCTGTGGATAATGAGAACAGACAGTATTTATATTCTAGGTTAGAAAAGAGAAAATGAGCTCCTTTTAGTCATCAGAAGCCAATGAAAGACCTGGGTTTAGTATTTTCTTCCATCTCTTGATTTCTGTTTGCTTAATTGAATGACAAATTCTAATTAGTCATGCCTGACTAACATAATTTAGGATGAAACTATGTCTTCATCACTCTCTACTTCTGACCCTGGCCCTGTTCCTAGAGTACAGTAGGCATTCAGTTAATGCTTGTTGAAAGAATGCATAAACCCCTTTCCTCATTTGGAACTTTATGGAATTGCTGAGAACATCAGATGGCAATAAGGTGATTGGAGCTGTAATCACACACAAAAAGTTGTCTATTTTAATTAGCCAGGTGTGGTGGCACACACCTGTAATCCCAGCTACTTGGGAGGCTGAGGCAGGAGAATTGCTTGAACCCGGGAGACAGAGGTTGTGGTGAGCAGAGAATGTACCACTGCACTCCAGCTTGGGCAATAGAATGAGACTCTGTCTCAAAAAAAAAAAAAAGAAAGAAAGAAAAAGAAAAAAAGTTAAAACCACCAAATTGTTTATTTTCTATTTTGAGGATTTTAATTTTGCTTAATAACATAGTCATTGAAATTAATTTATAAATAATATTGTATAGTTCAAAACATTAATATAGGACTTTTTTGCTGTAAACCAGGGTTGCCTGTTTAATATTTGTATTTCATTATGAGTAGTGAACTAGTATCTCTTGTAATGCAAGGTAAAGAGGAAGAGGTTGGTTAACAAAAAGGAACTATGTTAATTTTGCTATTAATAAGGGGGAAAACCTTTTGAATTTATTTATCCTGGAGACACAAAACTTAAACTCATAATGATGTCATATATATTAGCATTACTATATTTCCTTATTATTGCAAATGTATTCTACCCAGGTCTTTTCATCATTGTAGTCACTTAAAAAACATATTGGGTAAGTTTTATTATACAATTTTTCTCAGATTGATTTTAGTTTTATTTTTTCTTTTCTCTTCTTTTCTTTTCTTTTTCTTTTTCTTTTTTTTAACCTCAGAAGGAATTAGATGTCCAGTATAAAGAAGCCTGATCACTCTGGCCTTACTTGGCTTTCCAATAATAGTATTTTTAGGATCACTGATATAAAACCTACAAAGTAAGTAATTTGGTTCATATAAGCAGGCAAGTAATAAATTTTCCTATACATTGTTATTTCTCATTAAATACATACTATTACTCTCCAAATAAGAGATTTTTAGAGGTCATTTTTTTTCTCATTTTTTTAAAATACTGACTGACCCATATTTGCACTGGTAGACTCAGAAGTGTTTGGTTTATACTTGTTCAAAATGATTGTCAGCAGATGTAATGAGCCTTGGACCAGTCCAGTAACTTGGCTAACATATGTCTGCAGAAGGATTTTAAAATCCTGCTGACTAGGCTGGTCCTGTCGAGTCTCACAGCAGAAAAATTGTCTTTTGCAGCTCAGCTTATAAATATAACCTTTGTGTGTTTGGAAATATCCCTTCTAAGGCAGGACTTATGCTCACCCTGAAATTCAAATGTTCATTTTGATGTCAGCACTAACCAGGAGAAAGAAAAGGTGGAAACGATTCCTCTTGCACGTTTCAGAGTGTTAGAAACCGCCTATTATTTGTGTCTTGTTCTTTGCTGCTCTGTACAAGCTCTAGAAGTCATAAAAGTGTTCCTCACAAATTGACTCCTTAGAAATGCTGACTCTGTGTTTCAAATCTTATAAAAATATCTAAATGGTAGACGTATTGTTTTCATTACAGATGCATTAAGTCAAAACTGCCAAAGGCTGTGTTGTTTCTGCAAACAGGGCAACTACTGCTTGAATGGGGCTAATCTGTTTAGGCACTGAGGGGCTAGCTGTGCTGTCTGCACATATTTAATCACAAAGCTTTACTTGACTTTCCCACATATTTCCTTTTAGTATTTTTACTTATGGAAAGCAAGAATCAGGTTTTATAGTCATTCAGTAAGTCCTCTTTTTAAATAAAAATTGTTATATTGGAAACAGTGTCTACAAGACCACTGGTGGAAATTAATATAGCCAATATAATTAGTAAGTTGGATTCACCACACCACAGTAGGTAAATCTTATTGGGGGCAAAAATTGCTATCTTATTCACAAGTGTGTTGAGCTGTTCTTGTATTGCTATAAAGGAATACCCGAGACTTAGTAATTTATAAAGAAAAGAGGTTAGTTGGCTCATGGTTCTGCAGTCTACAACCATGGCACCGCTCAGCTTCTGGGGAAGCCACAGGGAGCTTTTACTCATGGTGGAAGGTGAAGCGGAAGCAGGCACGTCACATGGCCAGAGCAGGAGCAAGAGGGAGAGAGTGGGGGAGGCGCCACACGCTTCTAAACAACCAGATCTCAAGAGAACTCACTATCATGGACAGCACCCAGCCATGAGGGATCTACCCGCATCACCCAGATACCTCCTACCAGGCACCACCTCCAAAATCAGGGAGTACGTTTCAACAGGAGATGTGGTTGAGACAGATATCCAAGCTGTATCACCAAGTGAACTACCGAAGCTTTTTATTGATTTGTATTAAGCCAACACATGGGTTTACCCAGTAACTCATGATTTTTACACAAAAACCAAATTAATGTTTATCGAACAGTTATTTGGATATAAATACATAGATATAGCACAGTGCTTCAGGTTAGTTTATAAAAATCAAGTCTTTCCTTTAAATAATAAATGATTTATGCATTCATTCAAATTTAGAATGCTGAGGAATAAACTACAAAAAAAACTTGTGGCTGAGTGCAGCGGCTCATGCTTGTAATCCTAGCACTTTGGGAGGCCGAGGTGGATGGTTCTCTTGAGGCCAGGAGTTTGAGACCAGCCTTGCCAACATGGGGAAAACTTGTCTCTACTAAAAATACAAAAAATTAGCCGGGCATGATGGCAGGTGCCTGTAGTCCCAGCTACTCTGGAGGCTGTAGCACAAGAATCGCTTCAACCGGGGAGGTGAAGGTTGCAGTGGGCTGAGAGATCGAGCCACTGCACTCCAGCCTGGGCCACAGAGTGACACTCCATCAAAAAAAATTTTAAAAAAACCCTAATTGAATCTTTCCCCCTGTATTTCTGAGAAAAAGGAGCAAATATAAAATAAACAAAAAGAATACATATGGAACATTTATTTAGAAATCAAAGACCCAGCGTCATACGTTCTAATGTTTGATAAGATACTACCCAGTTTCCTGCAACTTTCACTTTTGTTCTGTCAAAGATTCCAAATGATGATTGTGAGCCACTGTAACCTGAAGACATATTGGATACATTTACTTATGTGTGTTAAATTGTGATTCTTAATGCTATTTTGTGGAAAGGCTGGAGAAGATTTTTTTTTTTTTTTTGAGATGGAGTCTTGCTCTGTCACTCAGCCTCTGGGGTTCAAGCAATTCTCCTGCCTCAGCCTCCTGAGTAGCTGGGATTACAGGCAGTTGCCACCACACCCAGCTAATTTTTGAATTTTTTTGTAGAGACAGGCTTCACTGTGTTGGCCAGGTTAATCTCAAACTCCTGACTTCAGGTGACCCATCCACCTTAGATTTTTAAAATAAAGGTTACAGGCTGGGAGCAGTGGCTCACACCTGTGTTCTAAGCACTTTGGGAGGCCGAGGCAGGCAGATCGGTTGAGCCTAGGAGTTCAAGACCAGACTGGGCAACATGACGAAACCCTGTCTCTATACAAAATTCAAAAATTAGCTGGGTGTGGTGGCAGGCACCTGCAGTCTCGGCTACTCAGGAGGGTGAGGTTGGAGAATCACTTGAGCCTGGGAGGTCGAGGATGCAGTGAGTCATGATTACACCACTGCTCTCCAGTCTGGGTGACAGAGCAAGACTCTTGTCTCAAAATAAATAGGTACGTACATACCTACATACGTACTAGAATCAAGGGGGTTGTTTCTGAGTTCATTGAGTTAACGAGGAAGGTAAATTAATCAGGACCTTCCCAAGTTACCCATGTAATATTATTTAATTGTACATGTTTAAACAAGCTCAGATTACGTTGACTGTGAGTCTTAAAACGGTAACCACAAACAGGTTATACCAAGATCCCTCACAATGTGTGTTGTCTGAGAGAAAAATCTTATCATTTTCTTTTTTTCCACATTCACTATTGTTCCTAGATTATGAAAGGTAGTCATTCACTAAACCCTTCTAAAATATTCCTTTTTTTTCCAAATATAGAATTATTATATTAGTAACAGTACAGGCATGCCCATAACAAAAAATGGAAACTAATATAGTCAATATAATTAGTAAGTTTGATTCATCACATCCCAGGGTAGAATACCTCTTGACCTTCAAAACTGCGGTCGACCACAATTCAGATTTTGAGCTATTCACCAGTGAGAATGCATGGCAATACATGCCTAATTGGCATAGTTACATGTCATTAATTTATTCCTTTTATTCATTTAACAAATATTTATTGAATGTTTACTATGTGCCAGACACTATAATGCTGTTCTAAGATAGCTTATATTACTTATTATTGAAATTATACTTATTAAAATGGTAATAATTTGTAGAGAGATTAAACTTTGTTTTCTTGCCCTCCCTTTCTCCTTCTCCTCTTCCTTTCTTCCTTTGTTTCTTTTCTTTCTTTGCCTCCTTCTTTTGTGTAGCCATAAACAGGAGTCTACTGGGTCGTTTCTGTTTGTAAGGCACAATCTGCCTCCCAATCCCCCTCCCAAAAAAACTAACAAAATTTAGGGAAGGAGCTGATTTCACATTTCTTCAGAGGGCCTGTTAGAGTGATAAAAGGCAAAATTATTTTCTTTACACGAACAGTCACAGAACCAAAAAGGCCAAGGAAGAAGCCAGAGAGCACATAGTATTTAATTAGGAGAGTTTCTAGTGTCCCGAAGCCACAGAAGAAGCAGCTGCTTAAACATTGCTTACCCTTTGACTAATGGCCAAAAGCACTGAATAGGAGAAGGATTAACATGGATAAGACTTAAATAAAAGTGATACAATCATCAGAGCAACAACAAACAAAGGCACATTAAAAAGTAACATGAAATGATGTTAAGAAAGAGGTCATGGATGCAAAATGATAAAATGTTTCGTTCTTTGGAAGTAACTCTTTTTTTTTCTTCTGTTCTTAGTCATCCATCTCTGTCAGAGTTCTCAAATAAAAATGCAAAGGAAAGTTAGCACCACTCTAAAACAGTGAAGGGTCAGTTCTCTGCTTTTGGATATGTAATTTGAATGGGAAGTGTCCTAATGACAATTAAACACAATTTTCTAAGCACAGGAAGAGGACTGATAAAGTCAAGCAATGGCTGTGGCTTTTCTTTTGTACTTCCGTTACTATTAACTATATGCAAGTTAACAAATGCTGGACAGCCTGTCCAGTGAGCAGGGTTGCTCCGTTGCCAGGCTTATGTTTTAAGCGACGATTGAGTGTACACAGATCTAAACAATCATGTGCAAAGTCTAAGTCTCTCATTTTGAATTCGGAAGAGAGAACCTTGGTGCCCCTTCTTCCTGAGGAAATTTGGGAACTATAGTACAACTCCCTCTCAAAAAAAAAATACTCCTGTAATTCCATCCTAACTACTGATTGCTTTATATTTTTGATGTGGTGAGGAGTTCAGACCCCTTCTTAGTGAATGCAATGTTTAGCACATTCTTTGGAATATACTGCTTGAGTCTCTTGGTGCATCAGCTGAAACTTCATTTTAATATCCCGTACGCACTTAGTAGATACTTGCCTTTCCTCTACATTGGTGATTATTCCTGGCCTATCATTCAGTTAAGACCTATCCTCCATATACAGATTTTTATATCGTTCATCGAAATTAAGACTTGTTGCAAGTAATAAAAACTGAACTCAAGCTACCTAATACAAATGGAATTTACTATTTTATATACCAAAATTCTGTGAAAATACAGGTGGGACTGGCCTTAGGGATACCTGATATTAGGATATAAATCCTGTCGCCTTTCTCTCATGCTTTTTTTTCTTCCCTTTGTAATCACTTCTTTATTATTTGTCACTGACCTCTTCATGAATTTAGAACCACGGTCGTCGGCACTTTCTAACTCATGCTTTCATAGTTTCATGACCACAGAGGAAAAGAGGCTTTGGAAATTCTCAAGGAATCACTGTGACTATCCACACTTGGGTCACATTTTGGACTCATTGCAGCAGCCTGAAGGTTAGATGGTATGGATGCCCCAGCTTAGGTCATGAGCCTGCACTTGGGAAAAATGAGGGGAAGTTATTTTTAAAATGGAAAGAAGTGGAAGGCAGACATTGTATCCAGTTTTATATATTTATATAAACAAAACACTGTAAGGGGGAAAATATAGACTTGAATCAGAGGAGAAGAGTTAAACCAATGTTTATATATTTCTTTAGGTTTGTTGGAATATATGTGCATGTAATTATATCAGCAAACTACATAGTGAAGTCAGGGAGACAGATTAGAGAGATAGGAAGAGTGGGAGGGAGAGAATGTGCAAAACAAGCAACAGAAAGAAGAGTGGGGACATCCTGAGTTTGTATGTGAGGAGAGGACAGATAGGAGAGGTACAAAGGAAAGGGATTAGAACAGAGAATTAGTTAGAGGATGGGGAGATAATACAAGGGAGAGATAGCCAGGCATGGTGGTGCGCACCTGTAGTCCCAGCTGCTCGGGAGGCAGAGGTGGGAGGATTGCTTGAGTCGGGGAGATGGAGGCTTCAGAGAGCTGTGATCACACTACTACACTTCAACCTGTGTGACAAAGTGAGACCTCGTCTTAAGAAAATAAATAAAATAAAATAAATATAAGGGATAAGTAGAGAGATCATGAGAGAAAGGAACATAGAGGGACACAGATGCAAGAACAGGGAAAGAGAAGGGGTCAGAAAAGCGTAATTTGTGGAGAGAAAATTAAAATGCTATTATTATTGGTATTATTGCTGCAGTTGCTCTCTTTTGCCCATTAGACTATTTTGGCATTATTGGCAGGTTTAATGTAAAATGAGATTTGTGAGTAACATTGATCTCCAAATTATAAATGTCTTTCAATAGGATATGAACAAATATCATAGTAATTCTCAAAGAATATTGCTATTTTTAATCAATGGAGTATACAACATATTATATTTTAAAATCATACAATACTTCAAACACCGTGAAGAGAGAACAAAGCCATATCAAATAATGAATGAATGGTTGTATTACGGAAGTACTTGTCCTGATAGAACACTTCAAATACCATTTGGCTGCTACTTCTCTCTGGGTTTGCTTTGTATCCCATGGAGATGATCTGAGCTTAAGCTTTTGTTAGCTTCAAAGAGAGCTCCGTTCTTGCCTCATCTCTGCAGTATTGAAAAAACAGACCCTTGGTTAACAACAGGAAGCCAAACTGATTTTAATATTGTGAACTCTTTACCCTGATGCAGGAAATGTTATCTGGGCCATCTCAGTGGGCTGGGGATTATAGAGCTGGATAAGGCTTCAAAATACAAATGAACTCCATAGGTCTGGTACAGCTGTAAGGTACAGGGGTAGAGAATATTAGGTGGTCATCTTGATAATCATTTGTGTTATGTTAATGCACTCCAAAGTGGACTTGTTTCTTCTACCTGAGTGTATATACAACCAGTCTTTTCACTATTTTCAGTGGTTATAACTCAGGAAAGAGACAACATATCAACATATGAATGTGGGTATATCCAACGAGATCTCTCTTATAATTTTAGTCCATAAATAGGCATAAAAAATGTGTTCTTTCAGAAAACACTTACTGGAACCTGAGATAATACAATAAGTCGAATTGCTAAAAAGAGACCCCATGGATCACAGGTCTGACCTAATATCTAGTTTTACTAATAATTTTAATGGTATAGGTAATCACATGGCATGGGTGAGCCAGGGAGAGAGGTCTTTGACCTTCAGTATAGCTCGCAAATGCTTTCTTTCCACATAAGAGCATGCACTGGACCCACAGGAAATCTCTAGGTGACATGTGCAGTTTACATTCCTTGCTCAATAGGAGTATTTAGGTAATTAAAATCTCCATTTATATTCAGATACTTGCATAGCTTTTTCCAGGAGACCATGCCCATAAATGCATAGATTTCAGGTTTGTTTATCATAAGCAGTGCTAGATAGTGAGCATTTGATAGATAGGGACTGTCTCTAAATGCCATTAACTTGCTTGCCAGGAGGGTCTCTCATTCATGAGTCAAATCTCATGTTTAATAGGAGATTTGACTGGGCTACCTTGTTTATTTCCAGGGAGTGGTCCCTTGGTGAAAAGAGAGAATGAGTGGTAGACCTATTATTTGACCATATTCCTCCTAAATACCTTCTTGGTGATATGGATACAGAGATTAGCAAAACAGTCACTGCCTTCAAATTTTTTTACCATATAAGATGATGAACACAAAATCAACACCAGAGATAATGTGCCTAAACCCTTAAATAACTTGTGTGACACAGAACAAGTATCTCAATAGACAGTAATATTTTTTACGATAGTATTAACAATGCCGTGTTAAGGTGCTATAACCTGGTTGAATCTTATTTGGATGGTGGAGTCTTAGTGGACAATGGAATTTGTACAAGTTTTGAGTATACTTATTCTGCTGACATTTATTGAGTAACCTCCCATGTGCCAGACATTATCTGACGTGAAATGAAAGAGAATTCCTGGTTTCCGTGAGTTTTTAGTCTTAGAGAAGACACAGTCACGTAAATAAATAATTGAAAAATATCATAAAGTGTTTATAAAAATCTACTTGTTAAGTATGAGAGTGCAGCATACTTGGCCTCCAGAAATGCAGAAAGTTTCATCAATATACAAATTAAATCTTGAAGGATGAGTGAACACTTACTGGGTAAATAACAAGATGAAAGACTTTAGGGGAAGAGAATGAGATGGGCTAAGTTAGCAGCATCAGTGAACATATGGACATGGGGGTGCTGCAGATTCTTACCATTGGTTCCCTTTTGGATGTTGATCTAGGAAAATGCTGGAAAATTAGGTTTGCCTCAGATGATATATTAGGCCAACAGGAATGAATGATAATAAAAATAGCTACCAATTTTGAGAAATTACTATGTTCCAGGTACAATATTAGGTACACATTTTTAATATTCATGACAGATTAGGAGGATGTAACATCTTGATTTTATAAATAAGAATTTAGTTCAGCAGCTAGTTAGATACTATGTTGGGATGTGCCTCCATAACTCTCTTACTGCAAACCCATCCCTCTCCATGACCCTGTGTGAGCTCCCCTAGGCTTCGAAGCTTGCACATTGTTCTCACCTGACAGGGGAGCAGTGAAACAACACTAGGAGGACAATTAGTCATCATTCAGAGTGTATATCAGTGTGCCTCTGCGAACACCCACAGGAAAAAATAAATCTACGAATAGTGAGATTGCTTTGGAAATACAATATCAAAACAAGGTCACTGCTACCTTCTCTCTCCATTCCATCGAGATTGCAGCTCCTGGCACCTCTTCAACAGGAAGTTGTTGGCCGCCTCTCCCTTGAAGGTTTTAGTAGGAGAATGAAAGGATCAGTATTGGGTTTCAGAAAGATAAATTGCTTACCAATTGATGGAAAATGGCAGCTTAGAGAATCTGTGGTTAGAGAAAATTGTTTGAAACTTACTATAATATTTCAGAGATGAAGTAATAAGAAGAATCTGGAGTGGCAAACATAGATCAATTGATTGAAACTAAAACTAATAAGACTTGCTGTGACCATTGAGGGGACCCAAGATATCAGTTTGAATCACTACAGTGAGCAGTGAGGCTACTTAGATAGAAATTGCCAGAAAAAGAAAATAAATGAACCTTTGGATTTACTGAGTTTGTGGGGGCTGAATGCTAAAGTTTTTTGTTTGAGTTGGGGGTAGCTTATAGGCAGGCAGGAACTGGCTCTGATGCAAACAGAGGTGATGGGATAGAAGACATGGATTTGGGTTCTGATGACTTTGTGAGAGTGAATGGGAAAGCACATTCAATGGCAAGAACCTTACAAGGAGGTAGGGCACAATGTGGTTAAGCTATAATTTTTACTATATTTCTTCATTTTTATTGGCATCCAATTATTTTATATGTACTCACTATTTATTTAAACAGCTTTATTCATGGGGTGCCTATTCTGTGCAAGGCAATACCTTTGGCAATGACGACATGATGATGAGCAAAGCCTGAATGTTTCTTACTCTCCTGAGTTTATTGTCTAGTAAGAGACAAGCATCATAAGACATTACACTAGTGAATGTATAATTTGAAACTGAGATAAGTGCTCTCGTGTGAAACATCTTATTTCTAGGAAAAAAAAAAGTGCAACAAAAAAAAGAGAAAACCCTTGTGATATGAAAGGTTTCCGAAGAAAGTGCAGCTGTGTTAAGACCTGAAGGATAAGAGTTGCCATCTAGGCAAAAGGTGATGAAAGTAAAGGATTCTCCAGACTGATGGAAAAGTTATAACAAGAGATTGGAGTGTTTAGGAAGTTAAAAGAACATGTAATTGAAGCTCAGGAGGGGGAAGAGAGATGAGAGATGTGTGTAGAGTCCAGAGCACTCAGAATTTGCAGAATAATAAGGATTTTGATCCATGTTCTGAGTAATGACATGCCATTGAAGGTTTCCATTTTTTAAAAATATTAACCCAGATCTCCTTTACATGAGCAATACAGATAGGAAGTGCTGAGGAATCAAAGTAGAGGTAGAAGGGATTCAGACCCCAGAGTGTCTACATTAGGAGGGAGCTGAACCTCATCAAGTTCTTTCCATAGGATTTTCTTCATGCACAAATATGCATGGCTGGCTTAGTCTGCAGACCACATTTTTGGTTCACCTAGTGTTTCAGATGGCAGATGACATAACTCTGAGTAAATTAGAAGTTCTGGCTGTACCAAAAATATATACATCAGGAAAATGAAAAAGGAAACTGTTCTGTGCTGCTTAAGAGAATTCATTGCCAACCTCCTACTGGCTGTTCTGACCCAATAAACAAGCAAAAGTGACTTGTTAGAGCCAGCAGCTATATTTTGAGTACCATTATCCCCACTGAATAATTCAACACTTAATGGTGGTGATTTTGGTTGCTCAGAGAAGGTATTCTTTTGCAATTGTGTAGCTCTTTGTTGAGATTCAGCATTGTCTAGTTAACAGTATGAGAAGCAAAGCAGAATTCTTGCTGTGAAAATCACTACTTCTAAAGAGATGCGGCATTGCCATATAGTAGTTACATTGTGCAATTACTACATGGAAATTACTTGCTGTCTTGTAGTCTTTTTCCGGAAAGAAGACACTCTTTTTTATTATTATTATACTTTAAGTTCTGGGTTACATGTACAGAACATGCAGTTTTGATATATAGGAATACACATGCCGTGGTGGTTTGCTGCACCCATCAACCCATCACCTACATTAGCTATTTCTCCTAATGGTATCCCTCCCCAGCACCGCACCGCCAACAGGCCCTGGTGTGTGATGTTCCCCTCCCTTTATCCATGTGTTCTCCTTGTTCAACTCCCACTTATGCGTGAGAATATGTGGTGCATGGTTTTCTGATCTTGTGATAGCTTGCTGAGAATGATGGTTTCCAGCTTTATCCATGTCCCTGCAAAGGACAAGAACTCATCCTTTTTATGGTTGCATAGTATTCCATGGTGTATATGTGCCACATTTTCTTAATCCAGTCTATCACTGATGGACATTTGGGTTGGTTCCAAGTCTTTGCTATTGTGAATTGTGCCACAATAAACATACATGTGCATGTGTCTATCGTAGAATGATTTATAATTCTTTGGGTATATGCCCAGTAATGGGATTGCTGGGTCAAATGGTATTTCTAGTTCTGCATCCTTAAGGAATTGCCACACTGTCTTCCACAATGGTTGAACTAATTTACACTCCCACCAACAGTGTAAAAGCATTCCTATTTTTCCACAAACTCTCCAGCATCTGTTGTTTCCTGACTTTTTAAAGATGGCAATTCTAACTGGCATGAGATGGCATCTCATTGTGGTTTTGATTTGCATTTCTCTAATGACCAGTGATGATGAGCATTTTTTCATATGTCTGTTGGCTGCATAAATGTCTTCTTTTGAGAAATGTCTGTTCATATCCTTTGCCCATTTGTTGATCAGGTTGTTTCTTTTTTTCTTGTAAATTTGTTTAAGTTCTTTGTAGATTCTGGATAGGTCTTCGTCAGATGGATAAATTGCAAAAATTTTCTCCCAATCTGTAGGTTGCCTGTTCACTCTGATGATAGTTTCTTTTGCTGTGAAGAAGCTCTTTAGTTTAATTAGATCCCATTTGTCAGTGTTGGCTTTTGTTGCCATTGCTTTTAGTGTTTTAGACATGAATTCTTTGCCCATACCTATGTTCTGAATGGTATTGCCCAGGTTTTCTTCTAGAGTTTTTATGGTCTAGGTCTTACGTTTAAGTCTTTGACCTATCTTGAGTTGATTTTTGTGTAAGGTGTAAGGAAGGGGTCCAGTTTCAGTTTTCTGCATATGGCTACCAGTTTTACCAACACCATTTATTAAATAGGGAATCTTTTTCCCATTGCTAGTGTGTGTCAGGTTTGTCAAAAATCAGTTGGTTGTAGCTGCGTGGTGTTATTTCTGAGGCCTCCATTCTGTTCCACTGGTCTATATATCTGTTTTGGTACCAGTACCATGCTGTTTTGGTTACTGTAGACTTGTAGTGTAGTTTGAAGTTAGGTAGCGTGATGCCTCTAGCTTTGTTCTTCTTGCCCAGGATTGTTTTGGATATGCAGGCTCTTTTTTGGTTCCATATGAAGTTTAAAGTAATTTTTTTCCAATTCTGTGAAGAAAGTCACTGGTAGCTTGATGGGGATAGCATTGAATCTATACATTATTTTGAGCAGTATGGCCATTTTCACAATATTGATTCTTCCTATCCATGAGCATGGAATGCTTTTCTATTTGTGTCTTCTCTTGTTTCCTTGAGCAGTGGTTTGTAGTTCTTGAAGAGGCCCTTCACATCCCTTGTAAGTTGTATTCCTAGGCATTTTATTATCTCAGTAGCAATTGTGAATGGGAGTTCACTCATGATTTGGCTCTCTGTTTGTTATTGGTGGATAGGAATGCTTGTGATTTTTGCACGTTGATTTTGTATCCTGAGGCTTTGCTGAAGTTGCTTATCAGCTTAAGGAGATTTTGGGCTGAGAAGATGGGGTTTTCTAATTATACAATCATGTCAACTCCAAACAGAGACAATTTGACTTCCTATTTGAATACACTTTATTTCTTTCTCTTGCCTGATTGCCCTGGCCGGAACTTCCAATACTATGTTGAATAGGAGTGGTGAGAGAGGGCATCCTTGTCTTGTGCTGGTTTTCAAAGGGAATGCTTCCAGTTTTTGCCCATTCAGTATGATATTGGTTGTGGGTTTGCCATAAATAGCTCTTATTATTTTGAGATGTGTTCCATTGATACCTAGTTTATTGAGAGATTTTAGCATGAAGGGGTGTTATATTTTATCAAAGGCCTTTTCTGTATCTATTGAGATAATCATGTGGCTTTTGTCATTGGTTCTGTTTGTGTGATGGATTGCATGTATTGATTTGCATATGTTGAACCAGCCTTGCATCCCAGGTACGAAGCCAACTTCGTACCTGGTGGTAAGCTTTTTGATGTGCTGCTTTTTGATGTGCTGCTGGATTCCATTTGCTAGTATTTTATTGAGGATTTTCACATCAATGTTCATCAGGGATATTGGCCTGAATTTTTGTTGTTGTTGTTGTGTTTCTGCCAGGTTTTGGTATCAGGATGATGCTGGCCTCATAAAATGAGTTAGGGAGGATTCCCTCTTTTCCTGTTGTTTGGAATAGTTTCAGAAGGAATGGTACCAGCTCTTCTTTGTACCTCTGGTAGAATACGGCTGTGAATCCATCTGGTCCTGGGCTTTATTGGCTGGTAGATTATTGATTACTTCCTCGATTTCAGAACTTGTTATTGTTTTATTCGGGGATTTGACTTCTTCCTGGCTTAGACTTGGGAGGGTGTATGTGTCCAGGAATTTATCCATTTCTTCTAGATTTTCTAGTTTATTTGCATAGAGGTGTTTATAGTATCCTCTGATGGTAGTTTGTATTTCTGTGGGATTGGTGGTGATATCCCCTTTATCATTTTTTACTGCATCTATTTGATTCTTCTCTCTTTTCTTCTTTATTAGTCTGGCTAGCGGTCTAACTATTTTGTTGAGTTTTTCAATAAACCAGCTCCTGGTTTCATTGATTTTTTGAAGGGTTTTTCGTGTCTCTATCTCCTTCAGTTCTGCTCTGATCTTAGCTATTTCATGTCTTTTGCTAGCTTTTGAATTTGTTTGCTGTTTCTTCTCTAGTTCTTTTAATTGTGATGTTAGGGTGTCAATTTTAGATCTTTCCTGCTTTCTCTTGTGGGCATTTAGTGCTATAAATTTCCCTCTAAACACTGCTTTAAATGGAAAGAAGACACTCCTTAAATGACTTGGTGGGAGCTTTTATTTTATCAATTTCTCTCTGATAAATTATACTGGTAGTCATATCTGGTCACGGATAAACTTTATTTCGTTTTTGACTGTCAGGCATGTTGAATTCAAATTGCATGCCAAACCATAACATTTAGGAAAACATCATATCTCTAGAGTTATAATTGATTTGTGCTAATGATATGTTAGTAGAAAAGAATGACAGTTTGATTTCTTTCATTCAAAGGAAAATCTCTACAGTAAGGAAGAAAGTATCATGGCTAAAAGTCACTTTTATTTAATCTCAGGTTTTATCAAAATATTTACAGAACACTTTGTCTTTGTCACCTGCTAGTCATTCAGTATATTTCAATGACGACAGTATTATCTTTGGAATCACAAAAATATGATGTAAAAGAAAACTTTTCTAGAGTAGAGTGAATGCTTAAAAATATAATATATATCCAATAAATGAATTACAGTTAGGAATGTTGACATGATTAAGAACGCTTGCATTACTGATAGTGACCTCTGCCCTATTATAACTTTATAGCTAAAAAGTTTAAGATCTTTCACAGTTTCTCCTTCAGTAATCCTTTTTCCAAACTGAATTTCGAGTGCCTAGTAACTTGTGATTTTTCTAGGAAAAACCCATGGTCTTTACCTGTTTGTTCTATAGATAACACCCTATAACTTGCTTTTTTCACTTAACAAAAAATAATAGATATATCATTTATATAACAGATATAAGGCATACTATACATTATATATAATATAAATGTACATATAAATAAAAATAAATATAAATGTCTGGAAGTGTTCATATCTTAAATGTTTTCTGGCAGGGATGGGGAGAAGAGGGTTGTATAATCTTCAAATTTTTACTGAATACGTTCCTTTGCCATTATTTTCTGTTACAATAAGAATATATTTTATTGTAAAATAAGTAAAAACAAATTAATTAAAAATGGTACGTGATGATAAAAACAGTAGTTCTTAGAAATATTATCAATATTGGAATCAAAACACATAAGACTATTAAACATGTGTATTTAAGTAAACTGCACATTATATCCAGAAAATTGAATCTAACTGGTTATCATGCAAATGAAGAAGGTAATCAGTTCAAAAATGACATAGTAACTGATATTGCCTTCCTGTTCTTATTTCTTATTCATGGAAAACGAGGACAAGATATGAAGGGTTTAGGGATCTAGGTCATTGGCCCGGGATTTGGCATTAATTCTTCTCATACAAGCACAGGGAACGATCAATCAGTGTTGACAGCTCTAATGCCATCGTTGGAGCAGAAGATGAGCCAAAGGAAATTATGAGTTTCTTATAAATGTGTCTTAAGTATCTGGAAATCATACTTTGTATCTTATGGCTTGAATAGAATACGTTTGCTTTTAATGATTTGTACAGTGAGAAGATTAAAATTTCTACCAACATATCCAAAGCACTGATACATCTATTAAACTGTTTGCAACAAAAATACCTATACCTTTTTGAATTTGAATAAAAAATCCCATTTAAACAACCACTGGGATGTGATTATGCCCCAAATCTCTCTGATTATAGTTGGTTTGCTTTATTATATTCCACTTGAAAATTTTGAATTGACAAGAGGGATGTTTCTGTGAACTACAGATTTTAGAGGAAAATAAGACTAAAGTTTTTTGTATCACTGTTTGGTGTTTAGCATTTTTCAACCAGTAAATTGTCTTTAACCAAAAAATTTGTCTCAGAGAATGGAAAAAGAAATGTGATGACAAAAAAAATAATGCAAAAAATAAACAGTTATGAAACAGTATAGAGATAAAAAAATCAAAGGTGAGATATCCCAAACCATGAACTATTTATCTTAATCATGCAGCCTTTTCATCTCTGAAAGAATCTATTAATGTCATATTCAAATGCTTAATGTTCACTAGCAGTTGATAATTATGATGACCATCCCTGTCACTACAAGATCCTTAAGTGCCTTTTGATGAGCAAAGAAAAATAAAATCATATTCAAGTACCAACTGTTGGAATTCGTACTTTAAATACAACCTGAGAAATGGCCTTAGGTTAAGGCTAATGGTGTATAACTTGCTCACATTTCTAAAGAGTATATTTTCTGACAATGATTCCATATAGAAAGTTTACCGCAGATAATAGTTTCTTCATATTTGCATCCTGACCTAATTTTTGGTCATTAGGTTACTTTTTATAGGTATCAATATTTTCCAAGTCCTAGAGAAAAATGAGAGTTTTAATTTTCTCTTATAACCTAGCTACCAGATGCTATGTGGCAAGGACAGTCTTAGGATGAAATTGTCCAGACAAACAAATATGTATTAGCCATCAAATGTACACATATGCTCATAAGTATGTGTACACATGCACAAGCATGCATTTACACACACAAACGTACACTTCACAGAATTATACCCTGTATTCTGTCAGCTTGATGGAGTCCCAGCTGTTAAACCTTTGAGGCATTGTGACAGAAATCTGCAAGAAAGCTTCACTAGAGGCAGATGAGATAATATTCTAGCTGCAGGATTCAGCTACATTTTCGATTGGAGTCATAGGAAAAAACACTCATTGCAAAAATGAATGAAATCCTAAGCCTGGAGTGCAATGAAATTGTGTTTAGGCTGTGGGGCTCCCTTGATTTTTTAATATCCTATTCACTCAAGGATGCTTGTGTCTGAGCAAACATTTCTAGCAAATCCACCAATATATACAACACTACTTGTTTTTTTTTAATGGAACATTCTGCTAACATCGACTATAGTGATTAAGCCATACTTACACACTTAACATACTTTACGAAATAAAGATACCTGAAGTACATGTAGTAACCAGTGCTGCTACATTTGACTAGAGATTTAGAAGAGTTTTGTTTAAGACCTTTTGAATATTGACTGACTATACTTATGGGGTACATTAAAATTCAGTAGCCTCTACATTACCACACAGCCTATGCTAAAGTATTTTAAAGTAAATTTCAGAAAAGTTAATGATTTGTTTTTGTTGACACTTTTAAGAACCACTAAAACCTATGAATATGGTTGGCCTTAAGTAGACACTGTAAAATGAATGAGGTTGAGAGATATTCATTTAAAGTTCTATTAGCCTTTATGGAATTATTGTGAGAAGCCCAGCAATGTTCAGCTCAGTGTTTTACATTCAGATCCATATTTACTTTAACGAGTATTTCAGAAAGTTTAATTTCTGAGTTGTCTTTGGATGAATGAGAAAATAAAAGGAATTCAGAATTTTATCAACCGTCTATATCTATGCAGATTATATTCTTTTGTGGACATATGTATGAAATTCATTCGTTCATCCAGAAGGATTTATTATGTGTATTTCCTATATTCTAGGCAAGCGCAAAAATAATGAATAGGATCTGGCAACTGCCTCATAAAATGTACAGTCTCCTACAAATATGTAGACAAGGCAGGTACAAAAAATTGTGAGCCCTTGTTTATTTTAGTTTTATAAGTAATGTGCTCACTACTGATATCCACCTGAACAATTTGATTAACACAAAAAACTGGAGAAGTAGATTAAAACCATCCAAAACATTGGGAGATATAGATAGACAGCTGATAGATAGATAGATAATCATATAAACATAGATAGTCATATAAACATAGGGAGATTATATATATAGATAATATCTATATTATAGAACATATATATGTTATAATAATATGCAATGATATCTATATTATATAATATATATACTAGAATGATAAACACCGTTATTAGGTGAGCTGAGACAGGAAGGAGGCGCGTTGGTTTGCCTCTCCAGACCTTGATCTGGCTCAGATGGAGCTCCAGTTCCTTGCACTCTAGCACGTGTAGCCCTCTGCTCAGCACGGCCCCATCCTTATGCGATGCACGACAGAAGCTCGCCCTGCTGGAACTGCTCCTCCAGAAGACTGCTGTTTGCGGCATTCATTTTCCTTTCATTATATTTTTTTCTGAATTTGTTCTGGATCGTTTTTTGTTTAAAATCTCTTCCTCCTCAGGAGTCCGCTGGGCCCCCTTCTTGTGGCCCGGACGGTGCACAGTGGAGCTCGCACTGCTGTTGCCAAGGTGCGCGGCCGGCAGCTCCTCGCCAGGGCCCCGGTGCAGGCCGGCTGGCTGTGGGTCACACGCAGACAAGATCAGCGACCCTCGTTTTGCGAGTGCAACACTCCCAGCCACAGAAGTTCCCGGGTCCAGCCTCAGAGCCCAGTATTTCCCACGGCCTCCCCACACACACCCCGCGTGGATGCGGCGAGGGCCCGCCTTAGTCCTGGCAGTGCGCACCCCAGCTCAGACTCCCGCTTCTTGTGGCAGCTCCTTCTCTTGCCCCTGTGCCTTCTGCTGCTTGTGCCAGTTGTCGTGAGAGATGCCCGGTGCTGGGCGCTGGTTGGAAAGAAAAACTTAGGTATATATTTTCTTTTTCTTTCCTTCCTTCCTTCCTTCCTCCTTCCTTCCTTGCTTTCTCTCTTTTCTTCCTCTTTCTTTCTCTTTCTTTCTTTTCTCTTTCTTTCTTTCTTATTCCTTCTCTCTCTCTCTCTTTCTTTCTTTTTCTCCTTCCTCTTCCTTCCTTCTTTCCTTCCTTCCTTCCTTTTTTTGAAACGGTCTCACTCTGTTGCCCAGGCAGAATCATAGCTCACTCTAGCCCGAAACTCTGGGGCTCAAGCAATCCTCCAACCTTGGCCTCCTGAGAAGCTGGGAGTATAGGCACGTACCCTATGCCTTGCTAATTTAAAAAAAGAAAATCTTTGTAGAGATGGGGCCTCACTATGTTGCCCAAACTGGTCTTGAACTCCTGGCCTTAGGTGATCCTCCAGCCTCAGTTTCTCAAAGTGCTAGGAATACAAGCATGAGGCACTGCACTTGATCCTATGTTTTTCTAATTAGTTTTCTACTTTTAAATGTAACTGTAAGTTGTAATCAAACATTATATATATTATCCTTTAAAAAATTCTGAATTTATTGTTATGGTTAAATTTTTATCATTAGTTTCCAGACTCAATGAGAGTCATTTTTCTATTAATGGAAAATAAGGGACAGACCTTTCAGCTTACCTGGAAGTGCCTCATTTCTTTTTTGAAAATTCCTGCCATGGTACTGATCAATGTTGATATATATGTGAAAAAAATAAAGAGGAGACAAACAGAGGGGATGGTATTTAATAACAAGAGAATAGTAGAGAAGGAGAGAAGACAGTTTTAAAAATGAGCATTCATGGGTTGGGCACAGTGGCTAGCACTTTGGGAGGTCGAGGTGGGAGGATCATTTAAGGCCAGGAGTTTGGGAACAGCCTGGACAGCATAGTGAGACCCCTATCTCTATAATTTTTTTTTTAATTAGCTGCATGTGGTGGCGGATGCCTATAGTATCCCAGCTACTAGAGAGGCTGAGGCAGGATGCTCACTTGAGCCAAGAGTTTAAGACTGAGTGATTTCACCACTGCTGTTATCAGTCTGCTGTGATTTTAGGTGTCCAAGGTGGGAGTGAGTGATGAAAATCTGAAAAAGAATTAAGAGGATGTTCTCTTTAATTTACAAATATATTTTTGAAGTTGATTTTTTGTTATAGCTTAGAAATCTGTCATATATTATTATTGCTTCCTCTCACATATTGCAGTTTTTCTTTCCAGGAAGATTTCATTTTTTAGTGTTGTTTTAGGTTCACAGCAAAATTGGGCAGAACGTGCAGAAATTTCTCTCATACTACCGGTTCTGCATATGCACAGCCTCTCCGTTATCAACACCACCAGCAGTGTGCATTTGTTACAACTGATGAACCTACATTGACATATCAATAACGCCCCAAATCTATAGTTTACATTCGGGTTTCTTTTGGTGTATACATTCTACGGGTTTTGACAAAGGTATAGTGACACATATCCACAATTGTAGTATCATACAAAGTAGTTTCACTGCCGTAAAAATCCTGTCCTCCTATTCATTCCCTCTTCTCCCTTAACCCCTCACAACCACTTATCTTTTTACTTTCTCAATAGTTTTGCCTTTTCCAGAGTGTCGTGTAGTTAGAATCAAACAGTATCTGGTGTTTTCAAATTGGCCTGTTCACTTAATGTGCCTTTAGGTTTCCTTCACCTCTTTTCATGGCTGATAGCTCATTTCTTTTTACCACTGATATTCCATTGTCTGGACACAGTATAGTTTATTTATCCATTTACCTACCAAAGAATATCTTGGTGACTTTCAAATTTTGATAAATATAAATAAAGCTGTTAAACATCCATGTACAAGTTTTTTGTGGACATAAGTTTTCAACTCCTTTGGGTAAAAACCAAAGAGTTCAATGGCTGGATCACATGTGAGAGTTTGTTTAGTTTTGGGGGAAGCCATCAAACTGTACTCCATTGTGACTGCTTCAATAGTAATGCATATACTATATCCACAATTTATTGACCACACAACTTTTTTTTTTTTTTTTTTACCCAGCATACTATAGCATCAGTATCTGTCACAGTGAGGGTTTGCACTTTTCAGGTAGGGCTGTTCTTCCTTGGGCAGGACTGTGCTGAGCCCTGCAGGTCGTTTATTATCCACGGCTCCTGCCCACTGGATGCAAATAGCACTGCCCAGTCATGTGACAACCCCAGCTGCTCCCACATAATCCAAATATCACCTGGAGGAGAGATAGCACCTTGGTTGTAATCCAAAAGGCTAGAGGAACACAAACAGGTCTTACCCTCTTATGAGCTGGCCATGTGGGATGCTCCAGGAGTGAAGCTAGTGGAATGTTTTTAGTGACTGAAAGTCCTTAAGAAATGTGAAAAGTGGTTACCTGGATTTATACATATGTAAAAGTTTGCTGAGCTGTACACTTAAGTTTTGTGCATTTTAGTACATCTGAGATTTTTATTTAATTTGAAAAATAGTCCCTACAGGAATTTCACAGCTATATAAGTTGTTTTCTGAGAAATAACTCAGAAAATAACTTAATGTTGGGATTATTCTCCATCCCTGTAGTCAAATGACCATGAATTTCCGTAATTTTCTTTCTTAGTCTCCACTGTGAAACAATTTGAATTAGATGTCATTACAGTATACTATTTTTTAAGAATCTTACATGTATAGGTGGGAAAACAAAAACATGTATATACATAAGTTTTTATATAACCTGTATGTATATATAGGTTATATTCAATTATATTCCAGTTAGAGTTCAACCACAGTAATTTGCTATTTAAATAAATGATATTATTAATGATATTAGTTTATCCCACATCATTATTAACTAAAGCTGACATTTTCCCAATAAAATCAATTTGCTTATAATAACATCGACATTCCTTTGATCTACTGTGTACAAAATGTGCCAGCTCTGCAGGGATGATGAGTTAACACTCTAAGCAGTTCTTTTGTCGTGTCACTGCGGTGTTATGAGACATGAAAGAGTGTTTGAATGGATATGGCTATAATGCACAGTGTTTCCTTTGTTTTCAGAGTAAAAGCCATTAACAGTTATTTCAGGATTACTGTGTTTATGACACTTGTAAATTGATTTATGGTATTAGCCAGGCAGGTGATTGAACAAAAGCCTTTTAATGTTTGTGTATGTGTTTATCCTTCTCAGCTTCACAATGTTGAGTGATTCAGATCACACTTCAGGCTTATGGAAATTTGCTGGACCTCCTCCCCATAAGAACTGATTCCAAACCAGGGGAATAGTTTAACCTAGCCTGATAATCACATAAAAAGGAGTTTCATAAAGGGACACTTGAGGTCAGAGAGAAGTGAAGGTGACATCCACTCCATCATGAAAATGTCAAATGGCTTTATATAAGACATCTTGCTTGATGCAGCTCAGTGATTCTTAAGCCATTTTATCATGGAGAGAAAAGAAAATTTAAACATTTCCGAGTTATAGCACTGTCTCAGACTATTATACAAATCCATTGAGTTATTTTTAAAACTATAATTTGGATGCCAGTGTCATAAAATATCTCTTCCTGCTGGCTATAATAAAAGTTGTTGATCTATTTCAAGCATCCTGAGTAGAAAAATGTTGTTTAATGATTTTGCATGCATGAAGTTAATTTCTACCTCTGGAACTCATAGTAGCTGAAACAACTTAATGCTGTTTCTTAGTGAAGAGGAATGTCAACGTAGCATGCTTTTTTTTCCCTTCTTTTTTGGCTGTGTGCATTCCATGTTGTCAATGAAAATGGCAGATGGACTGTCACTGACATTTCTGCTTTGTGTAGTTGCTGCCATAGAAATGAAAAAGTTTTTAAAATGGTGACGATAAGAGTCACCTTTTGTTCACTGAATTTGCTGTGTTATATTTTCTTCTTGGAAATTTGACCTAAAACTGTTTGTGAATAATTATTCAGAAAAAATGTCAAGGATTTTTAAAAATCACTAAAATAAAATGTGCTATGTCAAACCAGCTGCCTTTCTAAGCTGCTTTTTGCCCATGTATCACACTCATCAGATTCTATTTCCCTCTAGGATAAAGTAGAAACCTCTTTTTTTAAATTCCAGCATATAAATTTGAATAATGTTATTTGCAAAAGGGAAAATCGAAGCATTTACTATTCATTAGAGCCATTAGAGAACCATAGTGCCAAAGGTTTTGTGTAAACATGACATCATGACTGTTAGGTGAAAAAAACAAGTGATTATTAGGAAATGATTATTATTCAGAGTACATTAACAATAGCCTTGGGTCTTTAAAGTAATTTTAAAATAATTTGTTTTAGTGTTCAGTTTATAATGGTGGAATGATCTATAATTGTCCAAAGTGAAAACTTAGTCTTAACCATTTGTATGCATTGTTGCCTTTCTATGCTTTATTATTGGAATTTAAACAGTCTCCAGTGGAAACATAATGCAAAGTTGGTGAATTAAGGATCAAAGCATTAAAGAAAAATGAACAGGCATCATGTATACTAACAGCTACCAAGACTTAAATGATGGTGTACTATAAAATGGGCTTACATTTTCTTTAGGTGGGCTATAACTTTCAAAACTCTTAAACCAAGAAAGAAAAAGCAATGAGTTACATTAGTTGCTTAAACTAAATATGCAGAACATACACACTGATGTTTAAAGAAACCCCACATTTTCTCATCTTGTTCCAATAGAAGAGGTGCAGACAGTATGGTAGCTTTAAGAAAGTCTTTTTTTCTGTTTGTTTTTTATTTTTATTTTAGATGTATGGCAGCAGGCATTCTCAAGATTTTGTCTACCTTTTGCCTAAAGAATCTCCTTACTGCTGTTGAAATATTTTAGGCTGATTTCTGATTTCCAAAGACTGAATAAACATTAAAAATGTTTCCATTAGGAAAATGTTAAAATGCACCCCCAATAGAAAGATTAGCATAACCTCCCCCCAATCTTGCACTCTCTCTCTTTCTCTCTCTCTCTCTATGTGTATATATATATATATATATATATATATATATATATATATATCTGCTTCAGCAATATTCATTATTGCATCAATTTGTTTATTCTATCTCTTCTACCTAAATTAGCTATTTCTACCTTGAAAACCATCCCAAAACACTGATTCAATAAAGGAAACATTTATTATTGTTCCTAAGTCTACTGTTTCTTTGGGAGATTCTGCTGAACTTAGCCAGTCTTGACTGATACTGACCAGCTGGTTCTAGCATCTGTGTTCAGCTGACAGGTTAGTAGGGCAGTCTCATCTAGGATGGCTGCCATTTTACGTTTAGTGGCTGGCTGGCTGTTGGCCAGGATGATGGGGATGATGGGCAAAATGTCTCTTATCTTCCAACAGGGTAGTGCAGGCTTCTTTTTAAAATAGCTGAGCAGAGTTTTCAGAGACAGAGAGAAAGAGGAAAAAGGTGCAAGGCTTCTTGAGGCCTAGACTAGAATTCATCCTAGGGTCAAAAGCCTACCAGATTCAAGAAGTGAGGAAATAGCTTCTTAGGAGGAGCTACAAAGTCTTATTACAGAGAGTGTGACCACAAAGAGGGGAAGAGAATCAGAGAAGATTTTGCAATCAATCTACTACACTCTCACACTTTTGGGGAGAGTATTTTATATCAATCAATATCATTTCACCACTATATACTTTAGAGAATTTGCCTTTATTTTGTAAGTTGTTATGATTTTGTAACTCTAATAGCATCCACAAAGTTAACCATGCTCCTTGGATCAGAATATTAGTAGGAGGGACTATATCCTCATTGCCACTATCAACACAATGATCATCACTTTCACTAGTATTAGCAAATTTTATTTATTTTTCTCTGCTAATGACACATTACCTCACTTAAATCTCATAAGTGTGCTATACAGCAGCAACTATCACCCCAGTTTGTACAGCTGAGTGAGCAGGCTGGGTAAACTGCCCACAGCCATCTAGCAATGGTGGCTTTGAACCCAGGTCATACTAACTTTCCCATGGTCTCATCACTGCACATCACTTTGTCATGTGACCAGTCAGGAGGCCACAGTAGCTTTGCACTTACTTGGGAGGCCAAGTAGAATGGACAAAGACTTAGCCATCTCTCTCCTCCATTTCTCAAGGAATAATATGAATTTAAATTAAGGGAGCAAGTTGTTTCTAGATTTGCCACCATGGAGCACTTTTAAAAACATCAAGGGGATCTATGTGGTCACTTTATAATACTCATGATGTGTATGTTAGAGGCTTCTGTTTTGAAGAGGCAAAGAATTTTATTTCCTTTTTGTTGTGTTGGAAGTTGCCCTAGGAGGTACGCACGCTTGTCCATGTTAAACTAATGTCTTGAAATCAGTGTATTCTTAATTCTTATCCCACTAGTCGTACTGGAGAACCTGAGGGAGTCAGGAAGGTTCCATTGCATTGAAGCGACTGCATTGTCTGGGGTAAATACCTGGGGTTCATTGTCTCATGTCAAGAAAATTTAGAACATGGACACATATGAGGAGTTTAGAAGCAGAGGTTTAATAGGCAAAAGAAAGAGAAAGAAAGATAAAGGAAAACAACTCTCTCTCTAGTGAGAGAGAGGGGCTTCCCAGAGGAAAAGGCTGGCCTGCTGCGGATGCACTATATTTTATAGACAGGCTTGAGGAGGTGGTGTCTGATTTATGCAGGGCCCACAGATTGGTTCGATCAGGTGTGACGTTTACATAGTGTGCAGAAAAGGCTTGCCACCCTACTCTTATTACCCTAATCTTATGTGAATGGGCTTTCCAGTTGACCGGTGCCATCTTGTCTGCTCCTTACTGTACATGTGGCTGGGAAGGGAAGATGGAGCCACCATTTTTGAACATGATTGGCACAACTGCCAGGGTCTATGTCTGCAGCTCTATTTTACAGGTTGCTCTTTGTTAGAAAATAATTTGGGGGCTGCATTTCATTGAAAAGGAAAACCTTACCGAGGACTCTAGTACCCTCACTATCTGCCTAAGTAATTTCTTCTTAACTCCTATGTCAGTAAGATGTGACAGTAAGATATGTATTATGTTGGTGCAAAAGTTATTGTGGCTTTTGATGGCAAAAACCACAATAACTTTTGCACCAAGCTAAATTTTTCTTTTGAAGTGGTTGGCAGGGATGTTTTTTTTCCTAAGGATGAGCTACGATCGTAGGAATTAAAATTTAACCCAGTTTACCCAGATTCATAAAAATTAATAGATTTCTTTGTGGATCTGAGTTGATATCATTAATATAAGCTATCAGACATCAGCTTCATGTGACTTAACTTCAAAAATATTTTAGTAAGAGTATGACTGGAATGTTTATAACACAAAGAAATGATAAATGCTTCAGGTGATGGATACCCCAATTACCCTGATGTAATTATTCCACATTGTATGCCTGTATCAAAACATCTCATGTACCCTATAAATACTAGATACTCATAGAAAGTAAAAATTTTAAAAAAATTAGTTCTTGTCTTAGTGCCAGCTCCATCCTGAGTTTCAACAATTGCTATTATCTTTGAGGTCTAGCATGAGGCATTAAATGCCATTGTTTCAAGAAAGATAAATGGGAATATAATTTTATTGCTATCTTACTGTTGCAAAATGGAATTCCTAAGAAACATACCCTTTATGAATTCTGGCAATGAAACTAAGACTGACTTTCCGTTTTCAATCTGAAAGCTATTTTGGAGCTTTCATCGTCAGCTAATGGAGTCTTACTTGAACGGGGTCACATTTAAACTTCTAATAATTTTTATGTTGTAGCCTGTGAACATACAAATTTCAGGTAAATTGAAGCTAATTCCTGCAGGAGGTAAGGTCATATGTAGAATTAGTCATTATTCATATTCTGAAAAGTGATGATGTCATTATGGGAGAGAATTTCTTGGGTCAAGACCATGCATTTAAAACGATTAAAATTCAAAAAATGGGATCACCATTACTGAATAATTAGTATCTATAAGCTACTTTACTAAAATTAGAGACCAGTGAACTTACTGCCCTAAGTCAAGAGATTAATGGAAATTGAGAGTGTTCTCACTTATTTGGCTATCTAGTTATTCTTGTTCCCTATTTCAGAGGTGAGATGATGTTAAATATTAATCTGGAAATACGATCTCCTAGTAGCATAATACTTGGGAAAGTCTTGCTCCTTACAAATAAAAGGCAACTCATAAAACACATACATGAGATGCTCTTAAAGCCATCAGCATTGAAAACTAATGGAACCGAGTATTAAATAATAACTAGATTGCAAGTAAAGATTGATATATAATAAACAATGACTTTAGATGACTATTACCAAACTGTTTCAGAAAAAAAAAAAAACAGGAAAAAGAAAATTCGAAGGGGCAGGGCATTGATATTTTCCTCAAAATTTTCATATTAATAATAGCTACATGGTTTAATGTCTCCCAACTTTGTACAAATACGTAGGACTCACCTTTTGTAGTTAAGGCAGTATTTTGCTTTTTATAATGAAAGCATTTTTCCATGTTTTATTTCATTGATTAGGATAACTCATTTCATCAGAAGAGTAGTGTCAATTAACATAGTGACACATTGAACATATATGTTAAATTTACCAGTAGAAGTTAAATTACAAGTATAAGTTATTTGTCATTAGAAAATATTCTGAAGCATACATGAGTCATTTTTTCCAATTCCCATTTTAAGATGGGTCAGTTGAGGTCAGCCAGAGTAGAATAATGCCATTACTCTAATTCAGGACAAAGATTCACAACTTTTTTGGAGGTGGGAGGGTAGTATTTTCTTTTATGATTAATATAATTTTGTTCTCAAAGTAAAGCATAAACAGTGTTGCTGTTCCTTAAGACTGCTAAAACTGTGAAACAACAGCCATTAGTTACTACTTTAAATTTTACCAATCGGTACATATATACAAAAGATACAGGTCTATAATATCTTAAGATGCAATTTAAAGTGAAATAATAAAGCGGAAATACTTAGAATTTAATGTAAGTTTAAAGACTTTACTATCTCTGTGTTAGCTAACTTTTTTCACCAGTTCTAAGTGAACACATAGAGTAATTGATTTTTAGAAAACAAAACAAAATTACATACCTGAAAGACTAATTCTCACATTTTGGAGCAAATTATTGTATTATTACCTGCAAGAATACATGATAGACAATGTATAAACAATGTTTAGACATCTATTAACACAATGTTTCAGAAAAAAATTGAAATTGTAAGAGAAAGTAAAAAAAATTAAAACCTTAATTCTTATTCTATTTCTGTAAACTTTGAAATGAATAAATATTCTGTTTAAATGAGAAGCATCTTACGCCTTTGTCTTCTGCTTGAACCAAACTCACATTTGTAAATTTCAGTTAAAATGGTGGCCTTTATTCTTTTGTTCTTTATTATTTCTTTCCTCTATCTTGCTGGAACTATCCATCTTCTATTAGTGTGAAAACTTTGAAGATGAAAAGCTATTTCACCGGAAAAATCATTGATGTATTTGTGATCCTTAATAATGACTCAAATGGGAATAGATATCTAATATGAGGAACTGAGTAAAAAAGAACCACTTTTTAAATAAAATTAACTAAATGAAGTTATTGTCTTAGCCATTAACACTCATCAGTCATATACACCATGGAATACTACACAGCCATATAAAGAACAAAATTGTGTCCTTGCAGCAACATGGATGCACCTGGAGGTCATTATTCTAAGCAAATTAACTCAGGACCAGAAAACCAAATACCACATGTTCTCATTTAGAAGTGGAAGTCCAACACTGAATACACACGGACATAAAGATAAGAATAATAGAATATTATGGACATAAAGATAAGAATAATAGAATATTATGGACATAAAGATAAGAATAATAGAATAATTGTGGACTACTAGATGGGGGAGGGTAAGAAGGAGTGAGGATTGAAAAACTACCTATCGGGTGCTATGCTCATTACCTGAGTGATGGAATCATGTATACACCAAGATTCAGTGGCACTCAATTTACCTATGTAACAAACCTGCAAAGTTACCTCCTGAATCTAAAATAGAAGTTGAGAATAAAAAAGAAAAACCACTCATGTGTATAATATCATACCTTCCAAGTAAAACTTCCTCTGACTTAGGATTTTTTGGAATAGTCTGTGGTTTACAATAGAGTATATATTCGCTGTCCTTTATTTTACATACAAAGAGGAAAAACTAATTTCATTCATGCGGAGTTATGAGAGAACAGTTTCATAAGGAGGAAACATACTGCCAAACCAAAAAAAAAAAAAAAAAAAGAAGGTATTTAATTTGTTCTGTTGAAATTTTAGAGTTTGTGAACTAACATGTTATTCTGTTTGTGTTTTTAGTTTCCAGGTTAACTAAGGTCTCAGCTGTAAACCAAAAGTGAGAGGAGACATTAAGATTTTCATTCTTACCGGGTTGTCTTCTTCCTGAAGAGCAATGGAGCCGCTTTTACTTGGAAGAGGACTAATCGTATATCTAATGTTCCTCCTGTTAAAATTCTCAAAAGCAATTGAAATACCATCTTCAGGTAAAGTTAAAACATTCAGTGCCTATTAATGGAATTTCATATTTGCATTTTGATTTTTAAGTAGAATACTTATGGATTGAGGATGTGACTTTTCTACCATATTTCTATATATTCTTTAGCAATCTGTCATGAGAATTCATATCTATCTTTTTCGTTTTGTGGGTGGCTGATACATGACTGCTGTAATTATTTTGCAACCCAGGCTTTTAGTTCCTTATGCAAACTTAGAACATAACAAGAATAGTAACCTATAGATAAGCTAGTATTTTTCCATATGTCTTGGATTATCTGCAATATTACCAACAACTTCACTTTTGTATACTTAGGTTAGTTAATCAAGATTCAGAAATTACTGGCATTCAACAAATTATGTCGAAAAGGAATTGGATGAACTTTGTATTCTTTTTCAAAATGATTATATTTAAGAATGAAAACAATGAATTAGCAAAACAATAAGCCATTTTACAAGTAAAAGTATAAGATGATATGAACTCTCAAAATTTACGGCATTATATAGTGTGAATTCATATTAAGAGGTTAAACAGTAGTCTGATGGAAATATATAAATATATATTCTAACATATATTGGTAAAATGGATGCAGATTTTTAGCCATTATAAATCAGTTTGAACGAACCATGGTAATTAATAGTTAAAAAAATAGATCAGCATCAGCAGGACATGGTGACACATGACTGTAGTCCCACCTATTTAGGAGTCTGAGGCAGGAGGATTGCCTGAGCCCAGGAGTTCAAGACTATAGTGTGCAATGATCACACCTGCGAATAGACATTGCACGCCAACCTGGACAATATAGTGAGACTTTGTTTTTTTAAAAAAATAAAAACTAAAAAAATCTGCAAACAGAACATATGTAATAGTATATCAAGTCTGCCATGTATAGATCTTGCAGATTTTTCTTGTATTACATGCATATGGGTTCTAAAAGACCCACGAGAGGTTATTAAGACATTTTTATCCGTATCATTCAGGAATAATCTCTATTGCATCTTCTGTATATAATTTGGAGGGTTATTATATTAGAGGTGTTGGTTGTTTATTAGAATTTTAGCATTGCAGGTGATATTTGTGGATTTTCTAAATTCTAGAGAAATAATCTTGAGCTCATAAAATTTAATACATCTTAGAAAAGTGTTGGGACTTAACTAAAACGTTGCTTTTGAAGTGCTCAGACAGACTGAATGTCAATAGAAAGGAAACAACTCTCTGACTATCTATAATATAATGTATTTAAAAACTATTCTAAGGGCCACCTTAAATTACTTGATGTACCTATTTTATATTATGCACTTTGGAAAGAACTGAAATTGTAGTTCCATCCCCCCAGGTAGAAATCCCTTCTCTATTATTTTTAACAGATAAGTAAGCTCTGTTTTGACATTTCCATTTCTTAAGAAATTCCACTTATCTGACCTACAAATATACAGACTTAAAGTCTGCTTTACATTTGGCTGAAATCTTTCGGCCTACACAATGTATTAGATTTCTTCACTGACCAGCCTTTTTGTAGAAATTCTGGTCGGGAGTCTAAAGTACCTTCATCTTTAGTGAATTCTTTTGCTTTGAGTATGCAGTAGCAAGTTAAGAGCAAGCTTCTTGGTAATCCTGTGGAAAAATGTTAATAATTTCACATTGTCTTCCGAATAGCAACGAAGATGCCACTGAGATTACTGATTCAGATTTTTGACCATAATCTCTGGCATACACATTTATTCTTCATCATTTCTTACTTTGTCAGTGGTGAAGGATGTGAAATTTTGTATTAATTCCTGGCCCACATTTTTATTCTGGTTGTCTCAGTTACTTATGCATTTTCATGCTGTAAGGTCCTTAGACAACAATTGTTATAAAATATTAATGGCATATTTTCAGAACATCTGAATATTATTCATTTATTTCAGGGCTCTAGAGCACTCACAAATAAATGCAACTAAGGCAGATATCCAATTTGAATGTCAAGGAGTCTGGTGTCTCTGTAATTGGCTTAATTATAGAGGAAAGGATTTATAATGTAGAATATATATTCTTATAAACACCCAAAGGTTATTAGCTCCGTTCCCCAAATAATTAGTTATTGCTGAGCCTTTACAACCTTAGCAAATTTAGGAAAGAATAATGTTCTAATAAACAAGTTGTTCACAAGTTATTAGCTGATATCTAAGGGACTGTGGCCACTGTGTATCATCCCTCACCGTTTATAACTGCAATAAAATTTAAATAATATGAATTTGCAATAAGCTCAAGTCCTGCTCTACACAGAAATAGTAGTAGTCAGAAACAAAGTAAATGTGAATGAAAATACAGACATTTTGCATGTTGGTTTATGAATATCCAGTAGATAAACACTGAACTTGAGCTAATATCCATAACCTGGTAAAACTCACTTATCAGATTTATCGGGCAATAATGAAAAATTAAAAAAATAGAATTAATAGAAAAAAATTAGAGTTTGGAAAGGCATTTAGTTTTTATTCTACTCTGGCTGTCAATGCTCAAAATGTGGTTTCCAGAATTCTTGGGGTCCCAGGGACACATCCAGATGGTCTGTGAGATTAAACTGTTTTTATCATAAACCTAAGACGCCATTTTTTCATTTTCACTGCGTTGTCATTTGCTCTGATGATACAAAAGTAATGAGGGCTGGGCGTGGTGTCTCATGCCTGTAATTGCGGCACTTTGGGAGGCTTGAGGTCAGGAGTTCAAGACCAGCCTGGCAAATGTAATGAGACCTCATCTCTAAATTATATATATATATAAAATATATATATATATATATATATATAATTATATATATATATATAAAACGAATAGCTGGGTGTGGTGGCTTATACCTGTAGTCCTAGCTACTTGGGAGGCTGAGGCAGTAGGATCATTTGAGCCCAGGAGGTTGAGGCTGCAGTGAGCCATGATCATGCCACTACATTCCAGCCTGGCACTGGCATCAAATTTACTGGTAGTCAGGTGATATTTAATGTCCATATACTCAGAGTAAAAAACTCTCAAAACAAAGCAAAACAAAAACAGTTTTGCTTATGATTATAATTGTTGAAGCACTTAAAAATTATTAATGTTATTAATTATCTACCTTGGAATACATACTTTCTAACATTCTAGTGAACTGGGAAGTAGATATAAAATAATTCTGCTATGCGTCAAAGTATTATGACAATCTCTATTTCTTAATTGCATCATTGCTTGAGTCCTGAGCTGGACATCATCTTTACTTTAAAGTTATGACTGACAAATTATGGTTGTTCAGATAGATATAGGTCAGATATTTTCCTGAAAGTGAACCAAGTGAGCCCATTCATTTCAAGATAAACAACTGACCATATATAAGGTCATTGATTAAATGTGAGTGTTCAAGAAAACATTAGAATTGTGGAGGACATGTATTGTCCACTGTAAGCTTGAGAGCTTCCCGATACTTAATACTGCTGATTAGATCAGTGGCAATTCTAACAAGTGTCAATTTTTGATATTCTATAATGAAATGCATCAATGTTTGGAAGACACAAAATTCAGTGAGCGGGTATTTTTTCCAAATGAAAGCTCCATGATGTTACAAAATCATTTGTAGATTAAAAAAAGTAAAATGGTTTAATGGTACACAGTATGAAAAGTTGATTGATAGGGTTTAGATTTCACATTTCAATGAATGTTTAAAAAACTACACTTGTATCTACAATCATCAGAAAGGACTCTAAAATTTCCCATCATTTTTTAACTACGTTATCTGTGTACGGCTGGATTTTCTTTATATCTTTGAACAAATCAACCCTATTTCAACAGATGAAATGCAGAAGCAGATAAAAGAATCCATCTGCCTTCTCAAGAAATTGCAGAGATGGCCTTTAGTTCTAGCCACTCGAAAGGCTGAGGCGGGAGGATTACTTGAGCTTGGGATTTCTAGGCTGCAGTGAGCAATGATCCTGCCACTGCACTGCAGCCTGCATGAGTGAGCAAGACCCTGACTCAAAGAATTAAGAAAAAAGCAATTACAGAGATTTGCAATCATGTAAAGTAATGCCCTTCTTCTCATAATATTTAAAGGTTTTCATAAAATATGTGATTTACTTTAACATTGAATTATTTTAAATAAATTCATAAGTAAACATTTTGAAAGACATTTTGAAAGACTTTTTCAGTTTTTATTCCTGTTATAGTAAATATTGTTAGCTATACCCCACATGAACAAATGCTCTTTGAGATGTCTTGTAATTTGTAAGACTGCAAAAGAGTCCTGAGACCAACACGTTGAGAACAATTTATCTAGGCTAAATCCTTAATATTACAAATGAGAAAACAGAGAGTGGTTCAGGGCCTGGTCCAATGTCACAGGTTTTAGGGCCTCATTTGCAACTCTACTGTGGAATAGTACTTATTTAAGTTAGGCTCTGTGCCTGTCTCCAAATTGCTTTTCTCATACTTTATTTGCCAAAGTCAGGTCCCTGCTGCGAAACAGTTTTCATTTCCTTGTGAATCAACCCTGTCTTTTTATTAGAGATTCTAAGAACTGTACTAAAACTGGGATGTCTCCTTTTGAAAAATATTGAGTGCTCATCAGCAGTAGATCTTTACACACTTCATGATCTATGTTTTATTTCAAAGCTTAATCCAAGTTGTATTTCCAGCATTAGTAAATTTATTTTATAGTTGTAATTCTCAGAAATGTAATCTCGCTGCTCTACTAGGTGAGAGGCAAAATCACTTCCTACTTTATTTATTTATTTATTTATTTATTTATTTATTTATTTATTTTTACTTTTATGAAAGAGTCTCACTCTGTCACCCAGGCTCAAGCGCAGTGGCTTGATCACACCTCACAACAGCTTCAACCTCCTGGTCTCAAAATTAATCCAGTTAATTTTTACATTTTTTTGTAGGGATAAGAGTCTCCCTATGTTACCCAGGTTGTTCTTGAACTCCTGGGCTTAAGTGACCTTCCCACCTCAGCCACCCAAAGTGTTGGGATTACAGGTGTGAGGCACCAAGTGTGGCCCACTCCCTACTTTTTAAAATTGTGTTTGTCTTGTAGATTACTTATCAAACACTAACAGAGTTTGTCACAAGAGGAGGGGATATTTGAATATGAAGAATCTATTAATGCCATTATGCATCAGTTATTATTATATAATAATGGTTATTAGTAAGTTAAATTCTCTAAGGAAACAGAACAAAACTTCCAATAGATAAGTGAGAAAAGGTTATAAAATGAAAACATAAATGAGGAATAACAAACACTAAACAAGCCCATGAAAGAACATTTATTACCCAAAAAAAAAAAGAAAATTAAAATAAAGGGAATAAGGAGTTTATATTTTCCTTTGTAATAAATGCTAAACTATTTTATTATTTTGAAATGTTAGCATTCACTGGTGGCAAAAATATAGAGAACCACTCTATTTTTGTTATTTGTGTATATATTCTGTGGTGAAATGATATTTACAATTTACCCAGAGTAATTACCACTTGTGTCCATGCCTGGAAATTTATCATAAATCAGTAATTCAAAAAAGGAAAAATCTATTTACTCAAAATTCCTATTGAAATAGTTTACCTGGAAAGAAAAAAAATGGATAATAATCTAATGACCAGTAATAGAATTATTAAAAATTATAGCATATCAGTGGGAAGAAATAATGTAAAAGCAGTACATTAATTATAATGTGTTTATAGAAACACGGAAGATTACAAACAGAACTTTCAAAGTGACTGAACTAAGTAAAAATGCATATGCATGCTAACATAGATTGAATGCCAATAATTTTAATAATATATATTTTTAAATTGTGATGACATAGCAACTTTTCTTCTGCTATAAAAATCATTAAATTATTCTGGGTTTAAATAAAATGAACATATATTAAAACATGAAATGATGGCAGTGAAGTGTATTCCTTAGAAGTAAGTACATGTTGCAAAGAGAGAGTGAGATTTATTCTGATTTTCACTTTTGTATCATCCTTTCACTTATCAGTATACAAAAGAGGTTTAAAGTGTTTTCGCTATAGATTAACCTTGCCTGCTGTTTGAATAGTGTGTTTTTAAGTACATATTTTAATATTTAGTTCAACAGGTTCCAACAATCATAAAACAGTCAAAAGTCCAAGTTGCCTTTCCCTTCGATGAGTATTTTCAAATTGAATGTGAAGCTAAAGGAAATCCAGAACCAACGTGAGTATTGTTTCAAACGAAGTGGTTCTTTAAATGCGTGCTGTTCTTTATGCTGCTCTTTACTCTTACCATCACAAGCCTGTTGGACTATGAATCCACGCATGATTAAAGCTAAGGGTTTACAAAAAATCATATCCATGCAAACAAAAAAAAAATTTGGTTATTTCACATATGTTTTTCTGCCACTTGAATTTATTTTGACCATAAACTAAGGGCTGTTATTAAAATACTTAGAGTAGTCTTTGGTACAGCAGAAATACTCCACAATCCCTTAGTCTACAAATAAATAAGGTAGCTGAAAACTAGAAGATCCTTTATTCTACTTAGTAAAATGTAGCATTTATTAAGTCAAAGTTTGTAAATACCATTCTATACATATTTATAATTGTGCGTCTTTAAATTTAAACATCTTATTTTGTGGATAGGTTGTTACTTGATTTTTTTTAAGTTGTCATAGAAATATTGTCATCTCAGGTGGCAGAGTACTATTGCATGATATACTACTATCTAGTATTATTTTATTTTAGAATTAAATAATTGTTATTCTAGGTGACCATAATCACTGATGAGCTTTTTCAAAATACCTTCTATGTTTGGGGAGGAAGAAAAAAATGTGGATGTATTGGAAGTGAGAAGGGAGAGGCTGTGGGAAGAATTCCCAATATTAAAACTCTACGTGATTCTAAAATGGAAAGCAAAGCTACATACTTTTATTATTCTGCATGATTATCTTATATTCATTAAGAATATCCATATTTAATGAAAATTGATGATTTTCAATTGTATCATGACTATTATTATTGCCTGATGGGTTGATATTTAATAATCATTAGTGACCCATTAACATGCTAAATTATAATTATTTCTATGTTTAACCAAATGGAATATATTCAATCAAAATATGTAAGTATGGATAGAATTACAATGGAATTAAGGATAATTTATTCAATCAATATGGATATATTGATCAATATCATGATATATTAATATTAATTAGCTGAATTATTATGTCAAAAGGTAATACCATACACTTGTCAACAGTGAAATATAAGACACACAGAGAGAAGTAAAATAAGTCAGGAGGGTGGCTGGGTAGGCCTACTCCTAATGAGAATACATGTCCATTGAAGGTTTGTTATTCCTGTTGGAAGAATAATCACATAGATTAGTGTAAGAATATGGCGTCCTGAAATATACCCAAATTTGCATGGGTAATTCCAATATACAATGCTGAATACAATCTAATTGGGAAGTCATTGTTTGTCTATCAGACTGATAAAGATTTAAAGAGACTTCTTAATGTCATTGTTCATAGAACTGACACTCTAGCATACTGGGGTGGGAATTTAACTGTGTACATTTTTTTTCTAGAATATAATTTTGCAACATTTATCAAATACTATAAAAAGTTTTTAATTATTGGTTTATTAATCTTATTTCTAAGGAACTGGCATATTGAAATATTTGGACAAGTACCAAAGAATAAATATATAGGGTTGTTTCTCACAATATTGTTCATAAAAGGAAAAACATTGAAATGGTTAAAAGTAATTAAATTAGTAACCATATGACAGAAGATAATGTAGCTATAAAAATTGTCTTTAGTATCATTATAATAATGGAAAAATTCAGTTGGCCAAATTATATATTCAGTGTGGTCTCAAATATGTGACAAAATTCTAAAAATACTAATAGGAAATATTAGCAAGTGTAATAATACTGGGCTTATCTGTTTTGGGATTTTGAGTGAGTTCCTTACACACACAAATACATGAACAGAAATTATATATGTTTCTTGTAGTCTCCAGAATATTAATAATAATCTTGTATTACCTTTCTAATTAAAAATAAATAAATAATTTTAATTTAAAAAAGCAAAAGCTAATTTCAATCTTAATCCTCTCATTTATCAAGCTGTTTTATGGACAGTAATATTTCTCAGATTCTTCTGAGACCCTTATTTATATCCTGTTATATTCCATTAAGTATATACTTTTTATCATAAAATGTCTTGGTTTTGTCAATTTTATGCAATTGTTAATAAGTACTCTAAACATATGTCATTATTTTTCAGGATTATTAAGTTCAGTTTTATGTTTTAGATTTTCGTGGACTAAGGATGGCAACCCTTTTTATTTCACTGACCATCGGATAATTCCATCGAACAATTCAGGAACATTCAGGATCCCAAACGAGGGGCACATATCTCACTTTCAAGGGAAATACCGCTGCTTTGCTTCAAATAAACTGGGAATCGCTATGTCAGAAGAAATAGAATTTATAGTTCCAAGTAAGTACTATAACGGGAATTTCATTTTACAAGTGTTTTAGTGAAGTGTTAAATAGGAGTTAGATTGGGTTCCAATGAAATAAAGCAGTTATTAACTAAATCAACTTATATGTGTCTTGTATTTTATTTATAAGGAAAAATTTCCTCCAGGTCTTGATACTTAAAATCGGATGACCTTAGAAAACAACATAATTTGACTCTGTTTCAGTAACCTTATATCTAACATGGAAAAATATAATATCTGCTTTGCCTTATAAGATGAGAATTAAACATATTATTAGTTAAACTTGGCTAAATTCTATGCAGTAATAGATAACCCCAAAACCTCTATGTAAACATAAAGTTATTCCCCGATAAAGCAATTTACTGTGGGCCTGGCAACTCTTTCATGCAGCCTTCTTGCTGATCACAGCTAATGGAGACATCGTCATTCTGTGGTTGCCTCTTGTGAAACATGCCATTTTGGTCAAAGAGTCTGGGACGAAACATGAAAAATTGTACACTGGCTCTTAAATGCTTCTGACAAGAAGTTATGCAGGCAACTCCTACTCATGTTTTGTTAGGTGGGGCAAAGCAAGTTGCATAGTCCCATCTAACATCAATAGTATGATGCTCATTAGGAAAGGAGAAACAGCTATTGGTAATGTTAACCGTAAATAAAATTTGTGTAAAACTGCAAGACACTTTGTTGTTAGAGGTGTATTTATCAGTAATCGTCCCCTGAAGTAGCGTACTTTATTCATAGCTTATTTGCCCTATGTGCATGGGATATCCATGACCACCTTTTATATTTTATCACGTTTTCCCCCTGTTCTTAATATATCCACCATTACACAATTTTAGCCAAAGCCTTTATAGAGTAAATTGGTAAGTATAAAACTGTCAGCCAGCTTCTATTCGGTAATTTCTTCTTTTAGAGTCCTAGATATGAAAGTATTTCAAAGAAAGTCCTAGGACTTGCAAAATATGAACACTTGATTCTGGGGGTGCAGAATGGCCACAAACTTCAGAAAAACAAATGATGAATCTTTAACCCAAAAGTTCAGAGAGGGCATTGTATTTAAATTGTCCTAAAGTCCTTATATAATTCTAGAGGAAGGAATATAGGTCAAATTTAGACTCGGAAGTAAGGTGTGCATCTTAAAATTTATAAGTATGTACACTAAAATTATAAGAAAATAGTATTATCACACAATGTGGTTGATGCAGGGAAGAAAAAATAAAGGAGAGAAAAAAAGTAAGACAAGCAGAAAGAAAAAGAGATAGAAATAAATTCAAATATATCACAAATGAAAGACAAAAGTAAATAGAATAAATGCTCTGAGTTAAAAAAAAGCTATAAACTTTTTACAACACATCTATCTAAACCTTAAGGATACAGAATTGTTGAAATGAAAAAGACAGAAAAGATATCCCAGACAAATGCTTTCCAAATGAAGGTAGGTATGACCATATTAATGTCAGTCATAACAGACTTTATTTGTAAAAGCCTTCATGGAAATTAATTTACTAGACATATATAATGTTAAAATACCTGAAGCAAAAATAGAACTACAAAGAGAAATAGACAAATTCACCATAATAATGAGATATTAACATATCTTTTTCATTATTTGCTCACTCAAGCAGAGAAAAACATCAGTGAGCATATAGAAGATTTAAAGAATACAATCACAAGCTCCATCTAATGAAAACACATAGAATATTGTAACTAACACGGCAAAATGAGTTTTTTCATACACATGGGGTAAAAGGTTATATTTGATGATATATTGGGCTATGAGGAAAATATCAAAATGTAATTAAGTTAGAAATCAATAATAAATAGAAAACTTAAAAAACTTATATCTTTGAAAACTAAGAAATACATTTCTAAGTGAGTCTTAGGTCAAGTACCAAATGGTAAGGAAAATAGAATATATTTTGAAGTGATGACAGTGAAAACTCTACATAACAAAACATGTTGAATGCAGTGAAAGCATTATTTAGAGGGATCTTTATCATTTTAAAGACATATTAGAAAAACATAAAGGATGAAAATTAATGATCTTAGCTTATTAGGTAACATAATTTTAGGATAAAAATGAATGAGCTAATTTAAGGCAACAGAATAAACTGGAGTGAAGGGAGAAAATAGTATAAAAGCAGAAAATAAATTCAACAATGTGGTATGTAATCTTTGTAGTGAAAGTATCCATATTTATTAAAAAAAGAAAAAATCTAGACAAATAGAAAATAAGTAAACTATTTCTATTTATTGGAAGAATCTATACACTTAAAATGCTCATTCTCAATGGGTTGATATATAGAAGAATTGAAATCAGAACGCCTATAGTTTAGTTTTTGTTTCTGTTTGTGAAATGTGACCAGCTGGTTCAAAAATATCTTTGAGGAACAAAGGGCAAACTTCAGTAGAAATTATTAAAGAATAACAAGTCATAGGGGATTCTTGTTTTCAGAAATCAAGATTCAGCTTAATTCAGGAATTAAGCCATTATGGTTCTGTGCAGGGTTACACAAATCAGAATAGCATAGTAAACCCAGAAACAGACCATCACATGTGTAAAAATAGTTGAGGGAATTGGCATGTTAGCATGGATCTCTCTCTCTCTCTCTCCCCCACTCTCTTTACTTTGAACTAAACATTGTGGAACAATTGATAATTCACACAGAGAAACATTTATATGGACTTCCACCTCATATCATATAAAAATCATCTCAGAGTGGATAAAAGGCTGAACAGTGAAAGGAAAAAATGTTTTAAAAAGTGAGACTATTTGAACAATACGTTTATCACCAGGGTCATTAATACAGAGAAAGATTTCTTTTCCTTTCTTTTCTTCCTTTCTGGCTTTTTTGTTTGTTTGTTTGTTTGTTTGTTTGTTTTTGACAGGAACTCACTCTCTCCAGGTCAGGCTGGAGTGCAGTGGTGCAGTCATGGCTTCATGGCTCACTGCAGTCTTGAACTCCTGGGTTCAAGTGATCCTCCCATCTCAGCCTTCTGAGTAACTAGGACTACAGGCGAGTGCTACCGTGCCTGGCCAATTTTTATTTTTATTTTTATTTTTGTAGAGATGGGGTCTCACTATGTTGCCCCGGGTGGTCTTGACCTCCCAGCCTCGAGCAATCTTCCTGCCTCAGTGTCCCAAAGTGCTGGGATTACAGGCATGAGCCACCATGCCCAGTGTGGGATGATTTCTTTAGTCATATTAAAGCCTCATGAAGGAAATCATCAAGAATACATTCTCCTACATTTGATTTTAGATCCTTTTTTTATTGAAAGACTCTAGGAAGAAAGTACAAACAAAAATAAGCCACAACTCAGATAAAAATTATTGATAATGCATATAACTAAAAATGGTATGTATTCATAAATAATTTTACAAATCTTTATAAAAAAGGAAAAATGACAAAGTGGCAACATATATAAACTTGAACCTCAGACTGGAGGGCCAATAAAAATGTGAAAATGTGTTCAACCTCTTTAGTTACCAGAAACAGACCTATTGTAACCCTAGTGATAAAAGCATTTGATCCTACCCAATTGGGAAATATCAGAAAATCCAAAAGTAAAAATTTTAGATTGCAATATACATCCAACAGAATACGTATCCACTACTGATGACAGTCCAGTTTACTGCGTGATCTTTGGAAAACATTTTCTAATCCCCTCCTTCGTTGAAGATGCTCTTACTTATGACCAAACAATTCCGTTCCCTAGCTCATGTGCATGTGCCTCTTGTCCATACATACCAGGAAGATTTGTGGTCACATTGTTTATATTTAAAAATATGCTGGAAAAAATACAGCAGTCCACTCAAAGTAGAATGGATCAATGCATTGTGCTCTATTCATACCAAAAATACTATTCAATAGTAAATAAAACGTCAAGAATATGTTGAGCAATAAAAGTAAATCTTGGAGAAAGTTTGAAATATGTAAAACTGACTACAATTTTGATTGGTATAATTTTATTGTTAAATTATAATGAAAAATAAGAGAATGATAAAAACAATATTCATGGCAGTAATTACCTGTAATGGAAGTAAAAATTGGAAAATGGAAGTGGGGGTTGAGATCAGCACCTGACAAAAAGGTGATGACGATATTCCTATTTTGTAAAATGGGTAGTAAGTGAATGGATTTCCATTGTGTTTCTTTCTTTCTTTGTGTTTTTTTTACATTTATTCTATAAACAATTGTTTTATATTCTTAAAATGAGTAAGTGTGAAGCATCCCGTTTGTCTCAAGTGGACATTTCTGAGTTACTGAGATATTTTAGAATCAGACCAGTGACATGTCAACCTGAAAATTGTTCTCAGGAGTTTGGATTTGAATTGACTTTCAGTAGGAAATGTCCATGAATTCTGGATTAGAAAGTATTGCTATGAAAATTGTGGTTGATCATCGTTAAACTGTATATTACATTTATATACTTCACTGAAATAAGTTAAGACCAGAGAAAAGGACAGATAAAATATCTTTTGTAGGAGGCAAGTCATGAGGATGATTCCTAACCTAAATTCTAGGGGTTGCTATGGAGACACAAAGGAAAAGGCAGCAGCTAGATCTATTGCAAAGAAAGGAGCGGCAGAATTTGGTTTAAGATTCTGCAATTAAAGGATTTCAGTTTTTTTTTCTGTCATTATCTAGGCAGACCAAGTGAAGACATGAACAATATAAGGATAATTCTGACCAGAATATGATATGAGAGTATTGTATTAAGAGCTGGGAGTTGGATCTGAGCTACGTTGTTGGATAATTGCTCTATTTTTTTTATTTTTTTTTTTTGCTGCTGCTGCAGAAAAGAGCAAAATAAATTAGGTTTCTTATGCATCATTTCCAGCCTCTCCTGAAATTACTTCATCATCTGACAGCTTTCTGCAACCATCTATATATTGAATAGTAACCCAACCCAATACTTAGGAGTTTATAAATCAGAGACAATTTAAAGCTTCCTACAATCTTTAATCGATTCTTCTCTTAAACTGTAGAGAATTGGTTCTTCTCAAAGATTGATAGAAACTTTGTGATTCAAATGTTACAGTTTCTACTTCTCAATCTCCTGTTAACAAACAGAAACCTTTGTATACAATGTCCAGTTTTCTATTTTCAACAACATTGCAGTTAAGTTTCCTAGGGAAAGAGTGAAAGAAACAACAACAACAAGAACCAAACAAACAGAATGTACCATTTTTATATACACGAAAAACTATTTAACTAAATGTATTATCCAAGACATGGCACAGGGATTTTGTCAGTGAGTTATTCAACAATCTTCCTGAAACTCCCATAATACACCAGCCACTTTCTAGTAATTTGGGATTTAACAGTGAATAAAAACAAAGACTGTCCTCCAGAAATATACATCCTGTGCATGTATATGGTGATTGGGTCTGGAAAGGAAGGGAGCTACTCTCTTGCCTTCATTATCCAACTATCAGTAAGGTTAAAATGATAATATAAATAATCCTAATTTGACTGTTGAATACTACTCACACTTCAGTGCACAGATTAGATTTCTCCACTTAGCATTCCTGGCCTATTCCAGCCTAGATAATTTTTTTCCTTTTTCTGAGTTTTTAAACAACTTGTTTGTTTGTTTGTTTGTTTTTGTTTTGAGACAGGATCTTGCTCTGTTGCCCAGGCTAGAGTGCAGTGGTACAAACATGGCTCACTGCAGCCTCATCCTCCTGGGCTCTAGCAATCCTTCCACCTAAACCTACCCAGTAGCTGGGACTACAGGCATGTACCACCATGCCCACCTATAAACATCTTTTTTGAAGTATAATTTACATATCATAAATTTTACTTGTTTTAAGTGTATAATTACTAGTTTTTATACATTATTTATTTATTTATCTTAGAGATGGGGTTTTGCTATGTTGCCCACACTGGTCTTAAACTCCTGGGCTCAGGTGATCCTCCTGCTTCAGCTTCCTGAATAGCTGGGATTATTGGCACATGACACTATGCCCCACCAATGACTTTTTTAGTAATTTTTTTAGTGAAGTATCATTATAATGTAGTATTAAAACATTTCCATCACCACAAAAAGATTTCTTGTGCCCATTTGCAGTCACTCTCTGTTCCCATCTCCAGGCCTTAGGCAACCACCAATTAATTTTCTGCCTCCTTAAATGTACTTTTCTGGACATTTCATATAATTGGAATCATGTATATGGTCTTTTTCATATGTCTTCTTTCACTTAGCATGTTTTGGAGGTTCATCCATGTAGTAGCATATATCAGTAGTTTATTTCTCTATATTGCTGAAGAGTATTTCACTGCATGGATATCATTTCCTGTTAATCCATCCACCAGTTGATGAACATTTGAATTATTTCCACTTTTGGCTATTATAAATAGTGATACTGCAAATTCTCTGGGGTTATTAAAGCATTTAGTTGTGTACTGTTAGGGACAGTCTATCAATTGTCATATGTATTAATTAGGATCCTTAAGAATGAGAAAAAATATCAGACAGACTGTCATATCCTTCCCGTTCTGCATTGCCTTGTAGATGTCACAAGAATGTGTATTATATTTATTTCATTGATTTATTGGTTGATAGGCTGAAAAATAAAAGAATGAATAAAAGTAACACTGCAATTTGCACATGCTATTAAAATAGTCTACGAAATGTCTGACAAAGATGAAATTTTCTATATAATAATTTAATGAAAACTAATTAGAAATATTCATGCACTAGGTTTCTACATTTGTGTTAACATACTTCCTCAGATTCCTCAGGACAATTTCCTTAAGATAAACCCTGGCTTTTTACCACCCTGATTTTGGAGGGGGAGTGTAGGAAACCTGGATGTTGTAGCCTGTGCTAAATTCTCCTAAGTGCAAATCAACAAAAACAGATCAATTTGTTCAATTAAGGGTGCAACTTTGAATTCTAAAGCTTTAATTAAGTTCGAGGATTTTACTCTGATTCACCAAAGTATGTGAATGCCTGTAATGAAATGGGCTGAACTGGGTGTCCTTCCTTAGCATGAATTCATTATGAGCTCATGGACTGAAAGCCAGTGTTATTTCTCTGTAGTCCTAAGTGGATTAATGGGATGTTCTGCAGGAAATGGGAATCAATTAAATCTCTTTACCAAAGGAAACCGGAGTTAGAGGTGATAAAGTATGTGCACTCAGTAGCATGCAGTTGTGACAATGATGGCAGACTGTGAGCAATTCGCCAAGCATATTTAAGTGAAATGTACGGCCCTGGAAAGCTCACCAGGCCAGTCCTGTAAACGGAGTGCCAAGTCAAAATAGATAAAGCTTTTTGGTATAGGAAGATTCGTCCAATGATGGAAAAAGGGAAAATAATTCAATAAACACATCATATGTTCTACATGAAATGAACAAATGAACAGGATTTTCTTCCTTCTGTCCTTCTACCTCCTCTGAAAATGTTAATTCAAATAATTGCACAAAGTCACAGAAGTTGTTGAGATGCAGGCTATGGAGAAAATCAGGAGCAGCAGCAGAAGAAAACTCCCTGTCCCTTTGGCCTACCTTGTCTCTGTGCGTTTGGCTGTACCATGCAAAGTGAAAATATTTGAGGAGTAGCCAAGATGTATTGAATAATTTTTAAGTGCTTGCTCCTATTTTAATCGATTCATGTGAAATATTTAAATTTCAACATAAATCAAATGAGTTAGGTGTTATTACATTTCCCACTTATGAATGACGACACTGAAACATATTAAGTAGCAGATTCAAAGATCGCATAGGAAGAGAAGCCAGGACGCAGGCCCAAGCAGCTGACTTCAGTGTTTATGGATAATCTGATGCTACAGTGTTGTCTGTACTTTGAGACTCAGGTAACACATGCTACAGATGAGCAAAAAGGCATTGTACTTCTTTGTTGAAAATACCTTGATACTAGATTACAGTATCATCTAGAAATAGGAAAATATAAGGAAACCTTCTATTTTGTTCCTAGAGTGCCGGAGAATCTGTAGTGTTGCATAACATGGTAGCGGTTAAGATGCCAGTGTTTTTTGGTTTTTGTTTTTTTCATCACAGTGGTTAGTTAGCATGAATTGTATTTAGTTAAATTTCCCTGATGGCATTTCACTACTACTCTTCACTATTAAACATGTTGGCATGATGGGATTACACAGCTTAGGTTTTATTATATCTCTACCCTTAAGAAGCTTCTACCCTGGTGAGGTGTTTGAGGAGCCTAGAGAGATGAATTCAAAGGATTCTAAGACACCAAAGGAAAACAAAATGAGATACAGAAAAAGGTAAAGATATTGGTCTGAATCTTTGTAACCAGTTAGTTTTCTAGTGCCTGGGCTAGAACCTAGTTTATGCTGTAGGATATCCTATAGATATAAATTCTGTTTTCAGAAGTCTTCTTTATTTCAGGAATGAAGATGCTATTTTTCTGTATATTATGTTGAAATAATTGGGATGATGAGTTTTCAAAACTCATTGACAGCATCTGAAGTCATAGAGCTCCTGCAAATTTTGTATCTGCAGGTTGGTTGTGCCTTGATAGTTGTGGTAATAAGACTCCTGTGCAGCTAGCTTGTCTGTAGGGAAGTGTTTCCATGATGGATTTCAACTGGGGAAGTTTTCAAAAACCTAGATGTGAATATATTTGAATGTCACTTATACCCTTGGTGTTAGTTGTTGCTAGAAATCTGTCTATGACACTGAATAATAAATGTGAAAGCCTAATGGAGAAGAGTGAAAAGATAGATGCTGTGATATGCTTGCTTTGCTGATGCAAATGGATTAATAGTGGCATTAGATAGAAAGGAAATTGATCTCATCTAGACTTGGTTATAATGGGATTTCCAAACATTCTTTTGTTTTTGTTTTTTTTTTTTTTTTTGAGACGGGGTCTTGCTCTGTCGCCCAGGCTGGAGGGCAGTGGCACAATCTCTGCTCACTGCAAGCTCCGCCTCCCGGGTTCCCGCCATTCTCCTGCCTCAGCCTCCCGAGTAGCTGGGACCACAGGCGCCCGCCACCACGCCCGGCTAATTTTTTTATATATATTTTTTAAATTATACTTTAAGTTCTAGGGTACATGTGCACAATGTGCAGGTTAGTTACATATGTATACGTGTGCCATGCTGGTGTGCTGCACCCATTAACTCATCATTTACATTAGGTATGTCTCCCAATGCTATCCCTCCCCTCTCCCCCCACCCCACAACAGGCCCCGGTGTGTGATGTCCCCCTTCCTATGTCCAAGTGTTCTCATTGTTCAATTCCCACTTATGAGTGAGAACATGCAATGTTTGGTTTTTTGTCCTTGCGATAATTTGCTGATAATGATGGTTTTCAGCTTCAACCATGTCCCTACAAAGGACATGAACTCATCATTTTTATGGCTTCATAGTATTCCATGGTGTATATGTGCCACATTTTCTTAATCCAGTCTATCATTGTTGGTTCCAGGACATTTGGGTTGGTTGCAGGTCTTTACTATTGTGAATAGTGACACAATAAACATATGTGTGCATGTGTCTTCATAGCAGCATGATTTATAATCCTTTGGGTATATACCCAGTAATGGGATGGCTGGGTCAAATGGTATTTCTAGTTCTAGATCCCTGAGGAATAACACTGTCTTCCACAATGGTTGAACCAGTTTACAGTCCCACCAACAGTTTGAAAGTGTTCCTATTTCTCCACATCCTCTCCAGCACCTTTTTTTGGCATTTTTAGTAGAGACGGGGTTTCACCATGTTAGCCAGGATGGTCTCGATCTCCTGACCTTGTGATCCGCCCACCTCGGCCTCCCAAAGTGCAAACATTCTTGAAATTCTGCTTAGCTAGACTGTTATGTGCAAGTTGATTCTGATCCCTTTGCAGAGAGGCCATTCAGGATCAAGTCCAGTCTTGTTGAAACAAAGTTAAGTGATTTTTGGTTTTGGTGTTGATGAAGTACCCATGTGAAATATATTGGCAAGATAAAGGAGTGTAATTACCTCATTTACCGAAAAAAATATTTTTTTAATTTACTTTTAAAAATATTACTGTTGTCCAAACTCAGCAATGCTAATGTTTGTCACCAGATAAACACAGTAAATGCCACTGGTTGGATTTATTTTTAAATGGAGTCATTTCTTTATCTGAATTGAGGTAGACTTCATGTTAGCTGCTGTGTTATAGTAATTAAAGTTCACATTTATCTGTGAGTGTTAAAATTTTCACTTTTTATCGTGCCATCAAACTCACTAAATAGTTTCAGAGTCAAAGGATAAGACATAAAAAATTCCTGAAAAATTAATGCCATTTATATATCTTCTAAAACCTTAAATTTATTGATGTATAAGTATGCGTCCCTGTTTTCCAATATTCATTTTGTATTTAGTTAAAAGCTGTTCTGAAGATTTATGGCACGCGATAGCAGTTTTGGTAGAGTTATAAATTTTCTTTTCTTTTTTATTGTTGGTGCCTTAGAAGCCAGTTGAATTACAAATTTACATTTTCAGAATTAGAATTGTATAATCTAGATTTAATTAATGCAAGGATGATAATGCTTCAGTGGCAGTACTATCTGTTCGAATTGCTAGGTTTTTTTTAACGCTCTCAGGGAGCAGCTCTCCAATTAGGGATTTATACATCTTATTAATTAACTACTTTACAATAGATATTATCCAGTGAACTGTGTATTCATATTAGGGACTGTATAGTTTGCTTGTTATCGAAGTGGATTACATGCCCTTTCCATTTTCTAATCCATATTTTATTTCCTCTGCTGCCTCTTGTATCTGAGTATAGATAGATTCACCAACTACCCAACAGCACCACTGACTTCAATGCCAGTGTTTACTGGGCTTAAGTTACAGCGAATAAAACTAAATAAGTGGTTCAATTTGGAGATTTGGGTACATAAACGTTTTGTATATTACTATGCCTTATGTCTATAAGGTGTACTTTCTGCAAAATGTTTTCCATAGCATTTGATGTCAATCAAAGCCGAGGCTTTACCAAATAGCTGGCATGATGTTTTATCTACAAGCTCTTAATGTAGTGAATATACTAAACATACTTTCCCGACTTTTGAGGGAAATTTCATGCTACCTATAGCAAAAATGTGATTCAAAGATGGTTGCTATTTCAAAAATGTTTCCAGAGACTTTCTAAAAGGAATCTTATAGAACGAGTTGAGCAAGAGGAAACCCACTAAAGGACTGTCACATGGCTGAATGTATAAAGAGAACCAAAGTCTGCCTTCCGAAATTGCAAAGGCAGTGTAATAGCCACACCGCCCCCTGCAATGTTAAGCCTTGGAAGGTCCTTGAATTTAGACAAAAAGCAATTCACTGTAACCAGCTGGTGCATCGATAAGAGAAATGTCAGCAAATTCCCTCAACCTCTAAAGGCATGGATGGGGGTTGAGGGGCTATAGGACAAATATATAGGAAGTGCACAAAGCTTCTCAAGAAGAAATTTTACAGTAAATGAGTAAACCTTTATATTTCCAAGAACAATGAAAATCGGTTGTGAATCATAATTTAAGAATGAAACATACAAATAAATACCTTCTAATGAATTCCATCAAGTTGGGACTGTTATAACTGCCTTCCTAAGATCCTTCTCCTCCACAAGAGACTGTGTAATTCTATAATGCAAATTCCCCCACCAAAAGTTGAAAGATATCAATGTAATGCTCAGGAAGAATACATTTTGAATATCCTTATAAATATCAATACTTCCATAAAAATATTAAACTTTGGTGTTAGATTTCAAATTCTGCACAATTCTGACTTATATTCTGATTATAACTGCATTGCTCTTTTAAGAAATTGACTCCAGTGTGGGGAGGAAACAATAGGTTGAAATATTGACAAGTCTCATTTCCTACATCAATTCCATTTCATTTAAATTTTTATTTAATGGGAGTAATTTCAATGTGGCTGGCTCTTTTTGCAACTTAAAGTGGTCAAATTTGGCTTTCCATTGCATTCTTACCATTTTCTCCATATGGGCTGGGAAGTTTTTATTTAGTGTGGTTAATGCACTGGCTGGAATATTTGCCAATCACATTCAAGGCCTTCCCAATAAAGCGAGAGATAGAGAATATGCAACCGCCCAAAGTGAAATCAGTGTTTGGAGAAAAAGATTTCACATCTATCAAAGCTAAAGCAAGAAAATCCTGTGACTCTGGGTTTATATCTCTGCTCAGAGAAATATGCACAAGTATGTTATTGCCTTATTGTTGTCGCATAACAAAAACATTATTGTCTGGGGTTTCAAAATGCAGAAATATTTTTAAAGTTGTGTAAAGATGCACACCAGTTTCTTAATAGTATTTAACTCTGAAGGGGAGATGTAAGAACCAGGATCTGTAGCATAGAATTTATTTAAATTGCTGAATTTTGAAAAAAAAGAACATATTAAGATATTTGTTGTTATAGTCAAAGTTAATTTTAAAATAACACATTAAAATGATTTTTTACACCAGGTGTTCCAAAATTCCCAAAAGAAAAAATTGACCCTCTTGAAGTGGAGGAGGGAGATCCAATTGTCCTCCCATGCAATCCTCCCAAAGGCCTCCCACCTTTACACATTTATTGGATGAATATTGGTAAGTAATGCTCCGTTCCATCAAAAAAGGGGGACATTTTAATTCTATCCATCATATCAATAACATAATGAATCCAAAGACAAAATAAAAAATAAAGATCTCTTAATTTTTTCATATTTGAAGAGGAGATGCTACTAATATGATAAGATTTGTCTGTGAAGACAATACTTCCTATATTTCAAACAGTGCACTTACCTTTGGAATATAGATCATGTGAAAGCTGAGGATGGCATGGGTTTGTGTTGCTAGCTTCATCTTTCTATTTTAGTAATGCTCTACCTGCTAATTGCAGTCACCTACCAGGAAATTAGTATTAACTTTTTTGCTTAATTTTCTAAAAGGTTTGCTGACTCTGATCTGAAAATCTAGCTTTGTAAAGTCTACTTCTAGCATATGCCTTAGCAGTGATCTCTACATGTTTTCTCATTGTGAACCATAGAGAAAAATGCTATTTGCACAGCACTCAGAAGAAAGCAAATGAAGCTACTCTTAGGTACAGCCAATTGTTCCAGACATCAGTTCCCCTAGAACCTTCCAGGCTGCAACCAGAACAGGGAGATTAATATCACGGATAAAACTTTTGGAGAGCTTTTTGTTTTTTCTTTTTAAATCATGTTTTAAATAAACGTGATTCTCAGAAAATACAAGTGTTAATTAGGTCATTGTCTGCATTGATCAGTTTTCAGTTCAGCCAATTCAGATTCATAGGGCAGAGGTGGAGACAAAGATGGTAAACAGAGTTTACCACTGTTTGTCTACTGGTGGACTTCTTTGGTTAATGGTAAAAAGTATCCTCCCAAGGGTTTTGCTGCTGTTTTTGTTTTGTTTTGTTTTCCTATTTGCTCATTGTTCCTGTAGTAAGACCAGACTTGAGAGGAATTAAAGAGCAAACAGGAAAAACCAAATGAAATAATAATGTAAAAGAAAATGAAAAAGGAAGATGAAGCACAGTAAGGGACAATTGCCCTTTTCAATGGCAAGATATCTCTTTTCAGAATTAGAACACATCGAACAAGATGAAAGAGTATACATGAGCCAAAAGGGAGATCTATACTTCGCAAACGTGGAAGAAAAGGACAGTCGCAATGACTACTGTTGCTTTGCTGCATTTCCAAGATTAAGGACTATTGTACAGAAAATGCCAATGAAACTAACAGTTAACAGTTGTAAGTCCACATAATTTATCGTTTCATCATGTATGCTGAATGCAAATGTGTCTGTAATTTCCTTCTGGCTGAAGCCATTTAAAGCTGGGTTGATATTTTGCACCATTGTGCAGTTCAACTCTGGAGACTTCTTCCAGATGAAATAGACATCTGCAGCTGCAGATTCACGGTAGCTCTGTCTCTCACAGCCAGGAAATCACATCTCAATTCACAGGACAAATGTATTTCATCTGACATCTGCAGGATCTTGTCATTTTCAGTGGATGAAATATACAATGAAATTCCAGGGTTTTCTAAGCAAATCTTGGGCATCGATTCACTGTGATCTTGGATAAACTGGCAGACTGAAAATGGGGGAGAAAACAACAGAGGCAAAAAGATGGAAATTTGTATCACCAAACTGGCAAACTTACTTGAATCACCCTTTCCCGACTTGATTCTGTGGAGGCCAGCCTGGGTTCCCAAATGGGAAGAGTAATTAGAGGGAGGAAGAACCGTAAGATTCAAAGGGAAGAAATAATCCCCAACAGTTTGCTGAGCGAATAATTGGCCCTGGTATAGTTGAAAGTTGGCATTACCATTTCATTGTTTAATTTGGTCCATGATTTTTTCATTTTTATGTGTAGATATGCCATGCCAGGGCTTCACTATAACATTCTTCTAGTAGCCTCAGTTCTCTTCAGTGGAGCTATAACTTGAATCTTCTCCACCTGGATTCAAGATTAAACTCACTATAATTATTTTCTATGTAAAACTATATTCCCAAAGGCAATGTTCTAGTGAAGCATGGTTCTACATCATTTTGTAATTTTTCTAAGACAAAAATATGACTTTTCATTCTTTATTGATATCAGCATCCACCATTATGTTTGTGTTTTTTCCTTCCGTTTTTTTATTTCAGTAAAGCATGCTAATGACTCAAGTTCATCCACAGAAATTGGTTCCAAGGGTAAGTTGAACCCATGTGGAGTGTTGGCATTTGTGTATAGCTCATTGTCATCTCAGATTTTGAATTTTTTCTTTAATATCCTCTTAAGTTTATTACAATACTGTTATTATGAAAAACATCTGAACTTAGAGGGTTCTATTGCCCCCCATGCCCTCTTAAATATATGCAAAGGGAGTGATTTTTATAAATATATAACTGTATAAATATAATGAAATACTTATATATAATGCATTGAATAGACAGATAGAGATATTTAATGGAGTAATTATTTTGGGTCTCCCAAAACGTCTCTTATGGTATATAAGGTTGATACTTTTGCAGAAAGAAAAGAAATGGTTAAGTGTCAAAAGACGTAGAGAAAACACTGCGTTTAAGAAAGTTAAGTGGATTTTTTTCTTGCAAGGCTTTTTGAAATATTTGACATGCAACTGTACATTGTGGCTTTCTGAGAAAAAAACAGTTTGTAGCATTTTTCAAGTTCATGTGTCTGCGTGATCTTTTTATTTAATTCTTTCCCCCATAGAACGTCTACCAGAACTTGTGTTCTATGGAAAATGCCTGAGTAAATCTGAGTTGTATAGCAGGCTAGTTCTCTATAATGAGAAGAGTCAGTTACATAATTGCAGCAAATATTCTCTATAAAATGTGGACCAGTGATAACTTAGATACCTTGCATACTTGCAAGTTCAGTGGAGGAGGATGTAAGCTCCTTTTGAAGAACCGTCAGTTTTAAGGTGGACTGATTCATCCCCAACATCATTTCCTTTGAGATTAATAACTCACACATATATAGTGCTATATTTTCACAGCACTCAATGAAAAATCATTGCACATAGTACATATTCAACAATTATTTTTCAAAAAATAAACACGAAGTATAGAAGACTGTCTACTGCTAAAGTCCCTTTGAAGATGGAAGTCTTCTAATTTGCCATTGTATTTGAAAAATATTCTTAAGAAAATAAGAAATGGGACACTTCAATATGCAGGTAGTGAGGATGCTTACTAGTCATTTCCTAAAACTGTGTTTTTCTTTAAGGAGCTGAGACTACAGGTAGAGTTGCCGAAAGAGCTTGATAAATTCATAGATGCCTAGTGTCTACCACAGCCTTCCTCAGTGAGAATTTCTGAGTGCAGGAGTGAGGAAGCTGTTTTTAGCAGAAACCTCGTTAAATTCTTAGGCAATTTAAATTAAATAAAAACATAAACATAAAGTCATTGCACATGACATGATTGAAGTATAGAATATAAAATCATAGATTTTCAATTAAGGACTTCTGTTTGACCTTCTGAGTTAGCAGATATGGTATAAATAATAATATTTATAAAATTTTGCAGTGCTACGCTCAGTAAAAACATATGAGGGACAACCCATGCTTCATGGTAAGAGAGAAGAGGAGTCTATTTAAATGGAAATATGTGAAATGTGTATAGAACACACACACACACACACACACACTCGTGTGTCGGATTTTTTGTTTTAAGAAAGATGTGGTGTCACAGAATTTTATGTATATTAATTTGAAAAAATTCTGACTTTTCTTTTCTATTTTGTAGCAAATTCCATCAAGCAAAGAAAACCCAAACTGCTGTTGCCTCCCACTGAGAGTGGCAGTGAGTCTTCAATTACCATCCTCAAAGGGGAAATCTTGCTGCTTGAGTGTTTTGCTGAAGGCTTGTGAGTAACCTGACTCTCACTCATGACTTTGTCCATCCAGTTCTGTAAAGAATAAGACATCAAGCACATTAAGACTGTGCTTGCAAAGATATTTTAAAATTATTTCCTTAAAAAAATTAAATTCTGCCGGGCACTGCAGATATTCTGCTCAGGACTGTTATTCCAGGTACTTAAGAGGCTGAAGCAGGAAGATTGCTTGAGCCCAGGAGTTGGAGGCTGCAGTGAGCTATGATAATGCCATTGCACTAAAACCTGGATGACAGAGAAAGACCTCATCTAAAATAAAATGAAATTAAAATTAATAAAATAAAATAAATAATAAACATAAATTCTGTCATTATATCTCTGGAGGAAGTAATTTGTACTTCACTCTACAGACTTCAGGCAGTAACAGGCTCATAAAATTAGATCTCTCTGTCAATTTATGATATTGTGGATGGAGGGGATGATGATAACATTCTCCTTAGTTAAGTTTAAGAAGCCTGAGGTTGTTGGTAGTCAGTCCCTCACTTTTGGTGCTGAGTTTTCTCTCTATGCTATACTACTTGCCCCACTCCTGTTTGCTATGTTACTTACTAAATCTGCTGCTTTGCAGGTTCCAAGGAGCCCTATTTATATCTATTTTTACTCTGCTGCCCTTTGCACACATGGAGGTCCAGACCATGTAATTTAAGAGAGTTTTACATCAAAATCTAATTAAGTGAACTTTCTTTACACCTGAAAAAGCAATCCATTTATTTATTTATTTATTTATTTAATTATTTATTCATTTATTCATTTATTTATTTTTTTGAGACAGGGTCTCACTCTGTCACCCATGCTGGAGTGCAGAGGCGCGATCTCAGCTCACTGCAACCTCTGCCTCCTGGGTTCAAGCGATTCTCCTGCCTCAGCCTCCTGAGTAGCTGAAGCTACAGGTGTGTGCCACCACACCTGGCCAGTTTTTTGTATTTTTAGTAGAGACAGGGTTTCAACATGTTAGCCAGGAAGGTCTCGATCTCCGGACCCTGTGATCCACCTGAGTTGGCCTCCCAAAATGCTGGGATTATAGGCATGAGCCACCGGGCCCAGCCCGCAATGCACCTTTTTAAATCCTCCAAGAAAACCCTAAAGGACCTCACTTGGTCACCTCTTAAAATTGTTCCATTTATTAACTACTGTTAAGTACATGTAAACAGGGACCATCTTATTTAATATTTAATCATACAGGGTCTCCTATTTTTACCACTATCCTTCCGAACTTACGGTCCTTCCCTACCATTGAGGATACCTTGGGAAAATGCATTCCAGCTTCCTAGCACCTGGGATTACTCATTTGAAATATAATCTGTTCGTAAGCTAAGGGCTTTGGGGACTCTAGTTAGTGGACTAGGATTTGAAATTCAAAAAATCATATTCATTCATAATTTAGAGTACATTCTGAACGACTGGTTTAGAAATGGAGCAGATTTTATTGGTTTTACAGCCCCTAAGCTTTGTAAGTTTCTCTTTCCAACCACCAAAAATATCAAAGTTGCTTGTCTGTCTTCAACTCCCAATGTGTATTTACATAAATTAGTTAGAAGTACTATGACACAGACTCTGTTTGGAATGTTTGGTCTGTGTATTATTTTAGAAGAGGAAAGTCTCATATTGAGTTTGAATCATGATGGCAACAACCTGCTCTACTGGTTGTATTTGTACATGTTTACAGTGGTAGAAATTACATTCTTGCAGAGTTCATCACTGTATTGAGTTGGGCAGGGTGATCCTTTCTGTAATTCTTTTTTCTTATTTCCCACAAATGCCTTCACTGACCTCTTGGATTGACTAGCAACTGCGCAGAATGTCTTCAAAATAATGAAATGCTCTCATGTGCTTTTTAGAAAATGAAGAGTCATGAAGGAATATATAAAAACAGAGTGGATGAAAATATATGTTGTTGTGAGGACATGAAAATTCTTGATGCGCTGTCCTAAGACTTTTCACCTGAAGTAGTTTCTTCTTACTCATACTGATTTTGTGTTGGGTAATCCTGTCTGATCTGGGTCGTCTCTCAGAAGATGATACATTTTTAAAAAGTTTTTTGGGTCCTTTAAAAAACTCTTTCTAAGAAGTTTTCAAGCCATTAACCTCCTATAGTAACAAAAATAATTATAATTAAAGTATTGTACTATTATTTTGTGTCAAGCACTATATTTGGGTCTTTGAAAACTAGTCTAATTGTCTAATACATTTTACTTGAAAGAATAAAGTAAAATGATTATCTATAAGTGTCAGGTGAACATGAGATATAATTTATCTCAAGATAGGTCTATATCTTGGCAAGAATTTCCAGCTATATTCTTGCAAATGTTTTTCATTTCCTTTTGTTTTAGATTTAAGGGATATTTACCAACAGTATCTGAACAAATGTGTTTTGAGGGAAAACTTATAAAATGGCCATAGATGGACTCATGTGCACTGCTCAAATAGTTTTTTTTTCTGTTTTGTAAATTCGTGGGTTTAAAGTAGGTATAATTCTTTCACAAGATACTACTTTATAAATAGAGAAATATGCAAATAAAAGTTGGCCAGACAAGGACCTGAAAAAAATTGAGATTATGAGGTAGTGTATTTTGTGTGCAAAAAGGCATTAAGCAATATATTTTCCCTCAAAACACATTGCTTAAATGCTGTTAGTAAATGTTATTTAAATTTAAAAAAAGGCAGGAGGTATAAAAAAATTGGCAAGAATAGAGCTGAAAATTTTTGCCATGGTATAGACCTATCCTGAGATTAAATTATATCTCATTTTCACATAATACTTTAGATCATTATTTTACTTTATTCTTTCAAGTAAATGGTATTAGAAAATTAGACTAGTTTTCAAAGACCCAAAGACTAGGGAGTCCGGGAGATCTTGCTGAAAGTGAGTTACTTGCTCTAATAAAGGATGGACTCTTGAAAAAATCCTGTTTTAGGGGAAGTGAGTTCCAGAGCAGCCTATAACTTGGCAAATTGTCATTTTGACAGATGGAGTGAAAAGCCAGCAGTTAGGAGACTTGAGCTATGCATCCTCTTAGGTGGTGTGCTCAGAAAGCCAGCAGCTAATATGCTCTCACAGCTGTCTGCCCAGGCATCATTACCATTTCCTACACAAGCGTGCCATGTGCTCTTAGCCTGGTAAAATATAAGATTATTATTCCAGGCTGCACAGCACGTTAGTGTTTGAGGCTTGAAGGAAGAAGGAAAAGAGTAGATATATAGAGATTAAAGAGCCTTCATCTTTACCTCCAATTTTTTTTGCATAAATAACTGAATTATTTTAACCACAAACTATCAATACAAATAATTTGAGAATATTGACACACACGATTTCAAGGAATTGCTCAATTATTACATAGTAACTAATGGGCAATTTGACAGGAAGCATATATTCTAAGACTATAGAGTTAGGAAGGACATAGGTTGAAAAGCACAAAATAATAGAACACACTGATAAAAAAGGAACAAGTTTAGAGTAGACAAATATAAGTTGGGGTATATCATTTATTGCTCCAGTGACCTTAAGAAATTAATTTATTGGAGCTTCAGACTCCTTACTGTTAAATGATCACAATAATATGCCCATCTTTAGAACTCACCAAATAACCTACAGCTACTAATAACAAGAAGAAATATGGAGAGGAAAAGTGTTGCATCAATAAAATTAGCAAAGTTGTTTCTCCTACTCACTTATAGAACCTGACTGGGGAAGAGAAAGAGACAGTCATCCTTCATTTAGAACCAACCCTTTATGCTTTCCACATAATTTTTAAATCAAATGAGTCACAGAAGGTATGACTTCTGCACTTGTCTGCTTTTCATGAGGAGGGGTTTTTCTTAATGTAGCTGCCTTGACTCCCCAGTCCTTTTTTCCTCCTTACTAAGGTGGGGAAAGTTATCATGCTGGTGTGTAACAAGTTATCATGCTGGTTTTGTTTTGTCTTTACTTTCCTGTTTGTTTTGACTGGGTGAGCTAATCTTTTGAAAGCGCTAAGCAAGGGAAGATTTGGTTCATTCCTCCTTTCCTCTGCTTCCCGACAAGGGCGAGAACGTGATCCAGGAGGCAGTATCTGTGCTGCAGATTCCAGCTTGCCCTGGAATAGGCTGTTCATGGGTCTAATCGACATGTCCAGCTTTCACGCAGGAGCCCCATTCTCCATGATCAGCATCATAGGATTAAAAGGGAAACTTCTCTCTGCTGACTGTTAAGTCCCACTTTACTGTGTTTTACACAAACAGGGAATAGGGCTGTTATCACTGGCTGCCCCAAACCACCCACTGGGAGATTTTCACACTTGGAAAATATCTTGGTAATATTATTTCAATGAGCTCCAGCTATTTTTCCTTCGCTCAGCCACACCTAGTCAGCACTTACATGTAGTTAGCCCTTGTAATAGAGGAGAGAGAAGACTTCCAAGGAGACAGACCACTGGAGGAACTTTCAGTGAAAGAGACTTGCTTCAACACCAGTGTTCACTATTGTTGGTGGTGGGTGTGTCTGTCCACTGGTAAGGATGACGTGATTCAGTGGAATATGAGCACATGTGTAAAAGCACCCTGATAAAGGATGTGTCCTAAGGTTTTCTTTGTATTTTACTTTCCGCTTTTAAAAAAATGTTTATTTATTTAACTATTTTTTGCAGGCCAACTCCACAGGTTGATTGGAACAAAATTGGTGGTGACTTACCAAAGGGGAGAGAAACAAAAGAAAATTATGGCAAGACTTTGAAGATAGAGAATGTCTCCTACCAGGACAAAGGAAATTATCGCTGCACAGCCAGCAATTTCTTGGGAACAGCCACTCACGATTTTCACGTTATAGTAGAAGGTACCTTTCCCATGTTGGTCTATTTCTCTGCTTTTCAAAAAAGTAACTGTATACATGTAGTAGGCCTTGCTTCTAAATCATACATGTTAAAACAGGTCAGCAGTTTCAACTTTTAATTGTAGTGCGGGCATTGAATTATATTACACTTCAACTAAGCAGGTTTGTCATTTACGCCCCAAAATGACATAGAAGGGACAAATGACAAGAAAAGATCTCATGTTAGGGATTAAACACAGACAGTTTACATGATTTATTCAAATAGTCATTAAAGCTAGTCTCCTAAATTATTTTTATTGTAATACACATATACATTTCATAATATTAAATCATAAAAGCAGCAGTAAGGATTATGATGAAAGGAAGTATTAAAATGAGCCTGGAAGAAAGCTTGGATTTAACTTGCTGTGCCCTTTGCCATTTATTTCACTCTCCGTACCTCAGGCTCTTCACCAAAGAAGTGAAAGAGGCAGGCAAATTGTTGTGTCAGCTCTTTCCTGCATATAACACTTTTGTAATCCATATCTTGGGTTCAGATGATAAATTCAGTATGTTACTTACAGGCAAAAAAGAATAGACTGTATGCTATAATATTAATTCTCTCAAAAAGTGCAAAAACATTATATTCAAGTCATCTTCTCTCTGTAAATTCAGAGATTTTGATCAATCAAGGTTTTATTGGTATTAGTTACATTTATAGGAATAAGTAGGCAAAGATGATACCATTTAAATGTGGAATGTAGTTATTAGTGCTGTGACTGGCTGATGTGAAGTTTGTCTAGTCCTCTGAATGTGATTGACACAGACTATTTTCTGTGGATCCAATCACACTGAGGCTTTCTATCTACAATGTAGTTGACCGTATTGATCAAATTAATGGAATGATGACTGCATTTGTACTTATTTAGTGCAGTGTAAGCTTAGCTACTGAAAGGAATTATTCTTTTTAGACTACAATTTAGTGAACTAGTGCTCTAGGCACCCATTAATATTCCAGTAAAGTTCACCTCTTAAAACTTTAGTTTCCACAAGGAACACCTAAGTAATGGCCTGTTGTTTAAATTAATGGAAAAAAAAAAGGACTCAGACACAAATTCTCCTCCCAAGTAAATGTTAACACAGTTGATTTAGGCAAACCCCTGTTTGGAATAACACTGCATTTCCAAGCCTTCTCCATAATGCATATTATTATTTAAGGTAGGAAGAATAGAAAACCGAAGTTGAGAATTTTATTTTCTTTGACTTGACAAAAGCAAAACTTATATAGATATGCATTAACGTCAACATCTGCCAAACAGTGATATATTCCTTTGACATTAAATTATTCACAAAGAAATTCAAGGAAGAAGAGTTTGAAAGATTTATGTTATGTATATTTTTAGTCATCATTTGATGTTTCTATATAATTTGGCTACATCGTGCAACAGGGGTATTTTTCTGTAACCCCCTCCTCCCCTCCCTGGCACACACACACCCACGAACCAGACATATCTAATTGTTAGATTCTCCTCCAAGTTGCTGACTATTAGAAACACTTCCAGATGGCTGGAACATAGCTACGGTAGCTGAATATTTTAACAATCTGGCCACAGTTTTCTTGACTATAAAACCAAACCTTTCAAAAGAATTGCAAGGGTTGCAAAAAACGAAATCAAAGATGTAACATTAATTATGCAATTTAAAATGTTGACTATAGGACTCCAAAGGAATATAGATTTCCTGAACAAATTGTTCTCACTACTCATAAAACAGCTATTAGCACTATTGAGATGTAAATGATGTTTTTATGAAGAACTTTTAATCCTCTCTCTTTAGTAAGAAACTATTAAATGTACCTTCAGTTGTATGTTTTTGAAGTTTCTCTTTACCTATACACATGAAAAACAAATTGAGCTTAAGAAGTCTTTACTTTTTTTTCTAAAGTGTGGAGGTAATAAATAAAAACTTTGTTAATCATCTGGATGGATGAGCTCGTGTTTATTCAATTTTTTCTGCCTTCCTGCACCCTCTCCTTTTCCTTTTTTGTCTCTTTTTTAGAAGCCCACATTAAATAATAAGGATTTGCCATGTGAGAAAATAGCAATGCTATTGTATATTTTGAAAATCTACTCCATTCTGAAAACACCCATTGTGCTTAAGTAAAATCATGGATTCGATTGGATTCTTTCTGTATGTGCAATGTCTTTCCTATTACCAAACATAATATAATCAAATACTATGAGCTTGTAATTTAGGTTGCAACATCCTAAATATAAAATCAGACTGCACTTCAAATCCTATAATATGTATGAGCAAAAGCAGCCAGGATGTCTTGACTAGGTACAACTGTATATTCTAAATATCTAAGATATGATTAATTACACATTCAATAAAAAGAGATATATTATAGTGACATCTAAAACAGTCTACATCCAGAAATCAAAATATAATCACAATCACATTTCAATAGACTATTTAAAAATAAGCTCCCACCAATAATTTTTATGTTGTCAACTTTTGAATTATTTAAAGCCTTTGAATTTTAGTAAGTGAAATAGGAAAGCATTTATATGTAATTATAGAGCCATAGTATAATCCAAAATGTTTTTGCATTTTCAAAGGTTGTCATAAAATCAAATGCAACTCAGTCATTAATATACTTGAGAAATCCTTGTTTTCAAATAACAAACCTATTTCTAAAATGTTGCGATTAAATCCAATTTTTGTTGAACCTAACAAGTTTTGATTTATTAAAATATAGATTTTAATAAGAACCTGTGAAGAAACAGTTTTACTAAAAATAACCAGTGTTGTATGTTCTATAGGTACCAAGTTTGTTTTATTTTGTTTTTTTCCTAGTGATAAACATCTCTATTTAGCTTGCTTAATATATAGTCCCAATGTTCAGACATTTGCATCTGTTTCCAGCAACATGAGAAATATTTATCATCTTATTTTTGTATTTACAATTATGAGAAAATGCATAAAGTTTCAACATAAGCAATTTTCATCTGTTACCATATGTCTTAGGATAATAGATAAAAGAATGGGTTTCTATGAGGATGGTATTTTTCCTCAGAATTTTTGGTTTTAAGGCTCAAGAAGCAGCTGTTTCTGAGCAGAACAAGCTTGACTCAAGTCCCTCCCAATATTACATGATTCAGGACCAGCTTACTTCTATAGGAGAAATGGATGAAAAGCATTAAAGTAAATTTTCAAGCAATTATAAAGAAAGCTTATAAAGAAGGGTTAAGGTAAAGTATAGTGAGGAAGCCTAGTGAATGCTCAGAACTTCTTGAGTCAGTTGATAAATATTGGGGGAGCTTGGATTTGGAAGCATAAATTGGGCTGGCCTTCTTTCCTGTCTTTGATACAAATTCATAAGATAACACTAAATTAGAAACAAAAACCACATGACTTCAGAGTCTAAATGCTGCTCATCCATAGTTGCTGTGTATTTATCTGTGGAATGGCGAGAACAGGAACTGGAGCTTCCTTTGCTGGTGGGCCTGGGCAAGTTAGGCAACTTCTCCAAAGCTCAGCCCTCTGTCTGTAAGATGAAAGGATTGGATGACGTGATAATTTGGAACCTCTTTCAGTAATACTAATATTACTAATAGTCCTAATAGTAAATATCCTAATGGCAATAGTAATTATTCAAGAAGATTTACAGAAATATCATTATTGCTTGATTTTCTTTATTTCTGCATACGTTGAAAGCAATAGTTGTAATTTTCTATTATAAATATGATATGCCATAATGTTCATGTTCATGGAATATTTTTCTCTAACTTACAGATATTTAGTTTTATATTGGTTGTATTAAAATAACCAGAAAAAAAGTAAGGATATCATTAAAAAAATGCAAAATAGACAAAAATAAACCTTCACCTCAGAAAATGATCGCAGTTTATAATTTGGACTAGTGTATTTTAAACCAAGTGACTAAACATTTACAGGTAGTACAGCTTATGAATACAGATATTTAACTTGGAATTTAACAATTAAGTCCACACCCTGTGGAGTAATTACAAAGGCACTTATCTCACTTGGACTTGAACTTGAACTTGCCAAGGCTAGTTGTGTACTTTTGTTTCCTCTGATGAACTTACAGTTCTTTCCTTTTTACATAATCCTCTTTTTCTTCCTTTACTTAGAAAAATTTTAATGATATTTTTTCATTGTATACATACATATATCTTTGAAGACTTTCGTTTTTAGCTAAAAATGGAAATCTAAAATATCTTTGGGGAAATAACCAAACTACACTTGATGGGAGTTGCTACCTGCAGGTTTTGTGCAATTTTCTCTGAAATCAAATTATCCAAACCATCAACACTTTAATCTAAACCTTTTAGTTACCCCTGACATAGCAATATTCATGAAGTTATAAAACATAGAGTTATAAAAACATGGAAATCCAGTAAAATGTGTCATCTGTTTCTGACATACTTTGTAGTATTGTTACACTGGAGCATTAGGGCATAGAAAGATACAGGTAATTTTAAGGTATATTTTGCTGCATTGTTTTGACTGCAGAAAGCTAAACACTGCTTTTGGGCTTCTCTCTCTCCCCTCTTACAAAAAAACTCTAGGAAATAATATTTTTCAAGTAGATTATATGTATAAATGCTATAAGATCACTAAGAAATATTCAAAATAAGCATTAAATATTTTAATTAGTTTTATTTTTAAAATTCTTACAATATAATTCTTGTGTATCCACCTTTTTAGATGCCATGCTGCAGCTTGAAAATAACCTGTAGTGAGCTCTAAATAAACTCACCATCTGCTTATTCTTCCCTCATTTTTTCCTAGTGGGGTAGCTACTTGTATAGCTAAATAAAATGGTTGTATATAACTATTTTCAGTATGTTGATGTATGATACATGCTGAGTCCAAATTAAACACAAGCACACACACACACACACACACACACACCATACAACACAAAAGCAGCTCCCACCTTGCTTTGCAGAGCAAGTTTACCAAAAAGAGCTACTATGAAACCCTTTGTGGTGTCTGCCCTCTGCTGGTGCAAAGTAGAAATACAGGCCTTAACATTTTTGGACTTTTTGACATAGATAACATCTCTCATGAGCTCTTCACTTTACATCCAGAGCCTCCTCGCTGGACAAAGAAGCCTCAGAGTGCTGTGTATAGCACCGGAAGCAATGGCATCTTGTTATGTGAGGCTGAAGGAGAACCTCAACCCACAATCAAGTGGAGAGTCAATGGCTCCCCAGTTGACAGTAAGTTTAAAAACCAATTGCAATGCAATGCTGAAGGCCCTGGTTTGACGGGATTAATGATGGTCAGACGTGTGTAAAATGAAGTTGGTATGTGGTTGGATTAGCAGGACAGATACAACCAGCAAATCAGAGATTGTTTATTTCTAAGCAATTTGGTTGTTAAGACTTGATATTCATGGAAGAGCCATAAATAATATTTATACTGCCTGTGCCCTCTTATAAATTATATATAAGAATAAAGATTTTTAATTTTTAAAAAGAAAATTGAATGAGAAAGAGGATGCATCCAAGGAAAAAAGCCAATTATTGTTCCTGTCCCTGAGAAGAAACAGAACAGTAGCCTAGCAGCTGAGGGCACAGGTTCAAAGTCAGGACCTCCTTTAGGCTCAGGCAACAGCAACACCTGTCCTGGGCTCTGCCCTTTTAAGGGACTTGCTCTGATCACCCTCTGGTCCCGCTTGTCTCCATGATTTGAAAGCATCCTCAGGGAAAAGGAGGCATCCCAAGTCTGAACATGGTCCCATTACTGCCTATTTGCTACCAACCTCAAGCACAAAGACCTGAAAATCCCCATGCCCGGTCCACCCTGAGCCCACTCCAAATGGGCTGGGCGGGGAAAGACAGGAATGGCCCAGCACTGAGGGCCAACTCTCCCCATTTCACCATGCTCAGCATAGAGCTCCAAGGAGTCCCCAAATCTTCCACTGGAACCTAGAGCTCAGATTATTTTGGATGTCCTTGTTCAGGAAGAAGGATAGAACATATTTTTACGTGTCAATTGCTTAATTAAGAGCAGGTACGATAGTGGCTTCCATTTGTCCTTTTGCTCTGGGGCCTGCACAAGTCAAGGGTGAGCCACTTGGTGGATAACAGACCTCGGGTCCCGTCTAGGATGTGCACCTTGCCAGCTGTTTCATCTTGAGGTGTTTTCTGAATCTCCCCAAGCTTACGTTTTTTAAACTGCAAAATGGAGATAGTGGCGGTTGGTTGTGCTTGAATGAAAAAAAATGTGGCCAGCTGCCTAGGGCAGTGATTCATCTGTAGAGCACTGTGATGGTTTATAAACTCTGGAGCCAGACTGCCTGGGTTTGCATACTGACTCTACCACTTACTAGCTGCGTGACGGGGAGTATCACTGACCCTCTTCAAACCCATTTCTTCATCAGTAAATTGGGATAAAAATAACACTGACTCACGGGGTTGTTTTGTGGATTAAAGGAAACATCATGCAGAGAATGCTTAGCACGGGGACTGCCACAAAAACAGCCCCCCGTAAGGTATGGTTGGTTGGTATTGTTTTCCCATAACAGACACTCAGGAAACCTTAGTCCTCATTATTAACTATCTTCAGATTTGGGATTTTTCTCTTCATCTCTTTAGGGAACAGAATAAAAAATGAAAAATAATAATGAGGTTTTGGGTAGACGAAGGGAAATGAAAGCAACTTTTGTTTATAATGAATGTTCAGGTTACAAAAGTAAGGAACGCAGATTCTCCGGAACACAAAATCATAAAATATTATATTTGGATGGTATTTGGCTGTTTACAAAAGACATTCACAAATTACTTAGAATCCTCAAAAGAACTTTATAAAGGAGGTGCTATTATTCATATTTAACTGATTCGTTCATTCAATAATATTTATGGGGTACTTTCTATGTTCCCGGCACTGGACTTCATGCTTGAGATATACAACAGTGAATAAAATGGATGGAATCCTTGCTCTCCTGCCATTAGACAAATAACACATGAGTGTGTGCTATGGTGTGATAAAGCAGAAAATAGCTGGGTAAGGGCAGTGCCTGAAAGAGGTTCAGGACCCAGAGTTGCAATCTTAAGATCATAATAGTAAGACCCCTGTGGTAATTTACCTTTGAGTGGAGATGGGAAGGAAGTGAGGAAGTCAGCCACCTAAATAGCAGGGAAAGTGCTGTCTCAGTGGAGAGGTGTGTTGAGGAGGAGAAAAGAGGTGAGTGTGACTGAAGCTGAGGGAGTGCAAGGGGCAGCCCTAGGCCACCAGATCCGCCAGCAGGGGAAGGGGCCAGAGCTCAGGTAAAGATGAACATCGAAGTAGGGCCTTGGGATTTTGAGAATACACTAGGCAGCTCTTGGAGAATTTTAAGCAGAAGAGTGACACAATCTAATTTACATTTTTACAAGGTATTTTCCTGGCCTTTGAATGGAGAATGGACTGTGTGATTGATACTAGGTAGGAGGCCATCTGAGAGGCTCTGCGCTCAGGGCTAGATTGGTGGCAGTCATGGTTGGCTTCTGGATTTATTTTGAAATTGAGCCAATAGGTTTGTTAATGGATGAGGAGGTCAAGGCTGAAAATAAACTTATGCGAGACCACACAGCTGAATAATGGTAGACTTCAAACCAAAGCCAGGTGGCTGGAATCCAAGCTCGGTGTTCTGTTCACAGCTTTTGGCCCTGGCTCTACTTGTTGCCCTGCAAACAGGTCGTAAACTTTTATAGGCTGGGATATTTGATGACAGAGTGTTGGCTAGAGGATTTGAAACCTCTTTAAGCTTATTTTAGTTTTAGAGGTTATATATCCTTTCCCCATGTTATTTCAAAATTAAATCAAAATGATTGCTATTATTGATTATCGGACTAACCCTTTTCACATGCTTTGCATATGATATTTCTGAACCTCGTAGCAGCTTGAAAAATAGATTCTATTATTCTCCATTGGCAACTGAGACTCAGAGAGGTTACATTACTTACTGGAGAATGCAACCCAGGTACATTTAAAACCAGGAACTAAACCCAGGAAGGATTAACTCCAGAGCTGAAGTTTCGTCCATTTTATTGCATGATTTCTCACAGGGTTGACCAAAGACAAAACTGAGAAAGAATTTCTGAAGTATGTCAGGACTAGTGTGTTTTATAAAGACTTGGCCTTCTTGAATCCTGGGAGCTTCTGTTAGCCTTTGTCAATACACAACAATTTCCATACCCATGCCAACAGGCAGATTTAAGCAATGTTTAATTACTTAAATAAAGTATCATTTATATAGTCTAATTTCTTACTTTTGTAATGCAGTGTTAATTCAGAGCCATGCATGGATCAGACGGGATAAGGAGAACTAAATGGGAGGATGGCGTTAACTCTGAAAGTCTTAGGACCCTGAGTGGGGTGTGGAAGTGAAGAGTGGGATTAGAGACTCAGTGCTTTGCAGCATTCCTAAAGAGTTTAGCCTTTAAAAACTTGGAAGAGCTACTCATCTTGCTAATTTGCAAGAAATAAGTGATAAATTGTTCAACAGGATTGTATTAGTTTTCTAACATTGCTGTAACAAATTAAATTACCATAAACTTAGTGTCTTAAAATAGTGCATGTACACTATTTTACATTTCTGTAAAAGTCCAACACGAGTCTTGGCTAAAATCAAAATGTCAGCAGTGCCATGTCCTGGAAGTGCTTGGAGAGCATTCCTTCGTTTGCCTTTTCCAGCTTTTCCAGGCTGCCCACATTCCTGGCTCCCTTCCGCCATTTTGAAAGCCAGCTACACTGCATCTCTCTGACCATCCTTCCATGGTCACATTTCCCTCTGACCATAGCCAAGGAGGGCCTTCTGATTTTCAGGAGCTTTGTGATTACATTGAGCCCACTTGGGTCATCCAGATGTAGGAAATAATTTTCCTACCTCAATGTCCTTAATCTTAATCACATCTGCAAGTCCCTTTTTTCCATGTAAAGTAACAAAGTCATACATTCTGGGACTTAGAACGTGTACATCTTTCAGGGGCTATTGTTTTGCCTACTTACAGGGGCCTTTCAGGAATAAAGGTTACCCAACCTAACATTTTAAGTCATTCCAATAAGTATTTACTGGCTGGATTTTCTCTGGTAGCTGCTCTTTGGGCAGTGGGGACACACTGCACAACCTCACACTCAGGTCCTGCCCTTAGAGAGCTCACAGTCAAGTGAAAAAAATCTTCATTTGTGACTCCTAGGCAGAAAAAGATGTGTAAGTCTTTTATTTCAATATGTAGTATTCATGTTTTCTAGAACCTAAAGCTTAGTATAGTCATTATCTCGTATAATGGAGAGACAATCAGAAAAGTAGAATTCGATTGATTATTAATCTTGTAATGTCCTTTAAACTAAAAATTTTTGCATTTGTGCCCTTCCCTTGACATTTCCAGCTAACATGTTTTCCTTCCCACTGGATTTATATATATAAAATATATGTTATATATATATATATTATATACGGATATTATATATAATATAATAATATATATTTATATCTATATATATACTATAGATATAGATAAAGATATACACATACATAGTATCATAGCAAGGGCAGGGCTTTTAGAGTCAGAAAAGTGGCCAAATGTTGTGGGATGTGTCATCCAACTTCTCTGTAATCCAGTCCCCTCACCTTTAAAATGGCCATGTAAATGCTGATCCATCGAGTTCTGAGCAGTGTCAGTGAGATCATGCATGTGCCACATCCAGTAGAGTTTTTGGTCCTTAAATGCATCAGAAATGTTAGGTATTCTTTTTTTTCTTCCTTTTCTTTTTCTTCACTTTTATTTTAAAGTCTCTCTCCATCACCCAGTCTGGAGTGCAGTGGCGAGATCTTGGCTCACTGTAACCTCCACCTCCTGGGTTCAAGTGATTCTCCTGCCTAGCCTCCCAACTAGCTGGGGTTACAGGAGTGCACCACCACACCTGGCTGATTTTTGTATTTTTAGTGGAGACAGGGTTTTGCCGTGTTGGCTAGGCTGGTCTTGAACTCCTGACTTCAAGTGATCCATCTGCCTCAGCCTCCCAAAGTGCTGGGATTACAGGTATGAGCCACCATGCCCAGCCTCATGTTAGGTATTCTCATTTCCAAAAGATATTCCCAGAATTATACTTGGATCAGGAGTGGGGAAGGTTTTATTGCCCCAAAGTAGAAAATCTGGCCCTTTTTCTCAAGAAGAGTTTAGTCTTCCTGGGAAAATGAAATATACAAGCAATGTACATGAAGTGGTTAAATAGTGAAGCAAGGCAAATGAAATCAATGGTGCAGATCAGAAAACTGTAGAGAGGCAGAGAACTGAAACGGGAACAAAAGCGTCAAGGGGGAAAATAGCAGCCAGTACTGGTAGCTAGGGAGATCGTGATGTGTTGACCATGTGACTTGTGCCAGGCAGCATCAGTGTCTAAATTCAGAAGAGTAACAGAGTGTCACTTCATCATAGGTCTTGAATGCCTAAAGGATAATCCAGAATAGTGCCATGAGTATAGGTATGGAAATTCTGGGAGGTCCAGATGAGCAGATATTTTGTTGCTAAATATTAACTTGAAAGATAATTGAAAATTCACATGGATCTGGAAAGAAAAGTCCATAGTTGATGTTCAGAAAACCTAAAGAATTGGCTTCAATGAACTATTAGTCACCCTAAACTGGTTTGAAAATATAAATACTGTGTGACACATTTAATAAATGGTGTATAAATATTTTATGTCCTGTTCCTTATCAAACTGACATTCTTTAATCTCTTTCAGATCATCCATTTGCTGGTGATGTTGTCTTCCCCAGGGAAATCAGTTTTACCAACCTTCAACCAAATCATACTGCTGTGTACCAGTGTGAAGCCTCAAATGTCCATGGAACTATCCTTGCCAATGCCAATATTGATGTTGTGGGTGAGTGTGCCTGGGAGCTGACTTAACATGCTATTTTCCTAAGGAAAGTGGTCAAGGTCATGTTCAGAAGTGTATTAACTCTTGACACATAATATATGGAGGGAAAAATCAAACTACTTTTCACCATACATTTGAGTTTTAGACTTCACACTGAAATTGTACTTTCTTTTTTTTTTTTATTATACTTTAAGTTTTAGGGTACATGTGCACAATGTGCAGGTTAGTTACATATGTATACATGTGCCATGCTGGTGCGCTGCACCCACTAACTCGTCATCTAGCATTAGGTATATCTCCCGATGCTATCCCGCCCCCCCTCCCCCCACCCCACAACAGTCCCCAGAGTGTGATGTTCCCCTTCCTGTGTCCATGTGATCTCATTGTTCAATTCCCACCTATGAGTGAGAATATGCAGTGTTTGGTTTTTTGTTCTTGCGATAGTTTACTGAGAATGATGATTTCCAATTTCATCCATGTCCCTACAAAGGACATGAACTCATCATTTTTTATGGCTGCATAGTATTCCATGGTGTATATGTGCCACATTTTCTTAATCCAGTCTATCATAGATGGACATTTGGGTTGGTTCCAAGTCTTTGCTATTGTGAATAATGCCGCAAAAAACATACGTGTGCAGGTGTCTTTATAGCAGCATGATTTATCTTTGACAAACCTGAGAAAAACAAGCAATGGGGAAAGGAATCCCTATTTAATAAATGGTGCTGGGAAAACTGGCTAGCCATATGTAGAAAGCTGAAACTGGATCCCTTCCTTACACCTTATACAAAAATCAATTCAAGATGGATTAAAGACTTAAACGTTAGACCTAAAACCATAAAAACCCTAGAAGAAAACCTAGGCATTACCATTCAGGACATAGGCATGGGCAAGGACTTCATGTCTAAAACACCAGAAGCAATGGCAACAAAAGACAAAATTGACAAATGGGATCTAATTAAACCAAAGAGCTTCTGCACAGCAAAGGAAACTACCATCAGAGTGAACAGGCAACCTACAAAATGGGAGAAAATTTTTGCAACCTACTCATCTGACAAAGGGCTAATATCCAGAATCTACAATGAACTCAAACAAATTTACAAGAAATTGTACTTTCAAAAATGTATTGAATTGGGATACTTCTATAATTCAAAACAGACACCATAATATTCTGCTGTTTTCTGTTTGTATTCGTATGACTAGGACATAGAAAAATTTAATTTGCATATCTTTCTTCCACAAAAGTTTAAAACTGCGTTTATGTTATTTTCAAATAGATGTCCGTCCATTGATACAAACCAAAGATGGAGAAAATTACGCTACAGTGGTTGGGTACAGTGCTTTCTTACATTGCGAGTTCTTTGCTTCACCTGAGGCAGTCGTGTCCTGGTAAGCCGGTGGCTCATGGTTTTCTTAAGAGAATGTCAATTGTAGATTTGACCTTGTTTCTTCATCCGTCATTTGACAGGCTGTATTGTGTCTATATTGTTACATGTACCCAGTACCTCTGAGACATAAGGTAACAAACTTACCGGTCCAGGAAATTAGCTCTACTGAAAGCATTGGCTAGATTTCTAGGATTTTCTCACATAGAGACATACAGAGAGCCACTTGTGTTCATAAAGAAAAGCAGAGAATTGAAGAGATTACAGAGACAATTTTAAAGGTAGTTTTGGTTTTTCATTATGAGGTACCACAAGGTCATGTTTTACTCTATTGTTGTTGTTTTGGGATTATCTAAATGATTATCTAAGCTCGAATTTAATTCCAAATGCATGTGCTTAAGACTTTTCCAGCATTCATTTTGATTTTAATTTCAATGAATTAATTGGTATCATAAGTCCAAAGACATTATCAATATGGATCTACCTTATTAGTTGCTTTACTGAAAAAGCTTGGTTAAATAGTTCTTGAATAATTTTGTCATTGGTCTGTAGGGCAGTGTGAGATGAGTGACCCCAGGTCATAAATTTATAGGGTCAGATATTGCCTTTATTTTAAATCATGATACGTATTTTGTTCATCGTGGGTTTTTTGCATTATTGTGATTTTTCAAAATACTAGATTGAAATATTATTTACCTTGCTTACTGAGATGTTTGGCACCCTGTTAAATTTTGCATCTGGGGCAAGCCTCCCACTTGCCTCAGCCTAGTCCCTGTCCTGTATGATCCTACATGGACCGCATCCACAGCTTATCCTTAAAAAAAAAAAAGAAACTCAAGCAGTCGCTTATTGTCAAATGTACAGGGTAAATCAAGCTGTAGCAGCAAGGGCTTGGAAATGGCTGAATGTTGGAGGAAATGGCTCTGGGGTTGATAGGGTAAATGTAATCCATGTCCACAGGACAGGCAAGACTCCCCAGCTTATAATATTTCTGAATGACCAATGTTCTCCCAGGACAGCAGGAGGTTTGAAAGGTTCATTATCTCTTTCAATTACTAGCTTTCCCATTTAGTACCCTGGAGCAATCATTAACTAAAGAGTTCACCATCAATAAGCCAGAAAATATTTATTAAGCTCTGAGGACACATGCAAACCGGTGCTGGTGGCTATGACAAATACAGCAGAAGCACTGAGCATGGACTTGGATTTTCTATAGCCACAGTCTATTTGGGTAGATAAGATATACAATCTTGGTCCATTTTGAGAAAAATATGAAACCCACTGGAACATTTCATGAGGTTTTCTGAGCTATTGAAAGGGGATTAGCCTGAATGACGTCACTGACTAGTATTAAAAAGCGTATACAATTTTGCCCTACCTCAGATGGATGTACGCTTTCTTTGTCCATAGGCAGAAGGTGGAAGAAGTGAAACCCCTGGAGGGCAGGCGGTATCATATCTATGAAAATGGCACATTGCAGATCAACAGAACCACCGAAGAAGATGCTGGGTCTTACTCATGTTGGGTAGAAAATGCTATAGGAAAAACTGCAGTCACAGCCAATTTGGATATTAGAAGTATTTTTATTTCACTGTTACTTTGCATGAATTGTCACATGGGTTCAGTCTGTCTTCATTTGCCCAAATGGAATAATACCATTTAAGTTGGAGTACCAGATAAAGTTCTTTGAACCGTTTTTCAAAATTCCTAGAATGGGTTTCATCTAAAAGATTATTGCAAGAACTACAGGGTATGCCCATGATATGTGCACAGCTTCATCCTATTTTAAGAGGCAGCCAGGTGTCTGTAGTGACAGATGGCTGTCAATATTTAAAAATTACCTATTAACCATACTACACCATATTTCTGTAACTATATTTTATTTCCAAAGCTAACTCAAGGTAATGGTAACAGTAATCAAGTTTTTGAGCTAAAGATTTCACAAACTCATAACTTTATAATGACTGAGGCATGACAGAATGAGGAGGGTTTTTGATCCTCTTTTTGAGTCATAAACAGCTTTGTATTATTCCTTCTCACTTCAGGGCACAGTCCTGGGAGCTGTTAATAGTTTCTTGGGCTTCACTGATATTTTGATTTTAATATTGCTCAGAGAATCTTCAAGAAAACACAAAATGGAAAGGATCTTCGGTATTAATAAGGAGCATTTTTGTTTCTTCTGTCGTGTCCATATCCCAGCCTGCTTCTCACTTCCACCTAGATAAGGGAGAGCATATTTGTTTGATCATCTGTTTTCACTGATGCCACTTTTCCTCATACATATCTGCTGTTGTATCCACTGATGTCTTGACATTTCTTTCTCTCTTCCCATATATATCCTTCCTTCCTTCTTTTTTCATCCTGTTTTCCTTTTCTTTTGCTGTACATCCTTTTCTTATTTTATAGCATTTGTCTCTTTCTGTGCCCTGAGTAAATCAGTGTGCCAGCCCCACAGACTATATTTTTAAAGCACTCAAATACTCTCCCACAATATCTACTTATCTCTGATGTCTTTTACATTTTCAAGTGTCATGTACACTTTTCAAGATGCCCTCATGAAGTCACTGAAGATGGTGATGATTGTTTTTATACTTCAAAAAGTAAACCTATATCAAGGTTAAGCAACTCAGCTAGGTGTAAGGAGCGTGAAGCCTCGAATCCAAATGGAACTTTGCACTCCTATTGCCCAATACAGTGCTTGGCCCAAAATGGACCTCAAAACTGCTAGTGGCCAGAGAGATGGACAAGTTTAGAAAGTTTCAATATGCTGTAGTGTCTATTTTATATGTTAAAAATATATACGAATCGTATCAATGGAGGATTAAGGACACTTTTTTTTTTACATATACAAAAGGCATGTTGAGAATGGAGTTAAGTGAGAGCCTATATAGTATAGTGATTGAGAGCATGAGCTTTAGTCTCAGGCAGATTTGGGTTCAAATCCTGGTTCAGCCCATTCCCGGTTAGGAAACCTTGTCTTATGGCTCAATTTCATTTTAGCCTTAAATTATTTTCTCTGTAAGGTGGGAGTATTAATATTCATAAAGTTGTTATAATTATAAAATGCCACAATGAATATGCATTACTTAGCAGAGCCCTGATAGAGAAGTGTTTATTAAATTGTATCTATTATTATTAAATGAATTTCTGGCTTTAAATTTAGAATTAGAAGTAGGATGTCAAATAATTCACTTAAAATTAATTCAATTTAATAGTCTCTTCAAGTTTTGTGCCTGGAATAACAATTAATTTTATTAATACTTTCCATTTTTAGCCAGTTCCTTGAGAAAAATGTACATAGCCAATATCAGAGTATAATTATAGAATTGGAGGTCAGCTTGTGCAGTTGGTCTCTGGGAGGTCCCCAAAATGCCAAATGCCACATTAAGAGTATACTTACTTTTAATAGGGCATTAAAGAGTAAGGATTGCACGTTTTGAAACAATCATAATGAACCAAACATTTTCTTAAGGCAGCCATAAACCAATCTTTGAGTTTCATAATGTTGATAACTACAAATTTATTTTTGTTTCAAACTATCACTCCCTGTAATTCATTCAAAAGGAGACTTAACACTATGTATTGAATGCCTACGGTGTACAGGCTCCCTTCTAGGCTCTGGAGACACTGCAGTGTCATGAAACAGTCACAGGCCCTACTTCCCTGAGGCTTGCTTTCTAGTTCCCCACCTTCATGTTAATAGTTCATCCATTCATGGGCTTAAACATTTACCCTCAGGTTTCTGAATTAATAATAAACACCCTAACAGAAAATCAAATATCTTTCCCTTTTCCTTTACAGTGCTTTGATTATATATCCAGAAGCACTTGAAGGAGAAATTATGTTATTTTCAACTTCTAGAGACATTTGTTTGCTTATACTTTGCTTACTCCCTTCCCCAAGAAATAATGAGGGAAATTCCTAAACTATTAGTTGATATTTCCACTTAAATTTTGTCAGATGTCCAAGCCTGGATGGAAAGAAAATAATAATGACATACAATGTTAGGAAATTACAGTGGGACAAACCCTGCATGAGGATTGGACAGTTATGGTGACAATTTGGGTTACTTAACTTGCAGGCACTTAATAACAAAGTAAGTTACGCTTAGTTCTAACTAATATCTTTGTTTGGTAAAAACAGATGCTACAAAACTTAGAGTTTCTCCTAAGAATCCTCGTATCCCCAAATTGCATATGCTTGAATTACATTGTGAAAGCAAATGTGACTCACATTTGAAACACAGTTTGAAGTTGTCCTGGAGTAAAGATGGAGAAGCCTTTGAAATTAATGGCACAGAAGATGGCAGGTAGGTAAACTATTATGATATGTCATAATATTTGCTTGGGGTAAACAACTTGCATTTGATTTAAAAAGTTCTAGGTCGGGCATGCTGACTCACGCTTGTAATCCCAGCACTTTGGGAGACCGAGGCGAGTGGATCACTTGAGGTCAGGAGTTCGAGACTAGCCTGACCAACACGGTGAAACCCCGTCTCCACTAAAAATACAAAAATTAGCCGGGCATGATGGCACGTGCCTGTGATCCCAGCTACTCGAGAGGCTGGTGCACAAGAATCACTTGAACTCAGGAGGCGGAGGTTGTGGTGAGCTGAGATCACACCACTGTACTCCAGCCTGGGGGACAGAGAGAGACTCTGTCTCAAAAAAAAAAAAAAAGTTCTTAAAGCATTCATACAGAAACAAAAACAAAAACTGAGTAATATTTCTGTCTTCAAGTCACTTCACTCTGCTATCATATGTTTATCATCCTGTTTTTGCTACTGACTTTTCATGTAACATGTACCATTCTATTAGTGTGTGAAATGGAAACCACTCTAAGTAACCGAGGAAGAATTGCATGGGCTTGGATGGTTGCAAAAAAAAAAAAAAAAAACTGGAGGAGCTAGGCCTAGAAGAGGCTGCATACTAGTCTTCTAGGTTCTTGATCACAAAGCACTGCAGCTGCAATCCAGGTGTCTGGAAACTGCTGCCATCTTCATGGCCACCTCACCCCATTGGTACTACTCGTGAGTCCTGCCACTGCCACCTCTCATGTCTGCCAGAACCACTGTCTGCTCCCACTGGCCCAGAGAAGATGGCATCCATTTTCCTTCTACTTTTCAATCTCACATGAGTTTATTTAACTCACTAGCAAAACCTAAATCATATCTGGGATTCTTCCTGCCAGAGAGTACTGAGAAGTACACCTTTGAGTCTTCCAAACTCTGTATAGAGAATATAGACAAAATATAAAAGAGAACATATAGAGGAAAGTGTGAATGGATGCTTAATAGCACTAGATGATATTAAGTACATCAAAGAAATAAAAAGTCAGCATTTGCTGAATGTCTACTCTCTTTTGAAAATATGAGAAAGTCAGCTTCGCGTCCTTTTGCATTGTTACTAAGTAAGGGTTAAAACTTAACCATCTTGGAGCCAAATCTCCCCTCTCATTAATTTTGTAATTTATTACCCTGTAAAACTACAAATCTGAAAATGTTTAGATAGGACATGTGCTGCTTGCATGAGACAGCAACACTGCCATGGGTAAGATCATGAACTCTGAAGCTCAATGGCTCAGATTCAAATCTCAGCTCAGTCACTTATTAGATCTTTGAACTTAGACAAGCTGCTTAACATCTTTGTGCTTTAGTTTTAAATCCCATAACATAGTTTGAATTAAAAGTATTAAAAAGGTACTTTCATTATAGGGTTAACAATACCAAGTACTTAGAAAACATTAACATACAGAGCACTTAGAAAATACCAACTGCACAGTCCATTTTTGCTTTTGTGATTTGTACTGCTAATTTCTTCATTTTTTTCCTTATGACAAATTTCTTTTTTTAATTTTTGTTTTTCTTTACATCTTCATTAAAAAATGGGATACATGAACAGAACATGCAGATTTGTTACATAGGTATACATGTGCCATGATGGTTTGCTGCACCTATTGACCTGTCCTCTAAGTTCCCTCCCCTTGCCCTCCACACCCCAAAAGTCCCTGGTATGTGTGATTCACCTCTCTGTGTCCATATGTTCTCATTGTTCTTCTCCCACATGTTTGCTGATGATGATGGCTTCCAGCTTCATCCATGTCCCTGAAAAGGACATGATCTCATTCCTTTTTATGGCTGTATAGTATTCCATGGTGTATCTGTACCACATTTTCTTTATCCAGCCTACCACTGATGGGCCTTGGTATCGGTTTCATGTCTTTACTATTGTAAATAGTGCTGCAATAAACATATATGTGTATGTGTCTTTATAGTAGAATGATATATATTCTGTTGGGTATATACCAAGTAATGTGATTGCTGGGTCAAATGGTATTTCTGGTTCTAGATCCTTGAGGAATCACCACACTGTCTTCCACAACGGTTGAACTAATTTACATTCCCACCAACAGTGTAAAAGTGTTCCTTTTTCTCTGCAGCCTCACCAGCATCTGTTGTTTCTTGACTTTTTAATAATTGCCATTCTGACTGGCATGAGATGGTATCTCATTGTGGTTTTCATTTGCATCTCTCTGATGATCGGTCATGTTGAGCTTTTTTTCATATGTTTGTTGGCCATGTAAATGTCTTCTTTTGAGAAGTGTCTGTTCATATCCTTTGCCCATGTTTGATGGGGTTGTTTGTTTCTTATAAATATGTTTAAGTTCCTTTTAAATTAAGAATATTAGACCTTTGTCAGATGGGTAGTTGTAAAAATTTTCTGTCATTCTGTAGGTTGCCTGTTCGCTCTGATGATAGTTTCTTTTGCTGTGCAGAAGTGCTTTAGTTTGATTAGATCCCATTTGTAAATTCTGGCTTTTGTTTCAATTGCTTTTGCCATTTTCATCATGAAGTCTTTGCCCATGCCTATGTACTGAATGGTACTGCCTAGGTTTTCTTCTAGGGTTTTTAATGGTTTTGGGTTTTATATTTAAGTCTTTAATTCATCTTGAATTAATTTTTGTTTAATGTGTAAGGAAGGGGTTTACTTTCAGTTGTTTGCACATGGCTAGCCAGTTTTCCCAGCACCATTTGTTGAATAGGAGATCCTTTCCCCAGCGCTTCGATTTGTCAGTTTTGTCAAAGATCAGATGATTATAGATGTGTGGTGTTATTTTTGAGGTCTCTGTTCTGCTCCATTTGTCTATATGTCTGTTTTCATACCAGTACCATGCTGTTTTGGTTACTGTCGCCTTGTAGTGTAGTTTGAAGTCAGGTAGCGTGATGCCTCCAGCTTTGTTCTTTTTGCTTAGGATTGTTTTGTCTATATGGGGTCTTCTTTGATTCCATATGAAATTTAAAGTAGTTTTTTTTCTAATTCTGTGTAGAATGTCAATGGTAGTTTGATGGGAATAGCATTGAATCTATAAATTACTTTGGGCAGTGTGGCCATTTTCGTGATATTTATTCTTTGTATCCATGAGGATGGGATTTTTTTTTTTCATTTGTTTATGTCCTTTTTTATTTCCTTGAGCAGTGGTTTGTAGTTCTCCTTGAAGAGGTCCTTTGCATCCCTTGTTAGCTGTATTCCTAGGTATTTGATTCTCTTTGTAGCAATTGTGAATGGGAGTTCATTTATGATTTGGCTCTCTGCTGGTCTATTGCTGGTGTAAAGGAATGCTTGTGATTTTTGCACATTGATTTTGTATCCTGAGACATTGCTAAAATTGCTTATCAGTTCAAGGAGTTTTGGGGCTTAGACAACGGGGTTTTCTAAATATAAAATCATGTCATCTGCAAACAGACAATTTGACTTCCTCTCTTCCTATATGAATACCCTTTATTTTTTTCTTTTGCCTGATGGCCCTGGCCAGAACTTCCAATACTATGTTGAATAGGAGTGGTGAGAGAGGGCATCCTTGTCTTGTACTAGTTTGCCAAGGGAATGCTTCCAGCTTTTGCCAATTCAATATGATATTGGCTGTGGGTTTATCATAAATAGCTCTTATTATTTTGAGATGTGTTCCATCAATAACTAGTTAATTGACAGTTTTTAACATGAAGGAATGATGAATTTTATCAAAGGCCTTTTCTGCATCTATTGAGATAATCATGTGGATTTTGTCTTTGGTTCTGTTTATGTGATGAATTACATTTATTGATCTGAATATGTTGAATCAGCCTTGAATCCCAGAGATGAAGCTGACTTGTTCATGGTGGATAAGTTTTTTGATGTGCTGCTGGATTTGGTCTGCCAGTATTTTATTGAGGATTTTTGCATCAATGTTCATCAGTGATGTTGGCCTGAATGTTCCTTTTTTTGTGTGTCTCTTCCTGGTTTTGGTATCAGGATGATGCTGGCTTCACAAAATTATTTAGGGACGAGTCCCTTCTTTTCAATTGTGTGGAATAGTTTTAGAAGGAATGGTATCAGCTCCTCTTTGTACTTCTGGTAGAATTCGGCTGTCAATCCATCTGGTCCTGGGCTTTATTGGCTGGTAGACTATTAATTACTGCCTCAATTTCAGAATTTGTTATTGCTCTATTCAGGGATTCAACTTCTTCTGGATTTAGTATTGGGAGGGTGTATGTGTCCAAGAATATGTCCATTTCTTCTAGATTTTCTAGTTTATTTGCATAGAGGTGTTTATAGTATTCTTTGATGGTAGTTTGCATTTCTGTGGGGTCAGTGGTGATGTCCCCTTTATCATTTTTTATTGTGTCTATTTGATACTTCTCTCTTTTCTTCTTTATCAGTCTAGCTAGTCATCTATCTATTTTGTTAATTTTTTCAAAAAAAAAAAACCAGCTCCTGGATTCATTTATTTTTTTGGAGGGTTTTTCATATCTCTGTCTCCTTCAATTCTGCTCTGATTTTAGTTGTTTCTCTTGTCTTCTGCTAGCTCTTGGATTAGTTTGCTCTTGCCTCTCTGGTTCTTTTAATTGTGATGTTAGCATGTGAATTTGAGATCTTTCTAGCTTTCTGATGTGGGCATTTAGTGCTATAAATTTCCCTCTTAACACTGCTTTAGCTGTGTCCCACAGACTCTGATACATTGTGTCTTTGTTCTCATTGGTTTCAAACTTCTTAATTTCTGCCTTAATTTCATTATTTACCTAGGAGTCATTCAGGAGCAAGTTTATCAATTTCCATGTAGTTGTGTGGTTTTGCGTGAGTTTCTTAATCCTGAGTTCTAATTTGATTGCATTGTGGTCTGAGAGACGGTTTGTTATAATTTACGGTTTTTTGTATTTGCTGAGGAGTGTTTTACTTCAAATTATGTGGTGGGTTTTAGAATAAGGGTGATGTGGTGCTGAGAAGAATGTATATTCTGTTGATTTGGGGTGGAGAGTTCTGTAGATGTCTATTAGGTCTGCTTGGTCCAGAGCTGGGTTCAAGTTCTGAATATCTTTGTTAATTTTCTGTCTCATTGATCTGTCTAATATTGACAGTGGGTTGTTAAAGTCTCCCACTATTATTGTGTGGGAGTCTCAGTGTCTTTGTATGTGTCTCTAAGAACTTGTTTTATGAATCTGGGTGCTCCTGTATTGGATGCATATATATTTAGAATAGTTAACTCTTCTGGTTGAATTGTTCCCTTTACCACTATGTAATGCCCTTCTTTGTCTTTTCTGATCTTTGTTGGTTTTAAGTTTGTTTTGTCAGAGACTAGGATTGCAATCCCTGCTTTGTTTTGCTTTCCATTTGCTTGGTAAATTTTCCTCCATCCCTTTATTTTGAATCTATGTGTGTCTTTGCATGTGAGATGGGTCTCCTGAATACAGCACACAGATGAGTCTTGTCTCCTTATCTGATTTGCCAGTCTGTGACTTTTAATTTGGCTACTCAGTGCATTTACATTTAAGGTTAGTATTGTTATGTGTGAATTTGATCCTGTCATCATGATGCTGTTTGGTCATTTTGCTCATTAGTTGGTGAAGTTTCTTCATCATGTCATTGGTCTTTATATTTTGGTGTGTTTTTGCATGACTGGTTCTGGTTTTTCCTTTCCATATTTAGTGCTTTTTTTCGGGAGATCTTGCAAGGCAGGCCTGGTGGTAATGAAATCTCTCAGCATTTGCTTGTCTGGAAAGGATTTTATTTCTCCTTCACTTGTGAAGCTTAGTTTGACAGGATATGAAATTCTGGGCTGAAAATTCTTTTCTTTAAGAATATTGAATATTGGCCTCCACTCTCTTCTGGCTTGTAGAGTTTCTTCTGAGAGGTCCACCGTTAGTCTGATGGGTTTCCCTTTGTAGGTGACCTGGCCTTTCTCTCTGGCTGCCCTGAGCATTTTTTCCTTCATTTCAGCCTTAGAGAATCTGATGATTATGTGTCTTAGGGTTAATCTTCTCATGGAGTATCTTAGTGGTGTACTCTGTATTTCCTTAATTTGCATGTTGGCCTGTCTTGCTAGGTTTGGGAAGTTCTCCTGGATAATATCCGGAAGTGTGTTTTTCAGCTTGTTTCCATTCTACCCATCTCCTTCAGGTACTCCAACCAGTTGCAGGTTCAGTCTTTTTATGAAGTCCCGTATTTCTTGAAGGCTTTGTTCATTCCTTTGCATTCTTTTTTCTCTAGTCTTGTCTGCACACTGTATTTCAGCAAAGTGGTCTTCAAAATCTCATGTCCTTTCTTCCACTTGGTAGCTTTGGCTACTGATACTTGTGTATGCTTCATGAAGTTCTCCTGCTGTGTTTTTCAGCTCCATCAGGTCATTTATATTCCTCTCTGAAATGGTTATTCTAGTTAGCAGCTCCTGTGACCTTTTATCAAGGTTCTTAGCTTCCTTGCATTGGGTTAGAACATTCTCCTTTAGGTCAGCATAGTTTTTTATTACCCATCCTCTGAAGCCTACTCCTGTCAATTCATCTGCCTCATCCTCCATCCAGTTCTGCGCCCTTGGTGGAGAGACATTGTGATCACTGGGAGGAGAGGGGTTTTTAGCATTTTTTTTGTTGATTCTTTCTCATCTTCATAAATTTGTCTTCCTTCTATCTTTGAGGCTGCTGACACTTGGATGGGGTTTTTTGTGGGAGATTTTGTTGTTGATGCTGTTGTTGTTGCTTTCTTTTCTTTCTTTTTTTTTTTTCTTTCAATGGTCAGGTCTACCTTCTGTAGGGCTGCTGCAGTTTGCTGGGGGTCCACTTCAGTCCCTATTCATCTGGTTCACGCCTATGCCTGGAGATGTCACTCAAGGAGGCTGGAGAACAGCCAAGATGGGTGCCTGCTCCTTCTTGTGGGATCTCAGACCTCAAAGGTCACCAACCTGTTGGCAGTAGGATCACTCCTATATAGGGTGTCTGACAAGCCCTCTTGGAGGGTCTCACCCAGTTGGGTGGCACGGGGAATAGGACCCATCTAATAAAGCACTTTGTCCCTTGGTGGAGGGGATGTGCTTCACTAGGGGGAAACCGACTTGTCTGGGCTGCCTGGATTCCTCAGAACTACCAGGAGGAGACGCTAAGTCTGCTGGTCTGCAGAGACCATGGCCACCCCTCCCCCTAGGGGCTCAGGCCCAGGGAGATCTGGATTCTGTCCCTGAGCCTCTGGCTGGAGTTATTGGAGTTCCTGCAGGGAAGCCCCACCCAAGGAGGAATGATGGGTCAGGGTCAGGCCTGAAAAGGCACTCAGGGTCAGGCCTGAAGAGGCATTGATTCTGCCACAGTGGGTGTGTTGGGCTGTGGGGGACGTGTCTTGGGACCAAGCCATCCAGCCTCCCTGGCTCCAGCAGGGGAGAAAGCACAGCCTGGAGCTACAGATATGAATGTTGCCTCTCCCCCACCCAGGGAGCTTAGCGTGTTAGGCAGTTGTGATTCCCAGTGCTGGCTGCTGCCCCTCTTCTAAGGAGCTCAAATGGCTTAGGAAGCAGGCAGCTGCAGCTGTGGGGCTGGCCGCCCCTCCACCAGGAGCTCGGTAGGCTTAAGCAGATTCCAGCTGAAAGGCTGTTGAGAATCTGTGGGGCTTCGGGGTTGTGATGCTAGACCCAGTGGCTGGAGTTTGTGAGTGGGGTCTTCCAATCCATGGGTTTCACAGTTCTGTGGAAAAAGCTGGGTAGCACATTCACTCACCGCCTCCCTTGGCTGGGGGGAAGGGTCTCCCCTGCCCCGTGCGGCTCTCAGGTGGACCACTGCACCACACTGTTCTTCCCTCCTCTCCGCGGATCATGCCAGCCTCCTAGTCAGTTCTTCTAAGAGAAACCTGGATACCTTGGTTGCCAGGGAAGGATTCACACACTTACTATAGTTCTTTTCCATGGGAGCCTCCGAACACAGCTGTTTCTAGTTCGCTATCTTGGTCCTGCTCCCTGCCTCCGCCTCCCCCAGCCCCCACCGCCCCACTGCCTTCATTTCTTCATCTGCTTGTCTCATTTCTGTTGCTTGCTTGGTCTATGTTGGTATTTATGTGTGAGCCGCCTCTATGCAAAGGCATTGGTCTCAGCCTTGGTTCTTGATTTATTCTCTCCCCTCCTTCCGATATATACAAAGGTTTGCAGAAAGGCAGTGTATGTATTACAACCAGTTCTCATTGAAACACGAGATTAATTATATACCTCTAAAGGCTACGCTTTGCAATACAGATCTCCAGCCTCAGGTTAGGTCTCCGCTGATCTGCCAACTGCTCAGATATGCCTAAATTCTGCCTCTTTTGTTACTACTGCCTGACTATCCGGGGTCTTCCATGTGACCTCTGGGCTACAGCCAAGAAGGGAATCAGAGACCCATGGCTGGTGGGTAATATGACATGGACATTTAGGCTTTGACCCCAGAAGCCCTAAGCAACCTTTTCATGTGACCCAGTTTTACAGTTCCTGCAGGATCCCAGAGCTGACACTGAAATGAACCTCTGGCTATCTGAGTGGACTGAGCAAGTGACACAGATGTTCTGCCAATTTCCCTAAACAAGTAACAGGGATAAAGGACAATAACCTTAGCTCAGAAGAGGCCCCAGGAGCAAGGAAGCCTGGGAGTAACTGCTGCTGGCTGGCCTTGACTGCTGCCAAGGGCATGCACGGTGATATAGCAGGGAGTAGAAGTCACAGGTATCTGCTAATTTTCTACAAAGCCATATCAGTAACCTCATACTTCTTACCTTCTGCTGAGACACCTTCTCCTTATTACTATGCAGAAGACCGGAAGCTTTAACCTAAAGGGAGGTTAAACTTCTAATCAAATATACATGGTGAACAATGAGAAGTGAAAATTCCTTCTTCTCTTCTCGCTTGTCCCCTTTCTTGTGTAGGGATGCAGTAAGTGCTGGGAACTGCCACTCTGAACCATTAGACCTACGGGGCTTCATGTTATGTTAGTACTTCCCATACATGCTTTCTCTCTTTAGGCCTCCCAATAATACTATTAGGTAGATTGAAATGCCCCCCCAGGAATTTTCTGTGGATTTCCTACCTGCAGGTGGCCATAGACCATACAGGCTATAGACCATACACTATGGTTATGAAAAATGAAATGGAGCATGGCTATGAAACCATTTTTAGAATTTATATCGTGCTTAACAAAGGTAATGGGGACTGTTCATGACTGTAGGCAAAGGGAGGGACCTAGTCCTGTGGGAGAGACCACTGTAGCATGAAAAGTGGGATATACTGATAACTAGGAGGGCGTGGGAGGAAAGGGCATTGAGAATCCAGTGGGAGGGTTTTTCCTTGGCACCAAATAGGAGCTGCTTTTTTCCCCCTCCAGAAATAGTGGCAAATTAATGAGGGAAGGGGAGAAGTTGAAGATGCAAAGATGAAGATGCAGTCATAGTGAAAGGTCTCTTTCTAACAAATTAGGAAATAAGGTAATTTGTTCAAGCAGAGAGGCAGGAGAAATGGGAGTTGGGGACATTAAAACACCAACCATGAGAAATGTGATTAGCAATAAGCCAAAAATGAATGAAATCAACTTGATTAATATTATTAGTAACACTCTCTGAGCACATACTCTGCCAGGCTGTATGCACTAATCACTTTATGTGCTTTACCTCATTTAATTCTCCTAAAGAGAAAGAAAATATTGTTATCCCCATTTTTCAGATAAGATGAATTAGGCTCAATGTTTTGTTCAAGGTTGTACAAATAATAATTGATGGAACTGAGCCGCAAACACAGGTCTCCAAAGAGAGAATCGTTTTGTCATAGTGCCTTCAGGGAAACACGGATATTACTCAGCTGAACAGGGTAAGACAACAATGGCTGCTGACATGGATTAGGGACTAGCAGACTGGATACCGCAGATGAAGGAGTCGAGTGGTTTTAGTGGATAGATTTCTCAGGCAAGGTAATTAAGCAGATGAAGGCAAACAGAGGAAAAGATTGGGGCACGAAGATGTGAAGAGGTTTTTAGCTTCTTCTAAGAGTTCAAGTGTTATGAGAGTAGAAATGATACAACTTTTTAAAGCAGAATCCCAGCTGACCTATGATGGGAACATAATGTGAGGGAGGAATAAGTGACTGTTTTCTTGGGCATGGGGAATTTGGAGCTGTCTGTTACTGCAGCACACCATAGTGTGACCCCGTGTGTGATTTTCTGTGTGACCCTATGTGTGACAACTATTTGTGATTTTGACATGTGACAGAATTATCCAGGCTTCATGTTCAAATGCAATGGCCCTTGCCCCATCTCCAAATGTACTGATTTGGAACCTGGACTGAGGCTGGAACACGACATTTTTAATAAGTTCTTTAGGTATACCATACCTACCACATTTCGAGGACTAGTGAGGCACCCAACGTTGATTAATTGGAGGCACCTAAGATACATTTGTGAGACTGGAAACAAGGCATAGTGCAACCATGACTTGCCAAAAAAATTGGTAGCTTTCTTCTCTGGCCTGAAACACCCCGTGCCAGGGTATAAATCTTGGCAAGATTTCAGCTACTATGGGCCCTCGTGCAGGGCACAGAAGTCCTATTTCAAGAGGTTATTAAAGTATATTCTTTCATCTAAGAAGGTACATTTTTCAAAAATTGTCAGGATATGCAGTATTCTAATATTGTATCAAATGGACACCTGAGTAACATGACCTGACATGTTAATTCATGTCAAAGTTTTATTATGTCTAGAATTATGGTGAGATTCTTGATTAACAATTCAAGGTAATATTGGTTGGCAAATCTTTCTATTATTGGTGTAGGAATAAGGGCTGATTCTGTCTATAATCAAAATAACTATGTTTCATTACACTGCAATTTAAAGTAGGTTTATATAATTCAAAATTCTCAGCATTTTATATGAAATGTACATAAAAATATTAATTATGTGAGCCTCCTTTCCTCCTCACAAGGATGACACTATTTAAGTTATTTCAACAAAATGCTAATTATTATGAATACATTTTAAATTTTACGGAACTTGAAAAATACTTTAATAGTTATCTCAACAATGGTACGGGGTAAAAGGTGAAGTTTATAAAGAAGCAGTTTTCTCATAGTAAACCTGATCACAAATTGGTAAAAACAAATGATAAAAAGTGAGGTGAAATGATTTGCAAAAAGAAGTACTACACTGCCATCTTCTGTTCAAATAAGTCATATGCTTCAATTGCTATCTGATCTTAATGTGCATTGTACTTGGGAGTGGAGGGGCGGAGAAAAGAGAAACTTGTGAAAAACTGAGATTATCCGACTCCTTCTCAGGTATTCTGGTTCTGTGGAATGGAGATGGAATTCAGGAATCTGCCTTTGTAGGAAGCACTCCAATCGAGCCTATATAGGTGATTCCCTAAACATACCTTAAGAATTACTCAAATATATCTTGGCCATTGTGAGGTATGATGCACTCTTTAAACATGCCAGGCAACATACAGTTCCATCACTGACCCATGCAAACAGATGGTTAGATTTCATAATTTTTAATGTGATTTTGTTTATGGCTATGTAGACAGTTGTGTATGCTAGAATAATTCTTTATCTCCAGGTTTCAACTGTGGCATTCTCTAATCAAATTTGCATTGCATAAAGTCATCTTTCACTCTTAGATTGTTTTCGATAAGGAATATGCATTTTTAAAAGAATTGGGTTTCTATCATTTCTATTGTTTTCCTTCTCATCATGTACTCACTTTTTTTCTGATAGGATAATTATTGATGGAGCTAATTTGACCATATCTAATGTAACTTTAGAGGACCAAGGTATTTACTGCTGTTCAGCTCATACTGCTCTAGACAGTGCTGCCGATATAACTCAAGTAACTGTTCTTGGTAAGTGCACTAACTAATGAGAAATCTGTTCATTTCTTCATTTCTGATTAAATCCCATCGTTCCTGGCCAATAAAGCTAATGATTCTTTGAGCCCCTGCACATATATTGTTAGTTTCAAATTTTTGTTTAAAAAGCAACACAACTTCAAATCCTTTCTCCTTTTTTCATATAAAAGAAATTAATTAATGCTTAATTTTTTTTCCCTACATGTGTTAATTTGCCAATAGCAGTGGGAGGTAAGTGATGCTATCCGCAGAAAGAAAAATAAAGCACGCTTGAGTTCCTAGCACTCTTGAGCTACTCTTTCCTGGTGTACAAAGAAATGGGGCTGAGGAATGGAGGTGGGCTAGACTGGAGGATCTCGATAGGGGTCAAGAGGTGGATGCACGGTGGTCATCTCTAAACCAAAGGCACAGACTGAGTTCCCAGGGTTCCAGGAAGGATGGAGAGGAACTTCCAGCATTCTACAAAGGAATGTCTTTGATTTTTGTCGTTGTTGTTGTTGATGAAAGTACTAATCAGGAAACAGTGTGCACACTTCACTAGTATAATCAATGCAATTACTCCTGAAATCACCAATGTTTAAAGCTCTTAGACCATCTGCTGGATGTTTTCCAAAATTTCCCTTCCAGATTCACTCTCTACCAGCTCTTTGACCTAGAAAGGTTGCTTTTAAGGACAACATCAGCAAACCACTTTCCTTCCAGCTATTATTTGGTTCAGCAAGTGGAGGGCCGTTTGGAGTGTTGTACTGATTCTCCCTACTCCATCCCTGTGGACTGGCTGTGTCCCACTGCCAAAGTCATGGCTTCTGCAGACAGGGTCTCCTCACACCATTCCTTCTGATGAGGCTCTAGCAGCTGCATCCCACCACCAATATTTCAAGTCTCTCTCACACCCAACCTACTGAACATCCTGCCCACATCTTTTTAAAGACGTTTTATTAAAACATTTTGGAACTATCGTAAATTTGTGTGAGTTATTCATTGATTTTCTGCAGGGACCCTAACAGCTACAGACATTTGTTCTGTTTCGGTGGCCACCATGTAGTCTTTCTTTTAGTTTGCAGACATTCCTTAAAAGTGTTGGTTTTGCCTACCCTTCTTTATCATATGTCTACATTAATCACTGTTATCAACAGACCTTTGTGTCTTTAGCACTCCAGCTGTTGGGGCCACCTGTTAGGTTCCAAACAAGGGAGGTGGTGGTACAGACCAAGGGAGAAAGTTCAGTCTCTTCTGAGAGACTGATAAAAAAATGGGTCAACAGGCTGGATCCCTTCAAGTAAAGCAAATGGCCAACCTGTCTCGGGCGAAACAAATGGCCATCAAGGTTGGGTTCTAAAATAAAAGAACAGTTTCCACTTACAGAAGGTATGGACTTGTAGAGTTGTCGAGTCGGCTCAGTAGAATTGTACCTTTAGGCAGAATGTTTGGCCATTGGGTATTTGAGCATTTTCAGGTCTTTACAAGCAGAAAGGTTTAATCCCCTAGGATGATTTCAACAATAATTCATCAGATAAAGTAGTCGAGCTTCAGATAAACTGGAATTCATCCCAGGCCTAGTGAGTAGAGGGGTAAGTGTCAGGCTCCGTGCGCTTTGTCCCTAAGTATTTTGAGCAGTCTCAGCCACCAAAAGGACCGGGTCTCCTACTGCTTGGTGCTCCCCTTCTCAATTTCCTTACAAAATTTAAAAGTTCATTCTTGCGATTAGGCTGCCATTTTTGGAACTATTAATTTTTTTAATTCTACATAAATTTTACCTACGATTATATGTACTGGTTATATACGCAGTAATCTACCAGTGTTTACAGAATAAAAATAAAAATAAATTTTGGAGAATATTATGTTTAAAATTTACATTCTTTTATTTTTTAGACAAACTTCTGATTTACCAAAGCATCTCTCGACAATTGACAATAAAAAAATAATTATATAGACACATACGAGGTTTCTAAAAGACTATGTTTTACCCCCTGGAAAACAATTTTTTAAAGTACATACTTGACCCCCTTTAATCAAAAGTTATTTTTAAAAGCCTTGACATAAACATGCTTTCAGGATATCATTTTTTAAAAGTTTCAGTTGCAAGTTCATCAGTTCTAGCTCCATACGATTCTCAGAAGAGCCAGATTTTAATATCAGATGCAATACACAGCCTTAGTTTATTCCAGGAAGCTTCAGAAATCAGTGGACTCAGTAAATACTGAAGAGAAACCAAAGTCCTCTGAGCTCAGAGATTCTGAAACCTGTTGAAGAATTAACTTTTTATTTATGGCTTTAATGTTTGGACACAGTCATGAACCACATTTTTTAAAAAACATGTTCTCTCTTCTGAATTGGAAACGATGCTTTTTGTCAATGTAAATTTCTAACAATTAGCAAATATTCAGGAGGAGCAATGGACGGTGCTTTCCACTTGGAGAAGAAAGAGCCCATTGAAAGGCTACATTAGATAATATCTTCCTTTTCTCTTCTGCTAAAAGATAAAAGTCCTCCAATGCTTGAGAGAATTCAAACCCAATTTTCAGAGTAAATACCATTAGAAATAAGATTTCTTTTTACTGTTGCTTTATTTTCAAAGTACCAGAAATTTTCATTTTCTTTAGTACTCAAAAATTTGTGATCATTTACTTACTTAATTTTCCAGTTTCTGTCACAACATTTAACAATGCCAAATCTCCCTGTTCTGATATAAACTGCCTTCCTACTCTTTTTGAGAACTCCAGGTTAAGACGGTATCAAAGTTGCTATAATGAAAATTCATTGTTATCAATAATGATAAAAATCCAACACAGTTGCAGAAAAGAAAGCAGAGCTCATGATCTCTTTTTCTATAACCATAAGACCTAATGTTTATTGCTTTAATATAATAATTATACACATGATTGAAGTAATAATATCTTTTTCACTGATTTATTTAGTTATAAAACATTTATGTGTGAGGCACTGTGGGCAATGCAAAGCTTAATAAAATATGACCCCTATTCTTGGAGATGAATCAGGCATATAAACAAATATGTACTGGACAAACAGAAATGATTCATTTGAGATACATCATGTTTCCCAGACTTGGGTATACCTAATCCCCATCCAAGGAACTTGTTTGCAAATGCAGATTCCTGGGCCCACCTTCCTCAGTAAGCCAGAAATAGGGCCTAGGAATTTTCATTGTTATTAACTACTCCTAAAAGAATTCTGATGTCCCTGGTCAAGGATAACCCCTTGAGACTGTAATCAGAGAAGAGGGAGGTAATATGGTCCATTGGGGAGGACATGTGGAGATGCTGCATTTTACAAAGAACCCCAGACCCCAGAGCCTGATGCGATTGAACACAGTGGAGACATGGGCCCAGAAAAGAAGGGTTTTTATGGAACCAAACTGGGGTCCACCAACCCAGTGCAGTAAGACCAGGTATCTATACTGAGGTTTGCAGTGGGAGAAAGGAAGACACTTATCTGCAGGGCACCAAACAAGAACTGGTCAGCTCATGCTTAAGTCCCAACCTCCCCAGTGGCTTGCAGGTGAAGGTATTTAAAAGCAGGAGTAAATTTCAGGAGAGCAAATGCTATAGGCAAAATAGTAAATTAGTACATTGAGGTTACACATTGCTTTATGCCTAAAAGGGTGAGGTATCTTGAACTGGAGTTGGGGCATGGCTTACAGGTCATAGGTGGATTCAAAGATTTTCTGATTTGCAATTGGTTAAGGAAGAGAAGCTTTGTTTAAAAATTGGGAGTCAGCCAAAAAGAATATTAGCTCTGGCTCATGGATGTGGCTCCCTTTAGGCCCTCAGGAAGAAATTTACAAAAAATGATGGTCAGAACTCAGACTTCAGTTTCCCCTTATCTGAGGTCTCCATGCCAGCAAAGTTATTTGGTGAGAGTCTGGGTTCCAGAAAAACAACTTAGAGACATATATTAAGATGTTATCTTCAGTTTCTATAGGAGAACCAAACATCCCTGTGATTCCAGCTTCCTTGGCTATTGTTTAAAGCTACTATTACCTCCGTTCTTATCAAGTTGTTTATTTACTTCTTAGGGCTAGCTAGGTGCCTGAATTACCCTTGAAACTCCACCTTTCCCTTCCATATGTGGGGTGGGGGGCGGGGGTGCTTCCCAGGTCCCTAAGAGGGTGGTACCTCCTCTGTCTCCGGGTAGCTGGCAATGTGTCTGAGGAAGGGAATCAGGTAAACAAAGGCAATTATCTACATTTTCCCTTCCTTTATTAATTAGATGTTCCGGATCCACCAGAAAACCTTCACTTGTCTGAAAGACAGAACAGGAGTGTTCGGCTGACCTGGGAAGCTGGAGCTGACCACAACAGCAATATTAGCGGTAGGAAGACTTGGGATAACTGTTTTCATTACTCTAGATAGTCAAAATTAATAGCGAAGTCACTTTTTAACCACTCTTACTGGTTTATTCTTCTTATAACATCCTTTTGAACTTTTAATATTGAGTATAAATTTTGGTATAACTTATCCATACTCCATACATTCTAATATTTTTTCCCTGTTTATACTACCAGAGTATATTGTTGAATTTGAAGGAAACAAAGAAGAGCCTGGAAGGTGGGAGGAACTGACCAGAGTCCAAGGAAAGAAAACCACAGTTATCTTACCTTTGGCTCCATTTGTGAGATACCAGTTCAGGGTCATAGCCGTGAACGAAGTAGGGAGAAGTCAGCCTAGCCAGCCGTCAGACCATCATGAAACACCACCAGCAGGTATGCAGGTTCTCACATCAGGTTTCTAACAAAATATTTGTTTGTCCCCATCTTTGAACATCTAAAAAAAAAAGATTGATAGAGTAATGTAGGATTTTAGATTTCTCCAAATAGTGTTAACAGTTCTCTAAACAGCACACAAAATATTCAAAGCACACAAGTTTCAGAAGTGTTACATACGAGTTCGATAAAAGCAGGAAATTAGGGGAGTGACATATGAAAAAAAAACATTACTTTCAGTAATTTTGTGATGGCTAAATATCAAGTTTAACCAGATATCATCAAGTAAGTTCTAAATTAAAATTCAATATGTATGCATCTAACATTATTAATTTTTATGCATTCAGTGTCTTTTCTTGTGTCTCAACATCAATCTAAATTTCCAAGATGCGTTTGAAAAAATCTCAAGGATGACTGCTAAAATTTGTATTACTGAATTGTTATTGATCATCAATGTGGTCATAGCATGATATTTTATTTTTCCTTGGCTAAAATAAATACTCTAGGACATAATTTCCTTTTTGGACTGAGAAAAAGCAAGTGAAGGTTATAACTGGATCAGATAGAAATTAACACTTGTGTGATTTTAGTGCATGTCAACCTTTGCACTAAACTCCACATTTAGCTATTTCTAATAAAACGAATCCATCTAAAAATATTCATGACTACTGTACAGGTTTTATTCATTTTGATGTCCTTAAAACTTGGCTGCTGATATTAATACATGGTGTTTACTTTATTCTTCTACAGGCAAATATTCACAACATATGTTTCTAATGACAATTCTAATAGAAAAAATAGAGCAGGCTTAAATTAAAATTTTTTTTTAAAAAAGCAGGTTCAGAATTTTAAAAAGCAGTTTTAAAAATTTTAAAAGCAGATTCAAAATTAAGACACATATACTAAACCATCTACTCTCCACTGGATAATAATTATTTCACTCCAAGAAGACTGTTTTACTCTTTTAAATAAAATACATATTTAAAATCTACCTTAAATCTTTTTAGGAACTGGACCAGATATAAATTAATAAGTACAATCAAACTTACTTAATTATCTGTGTTTTTGGGGGGCAGGAGTTGTGATATGATGACTTACCTATGGGTTAAAAGGAAAAATAATGTTAATGTTTTTAATTTTTCAGCTCCAGATAGGAATCCACAAAACATAAGGGTTCAAGCCTCTCAACCCAAGGAAATGATTATAAAGTGGGAGGTGTGTATTTCTTAATACGTTATGTATTTCTTTGTGCTTTTCTCTTCCTCTTAGGTCTGCATGCTAACTACAATGATAGCACAACATTTTTTTAAGAACAAAGATAAGATTTGGAAATGAAATTAACTTGTGAGTCATCATCACAAATTTTAAAGATCATTGTGATTAAAATGATGTTATGAAATCGAGTTTAACACTGGTCAACAATTTAGGGAAGATTATACAGATTGATTTAGTTGTAATACATTACCGAAGTTTCAAATTATTAATAATTTAATTAACAATATTCTAGATTCTCTTCCATTCAAAAAATACTGAAAATCTTTAATTAATTTAGTATAATCTACTAGATATTATGCATATCAAACTGATGAACCCCCATAAAGTATTCACTACTCATTAAACACCAGTAGACATTTTGTATTCTCCTTTCTAGTAATTCTGAGGATGGTCTTGTGAAGAAAGCATCATGAACGCCTTATTCTAGATCTGGAGATGGCATCCAGGATTATGAATGTCTTGCCCATCACCACACAACCAGAAATCCGCAAAGCTAGGATTTATGTATGAGGATCTTTGGACTCCAAACCTCACTTTTTCCTCCTTTACATATCTCGGTTAAATGTTATTAAATAGACTTCACCATTTGAATTTTGCATAAAAATGCCCATCTACCCAGATAATTTTAATTATTCTAGGGTCATTTCCAAATTTTTTCTGTAACAGTGGGGCATTTTATTTTCTCTCTACTACTTGGATGTATTTAATGACCAGTATATTGGCCTACCTAAAAGGAAATTATCATTCAACCATTCTGATGAGTAATAGGCCTCCAACATTGAATTTATAAAATTTTGTGTAAACATAGAACATTTTTAATGTATGCTGAAATATACTAATTTATTTCCACAATTCATTCCAGGTATAATTTTTGGGAGAATTTTAGAATGCACAAAGTTTAGTTTGCTTTTTATCCTCATATGTTGGTCTTTGTACTCATTACACAATCACATGGCCCATACCTGCAAAATATTTAGTCAATATTTTTTAGATCAAAATTAGATCTTTATTTCCACTTCAGTGAAATTAAGTTTTACAAGTTTAAGATGTGGAAAACTTTTTTTAAAATGGTAATACATAGAAATGAAATATATTCAATAATATTATTTCTTTCCTTGAATGTGTGGTTATAGTTACTACTACATTGTCTTGATAATTACTTAATTTATAGTCTAAAATGATGTTAGTCTTTTAGGGTGTATCTGTATTATCCTCCCTTAAGTTCCATAGAAATTTTCATAAAGTAGATAATATAGTTGGTTAGATATCAGTAATACTGTGTATTTGCCAGTCAGTTCCTCAGAGAAGCACATCATGTTCCAGTAACATTAGCTCATTAATCCTCACTACTCCTTTGGGAGGGCTGTGGTCCATGATGGTGTCAGTCTTATATGTCATAAAGAGAAACTGGGAATCTCAGAGTTTAATGACCTCACCCAGATGCCATGGGCTGAGTCATATGGAAAAAAGGCCAGAAATCTTCAGTCTTTTTGACTGCTCCTCTCACTCATAAGTCATTTTTTATTACCCCAAAGATACACAAGATTGATTATTAATGCTCTCTTCTTGTAAGAATGGGACTGTACTAAGAAAGCATCTATGGCCAGGTGCTGTGGCTCATGCCTGTAATCCCAGCACTTTGGGAGGCCAAGGCGGGCAGATCACAAGATCAGGAGTTTGAGACCAGCCTGGACAATATGGTGAAACTGCATCTCTACTAAAAATATAAAAATTAGCCAGGTGTGGTGGCACATACCTGTAATCCCTGCTACTTGGGAGGCTGAGGCAGAAAAATATCTTGAACCCGGGAGGTGGAGGTTACAGTGAGTTGAGATCATGCCACTACGCTCCAGCCTGGGTGACAGAGCGAGACTCTGTCTCAAAAAAAAAAAAAAAAAAGCATTTAAAATTGGTCTTTGAGGAGCAAACGACATGTCATTTAGTAATTAATTGACTAGAGGAAGGAAGTAGTCACAGGATTTGGATCTAGGCTGACAGTTACATTCCCAATATGTCCCATGGTGTCTCCTATTATCTTGATGTGTCAGAGATCTAATCACTACTGACACAGCCAGTGAAGTTTAAGAACATTCATTCACTGAGTATGGTTCTGTATGGATCATCCTGCGGAAAGGAGTTAGACTCCAGGTTTTTCCCAGTTTCACAATCAGATAGTATTGTGAATGAATTACCAGACCCCCTCCAGAGATGTACTAGAAATAATTCCTATCTACATGATAATGGTCAGAGGGACATAATTTGAAAAAAAAAAAAAAAAAGCTGATCTTTCCCAAAAGAATTAACAATGAAGATGAGCAGTAGGAACAGACTGGACATCCCTAATTTTTGTTTATTTGTTTATGTTTTACATTTAACATTAAACATGATTCAATTTAAAGTAACATTACAATTTAACTTAATGGTAGAACTAGGCTTTTTAGTTAGCATTACCTTCAGACATTCACTTCTCATATATTAAGTCGGTCATGACTCACTCATATATTTTGAGTGTTCGAACATCATAATGTTCTACTTGCAAAACAGGACAAAAGAGTCTACTGCAACCTTATCAGTTAAATACCTGTATCAGGATAATTTTTGCTTGAGAGTTTCCATTGTTCTTAAGCATATGTATGTGAATTTTTAACTTTGCTCAGCAAAATAACACATTTCAAACTTAAAGGACACCAAAAGCAAAACCAAAAGCCCAAAACCCCACTAATGTTGGGAAGCAGGAACATCTTTAATTACCTGGTTATATAATCGCATCCAAGATAGTTAACTCCTAATGGATCTAGGTTTTATTATTTATAATACAAGTATAATAAGAAGACCTACTGGCTTTAAAATGAAAATAAGTGGAATTAAATGAAATATTGTATAACATAATGACTATAGTAGATAACAATGTATTGTATTCTTGAAAATTGTTGAGAGACTAGGTTTTAAGTGTTCTCATCATAAAAAATAAGTATATGAAGTAACATATATTTTGAGTAGCTCAATTTAGCCACTCCACAATGTATACATATTTCAAAACATGTTGTACATAATAAGTAGATACAATTTTTGTTTCTCAAGAATAAATAAAAATGTTCAACAATTTTTTAAAAAATGGAATCAAGGCAGGACGGCAGTCTTTCTGTTTTCTAGATTAATAGTTATAACCTTGCTTGGGTCATAGATCTCTTTGAAACTATGTTGGACGTGCAAGCTCTTTTTCTAGAAAATTACACACAAAAAGTCATACTAACAATATCATTGGTTTCTCAGATCCTCTAAAGGATACACATGTACCCCATCTAGAGATTCCTACACCCCACGTTAAGAACCTCTTTTCTAAAGACTCCTTCCTCGTGGGCTCCTTCACGAGAGGCAGAGGGAAGGGAAGGCTGGTGGCCTCTTCCTGCTTACTCTGCCCTGGCTCCTTTTGTTCTTTCTTGAAGAGATTATTTGGGAAATGTCTGAGGCTCAGTAGGCATTGCCTTCAAGTCAAATACAAAGCATTCAGGCTGTTTATTTGGGTTCCCAGGTACTAAAAAGGCCGCTAATATAGCTAAAATATTTTTGTTTAAAGTGTTATGGTTTATTATTTATTTATTTAAAATTTGTCAGAGAACTTTATTAAATTTAACTCCTTTCTTTGGAGCAAAATGTGTAAAATGAATAATATTATTTGCACACACTTATTGTCAGCAGAGACTGAAGAAAACTATCATTCCAGATTGCAGTACGGCACTACAAGCCCATGGCCTAATTCACTGGGACAATGCTAAAGCCCCTGGTGAATTTATATCCATTTCACACTCTAAAATATCTTGGAGCAAAACTTTCCAATGAATCCAAGTATTAACAAGGTCTGCAGAAAATCTCAGAAAGTTTTCATTTTGTTTTGATTTTTTTTTTCCCTCAGTTAGTTTAGTTTATTCACCTTGGAATAGGAATACACTTAAAATTATTTTGCTGATATGTCACTACCCTTTCAACTTAATTCCAAGCAATGCCTCTAATAAGTGTTTTAGTAAATTAGATTAAGTTGAGAAGGATTACAGATTCTGTAAGAACACTATGTATGACATTGTTGACTCACTCACATATCCAGAGAAAATTACTGTTTATATAAGTGAACCTTAAATTTAGGATTAAAATCGTATTTTAAACTTATTTTATATAACTGATTCATTTCAATGCACAATCCCATTATCTTTGAAAGCTAAACAGGCAGTTTAAACCACATTATTGTTTTTAAATTAAAGTGTTGCTCAATTAAAAACTAAAGTGGAAATAAACAATTTCCCATACTAGAAATTATTCCTCCAGGCTGGGTGCTGTGGCCCATGCCTATAATCCCAGCACTCTGGGAGGCCGAGGCAGGCGGATCACCTGAGGTTGGGAGTTCAAGACCAGCCTGACCAACATGGAGAAACCCTGTCTCTACTAAAAATACAAAATTAGCCGGGCGTGGTGGTGCATGCCTGTAATCCCAGCTACTCAGGAGGCTGAGGAAAGAGAATCGCTTGCACCCGGGAGATGGAGGTTGCCGTGAGCCGAGATCACACCACTGCAATCCAGCCTGGGCAGCAAGAGTGAAACTCCGTCTCAAGAAAAAAAAAAAAAAAAAGAAACGAAAAAAAAAGTTATTCCTCCAAATATTTCTATGGAGAAAAATAAAGTGGGTAAGGGTGACATTTTTTCTTAAAGAAAAATAAAGAATGGTCAAGGAGCTGGGAAATTATAAGAAAGAGGAGCTACTGTTTTTTTGTATTAAAATATGAACATTCATATTCTCCAAAAATATTTACATGATCTCTCTCTTCTTATAGAAGAAAAATGGAGAAGGATAGAACCAGGTGCAAGAAAGAGTTCTCTTCAAAAAGCCATGGGAGAATCCCATTCACAACCAAAGAATTCGTGGCCATATTATTTTTTATTTCAGCCTGTTCTTTGAAAATGAAAAGGCGGAATGTAGTGGAAAGCATAAGCAAAAAGCTAAAACACTTTGTGGAATTTCTTTGTAACTTCCTTCGTGTGTAAAAACTTAAGACTTTACCATGAGGACATAATCCAGGCATCTGATTGTAGGCTTCTCGTTACTTGGGGAGTTAAGGGATTAATTTTCATACTTAAGCTCATATGATGACAAAACTTTTTCACAACTGTCTCTAAACCAAGAAGGGGGATTTAAGATCTCTCAACAAATGACCATTTCATTACATTGTTCCTTATTCCACTTAGGGTGGTTCACCATCATCTCTGAGTCAACACATCTGTGATCAGACTAAATGAGTCTTGCCTTCTGTTTTAGCCTTTGAAATCCATGGAGCAGAATGGACCAGGCCTAGAGTACAGAGTGACCTGGAAGCCACAGGGAGCCCCAGTGGAGTGGGAAGAAGAAACAGTCACAAACCACACATTGCGGGTGATGACGCCTGCTGTCTATGCCCCTTATGATGTCAAGGTCCAGGCTATCAATCAACTAGGATCTGGGCCTGACCCTCAGTCAGTGACTCTCTATTCTGGAGAAGACTGTAAGTGATGCACCTAAAACTGCTAAGCACGTCAGTAACTGTTGCTTTCAAATATATTGTACTTCAATCAACAAATATTTGTGAACAACTACTGCATGCAAAGAGGATGTACTAGCCGTGGGAGATAAAAACAAATATAACACATGACTTCTATCTTAGGATTGATTGTAGGACAGTTGATCGTATAGAGTACCAAGGAAGTATGTTGAAAGTTTTCATTTTATTCAGTTTCCTATAAAGCTCTTTCTACATTGAAAATTGAAGACCTGGAATTATCACTGCAATCATTTAAAGCAGCATAACTGTCATAAGATTTTCAAGTACATCTGCCCTTTGCCCTTACTTGTCAAGGATCCCCTAAGAGCCACTTGCTCTCATGCCCTGGGCTTCAGTGGCATGTCTGGAGCTTTCCTAATACTGATGAGATATATACCCAGATTTATATGTAGAATTATATGCACACACACCTTCTGATGCCATAGTAACTGCTGCAAATAGGTTATTGGAAGAAGAAAAAAACACTGCATTCTGTATTGCTAATACTGTGAATAATATTAGGGGTTATTCTCATTGCCTTTCCAGCATCTAAAGGAATAATTTGATCCAAAAATAGAAAAGGTTCAGAATGAGAAATAGCCAACTCATTACTCACCTGCCGTCTAAATTCTTCTACCCAAATAAAAGCACACAAAACACATATCACAAGTGAATTAAGATAGTATTAGCCTTGACTGCTCTGTATTTGGCTTATTACTCTGTAGTAAGAACTCCTGTAGAACAGAGATAATAATATCCTCTTCACAGGGTTGTATGAACCAATTTAGGTAAGTCCCTTAGAACAGTGCCTGACACATAGCATATGCTCAAATGTTAGCTGTTATTAATATTTGATTAACAAAATTCCTGACCAATTTTATTTATATTACTAGTTTAATTCACTTGCTTCCAAAGGCAAGATGCCCACAGAATAGTTTCTGGTTTTATTTATCCACATTGTATCTATCTGGAGGGCTTTGTTTCTCAGTGTGATACAGTCTGTCCTCTTCTTTGGGAAATCTATTTGGGCTGATAAACTTATCTATCATGAGAAACTCTTTTGGTTCCATTTGGAGTGAATTTCACAAAAGTGCTTTCTCCAGAAGAAACATTATGAAAATTTTTGAAAAGGATCCTAACAATCACATTTGCAGGTTATTGAAAACTAATCAATCTTCTATGATTAACAGATCCTGATACAGCTCCAGTGATCCATGGGGTGGACGTTATAAACAGTACATTAGTTAAAGTTACCTGGTCAACAGTTCCAAAGGACAGAGTACATGGACGTCTGAAAGGCTATCAGGTTTTTATCATCATGGTTTTTCCTCTTCTTGTTGAATTGGTATCTTTCCTGAGAATAAAGAAGAATTGATTTCAGAAGAAGTCAAAGAGAATCTGCGACCACAATGGATATACTAAAAGATTTTGGTTTTCATTGCAGATAAATTGGTGGAAAACAAAAAGTCTGTTGGATGGAAGAACACATCCCAAAGAAGTGAACATTCTAAGATTTTCAGGACAAAGAAACTCTGGAATGGTTCCTTCCTTAGATGCCTTTAGTGAATTTCATTTAACAGTCTTAGCCTATAACTCTAAAGGAGCTGGTCCTGAAAGTGAGCCTTATATATTTCAAACACCAGAAGGAGGTGAGAGGATAATGATGTAGAGTCATGTCAAAAATGGAGGTGATCCATGGCCATATTAAACATTCTTCCTTATGGCCAGGCACAGTGGCTCATGCCTGTAAATCCCAGCACTTTGGGAGGCCAAGGCAGATGGATCACTTGAAGTCAGGAGTTCCAAACCAGCTTGGCCAACATGATGAAATCCTGTCTCTATCAAAAATACAAAAATTAGCCAGATGTAGTAGTGCATGCCTGTAGTCCCAGCTACTCGGGAGGCTGAGGCAGGAGAATCACTTGAACCCGGGAGGCGGAGGTTGCAATGAGCCAAGATTGGGCTACTGCATTCCATCTAGCCTGGGCCACGTGAGACTCTGTCTCAAAAAAATAAATAAATAAACATTATTCCTTATTAGTAGTTAATTAATATTTACTTCAGATGAGTTTGCTTGTCAATTTCTATAAAATTTATAATATAATAAGGCTTTTTTGAATTTTTCTAATTGATGTGAGTTTATTTTTGGTCTTGTGTTTTCTAGTACCTGAACAGCCAACTTTTCTAAAGGTCATCAAAGTTGATAAAGACACTGCCACTTTATCTTGGGGACTACCTAAGAAATTAAATGGAAACTTAACTGGCTATCTTTTGCAATATCAGATAAGTAAGTAGAAATTTGAATTGGAGTTAACTTGTTAATGTTTCATTTTTTGGTTGAATATTCTCTGTGCTATGTTGGGAGTCTAATGATCACTTAAGGCCATGGTTTGTAAGCTGCCGTTCTTCCTTGTAGCCCAGGGGTCTGTAAACTGGCTTGCAGGCCAAATTCAGCCTGCTGCCTGTTTTTAGGAATAAAGTTTTATGACGACATGGCCATGTCCACTTATTTATATATGTCTACAGCTACTTTCTCCCTGGAGTGGCAAAGTTGAGTCATCTCAATGGAGACTACACAGCCTACAAAGGCTAAATGTTTACCGTCTGGCCCTTTAATGAAAGGTTTGCTTACCTGTTTTAGAAAAAAAGCAGTGTGCTGATGGGTACACAAAACACGTGTTTAATGTTTATATATAAGATGTTTGGAGAAGTAGGAAACATGTGAAAGAGTTATTGAGTGATGTGATGGAGATTCAAAGCATAGGTACCTTCCACGCTACCTCTTCTGCCTCAGATATATGCTCCCAGACTCAATCCTAAATATGCTTGTGTTTATCCAATGTCTATGGGTTGCTCACTGTTTCATGGAGATGATATTGCAAGGACTAAATAATTGTCTTTGGATCATGACTCAGAATGGGCTCTGCCCAGATGCTGCTGTGCGACTAGAGTAACGTGAATGTGTTTAGATGAGATCAGGTCGTTTTTAATAGCAGCGCGTTCCCTCTGAAACAGTCGTCAAGTTTAAGCATCATCTCAAAATGGAAATTCGGGGATTGACATTATAGAAAATTTTATCAACAACCCATCATGAAAATTTTAGGCTTTCAAGACATCAATTCCCAAAACACCAGAAATACAGAGACCCAGCACACACTGCTTACTAGTCAACTTGATCATAGTCCTGTTGTGCTACTTTCACATCAGCTCAAGACTTCCAGCAATCCAGGTCACGTATTTGCTTTAGTTTCTGATGGTTTCTGCTGAAATTAGCACGTATGTTTAAATACATACAGGCATAATCCCAACGGAAGTAGACTTTAGCACTTTTACGTGCTTGCTAAGTAGCAGGATCAATACTAAGTGTATCTCTTTGCATTGTGCCATTAAAATAAGAAATCTATTAGAAATGTACTATCACTATTTTATGAATGAGGGAATTGATGTACATCAGAGTCAAGTAGTAAAATAAGTGTTAAGTGGGAGGCCGAGGCTGGTGGATCACGAGGTCAGGAGATCGAGACCATCCTGGCTAACACGGTGAAACCCCGTCTCTATTAAAAATACAAAAAATTATCCAGGCGTGGTGGTGGGCCCCTGTAGTCCCAGCTACTCGGGCGGCTGAGGCAGGAGAATGGCGTGAACCCGGGAGGCAGAGCTTGCGGTGAGCTGAGATGGAGCCACTGCACTCCAGCCTGGGCGACAGAGCCAGACTCCGTCTCAAAAAAAAAAAAAAAGTGTTAAGAATGCAAAGCAAGATCAGTCCAATTCTAGATGTTGAGCTCTTAACCTTATATTAGTCGATGAACTGGTTTTCAAAAAAATTGTAAGAACTGCAGAAATATTTTAAGATTCTTTTAAATGTCAATTTGTTTGGTAAAGATATAACTTCTCCTTATCCTAACAATAGGAAACTCAACTAATTAAATTCCCACCTTCATATTGATCCGTATGTGACATTTACGTTTATTTAAAAACAAGTTCTTAGAATATAGAAGTTGAAATATTAACAATTGTAATGATTATTGAACTGCTTGATATGTGTATTTTAAAATAAAATAATATATAATTATTTTGCTTTCTATTAATATTAATTGATCAAGACATTTTAGGTAGTTTACCTTTTTCTTATTGCTTTTAGATATTTTAAATTGTTGCAATTTATATGTATGAGAGCTCTATGTATACTCTCCTGAATTCTTATATTGATTGTAGTCGTTTTTCAATTGACTTTGTGGTCATTCACAATTATGTGTTCAAAAAATCTAAAAAAGTGATGATTTCACCTCCTTCTTTCCAATGTTTGAATGCCTAGTTTGTTTGTTTTTTCTTTTCATTGATTTGAATTGCATTTTTATGGACCAAGGAAGGCATTTTTATGTCAATAATAAATGCATTTTTTTAACCTCTATGGTATCTTGGACTGGGAGTCAAGAGGATTTATTCTACATTCCTTCTTGCCACTAACAGCTGCACTATCTTGGGTGTATTTCATCTCTTGGACTATTGTTACAGTAATCTTATAATACTCCATACTCTTACACAAATCTCATGTCTTTGCTGGGTTCCAAATTCTTTGAAAGAAGCTGTCTATCTGATTCAGCTTTTTACAGTGAGCACTTTACATAGTACTTAGTACACAGTAGATATTCTTAAATATTTAATATATTCCTTCATTTATTGATTCTATGTATACTGAGTAGCTATTTGGTGCCACATGTTAAACTAGAAACCATAGAAGACACAAATAAATTATCATCTCAATTATTCTTCCAAAAGGAAATTATAATACTTAAGTCAAAGATACAATGAAAATATAGCAATGGGGAAAATTCATTATTATTAATGCGTATTATGAAGCTGGAGCAGCTGGCTCCAATATAGCACAGGGATTAAAGACGTTTCTCTGGGGTCAAAAGGCCATGGTTTGGATTCAAATCCCAGTCTGCAAATTTAGAGACCCAAGATGGGAGCAAAGGGCTTATTCTTGCGAGACCTCAGTTTTGTCATATATGATATAGTCATAGTAGTTGTATGTACCTCATAGGATTAAATGAGTTGATGGTTATGAATCATTAATGTATCTTTACGTACCACAAGCATAAGGAGAAATGAAAATAATGAAGAATGCAACTTGAATGGTTAAATACATTTGAGCTGTTGTTCATGTTTATTTTTTTAGTAAATGACACCTACGAGATTGGAGAATTAAATGATATTAACATTACAACTCCATCAAAGCCCAGCTGGCACCTCTCAAACCTGAATGCAACTACCAAGTACAAATTCTACTTGAGGGCTTGCACTTCACAGGGCTGTGGAAAACCGATCACGGAGGAAAGCTCCACCTTAGGAGAAGGGAGTAAGTACATGAGGCTTCTCTTTTTAATAGAGGCTTTAAAAAGAGACTGCATCTTTTTAAACAGCTGCACTGAAAGGAAAGCACCGTGCCAGTCATTGTAAATTAGAAATGATTGTGATCCCACTCTGTCTGACCTTCTGTTTTCCACTGACATAGAGGCAGAATTTATTAATCTGTTTGGAAAGTTCACACTGACTCAATTTATGGATTTCTGCGCAATACCAATCAAATTATAGCTTAGTGTATACAAGGTCAGGAACTATAATTTTACTTAATTAAAGTAGCAGGACATAAGGTCACAAAGCTATTCAAAAGGTTAGTAAAGGTACGTTTTTCTTTTAGAAATGTTTCCATACAGAAAAATATTTGGCTCTTCCATTGGTAGACATTACAGATCTAATACATCTCACTTTCATGCCTTCACTCTATATACATTGATTCATATGTCAATTTTGTTTTACTGTCTGATGATGGATGCCAAGCAACTGTCTGGGAAATGGCTTATAAATGTATGGTTTCACTTGTAACACAATTATCCTAATTCAATTACACTTTTCTGTTTTTTTCTACCTTTAACCATTTCCTTTCCCAAATTGCATCTCCAGTTATGATTTTAGTGAGGTTCTTGCTAAGCTTTCTATGATAGCAACAGGACCTTTGCAGAGAAATCAGGTCAGAGGAACTGATGTACACACGAAGTGAAACAGAGAGAGATTTATGTAGGGCTTAGGCTGTTCAGGCATGGAAGGATATTGGAGAAAGAAAAGAAGGATGTAGAAGATGGCAGAAAGGGAAATAGAGTTGTTTATTTATCATGTATTAAGTGTGGTGCAAAAGTAATTGTGGCCCTTCCATTAAAAGTAGTAATGGCAAAGGCCGCACTTACTTTTGCACCAATCTAATACTATGTGTCAGACTGTGTTCTGGATGCTTTTCCAAGTTGTAGATTAGAAAAACGGTAGAATCAATGAAAGAAACATCACAGAGGGGAAAAATAGTAGAGAAAATGCAGTTGCCTATTATTTATTGAAGATGTATATTAAAATATATTCAAGCTTGTGAGTGACTGTAAATCACCGTGTTTGTGTGTGAATGGTTATGCTCTGACCTTTAATATTGGTTTGTTTTTACATCTTATTGTGCCTACTATATCTAACTAATAACAAGCTTACGTTTTTCTCAGATTCCTTAAACATTTAAAAGCCCTTTATGTGGGAAAATTGTATAATCCAAATAATTACTTCCCTAAAACTCACAAAGTATTCCCAGGGATGAATTGAACACCAAGTGAAATGAAGAACTAATTTCACTGACTTTACCTACTCATAAAAGTTAGACTTAAAGATGGGGATTGGAAACTTCCCAGTAACTAAAAGGTTCTTATGTCTGAAGCATTGGAACTGACATCAAGTGTCCAATACAAAGAGAAGTCAGAGTGGTAGTAGTCCAAACATGCAACTGCCATATTTTTAAAAACAGAATTTAAGGCATGGAGTTGGTTGCTATTTTGATATAACCAAGACCATAATGTGCATGTGAAATGCTGATCCCATTCTTACCAATTGGAAGCACATGAGAAAAAATATTCACAGAATTGCCTGACAAGTGTTACACATTCTAGTATATATGTTGCGAAATTTGGGCTTGGTTGCATTCGTGCTTGAGAAATTGTTTTTGGAGGATGAAAGTGCTGTTCATGTGATTTTACAGGTGATGTGGCATCTTTTCTTTAAACTAAAAATGTAACTAATGTGCTGCATGTCTTAAAGAACATTTCTTCACTGTCGTATGTGTCAGGAATTTAAAAATGTTTCTTACTGGTGTGTTTGTGCTCTTTTTCAGGAATCCACATTTTCAGTATTCCAGCTAACTGCCCCCTTCCCGAGTTGACACTGATTTCTATTCTATAGGCATGTCTTGCTATAAGTACAGGGAAAAAAATTACAATCTCTTTTTCTACTAGAGTTCAACATGATCTTTGAAAAAAATATATATTTCCAATGAGGAGAGATACATCTTGTTATCAGTCAGCACTCTAAAAATGATCACTTGTGCAAATAGGAACCTACTGCTATGCATCTTTCTTCTTGCTCTGCCTATATAGCTCATTTCAAGGTCATTTGGCATTTGTTCAAAAAATAGGATTTGATTGACAAGTATTTTTCTCTGATTGTTTTCACTCTGATTTCCAAGTAAATCATATTCCATAATCTAAGAGGGGAAAAGATGGAGTTAATCAGAAATATTATTTTTGTGTCATTAGCGGTTTGAATAAATCACTTGCTTTACTCTATTTTTCAAAAGCTTGCACTACTTAATGTTATACTAATATCTCTGTTTTTCAAGGTCAAAATTAATTGCACTCTGTTTCAATGACGCTTAATCTTGAAGGCTTTGCTCATATAATTGGCCTTATTTCTCTCATGGTGTCATTTTTAATAAAACCTTTTTGTTATTTAGTAACTATATAATTAATTTTTATTTTATAGTGAAAATACATAATGAAATATTGATCTGTAACATATACCCACTTAAAATAGCATTTCATAACCCCTTGTAGTCTCAGTAAGAAACATATTTTATATCATTGTTAACATTTTCTGGGTTATGTTTATTATATTGAGTTGATTCCCAGCAAAGCTGTGGATCACATGCAAAAATATTTAAGATATTTGGTGGTAAGACAAGAAGTTAACATATTTTTGTTCAACTTGATTCATTTTATCTTCTACTATGAGATTCTACTATTAACATATTGACATATTAATATTTTTTGAAAAGTATTAACTTCTCACACCACTTTCAAAATGTCAGTAAAACCATTCCATTGGTATGTACCTGCAAGCCTGCATTTCACGTAGTTTGGACTTCTATAAATTTCAAATATTTAATATATGACCATATTTTAATGCTATTTCATCAGTGTTTATGGAGAAGACCAAAGCAAAAAAAAGCAATATATAGTTAGTTACGATTATAAGGTTATGTGCTGTCAATTATAAGTCAAAAGGCCATATTCAGTTTCGCATTAGGTTTGCGAAAATCCAAATTGCACAAAATTATATTGTATAATTTTTTTAAGTCTGTGGTTTTGAACCATTCATGTGACCAGGCAGATTTACAGTACCATTTCATCTTAAATGGCCATGCATTGAGTTCATTTCATTTACTCAATTTCATTATATTAAAAAAGAAAGTTGAAATGTTGATTTTCTTGATCTCCTGGTAATTCAAAAACTATCTGAGAAAATATGGTATAAGTGACTTTCTTATTCACCTCTAACAACAATATTTTTTTATGTCCTGTTTTTCCATGATTACAATTCACATGATTTAACTGTGTACATTTCTTAGGTAAAGGTATCGGGAAGATATCAGGAGTAAATCTTACTCAAAAGACTCACCCAATAGAGGTATTTGAGCCGGGAGCTGAACATATAGTTCGCCTAATGACTAAGAATTGGGGCGATAATGATAGCATTTTTCAAGATGTAATTGAGACAAGAGGGAGAGGTGAGAAATGAGATTATATTTGGGGAAGTCTTAGTCAATCTATGTCCTGTAGAATACTTAGTGTTGCCTGTGTCCTATATTAAACATAAAAACACTGAGTGTATTAATTATGAAAATCGTAATTTCAATTTGTTTTGACATATTTTTAAATTATCAAAATGAAAAATGTTTCACAGTAGTCCACCATCCTTTATTTTGTTTTTACTAGAGTTGTTGCCTAAAAATATCTCCTGCTAATTAACATATCTTAATAACACAAACTAAAAAGAAAAAGCAAAACAAAACAAAAACCACCGGTCTCCATGGTCATCTGCTTCTAACCAAGGCAGCTTGCGCTTTTGTTTGCTCCTTGCTGCTTCTGAGTTTAACTTCATCTGCCTTCATTATCCTTCTTTGGTTTTTCATCCTCGGAATCAAACACAACTCGAAGAAGTCCCTTTTTAAATAAAGAAGGAAAGATTTACCAGTATTCTCCCATTAACATGTCCTTCAAATTGCATTCCTTCTGGGGTCATTAAAAAAACTGATACTATTTGGTATGTTTAAAAATGATGTCTAATTTTCCCCAATGTTACAGAATACAAAAGACTGTTTCTAGTTTACAATGCTGTGACTTCTCTTTCTACCACAGAATATGCTGGTTTATATGATGACATCTCCACTCAAGGCTGGTTTATTGGACTGATGTGTGCGATTGCTCTTCTCACACTACTATTATTAACTGTTTGCTTTGTGAAGAGGAATAGAGGTGGAAAGTACTCAGGTAAAATTGTTTCTTAATGTGATTTTCAACTTATTAAAAAGCATTTTCTGGGAAGCATTCTTCAGAGACAACTTTTTTTAAAAATACACATTCAAGTCAAATTTATATTAGCAAGTTAGATGTACAATGCACTGACAGGAAAAACGTATTGCTAAATTAACCAAAGAAAATATGTATGTTCTAGTTTCTAGCACTTAAAATGGGCTCTAACTGCCGGGCGCAGTGGCTCACGCCTGTAATTCCAGCAGTTTGGGAGGCCGAGGTGGGCGGATCATGAGGTCAGGAGATCGAGACCATCCTGGCCAACATGATGAAACCCCGTCTCTACTAAAAATACAAAAATTAGCCGGGCATGGTGGCAGCTGCCTGTAATCCCAGCTACTCGGAAGGCTGAGACAGGAGAATCACTTGAACCCGGGAGGTGGAGTTTGCAGTGAGCTGAGATCATGCCACTGTACTTCAGCTTGGGCGACAAGAGCAAAAACTCCATCTCAAAAAAATAAAAAATAAAAAATAGGCTCTAACAAGGTTGATAACACTTCCAAGCTTCTATTGTCTATCTGTAAAATATCAGCGTCGTTGAGAGACATATCACTAGGTCACATATATGCTTTAGTGTTTTAAGAAGTGACCCATGTATAGCACGCCTCTCTCTATGCATGACATACATGACTCATATTTTTCGCACTAGTGCATTCTAATATTACTGGCTCCACTGGTCAATTTTGTTGGTGTTAATCATTACTAGGAATGCATTTCTTATTACCATGGCATGTAGTAGACACACTGCCTCTTGAATTAATGATACATAAGATATACATGAAAACCATCATAGTTGGTAATATGACGTTTGCCTTTAATTTCATTCAACTCCCGAATTTGTTTTGTCTTTTTCAGATATACATATTGTATCAAGATGATGATTATTACTAGTATTGCTTAGTATTCATGATGCTTTTATAAAGGGACAAAGATTTAGGTTACACTGCTATTTGTTTCATGATGTTCAGATATATGAGAAGTTCATTACTGGCTTATGATTTATCTAGCAAATATTTATTGGGAACCCGTCATCTACATAGAAACATTGAGAGCATAATTTCTAGGTTTTTGTAAAATGACATGCATAATTTATGGAGTTATGCGTTTCACTTTTTTCTCTGAAGACTGAATGATTATGAATTAAGTTCACAATGACTAATAAATGTTCTGAGTAATTAATTGGAAACGTTAAAGAGTTATAGCATTCTCCTTATCCCCAACAGATAATCATTTGTGTATTGTGGTGCTATCCAGATTCCAAAGATGTTTCTTCAAATCATGCCCTAAAAAGAAAAAAAAAATTAGCATTTCATATTGTAGAGCAACTAAGAGAATCTACTAGGTCTCTGCATGTAGTCGTAAAATGTTCCAGGAAGAACAATTTGTATTTGAGGGCTTTTTTTTTTTTTTTAAGTAAAGGGAACAAGAGCTTTTTGGTCTTATATTCCACTAATAAGAGAAATCAGCCAGGCATAGTGGTGGCTGCCTGAAATCCTAACTACTCGGGAGGCTGAGGCAGGAGAATCCCTTGAACCTGGGAGGCAGAGGTTGCAGTGAGCCGAGATCACGCCTCTGCACTCCAGCCTGGGCGACAGAGTGAGACTGTCTCAAAAAAAGTAATAATAAAATAAAATGTCAGTGGAGACCTGAATATTCAGATTGTTGCAACAATTTTGAGTAAGAGTGATGTATAACAACCAAATGACTGCCTTTTTTTTTTTTTTTTTTTGAGACAAGGTCTTGTTCTGTTGCCCAGGCTGGAGTGCAGTGGTTCTATCTCATCTCTTTGCAACTTCTGCCTCCCAGGCTCAGGTGATCCTCCAACCTCAGCTCCTCGTGTAGCTGGGACTACAGGTGTATGCTACCATGCCTGGCTAATTTCTGTGTTTTTAATAGAGACAGGGTCTTGCTTTGTTGCCCAGGCTGGTTTCAAACTCCTGATATAAAGTGTTCTGCCCACCTTGGCCTCCCAAAGTGCCGGGATTACAGGCATGAGCCACCACATCCAGCCTTGATTGACTTTTTAAATTCAATTTAGTTTAATGACACAGATCTAATAGGTGTCTATGACATCTTCAAAAAGTTCAGATAGTAAAATAAATATTTAGTAATTTGGTCTTCACTGAGAAATCAAACTCAGTTGGGCTCTTCCAATAAGACTTCTCGTTCACATAAAATTGAGTAGTCACGTGAAAATATGCAACATGCTGCAGGTGTGACGACAAGTAGAACCCCCCAAAATCCCCTCTCTTTTTTGTTTAAACAAAGAAGCAACTGATGGGCTGTAGGTATAGCCAGAAAAAAATATTGCCTCACTGGTATCAAAACATTTGAGCAATGCTGTTCTTACTGACTATTAACTATTCCACAGCACTGGTAAAATGTCTTTTAAATGGTCACTGTATTACTTTTCCCACTTTTTTTCTCTTTTTTAGTTAAAGAAAAGGAAGATTTGCATCCAGACCCAGAAATTCAGTCAGTAAAAGATGAAACCTTTGGTGAATACAGGTAAACATAAGGTTCTGTTGTAAAATAAAACACATATTCATCATGTTGAAAGCTTAAGTGAACAAAAAGGTGTTTATTCTTAATAAAAAGGTTACATAACTACAATGTAATGACCCTATAAAGAATACTTTGTACAAATAGGGCCCACTTAAGTGCTAGCAACCAAATTTCTGTGTGTGTGATGAGGGTGTATAAATAATTACCGTCTAGGCAGAAATGTCAGGTAGGACACTTTTCTTGAAGCTCTGTGCCTAACACAAAGAATATCTATTTGGGGTAGCTAAAACATCTATAGCATGGCCATTATGAACTCGGGTTCAATCCAATTTGCATCCACACACGCATATCTGTATACCTACAGCGTTGCACCTGCAAAGGTAAGTAAGTTACAAACCCTGTCCTCTAGATGAACCTGATCAGCAGAGAAAAATATCCTATATATGCAAATGACTGTAATGAATTAAATAGAATAAAAGAGCACAAAAGAGAGTAACTGTTTCTGCCCAGGTAGGATTTTGGAAAAAGAATCATCCATAAGAGATAAGCTAAGCCTTAAAGGATAAAAAGTATTGTGTTACTGTTAACCACTGGACAGAGGATGACCAAATGAGTGAGGGTGTGTCGGGCAAGGGAGGAATGGCAAGAAGTCTACTCTGAGCTAGGTAGGAATCTTTCGGGGACGTGTTAAACTGTCTCATTCTCCTTTTATCTTTCTCCACCTTCCCCTTTCTGCTACTCTCTCAACTTCTTAGTTCTTTTTTGTTGTAATGTCATCATTTTTCTCAGGTCTCCTGTATATTTCAGCCAACAGACATATTGTAAGTTCCAGGTTTGTATTGATTTTAGCACATGGGAAACCAGAGTTTATATTAAAGAAGAAATCTGATTGATCCTGATTCTCTCATCTCTGGATTCATTACTCTAGCAAGGGATATGGAGTATTTTCATTAGCTAATTGGTAGACATTTGGGCTTACCTGTACCTCCATTTTGTGGTATACTTATTTTTCTGTATTCTACTTAGTCAATACCCTTTTTATATTTTTATATTTCTTAATAAATGACTTTAAATTCTTTCCAGAATAAAGAACAATAAAGAGAAAGAAAGAAAGAGAGAAAAAGAAAAAGGAAGAAAGAATTTTGGAACTTCACGAATTGTGATCATTACTATTGTATTAGTTAGCAGTTGCCTCATAACAATAACCACCAATACTCAACAGCTTAAAACAATAAACATTTATTATTTCAATGTCCTCATAATTCAGGAATCCAGACATGGCTTAGATGGGTACTTCTGGCTCAGGACCTCTCATGAGGTTGCAGCAAGGTTTTGACCAGGGCTATGGTTTCATCTAAAGTTTCAGCCAAAGCACAAATCATTCCTAGGCCATTCGTGTGGCTGTTGGCAGGATATAGTTCCATACAGGCTGTTGAACTAAGGGCTTCTGTTCTTCACAGGCCAGAGGTCATTCCTAACTCCATACCACGTAGATATCTCCATGGGGCCATTCACAACATGGCAGCTGGCTTCCTTCAGAATGTGTGAGCCAGGGAGCAAGAGAGAGCACCCAAGTTGGAAGCCACAGTCCTTTTGTAACCTAATATTGGAAGTGATATCCCATCACTTTTGTTGTATTCTATAGGAACAAATCATTAAGTTTAGCTCACAACTCAAAGGAAGAGGATTATACAAGATACAAATTCCATGAGGCAATGATCATTAAGGACCTGCAACAACTTTTCAAAAGCTGAGGCAGGAGAATTTCTTGAACTCAGGAGGCGGAGGTTGCAGTAAGCTGAGATTGTGCCACTGCACTCCAGCCTGGGCAACATAGCGAGACTCCATCTCAACAACAAAACAAAAACACAAACAAACAAACAAGCAAAAAAAAATTTTGAAAGACAATATTAGCTCAATTTTACAGGCAAGAAAACAAAAACAATGCCTTGTCTAAAAACCCATTTCCCCACACCCTGCTGCTCCTTTATAAAGATAGCTAACATCTTCCTGTGCATTATTTCCTATGACATCCCTTTATAGTAGCTGATGTGTTTTCCAACCTCTTTCCCCCAAACTACATATTTATCAGGATAATTGTCTACTTTCCACATTATCCCAGGAGACACTTTTATAAGATGCTGTGCCCTTGCATAAGTCCTCATTCTTCTAGCTTCTGATAATCATCCCTTTTGTTATTTTTCTTTATTCTTTGTTCCTGATTCCTCAGCCGATGCCTCATTGTTTTTCTTGATTTGTTCTTGTAACTGCAATATCCTAATTCAAGAGCCAATTATCGTATCAGTCAGGGGAGCCTGTGTTATGCTGCTGTCAAAACAACTCCAAAAGCATTTTCTTTCTCAAGTTATGTGTCCCACAGAGATTGCCCTTTTCATCTTAATCACTTAGGAGCACTGGCTGGTGGACGAGCATCCAGGCTCCCCACAGCAGGGAAAATAGAATGTAATAAACTGAGCACTGGCTTTAAATCTTTGGCTCGGAAGAGACACATGTCACCTTTGCTCACTTTTTTTTTAAACCAAAGAAAATTCCATGGTGGCATATAACACAGAGTAGGCAAAGAAGTGCCATCCTGCTTTATTCCTAGAAACCTGACATACTTGATGAACAGCTCTGACAAATACCACAAATTATAAAGTGATATGTACATCCAAATTATATTTTTTCCAAATGCTTCATTGATCAAATTTGATAAAATCATTTTATATGGTGTATAGCTTCATAATGTAATACTAATTGGTACTTAAAAAAATCTTGATCCAAAATTTAGAAGATCATACCATTTGATAAGCATTTCACTAATGGATTTGCTTCTGTTCATGAATAAAACACCTACCATAAATATAGTATACTTATTTATGTTCTTAAAATACCAGCCATTTCTTTCTGTCTTAAAATGTAACAAACTTGAATTGTTAACTATATTAAAGAAAGTTATTTGGTTTCAAAAACAGAATGTGATTGATTTTTAAAAAAGAACATTTTATCAGGATATAAGAGAATCAAAAGGATCAGAAGTAAAGGCAGAAGATCAAGACTTGGAGGCCAGGAGCTCCAAAAGTTCATGACAGCAAGGGAAATTGCATTTGTTCTCTGTCTGAGTCCATTAGGGCTACTATAACAAAATACCATAAGCTGGGTGGCTTATAAAAGAACAGAAACTTAATTCCCACAGTTCAGGATTCTGAGAAGCCTAAGAGCAAAGTGCCAGCATTTTCAATGTCTGGTGAACGCTCACTTTCTGGGTGACAGATGGCACCTTCTCTTTGTGTCCTCACATCGTGAAAGGGGTAGGGCAGCTCTCTGGGGCCTCTTCTCTAAGGGCACTAATATCATTCACTAGGGTTCCACCCTTATGGCCTAATCACTTCCCAAAGACTCCACCTCTAACACCCTCACATTGGTTATCAGGTTTTAACATAGGAAGCTTGGGAGGACACAGATATTCAGACCATAGCAGCCACTGTGGACATCAACAGGTTGAATCCCACATGTCCTACAGAAGCTAAGCTGCTCAATTTTAAAGAGAAGCACAAATGTTGTGAATAATGAAAAATTGTTTGGTGGAAATTGCTTATGACTTTGTAGACATGTGTTTACAGACTTCGTAAACTTGGTAAACATTTGTGGTAGTATCATGTGGGCTTTACTATCTGTCTTCAATGCTAACACAAATGTCCTGAAAATTATAAAATCTTTTATCACTTATGACTGTGTTGCTTTACATGAATATTAATATTAGATTTTGTTGAGCTATTTTTGTTTGTTTGTTTTCTAGTGACAGTGATGAAAAGCCTCTCAAAGGAAGCCTTCGGTCCCTTAATAGGGATATGCAGCCTACTGAAAGTGCTGACAGCTTAGTCGAATACGGAGAGGGAGACCATGGTCTCTTCAGTGAAGATGGATCATTTATTGGTGCCTACGCTGGATCTAAGGAGAAGGGATCTGTTGAAAGCAATGGAAGTTCTACAGCAACTTTTCCCCTTCGGGCATAAACACAACATATGTAAGCAACGCTACTGGTTCACCCCAACCTTCCATATTTATCTGTTCAAAGGAGCAAGAACTTTCATATAGGAATAGAAACATGCTGGCCGAAGATTTCATCCAGAAGTCAACATCCTGCAATTATGTTGAAAAGAGTAGTACTTTCTTCAAAATATAAAATGCCAAGCACTTCAGGCCTATGTTTTGCTTATATTGTTTTCAGGTGCTCAAAATGCAAAACACAAAACAAATCCTGCATTTAGATACACCTCAACTAAATCCAAAGTCCCCATTCAGTATATTCCATATTTGCCTGATTTTACTATTCGGTGTGTTTGCATAGATGTTGCTACTTGGTGGGTTTTTCTCCGTATGCACATTGGTATACAGTCTCTGAGAACTGGCTTGGTGACTTTGCTTCACTACAGGTTAAAAGACCATAAGCAAACTGGTTATTTAAAATGTAAAAAGGAATATGAAAGTCTTATTAAAACACTTCATTGAAAATATACAGTCTAAATTTATTATTTAAATTTTACTAGCAAAAGTCTTAGGTGAACAATCAACTAGTATTTGTTGAGCTCCTATTTGCCCAGAGATGGTCATATTTAAACAGAAGTATACGTTTTTCAGTTTCAACATGAATTTTTTTATTTCTGTCAGTTATGACATCCACAAGCATCACTTTTTGTGTCTGTTTTTTTTTTTTTTCTTGGACTAAATTCAACTGCATGGAAGCGGTGGTCAGAAGGTTGTTTTATACGAGAACAGGCAGAAAGTGCCCATTGTTCAGGATTCTAATAGCTACATCTACTTAATATCTTCATTTCTAAATTGACTGCTTTTACCTTTTTCTCATGTTTATATAATGGTATGCTTGCATATATTTCATGAATACATTGTACATATTATGTTAATATTTACACAATTTAAAATATAGATGTGTTTTATTTTGAAGTGAGAAAATGAACATTAACAGGCATGTTTGTACAGCTAGAATATATTAGTAAGATACTGTTTTTCGTCATTCCAGAGCTACAACTAATAACACGAGGTTCCAAAGCTGAAGACTTTGTATAAAGTATTTGGGTTTTGTTCTTGTATTGCTTTCTTTCAACAGTTTCAAAATAAAATATCATATAAATATTGAGGGAAATGTTTTCATATTTTTCAAAATAGGTTTTTATTGTTGAATGTACATCTACCCCAGCCCCTCAAAAGAAAAACTGTTTACATAGAAATTCCTACACATACGTTTGCGTATATGTTATTTTAAACATCTTTGTGGTGAGAATTTTTTCCCCGATATTCTCCTTCTGTCAAAGTCAGAACAAATTCAGGGAATTTATTTTCTGGCAGTTGTGCTCCAGTCCTTTTAAAATTGTACATGAACATGTTTTAGAAACAATATGGAGGATGATGCATACATGTCGGTCAAGTTCAGCGCTCGACATTTTATGGAAAGATTTTTTTAACCTTACCACGAAATACTTAACTACTGTTTAAGTGAATTGACTTATTTCACTTTAGTTTTTGAACTGTGATTATTGGTATACTGTTATATCCTCAACTTGGATTTATGGTAACCCCTTATAGTTCATGGAGACCAAAATTTGGGGTATTTATAATAGTCAGCGCAGGAATGCACATGGAATATCTACTTGTCCTTTTGAACCTCACGAGTCATCCAGAATGTATAGACAGGAAAAGCATGTCTTATTTAAAACTGTAATTTATGGGCTCAGGATCTGACCGCAGTCCCGGGAGTAAGCATTTCAAAGGGGGAAGGCAGTGTGGTCCCTACCCTGTGTGAATGTGAGGATGTAGACATCCATCAGTGCAACTCGAGCTCCATCCTCCTCCGATTTCTAAGGTTCCAGTTTTCTGGAGGGACAGTCATCATGTTTTGATTTATCTGGGAGAAAACTGTGGTGCACAGCTTGTGAGGAGGGCAAGGTTGTGACGTTCGAGCTTAGTTCTGGTGTTATTCTGTCTCCTCTTCTTTGTCATCAGCCAAAACGTGGTTTTTAAAGAGAGTCATGCAGGTTAGAAATAATGTCAAAAATATTTAGGAATTTAATAACCTTTAAGTCAGAAACTAAAACAAATACTGAAATATTAGCTCTTCCTACACTTCGTGTTCCCCTTTAGCTGCCTGAAAATCAAGATTGCTCCTGCTCAGATCTTCTGAGTGGCTAAAACTTATGGATATGAAAAATGAGATTGAATGATGACTATGCTTTGCTATCATTGTTACCTTTCCTCAATACTATTTGGCAACTACTGGGACTCTTCAGCACAAAAGGAATAGATCTATGATTGACCCTGATTTTAATTGTGAAATTATATGATTCATATATTTTATGAATCAGAATAACCTTCAAATAAAATAAATCTAAGTCGGTTAAAATGGATTTCATGATTTTCCCTCAGAAAATGAGTAACAGAGTCCACGGCGTGCAATGGTAATTATAAATTGGTGATGCTTGTTTGCAAATTGCCCACTCGTGATAAGTCAACAGCCAATATTTAAAACTTTGTTCGTTACTGGCTTTACCCTAACTTTCTCTAGTCTACTGTCAATATCATTTTAATGTAATTGATTGTATATAGTCTCAAGAATGGTTGGTGGGCATGAGTTCCTAGAGAACTGTCCAAGGGTTGGGAAAATCCAAATTCTCTTCCTGGTTCCAGCACTGATTTTGTACATAAACATTAGGCAGGTTGCTTAACCTTTTTATTTCAAACTCTCTCAACTCTAAAGTGCTAATAATAATCTCAGTTACCTTATCTTTGTCACAGGGTGTTCTTTTTTATGAAGAAAAATTTGAAAATGATAAAAGCTAAGATGCCTTCTAACTTCATAAGCAAACCTTTAACTAATTATGTATCTGAAAGTCACCCCCACATACCAACTCAACTTTTTTCCTGTGAACACATAAATATATTTTTATAGAAAAACAAATCTACATAAAATAAATCTACTGTTTAGTGAGCAGTATGATTTGTACATGCCATTGAAAATTATTAATCAGAAGAAAATTAAGCAGGGTCTTTGCTATACAAAAGTGTTTTCCACTAATTTTGCATGCGTATTTATAAGAAAAATGTGAATTTGGTGGTTTTATTCTATCGGTATAAAGGCATTGATATTTTAGATGCACCCGTGTTTGTAAAAATGTAGAGCACAATGGAATTATGCTGGAAGTCTCAAATAATATTTTTTTCCTATTTTATACTCATGGAAGAGATAAGCTAAAGAGGGGACAATAATGAGAAATGTTGGTGTGCTTTTCTAAGCATTTAAAACATAATTGCCAATTGAAACCCTAAATATGTTTACATACCATTAAGATATGATTCATGTAACAATGTTAAATTAATTATAATGGGATTGGGTTTGTTATCTGTGGTAGTATATATCCTAGTGTTCCTATAGTGAAATAAGTAGGGTTCAGCCAAAGCTTTCTTTGTTTTGTACCTTAAATTGTTCGATTACGTCATCAAAAGAGATGAAAGGTATGTAGAACAGGTTCACGTGATTACCTTTTTCTTTTGGCTTGGATTAATATTCATAGTAGAACTTTATAAAACGTGTTTGTATTGTAGGTGGTGTTTGTATTATGCTTATGACTATGTATGGTTTGAAAATATTTTCATTATACATGAAATTCAACTTTCCAAATAAAAGTTCTACTTCATGTAATCCAAAAATGTTTGTATTCTGTTCTATATAGTTAAGAAGAATCAGAATTTACATATTAATCTTAACTACTTCAGTTGCCTCTGATCCTGGAATATCTATAAATGAAGTATAATTTAATAAAGTAAAAATAAGATAAATAAAATATTTTGATTTCAATTACTTTATAAATATACAATATCATCATCTATAAAAAAGAATATTACAATAAAATTTATATTTATAATAAATATAAATTTAAGGTGAATGTATATTTATCTGGTCATTTTTAATAAAAATGTAGAAATGTCACTTTTCAAGAAAATGTCCGATATGCTATATTTTCAATGAGGCTAGTAGATAATTTTGATATGGTCTTTTAGAATTGGGTTACCCACTTTGGCTCAGGGGACAATCTATTGAAAATTGTTATTTTTAAAAACGGTTTTATTGACCGGACATGGAGACTCACTGAAATCGCAGCTCTTTGAGAGGATGAGGTGGGTGGATCACTTAATGCCAGGAGTTCAAGTCCAGCCTGTGCAACATAGTGAGACCTCGTCTAAAAAATTTAAAAAAAAATTATCTATACCAAGCACTTTACACAGAATACCACATTTAATCCTCGAACGATATTCTCTGGTTTGTTAAATTAGGGGACCGGGAGGTTAACTAACTTAATGAGTGTCACCAGCATGGGCTAGAACTAGAAATTAAACCCTGGGATGTTTGACTCCAAAACCCTAATTCATTGTACCATTAATAGTACATTTTTTCATGCCCTCACTCCTCCACCTTTTCTTAGAAATACTAAAGAAAGGTGAGTTTCAACTTCATGCCGACTTATTGATCATGCTTACAAACACCTTGGCTTTAAGATATGCGATCAAGACATACGATAGGGGAAAACAATCAATGCTTTATTGTATAAACAGTTGAATGTGTACAACCTAAAAAGTAGTAATTCAAATAAGCCAGTTATTTTTAAATGAATGTCACACATTTCATTATATTCCACTCACTCTATTGGGAAACTGAAAAAGAACAAAAGCTTTTTATTAGAAGTGGCTTCAAAAACAACTGCGCTAAACATTTTAAAGTTGATATTTGTATTTGCTCATCAAACACCAGAGTCTATGGTAGGACATCTCTCCTCTTTTGCTATTCTCATTTGTTTCCCTGTAAAATACAACACAGAATTTTTAAGCCATATATCTCTGGACTCATGGCATCCCACTTATGGAGAACCCTTATCGCCAAGATAAATCAGACTTTAAGTCAGATAAACATATGTACGATAACCTCTCAAGGGCCTTATTTTAGTATTTTAGCATATGTTAATACAATGAGGGTTTTATTATCCTCACATCACTTACAATGTGATGCAATAATATATATATACATGAGTAAAGAAAGGATAAAATATGGAAATTCCCACGTTACCTGAAAGAAATAATATAATGCACTGCAACTGAAATGCATAAATTCTTTTAACAGGTGGAAAAAATCTTTCATTGATTGGTCTATTTATAACAAAATGAAACATTAAATATTTTCCGACGTGATCATCTATATAAATTGTTCCCAAAATAGTTCTCTTGAATCGCTGATTCTGTGGAAAACATTATGTTTGACCAAATTATTTTGGGAATGTTGGCAAGCATAATTAAATGGATACATTTGCTGCATTGAAAATCCTTGGGAGAATATGGCGTCAAAACTTGCTGGACCCTGGAGTTCTTTGCAGACTCAACCTTAGTTCGCTTTCCCACTCCAATGCTTTCCTAAGGTGTCTGGTCCATTTAAGACTTTGATTGCCATGGGCAGACAGATGACTTCAAGTCATTTTTAGCCCAGTTCTCTCCTCAGATCCGAGGCTTTTACATGTGACATTTTACTTGGCAGCTCTCTGATGTAGACAATTTCAGACTCAATGTTTCAAAAGTAAAAGCATAATTTCCACGTTTCAAACCCTTTTTTCCCCCACTGTGCTATTCAGTGAATGACAGCAGTAATCCATCCAACCACTCAAGACAAAAACCTAGACATTGTCCTTCATACTTGAGCTTTCTCTTTCAACTCCTGTGCTCAATCCATCAAAAAATTCTGTTGATGTTTTCTCCTAAGTATCTCCTGGATCTGCCCACTTGTCTGTACTCAGACCTCTTTTATGCTGAGTGGTCTTTCTGTGTTGACTGGCTCCCCTCCAGTCTCTTATCCACTATGCAGGCAGGGTGATTTATGAGGTGCAGTTCTGTTCGCGCTGTTTCCTTACTTTGAAGAACAACAACAACAAATAGCTTTCCATTTCTTCTAAGATAAAAACAAAAATCTATAATTGGCTTCCAATGTCCTCCATGGTCAGATCCCTACTTAGCTTCCAAGTCCCTTAATTTCTGGTTCTTTTTTTTCCCTTTCTCCATTCCAGTCCTGATGATTGTATTAAACAAGTCTTTTGCATGCTTCAGATTCTGTAAGGTTCATCTAGCCACTGCTGGAGTGAACAGTTCTGCATGGACCAAAGCTGACTAACTGCAAGTCAGCTTGCAACTAGCTGCAGTGTTCATGATGCACCCTTGCACTATGGCATGAGATGCTGTGAGACTGTCTGGTGCCCATTCATGCTCAACCTGGAAGCATGGAAGGGTTAACACCTTGTGGGGCAAACATTTATCCAATGGGAGAATGGAGCTGGTCGATAAATGCCAACCTTCTCTCTTGTCCTGTGTCCCCTCCCTTCTCTCTTATACCAAATGGTCCCATGGGACAGAGCAATCATTGGCATTCAACAGTGGCCAACTCAATAACGTATCTTCTATTGGTTCTCCCTGCTCCCTTGTCTCACGCTGCCTTCGGCCTCATGCCTGCTACCTAGGATTGCACTCCCTAATAAATGAGTAGCCCGTGTACTGATTCCTGCAGGCTCTGCTGTTAAGGAATCCAGACTAAGATGTGTGTTTTATCAGTTCCAGGTATTTTCTCATTCCTTCCTGTCCTGAGAAACCTTTAAATTTCTTCTCCTTCACAAAATCACTGATCTGCTTTCAAGTTTAATATCATTTCTCCAGGGAAAACTTCCATAACTAGATGAAATCATCTTATTTTAATGTGTCATGGTGTTATGTACCTTTGATTTTTAGCATGGACCACTGCTGAAGTTTTACTTTTATTACATGGTTATTTGATTACCATCTCTATTTATCCTATTAGTCTAAAAGTTTTATGAGGGCAGGAGATGCACCTTCATTTTCACTGGAAATACCATCTGCCTAGCACAATGTCTTGTATCTGCTGGGCATTTATTAAATGTTTACTAAATAAAAGAATAAAAGTCACAAGGAGAGATATTCAAAATAATTAATACATTTGAGAGAATGTCAGTCTAGATGCATGAAAGAAGTCTCTATCTGCACCCCAAAAACTGTTCTTACCCCTTGTGTTTTTCATCTTAATAAATGACTCCACCATCCACCCAGTAACTCAAGCCAAAAGCTTTAGGATCATTCTTGAATCCACTCTTTCCTCATTGTCCTACAACCAACCCATAGTCTCTTACAGTGCTAACTCCAAAATACAGTTTAAATCTATTCATTTTTCTCCACAGTCATTGCTACCATCCTGGGCTAAGCCAAAGGAATCTTTTTCCTGTTACTAGCCTTCCTTCATTCTTGTCCCTTTCTCCAACCTATAAAACAATACCAGGGAAATCTGTAAATATAAGTCAGATTGTATTAGTGGTTTCTCAGTAAATTTAGCCACAATCCCAAATGTCTAACCACATGGCTGTATATTAGCTAGCTCTGCCTACCTTATGACCTTGGCTCATATATTCTTCCCCCAAAAGCAAAGCTTGTGCCACGCTGCCCTTCTATGTATTTCCAGAGCCCACCAAATCTCTTTCTTGCCTCAGGGCACTTGCAATTGCTGTTCCTTCTGCCTGGAATCTTTCCCCAAATTTTGTGTGAGCTCACTTATCACCATTTAAGTCTCTGTTTGAAGGTCACTACGTCAGAGAAGACATTTCTAATTACCAACTCTAAAATAGCCAGGCTCTGTGATATTATTCCTTTTAATTTCTTCATAGCAATCATTACTACATGAATTTGTATTCTTATTTTTTTTCTTCTCTGTTCTTATTACAATTTAAGCTCTATGAGAATGACTTTGTCTTGCTCACTGCTTTCATACCTAGAATTGGCTCCAGAATATAACAGATGCTAAATTTTTAGGTAGATGAATGAACTAAAGCACTAAATGGAAAAATACAATAAATCATAATAAGAAAAAGCCAAATTAATCTTATCAAAACCTATTGGCTCGAGTTTTTAAAAAATACTCATATATTTAGAATATACAGTTGCCTCCACCAAAAAGCCTTGTATAGTGCATAAACACATAAAGCTGCTCACAGCAGAACTGATCAAACTGCCAAAAAAAAAAAAAGATTTTTCTTTTACAGCTGATGCCAAGCCCTTTCTTTTTTCCTTTTAGGGAAAGAAAGTCATTATTAATGTTTTATAAAACAATAACATGACATGTAAATCAGTAATTCCAGTTATAAGAATCAGTACAAAAAATTTCTTTGCTAAATGTCAGTATCTTAAAAACAATGAAGTTAACTGCAGTACAATATGCATTTGAATAATTATAATGAATTAAAATGTTTATAATATATGACTATAATTTCATAGGAAAAATGTTCATATTATAAAAAATGTGAATTCTTGCATAGAGTATGAGAATCAACTATGCTTTAAAATAAAATTTTAAATTTCCAACACTTTTTTTGATTAAACAGTGGATAATAATAATAGTAATAATAAAAAGCATACTGTTTTAATAAAAGATGTAGTTAAAATCTCAACCACTAGATGGAAGTGTTTCAAAGTAATATAAACTGCCTTACAGAAAGCATCCTACAGTCAAGATATTTTTTCCTCAAAGGCAGTTTTCAAGCTTTAGCATGTATTATGTATGTATTACTTAGTTTACACTCCTTCTTTCACTTCTAAATTGTGGCCTTATTATAATAATTATTGACTTTCTTTGATGTAAGTTTTTGTAAATTATATAGTTTTTTTTTTCCTAATTTAGAAGGGGTAAGTGTTTTTCAAACGTTAACAAAGTATGATAAAATAATCTTGTTATAATACTTAGGACTTAACAACCAGTTTTCTAGTTTAACATTTTAAATACCGGTAGAAAGAGAGGGAAATAATGTCTGAATTATTTATATTACCTATTTCTAAACAAATCGATATTTCTTACCTTTTTCTTTAATGTATAGGAATACCTCATTTACTGTGATAAAATATTGTCTGATATAGATACATAAATACAATAGAGTACTAATACCTGTGAAGTCATGAAGATAAAAATGAGTTCAAATATGTAAATACTTTAGAACAGTACCTGTCATATGCAAAATGCTAATCACACATTATGACATGTTAATTAAACATTTTTATAAAGCTGTCCAACTGAGAAAGTATAGTTATGGTCGTGTTGATAATTCTACAGTAAAGGATAAGGCTCTATCTGAAATAAGCTCTTTATCTTCCCAAGAAAGGGCACCAGATGACATCTGAGTTGACGTGTATTGTAAATAAAGCCTTAATTTCAAAATTGAGTTGAACTTTAACTTTAGCACATAAAAATTAAATACTTCTATGTAATTGGCTACCACCCATATTAATACCCTCAAAGCCCAGTGGGCACCCGCATCACCTGAACGGCTTGTTAAGACAGACTGGTGGGCCCCAGCCCCAGAACTGTTAGTTTTGTAGATCTGAGGTGGAGCCCAACACTTTGCGTGTTAAAAAAAATTGCTGTCGATCTAGGAATCACACCTTGAGAAACATTGGCCTACTACGGTGCATGGATTTGAACATAATCAGTTAAACTAAGGAAAATTCAGAAAGAATGAAAATAACTCCAAAATATAAGAATGTTCCATTAATTATTTGAATACTCTTTTTAAAGAAGTAGCAAATTAACTTTCAGAATGAAAAAGTTATGACATACTTCCTTCAAGATTTGTGAACCAAAATTCACAGCACAGTCATGTTTGCCCTGGACATTGGGATAGGGAGTTACAGCACACGCATGGTGTATTTGCATTTCCTGAGTTTGTAACATCCCATGGATTTTAATATCTGGCAGATCAATTTTATTTTTTATCCCAAGTAACACTGGTCTAGGAAGATTTGCTCAACATTCTATTGTATTCAATTTTTTAATAAATTGAGCCAACAGAACAACTAATTTTGAAAGGCTCTAAGAAGCCATCAGCAATTTCCAAATAGATTGAGTGTGAGACGGTAACAAAACTTAGCTTAATTCTCAATAAAAATATCTGTGGAATATAAATTGAAGCCAATTTTAAAATTCTCAGTCAAGGGATTAGCTGATGTTCATTATATCTATCTTTTCTCCACAATCTCTATGTTTACATTCCAGACAGTTTGACGAGACTAGAGTTATGTCTTTTGTTGTCATAATCCAAATAATCATCAGTAAAATTATTTCATAAATTTCTCTGCAGTGGAAAATCGAGATTATGTTTTGCCATAATTAATCAGGCTTAGAGTCAGTAAATGCCCATAACTATCCTCTATCTGCTGTCAGATGTATTTTAGTAAGTGATTGCAAAGTCCTTGAACTACAGACACAAACTTTGGTTATTGGTTCAGTTAGCAATAAAGCATAGTGTCTTTTCTTCTGTGATATTTTAGTTTTTCTAGGTAGTTAGGGAAGATACTATGAGATTGCTCATTGCTATAGATCCCATGTTCATCATTATCTATCTGAGTCCCTTTGGGCTCAGAATATTTTATACAGTTAATAGTTTTTCAGGCTTCTTGAGATATGTTACCTATCTTTAGTTATTCACATGTTGAAACTCCATTCAGTACACTGATTTTCAGGGTACTCCACTTTATGCTAGAGTTGTGTTCCTAAAGGCTTTAAATAACTCAAAACTCACCCAATTCAAGACTTAGCCTGATAAACTAGGTTTTATATTTACCAGCTAAAGAGGGTAATTCCACTTGAAAAGACATATTTACAATTTACACAACCAGCTATGAGATCAAATTAGTATTTGAATTTAATTTTTAAGATGAGAATGGTTTTGCACAAAGTTGGAGTTTTTTATGGTCTATGTCACACTATTTCAATACAGGTAAATCACATTTATATAAAATATAAACATGGTAATTATACAATTGTGTCATAAGAGGTTCGTGGTAAGCCACAAAGTCATAGACATATGAGTAAACTTAAGAGAAAGATGTTGAATAAATTATGCAATAATTATTGAACACTAGCAATTATTGATAGAATAAAAGACCCCTTTCTTATGCCAAACTAAAGAACATCCTTTAATGCATGAAGGAGCCCAAGCAGCTTGAGTAGAATCTCACACACACACACACACACACACACACACACACACATCTCTTTTTGTTTCTACCATTCTCCAGACATTTCCATTTGCAACAATGAATGATGATTGGGTCTGCCTTTCCCCTTCTTTTTTCTTCACTTTGCTTATTTTTCTCTTCCTGTTTTTCTGCCACAATGTAATATGCTAGACCTAACTATTTTCCTAAATAGCTGCCATTTACTGAGACCCCAAGAGCTACCACCATGTGCAGTTAGATTGACACATACACTAATGATTGAACTCCCCACAAGAAATACTACTAGCTGACTAAGTCTATAACCAGAGTCAAAGGTCATCATAAAGTTCATTTACCACTGTGGAAAACTGGAACCAATGCCTGGCTCAGACATGAATGACAACAGGTAATAATGTGGTCATCTAGGGATAGGATAGCAAATGGATTTCAAATATTGTGAGAATTCAGATTGACAAATGGAATATTACAGACTATTGTCTTGAAGATTCAAAGGCAGCATTGATAACAAGTATCCCAGGACGGCTGAGTGATGCTGCCATGGGTGTAGACAGGGGATTCCAGGGATATACACCATGGAGTTGAAACTTGAATTGATGCCTCATGTCACATATTGGGTATCCTTGACTTAGGTGGTAGGTAGATAGATGATGCCTAATGCCTAAACATAGGAATATTTGTCAATGTCCAGGTTGATTGCCAAATACTTGGAGATCAACCTCTAATGGGTTAACCACAGAAGACATCGAATGCTACTGCTAAAAACTCAGACTACCAACCCTAACCTCTATACCAATTAGCATTGTCTAAATATCTGGTCACCGTTGGGTGCATGTCTGGAGTCTCACCTACCCTCGGTTCCCAAAATATGGGTACTTTTCCTAGAACTCCTAACAAGCAAAATGTTTACTCTCTAGAACCAATGGGGAGGATTTCTTTCTGCCAAGAAAGAGCAGAGCAATGTGGTGGGAACAGCAGTGGAGCAAGTCAGGACTCTCAGATGTTGGTGAGGTTGTGGAGAAAAGTGAATTCTTATACACTGTTGGTGAGATTGCACATATATAGTTCAGCCCCTGTGGAAAGCAGTTTGGAGATTTCTCAAATAACTAAAATTATAATTGCTGTTTGACCCAGCAATCCCATACTGGATATATAATCAAAGAATAATAAATTGTTCTACCAAAAAGACACCTGAACTCATATGTTTATTGCAGTACTATTTATAATAGCAAAGACATGGAATAACCCCAGGTTCTTATCAATGGCAGATTGGATAAAGAAAATGTGTACACATACACCATGGCATACTACACAGATGTAAAAAAAAATAAAATTTTGTCTTTTGCAGCAACATGGGTGTAGCTACAGGCCATTATCCTAAGCAAATTAAGACAGAAACAGAAAGCCCAAATACCCCACATTCTCACTTATAGGTGTGAGCTAAACATTGGGTACACAAAACATTGTGAACACAAAGATGAGAACAATAAACACCTCCAAAGGTGGGGAGGGAAGAGGTGAGCAAAAGTTGAAAAGCTATCTGTTAGACACTATGTTCACTGCTTGGGAAACAGGATCATTAAAAAAAGAAGAAAGACAAGTGAGGAAACTATTACAGTGGGAGGAGTAACTGAGAAGAGGAGGGAGTACTAAAGTACATGATTTTTATGGTCCTGCTATCAGGTTTTGGAATTCCAGCATTGTTTCTATGTGCATTGCCACATAATTTCCCAGCTAAAGCTAGCAATTATGAATTTCTCTATATTTCCCATCAGTCGTCAACAATTTGCTAAAAATAAAGCAAACTAATAGTTTAATTTAAATTTACCAAACGATATGCATACATGACATCAGCCGACACTTTCCATCACATACATTACCATAAATTTATCATTCTATTTAAATTGCTATGATAATAGAGTAGGCATTGATGCATATGTAAGTCTTCTAGCGTTTTAAGAAGTACAGTTTCTTATTAGGGGCCTGTAAACTACAGCCACAGGGAAAGTCCATCCCCTCTGTTTTTTAAAGTTTTATTGTCGCATAGCTATAATCATTTACATATTGTTGACGTTTTTAACCTTACATTATTGCGTGGTTGTGACAGAGGATATGGCCTGTAAAACCCTAAATATTTATTATCTAGTCCTTTACAAGAAAAGTTTTCTGACCCCAGTTCTGTGCTATCAATTTCAATAAAACAGCATCAGCTTATTGTAGTTCGGAAATGCTAGAATGACTTCCAAGGGGAAATAAAAGGAGGTCTGCAGTGATAGAAAAGTGCTCATAGTGGTAAGCCATAATCAATGCACTGAAGGAAATTAAAGCCATTGATTGCAGGGAAAATTGTAAATAAGCAAAATATTTATTAAAAACAACAACAACATAACTATGTTTTTCTTTTAATATTAAGAATAGAGTATATAGATGTGCATAAAGAGTTTATTGCTTTGGGGTTCTCAAGTACTTGGCTGTGGGTTGATGAGAAAGGAATAACTTTCTTTTTTGATCTATTCCTATACATGAAAGGAATATAAATTAGCCTATAATCTAAAAAAATTATCTAAAATAAAATTACTCCTTTAAAGTGATCCTTAAAAGTGAAAACATATTTGCATGACAATAAAATTTTAAACACTAGTTTTCAGTCTATATTATTCAGTGGATGTGTTTAATTTTCTTTACTTGATGTTAGCTAGAAAAGGTCGGTTTTTTGTTTGTTTGACTTTTTATTCAGCCTTTCTTATTTGTGATGTGGATGAGAAGGTTAGAGGTGGTCTTTAAAATGATGGGATGTCTGCTAAGACGTCATTTATGATCTAATGGCTCTTTGAGTTAGTTAACTTCAGTTAGGGTTGTCAGCGGGGAAATTTGATTGGGATATTATGTTTGATTTCTCCTTGTAGTTCACCTGAGGACAGAATCCCAATGCCTTCTTTGTCAGACACTAAAGCAGGAAGAATGTGAGTCGTTTCCTCCGGGTTCCCTGATCTTTCACTCTGATGGGTCTCTATCTCAAACTTGCTTTTGTTTCCTTCAACGAGAAGGAAAATAAAGCTACTCTAACCTGAAGTTACTAAGTCCCCAAATTATACACGTTCTTCACTACCTGTAGGCTTCTTAGTTTTCTTTCAAGTTGGTTCTTCCCCCTTCCTTGCCTCTTTTCCCATTTTGAGTTCATTTTAATGGTTTTCTTATGAATAAAACTAACCTTGCTCAATTCTTCATTTGTTTTTTGCATTTTAGCTTTCATTTACAATTGAGTGATGCATTTTTGAGTGAGCTCTGAAAGATTTGTGCAAGATTTGCCTCCCAGTTTTACACAGCAGATTGTTTAAGTGTAGGAGAGCTTTTCATGCATATTATTTTGTAGTCATCATTTTGCTTGTATCCTAAAAGACGTTTCAGCACAGTGGTTAAGAACTCCGAGGACAGTATTCAAATCCTGACTCAGGGCACTTGCTTGCTGCACAAAGTTACTTACTTTCTCCATTCCTAAATATTCACATCTGTAAAGTGAGGATAATAACAGTACCTATCTCATTTACCTATTCGGAGGAGTACCTAAGGTAATAGTTACAAAAGGCTTAGAGCAATGCCTGGCCAAGTGTAAGTATTTATTACTACTAGGACTTACTGGTAAGATCATGGATGCACACTCTGGTCATTATTTCTCCCAAAGTCATTGGAGCCTCTTTTCCTTACTGGGGAGAGGGACACTCATGTTGGGTACTGATGTGGGATGGGAAGGCAAGTTCCTTTTCTAATACTAAGATTGTTACCCCGTTCTTTCCACTGATGTGTAAGGGGATACAAACTGGATGGCTTTTGGGATCCCTTCACTTATTAAAGAGGAAGTTTAAGAAGAAATGCTCTGCTCTGAACCATCTCCTGCCAGATGCCTTTGAATGTAATGGACACCGTGATGATTGAAGCTGCTGCAGCCATCTTGTGACAAACAGGGGAAGTAAAAAATAATCGCAGACATGCCAGTTACTGTCATTTTGGAACTGAAACAACCCAGCAAATACTGTCTTGTAGGCTTCTTGTCATGTGAGGAAATAACTTCCTATTTGTTTAGGTCAATTTTAGTCACAATTTTCTCTTCATGATAGATAAAAATATTTCCATTGTACAGAATCATCTCTTCTACGTAACGACATCTGCTTTTTGAATGCATAGATCTCTCCAGGGGTGCATTCAACCACTCTATGATAAATATTTGAGTTGGCATTTCTGAAATACATATCCAATGATAAAGATTCTCACCAGTGGTTTCTAAGTCTCACTTCAAAATAACATATAATATGATATTTTAAAAAATAAATTCAAGTGTTTCAGTAACTGGATAAGAAAATATCGCAAAGAAAAGTCAGTGTCCTTCTCAAGGGTGGGTCTTGGAACAAGTATACGTGTATCCAGAGGTTGGCTCTACTGATCAAGAAATACTCATGCACCAGGTTAGTGTGGGTCCACCTGGGTGCCCTTGTTTGCACTGTAATAAAATCCAAATGAAATCTTTAACCAATTTGCATATGTTCCTAAAACATTTTTTCAGCCGGGAGTGGTGGCTCACACCTGTAATCCCAGCACTTTGGGAGGCGAGGCAAGCAGATCACTTGAGCTCCGGAGTTTGAGATTAGCCTGGGCAACGTGGCAAAACCCCATCTCCACAAACAAAGAAACAAAAAAAAAAAAGCAAAAAAATTAGCAAGGTACAGTGGCATGTGCCTGTGGTCTCAGCTACTTGGGAGGCTGTGGCAGGAGAATTGCTTGAGCCCAGGAGGCGGAGGTTGCAGTGAGCCGAGATCACGCCGTTGCACTACAGCTTGGGTAACAGAAGTGAAACTGTCTCAAAGAAAAAAAAATATTTTAAATAAAACAAGAAAGTTAACATTTTTTTAACTGGTAACATTTACGGACTACATTGAACATCGCAGACATTAAAAAAAAAGATGAGATGTTTATTAATAAGGTTGTAATTGAAGAAAAAATAAACATCTTCTAGTTTTCCAGTTTTCCTGAAGGGCCAGAAACAAGATGCACCACATAAAAGATATGTCTGCAAATTATGCATAATTTTTCCTCATCTGAGTAAGGACCTGGAAAAGAATCAGACATATTCCTCAATTTCTTCCATGGGATTTTAATAAGTCCTACTATTAATTAAATTTTAAGGAGTCTGCATTTAGAAGATAACTGGGTTAAACAAAGTTAATTACATTCTTTAAAATTATACAAATAACATATGAATATTATCTTATTACAAAAAAGACAAAAAATAACACTTTAAAAAGTTCTTCTTGGGCCAGGCTTAGTGGCTCATACCTGTAATTCTAGCAGTTTTGGAGGCCTAGGCGAGATCACTTGAGCCCCGGAGTTTGAGACCACCCTAAGCAACATTGCGAGACCTGTCTCTATATTAAAAAAAAAGTCCTTCTCATCTCTTTCCACTCTCAGTTCCACTCTAGTCTACAAAATAGCAATGTTTGCTACCATATTAATGAGTAGGCATCAGATTTTTTTTCCTATGATGGTACGTATTCACATGTGTACTGCATAGGAAAAATGTATATGGGCATGCATGTGTGTGTGTGTATTAAGTGGCTGTTTACATAAATAACCCCCATATTCTGTAGGTATTTTATTTTATAAGCGTTTTTGTGACTTTTTTCAAGTAACAATATCTCTTAAATATTTTGTCAGTGTATATAGATAAAATTAAATCATTTTGAAGGTCAGCACCATGATGTGCTGTCATATCCTAATTTCTTGAAACATTCTGCATTCTTGCCTGTTACAATAGTTGCAATAGACCAACAATTTCTACTCATATTAAATTAAGGACATTTTCTCAATTTCAGTTTAGAGAACCACCCTCTATCATCTTAGCACTTCCCCTTTCCCCTGTATCAGAAATCTCTTTTTATGTGCAGTAGTCATGTCTTGGAGTTTCTGTAGTATATATTTTAATGCTAGAAGTTCTTAATGTTTTTAAATCCTTCCTTCTATGATTTCAAGTGTTGCCTTCTTCTCACAAAAACATAGTAGGAGTGAACTCTTCAAGCTTTTTGAACTTAGATATGGATGTGGAACTTGCTTTGGCTAGTCATTTCTTCCAAAAACTTCACAAGCCAATGGTGACCTTCCGTGTTCTCCGCCTCGTGCCAGATGATCCTAGAAGCAAGTGTTGAGTTGGAGCCTTCATTAACCTAGGTCACCGAGTGACAATGATAAACAAAGTACTAGCAAACCTTTATTAGTTTTATAGCCTGATAAATAAATAAATGTTTGTTGTGCTAAACGACTGTCAGGATTATTTGTTATTTCAGCATAACCTAGTTAAGCTTAACTGACGCCACTACACATTCTTTGGCTTCCAACTTCACTTACTTTCATAAGAAAACTTCTTGGTATAACTGTCTATACTGTATTTACTTTCTCAACTTTATCTTTTTCCCATGACAGTCATTCTTCAATTACCATCACTACTCTAAAATTGCTTCCAATAGCCCTAATACCATTCATGTTTCCAGATTCAAGGGTTAGTTCTCAGTCTCTAGCTTGACGTCTCACAAGTATTCACCATGGTGAAAATTATTTTCTTTTTTTGCCTTCCAGAATACCACATTCTGATAGTTTTCCTCTTATCCACTAACCAAACCATCTGAGTCCTCTTGGTTTATCTCATACAATAGCCCCGAGTGAACTTTAAAAAACATTAACTTTACCATATTACTTTCCTGCTCAAAATCTTCCCAAGGATCTATAGCATATTAACATCCATGCTCTTTATCCTGGCCTAAAAACCCTGCAAGATTTGGCATCCACCCACTAATATGTCCTCATTGCATTCCACTCCCCTCCCTAAACTCCAGCCACACACACCTCTCTTCTAGTTCAAATATGCCAAGATAGCAACCAAATTAGAGTCTTTGTACTAATTGGTCCCTCTGCTTGGAATGATTTTAATGCGTATACTTCCATTGCTGATGTGCTATGCAGTTTTTAAAGAAGGCTTCACCTCTTGCTATTTTCATACCTTAGTATAATCCACTCCTTTGAGTATGACCTGGAATTAGTGATTTGCTTCTAATAAACATAATACAGCAAAAAATGAGCAGATGTCACTTCCGAGATTAGGTTACAAAATTCCATGACTTCTATTTTGCTAGCTGAATTTCTCCATTGTCTTCTTGGCTTATAAGATCTGATGAAGCTAGCTACCATATTGGAAAGGCCCACATGGCTAGGATCTGGCTGACCGCCAGTGAAGAATCAAGGCCTTCAATCCAGTAACTTGCCAGCAACTGAACTCTGCTAACAGCCACATAAGCTTGGAAGTAGATCCTTCCTCAGTTGATCCTGAGGATGAGATTACAGCCTTGGCCAATGTCTTAATTCTAACCTGTCATAGACCATGAAGCAGAGAACACAGACAGATCATGCCTGCATTTCTGATCCACACAAACATTGAGGAAATACATATATGTTGTTTTAAGCTTCTAAGTTTTACCTTAAACTTATTGAGACCAAACTCAGATTTATAATTCAGATTAGATAAATAATATCATTGGCTTCTTCTCATGCAGGTATTGACCTAAATGTCAAATAATTAGAATGCTCTCCTCTACAACTTAACCTAAAATTGCTGCTTCATCCTCACTAACAAATATCTCAATTTGCTTTCTTTATAGCTTGTTGCTGTCTTATGACAAAAACTGCTAGTGGTAACCAAAGAGTTCTTCTCTCCTACTTCCTCATTAATAGGGCTGCTGGACACATGATTTAAACACCTAAATAAAATGAAAATAATATTAATATTAAACTCACAAATTTATTATGAAGACAAATAAGAGAAGGCATGCAAGGTTCCTGGTACACAGTAAAGTACCTGATAAATGTTTGCTATTGTTTGTGTATTTTTTCCATTATTTATACTGTAGCACTGCCAGTTTCATTTGTTTTGGGACAAATAATTTTGAGTTTCTCCTGTTGCCAGATGACTATCTTTGTGGACAGAATTCATTTATGATACCATAATGTCATAGACTTTTAGATCTAGAGGGGACATGTAACAATCAACTAAAATTAATATTCAACAACCATTTATTGAGTAGCTATTCAGGACTTGGCTAGGAGTTAGATAAAGACTCCAAATGGAAGAGGATGTAAGTTACAAAGATACGTTATTCTGCTTTTAAAATACTATAAATGGACTTAAAAGACTTGGCAAGTGCAGCCTTACCTCCCCACCTCCACAACCCTTAGACCCAATTGCCGACAGTAGACTATGTGCTTCTCATGCTTAGATGTGCCAGGCCATTTGACAATGGCCACTCTGTGGATGTCCACTGCTCATGTTCCCTGTGGATGTGGGCCAGGAGCATCAAATACTGTCTTTATGGATGCTGAGCCCCTCAGACAGGAGGTGATGCCAGCTTGCACAGAAAAAGTTCTGGCTAGGCCTTGCAACCAGATGGTTGGCTGCAGGCCCAGCTACATTTTTTTCTCCATTTAATTTCTGGTCTGAAAGTTACTGTTTCCAGTGGTAACCTGGGGACCGTAAATTATGAGGCTTGTTGATGAGTTCTGAAAAGTACTTTGTAAGTAGATCTTATGAAATGCATTGAGCACTTAAGTCCCAGACACAGCAGTGTTTTCAAACGTTATCTCATTTAATCCTTATACCAAATTTCTGATATAGGTGTTATTGTTATATCTACTTTACAGATAAGAAAACTGAGGTTTGGGGACATAAAGAAAAAAATTAAAAATAGTCCCTTGAAGGAAAGCTATGAGAATGTTGTGAATATTTAATATTTTCTTTCTTAATAAAGTCTAATTTAATATGTAGATTTTTTTGTCCCTTAGAGCCTAGTTGGTAAAATATAAGTTAGAAAACAAATCTGACAAAATTGGCACTAGTATTTGACCGATCACATAAAAATGTTATGTAACATGCAGTAGCATATAGTAGATACGCATCAACACTGTACACAGAATATAAAGTTCTTTTATTATTTAATCACATAATGCAAAGGCAATACTTTTGATTAATTAAGGGTGGGTCCACAGACTGAAGTTTCTTTTTGCTCTTTAGTCATTAAAAATACTCATGTTGCATCATCTAAGATTTCTACTTTCCTTACAGAAGCAAAGGTCTTCATTTACGGCTTTAGTTACCTTACAGAAGCAAAGTCTTTTTTACATTCTTATAATTGCCTTCTCCAATTATTTAAAACTTTCATATACCTAAAGCTACAATAATTTGAGCCAAATGCCTTTTATGACTTGTTTCCTGGAACATACACATGACTTCAGTTTCTCAATGTTTGAAAAGAAGAAAGCTTAAAGTTTAACATCTAATTGTAATAAATGGGTTTGGGAACAAATGCAACTTACTCTTAGGAATGGCACAGATGGTGACTAATCTGCAACGTCTCTTAAAGGAGACTGGAGCAGAGGGCACACCTTGGCCACTGTTTACTTATCTTTAAGATCACATTTCTTTCTATTGACATCAGCATCACATGAACCAATGTTTTGGATTTTTCTTCATCATTATATTCCTAGAATATTCCCTTACTAATAATTCCTATGTCCCACTGGCTTGCAGAAATGAGTAGGGATACTTTTACAATTGAGAAGAAAACACAAAGTATACTTAAAAAAGTCATTCACTGCCAAAGAAAATTCCACATATGTGGCTTGATTTCATTGGGAATTATTAAAAAATGCAAGGTATGCTTTCCCTGTATTAGGACTGTTAAATGGAACACTCTGTGATAATGGAAAAGTTCACTATAGGCCTTTTCTCCCTGTTGGGTTGTTTCTAATCTTATCAATTTGTAAGATGGTTTTATATATTCTGTAGCTACACTGTTCAATATGTCCTCATTCATTACATGTGGCTATTGAGCACTTTAAATACGGCTAGTAAAACTGAAGAACTGAATTTTTCATTTTATTTAATTTTAATTCAATTTAAATAGCCATGCATAACTTGTGGCTATGATATTGTCTAAGGCAGATCTACATCTATTATTCCGGCTGACTTAAATACAGGGCTTCTCAAATACAAGGCCAACTTATTTGATTGCATATATGACAATGTAATGTAAGTTACCAGAGTGATTTCATGTAACGATAGAATATTTCTTCTTAGGTTTAGTAAAAGAGGGTGTGTGAGATAAGTACATGTCTGCACACAAATATATGCTAGCTATGTAATAAATTATTCACCACATCTCTAGATAAATTATTTTCATTTTGGTTTAGGGGAGTTTGAGCCTTGTTTATGTGTGAGAAAAGTCAGAAGGCAAATACTTTGCCATCAGGATACAGACAGACAAATTCTTGCTTGGAATAACATAAAAATGTACGTAAATATTCACATTCTTACCAATGCTCGTGAAATGAACTGATGAGAAAACAGAAATATGCAAAATAATGCAAATATGAAAGCAGATCAACTGGCAAGTCCTGCTGTTTGACATCTAATGATCATTGCATAACTACCTGGATACAGGAATGCTATTTAAATCATGTCTGCTAAGTCTACCTAGTCAGCTTCCCGGTATATTCAGGAGTTGGAATCCTTACTAGCCCATGAATTGCCTCACCCCCCAACTTGGAAATCATGTTTTGAAGCCTAATTTACATCAGAATCTCCCAATCAGCACAAGTAAAGTGGACTGAACGTTTTCATGTAGAAATAATCTACTGATATCTGTAATGTTGCAAAAATACATATGTGACCAAGCAAGATATAATCAAAATATGTGTTTGCATTATTTTACTGCTACTTTGATATTTTAGTGTTTTTTGGGGGGGCATTTAAAATGTCTTCTTTTAACAAAAATATTTTAAATGTACAATAATTGTGGAATATCTTTCATAACATGAACTGGCCATGTTTTCTGCAAAACTTAAATGAATGCAACTTTTGCATCTGGATTGATTTTAATTATATGAAAGAACAACCCCCAGATACTATTTGGACACGGAGGAGAGATAAGTATAAGGTATATAACGAGAGTCAGCAAACCCTTTTCAATGTAAATCATAGCATTATGTATTGTCAACACTAGTAATTTGTCTGAGGGTAGAGGGGATGAGTCTAATGAATACAAAGATTAAATATGTGTTTAAAGCTATAATATACTAAAAATTTTGTAGTATTGCACAGTTTTGCATCCTGTGAAAAATCCTTATTGGAGAATCACACATTGAAATTTTTTCAAATGCTCTTGTTTCTCTGCTCACTGGCTACTCAATTTGATGGATGTTATTAAGTTATGTTCAGCCAATTAATATCACACAAGAGAATAAACCGATTACATTTGGATCTTCCCTCTTGTGGAATCTTCAAAGAATAAGTGTTTTTCATCGAAAGAGCCAGGAATGGTAGTTTCTGCATGATGGTAAAGATGTTCTGTGCATTAAAGGGAAATGAAATAAAATGCTTTAACGAAGAAACACTGAACGTTGTGGTCTGTGAGACTGATAAACATGCTGAAGTCGGAATTGCGATTTAGATTTATGAATCAACAGCTCCCAGAGCAAGTGGCTTGTGACCCACTTTCCTCAAGAGACATCAACATGTGTTTTGCATTAATTTGTCTTGATAGCCTCTTGTTGCTAGCAACTTTTGTGGGAGTAGAAAACACTTCGCCTTTGCCAACCATGTGTGTCTCTCTCCTGCACCCCTACCCTTTTTTAGGCAAAGCAAAATGAGATAGCTTCAGTTTTACAGTGACTACTAGACACCCAACAATTGAGGAACTTAAAAAAAGTTCATAATTGGCTTGTTTTAAATAGAGCATCTTTAAGGCTCTTGAAGTCTTTATTGATAAATTTTAGCAACCTTTTGGCAGTTATTTTCGTTTAAATTACATTGTTGAAATGCGCATTTCACAGATTGCAAAATATGTCTCGTGGTTGGGACATGAACACAAAGAGGTATTATGAATATTGGATTATCTTAGAGATAGTTTTCTTGGCCTTTATTTTAAAGCCTATTCACGAATATTTGTCTAAGTGATAATATTGTAGATATATGATGAACACATGATTTTGACTGCTTTTTAGCCAACAGTTACTAAATTGTAATCACCAATATATAGTACAGTTCTATATTCATATAAAAGCTCATTAGAAGGGTATAGAAACTTCTAAACTAGCTGGGTCAAATTTCAACTCTTCCCTAAAGTCAGTGTTAGAAAGTATTACCAATGGACAGGGACATAACCAAAGAACAACAAAAACAAGAAAGTTGGGAAAGGCTAAAATCTGGAGTTTCAATACATTCTACAATGAACCAGTGAAAACTCTATAATTAACTTTATATTTGATCCTGGCAAATAAGCTATGTACCACATTAAAACAAAACAAAACACAAAGTGAATTAAAACAACAGTCAAAGACCTCACAATATTATTTTTCAAGTGGTTGAAAACCACCACTCAAATAGCTTAAGCAATAAGTGGATGCATTATTATAAAACTATGCCCTTATCCAAGTGCTTATGTAGGGTATATTCCATGAATATTGCACCAACTTTTTCTTTTAAGAGGTAGTAATTCCTTGAATCTATTCTCCTTCCTATTTTGGGTTCATCTTCAGGCTAGTAGCAAGATGGTTGTAGAAATTTCAGACATTATTTCCAAGGAGAAACCCATTAAAAAGCAGGAAGAGATGTGGGTTTTTGCATATGTTCCTTTATGTGGGTGAGGAGGCATTATACAGGAGCCCCCAGCAGACTTCTTTCTTATTTCATTGATGAGAATTAGGCCACAGTTCCTTTATGTGGGTGAGGAGGCATTATACAGGAGCCCCCAGCAGACTTCTTTCTTATTTCATTGATGAGAATTAGGCCACATGTTCACTCTTTAATCAGTTGTTGACAGGAGAAACTGGGTTCCAAAAATTGCCTTAGACAAATCAGGAGTGACCTTTGACCTAAAGACGTTGCTATATTCACATGGAGGGGAAAAACATGCAGGGAGTGGGTGAACATGCAAAAAATAATGTGAACCTGTGGATAACTGAGGGCCCACTTTGTTATACCATTTCATATAAGTGACTTGAGCTTCAATGTATTGTTGGTATCTATGAGGGGTTCTGAAACAAATCTCTGGTGAATACACAGGGTCTATTATAAGTCTTATGTATTATTGAAGTGATTTAATTGTTGGCTTTCCAGCTTCCTTTTGCAGTCTGAAGTCTTCTTTATGCATCTGGGAATATTAAAACGGTTGGATTAGAACAGACTCCAGTCCACAGGAACTACAGTATAAGCGATGAACTGGTTTTTCACAATTCTATTGCCTAACAGGAGAAGCTGGACGCACTATATTAGTTTATCTTATTCATGATCTGCAGGATTTCTTCAGAAGTGCTCTCTTAAAGTCCTAACTAACTGGCTGTGAAGGTAACGACTTCATCCTCAAACACTATCATCAATTACTGACTTTTAAAGGCTCTCTTCAACAATTTAGCTATCAATAGAAACCACACACCAATGCGTAGATTTTAGTGACAGGTATTTCTATGGAATGGAGAAAGCATTGTGTACAGGGTGGTTCAACAAGTTTGGCGAGGATTTAAACCTTCTCGTAAAGAATGTTTACATATTAATATTACATATTATAGGTTGGAACTAGGTTTCCTGAGACAAAACTTGTCTGGGTTAGTGTTTTTATTTTGTGATATAGTTACATTAATATTAGAAAACATTATATGCATTCACTAATGCTAAAATTTCATAGTGCAGGTTTGAACTTAACGTCACCATCCTAGACCACATTATGAGATGCTATACAATGGTAGGCATTTGGTCCACTTTTGTTGTAGATATTCATTCTCATTCAGCAAATACCAATTGAAATAGATTAAACTTTTTATGATAATAAATCAATCATCAAATATTTAAAAATAATAAGACATCACTATATGTGCCAGTCAAAATAGACTTCTGATAACAGTTGGTTATATTTCTGTTTTACTTGAAAGTAATGAAACATAGCTACATTTGGATTTCCTTTTGTGTCTTACTACCAATTCCATTTTCCCTCCATTTCTAGAAGAAATCACTCTTAAGACTTTGGTGTGAAACCTTTCTGGTCATTTACCATATATTTCATTAAAAATATTTCCCACAAATTTCTCGATGAAAAATTTATGGCCTGCGTTTGTTTGCTTGTTTTAATGACAGTGCAGCTGTCATGAGATTGTGCCTCATAGACCTCCTCCAACAAGGGGAGTAATTGACCAAGAGGCTCAAGTGCTGCCCTTTGAAATTCATTGTGGTGGTTATGCTAAGGCCAAGCCTTCTATCAGATGCTTCCTGCCAATGAATGAGTGCTAAGAAGATACTAAAGCAGCCTTGCTCTTGAGACATGTCTGTGAACTTTGTCTCAAGGACTTCCCATTGACTTTCTTGAACATTTCTTAGACAAGCAGGGGCTATACGTGTCTTCCACCCAAACTTCTCTCCCTCCTGCACAGTGTCAGACTAGCATTACAGTTTGATGACTTTCCCAGTTTTTGTCAGCTCCCTTTTTATTTCCCTTCATATGGACATTTCCTCTTATAAAATCTTTGGATGTTTTATTCTCTCTTGGTGACTGCTTCTTGCATAGCCAGGACTAACAGAGATGGCCTCATACAAGGGGAAGACTTCTCCAATTAAATGACTTAATAATATATTAATTTTTTGGCTCTCTAGTAAATTCTATATAGATCTACTGTATTTTTTAAAAATTGACCTACAGGATTCAGTTTTATGAATCTATTACAGCTGACTTATCTATTCCCTTATTGATGGGTATTTATCTTGTTTTGATTTTCTTGCTATTATGCAATATGCTTCAATGAACACACTCGTGCATGTCATATTGTGCACATGAGCAAGAGTAATTCTAGTTACAAACCTAGAATTTAAATTATTGGATCAGAAAGTATAATACATGATCAATTTTCCTATGTACAACTGTATTTCTTAATATAAGAAAAATAGATAGAACTAATTTATATTTCCACTGGTAGAGTGTGAATTATTCTTCCTCTCTATTCTTGCCAACACCTAATATTGTGAGATTGTTTAATTTCCTGAGGCTCTCATTTAACGCTTTAGTATACATTTCTCTTATTCTAATGAACTGAACATCTTTTCATATGTTTACTGAAATTTCTCAGTTCCTATGATGTCCCATGCACTATGTTATTTATGAAGACATTTTAAAATCAGAATTTATAAACTTAAATTGTAATATGATTCAGTGTATTGTACAGAATGAAATTAATTTTGCATAACCACAGGGGAACCATCAGCCACCATCTATTTAAATACCTCCAATTAAATAATTTTTACTAATACCCCATGTCTTTTAATATTGAAGAATTCTAAGCTCTAACAAATAGCCCTGTAAAGTGCTTCTCTATTTAGTAATCCTCAAGGTTTAAAATCCCTATATTCATGTTTATAATCACAGACTGGTAAGCTCTTTCAAGAATTTGTTTTCTTCTTATAGTTCAAATATTTTTTCAATGTGCTTTAAATTTATGTATTTAATATTCCTGTTCTAAATTTGAGGTCACCAAGGAGACATGTCTAGAAGTTTCCATTTGTTCAAAGACAGGATTGCTACAGAGATAGCTTCTTTATATTTTTATTATTTCTCAGCTGTTTTTGTTGTGTCACTTCCAAATAACATATTAACGAAGAAACTAGTTTGATGCTTTATTACAACTGGACCACATCCCAGATATATTGATGCTTCAGTGAGGGCACTTTAATATAACCAAACCCACTTGAACCAACTTAAAGAAAGTAGGGGGAAATATGATATATGCTTTATGTGTCACATAAAAGATAGGAATGCATTGGGAACTTCAAAATAAACTGAAAGAATCAAATGGGAAAGGAACACTCATTCTGCCTTTCATGTCTGTTCGTTTCCTTGAATCTATCTCATTTTTCATCCTGGTTGAATGTTCTGGAATGTTCAACAAGAATATTCTTCTTCAGAGACCACATGTTGGAAATGTAGCTTCTATAACATCCTGAGTTTTTCTATTACTGGCCCACCCACCTGGAGGACAACCGGATTGACTCTTTCCATCTTTCAGTTTCCAGGGAAGAGATTTAAAGAGCTCATTTTGGGTTAGCTGCCCAATCCCAAGTCAGTAGACTGCATTTAGTATGATAGAGATGTTTAATATAGACATGGCTGCTTCGTATGTACCAACACGGTATGAAGAATACCAGTCACAAACTAGAGTGGAAACTGTTCTCAGACATAAAGTTGGGCTTGATAATCAGTGTAATCGATGTTCATTGTAGCTGGTGAATGTGGGATAATAAGAATTTACTAAACTCCTACTTTGCTTTCAGCTTTTAGCTTGGTCTTTGAGTGAGAGGACTGAAACTTGAGGCTATTGATACTTCCAGCAGTTAACATGAAAGTATCATGTAATTTCTACCATGTGTCAGGCAATATGGCAGACTGTTTACATGTTACCTCATTAAATACAATAAACCAAAGGGTGGCTTTCTGATACTCTGTGGCAGCCCTGGACATGCACTGCTCAGATTGCCCTTCCAGAGAACCAGCTGCAGGTAGCATTGTTGATTGACAACTTCTAGTTGCCACTCCTTTGAATTCACTCCTTTGTTCATATCAGACCATCTTTCCCCTGCAAGATATGGCTGCTTGCTCCCAGCCACAGACTAAGTCTAGCAGGGACACTGGAATTGGCTGGTTCCTGCTGGACAAGTTTGGCTCAGGGATTCCCCATCAGCCATAAGACTTTTTTTTTTTCTTTAGTATTGTGCTGTGGTCTAAGCTCTTCATATCCAATTCTTCTTTGTGTTTCTTCTTTCACAGATGCCAGACCTCTATTGCAGTCTGAAGTTTCTACTTACTTTTGCTCTGTCTCCCTTTATCTTTCACAGGTGTCTTTTTCTTCCTTTTCTTTTCTTCTTTCTTTCCTTCCTTCCTTCCTTCTTTCTTTCTTTCTTTCTTTTTTATTCTTTCTTTCCCTTTCCTTTCCCTCCCTTCCTTCCTTCCTTCCTTCCTTCCTTCCTTCCTTCCTTCCTTCCTTTCTTCTCCGTCACCCAGGCTGGAGTGCATTGGTGTGATCTTGCCTCACTGCAACCTCTGTCTCCTGGGTTCAAGTGATTCTCCTGCCTCAGCCTCCATAGTAGCTGGGACTACAGGCACATGACACCACATGCTGCTTATTTTTGTATTTTTGGTAGAGACGAGGTTTCATCATGTTGGCCAGGCTGGCCTTGAACTCCTGACCGCAGATGTTCTGCCTCTCTCGGCCTCCCAAAGTGTTGGGATTACAGGCCTGAGCCACTGCACCCCACCAAAAGGTGTTTTTCTTCATAAGCCTTTTGCATATTTAGTTCTGTCTTGGCATCTGCTTCTTGGAAGACCCAAACTGACATACACCCATTTTATAGATTATTTGTTGAGAAAATAAATAAGTTTTCCAAGGTCATATACATATTGTTAGTAAATCCTAAGTGCCAAAACTAAACATAGATCTTTCTGACATGAAAGCTCATATTCTTTCTTCTATATCATGATGCTTTCCACTACAGACTCCAAGTGTTATGATAATGTAATCATTAATTTAATGTGCAAGGATTTAGAATAATGTATGGTACATAAAAAGCAATATGTAACTGTTATTATTCTGTTGATTTTTGCCATTGTTCACATGTTGTAGAAAATGTAGAAAGCAGTTCAGCACAGCAACTTATGGTAAACCTATATGGGAGATGTTAAAACTGGCCATTCATTCTTTCTCTCTTGCATCTACCCCTTTGCAATGTGACAGTGCATGCCTTTTTATTTTACACCCCTGGAATCAGGATTGGACATGTGACTTTATTTGGCCAAGGAGACATTCATAAACATGATACAAACAAAGTTCTTAAAAGCACTTATACTTGGGGATTGTTTTTCAGTGGCCCTGGGGATCTTTCTATCACCTTGTGTAAAAGTCCAAGCTACCCTGCTTCAGGATAAAAGGGCCTATGAAATACAGCAAAATTACTAATGCTAAAGACCTCTCCTAGATCAAACAGCTCCTAGATCACCTGGTAGATTATTAAAGATGCATGTGTCAGAATAGCCAAGATGAGCAGAAAAATGATCCACTTGAGCCCAGCCCATATGACTGAACACAGAATTAGGGGATAAACAAATGGTCTTGTTTGAAGCTGTAAGTTTTGAAGTGGTTTGTTATCCAGCAAAATTTAACTGTGACCATAGGTGAGGAAAGACAAATATTTGTAGTGGTCACTCTTGGTTGCCTTTTCAGTGGCTATTCCTTCTCTCTTTCTTATTACCGTTACAGTAATGGTCTTTAGGAATCGGACCTATAGCTTCATGAAGCTCTCCCCAGTTGCAGCTAGGTAAATGTTGATTAGCATAAAGGTAAGCATAGTAATGTTATTTATTTTGCTAATGACTAAACAGCAGGTATAATGCTGACAAATGACTCACATGGAAATTATCCTGGAGAGGCTTCTGGAATTGCCCTCACTCTTAAAAAGGACATACCACATCCTGCCTTTGGACATTTTTGTATGATAATATGATGCTTGGATCTCTGGCAGCCACCTTTAAGGTATGAGGTAAAAGATGAGAGAATCACAAAGAAGATCACAAAGAAGTTGAGAAGGATAACTGATATCACTGACCCAAAGAATTAACCAACCGTTTAACCACCTACCCAATACCTTCTGTTATGTGGGATAATGTATTTTCTACTATATAAGATGTACAAATTAGGTTTTTCTATAACTTGTAGCCGAGGGTATCATTTTAGACATAGTGGTTAATTTTAAGCTTCTTAGAATTTCAACAAACTTTTGAAATGAGTACATGAATATTCATGCAAAAAGATGAAGTGTAACCACTAATAAACTTCACCTTTCAAATTTTCTCTTCTCTTCTCTCCTCCTCTTCTCCAAACCTACACAGAGCTTTATAAAAATACTAAGTTAGAAAAGCAACACTTTGGTTTCATACCAAGATAATATTCTCTAACTTTTCCAAGTATTATCATATATTTCAATTCTAAAAACACAGCTTATTCCTTTAAAATAAATTTATTTAAACTGGAGGCTTATATGACACAAAATCAAATTATTAGAAGAGAATCTCACATAATAGCTTTGATTTATTTTGAGAGGAGGATTTGAACCCTTCAGGCAAAACCAGAAACCATGGACTAAAAATGCCATTTTCAAAATTTCTCATGATGTTAGCCATCTAGGTAGGGAAATAAAATGTATTTTTTATTTTTAGAGCAAAACTGTATCCACTAGGATGCACTGTTGCCTCATAGCTTTCCAATAAAATCCCTTATTTCTAAAGCGTGTTCATGAATTGCCCCTGCCAAATCAGGAATGCCTCATCACACTTCCTTCAAGCAAGCATGCATGTTGCTGTTTCTTTATTTCACTGCAATCCAGAAAGTGTCATGCTGTAAGATAGAAAAGAATGATGCTGGAAAGCAGCTGACATGCAATAGGTTTGATTACTGGCAACACTCTAATGTCTGATGAGAACACTGCAGCCGAGTCCTGCCAATTATTTACATCTCCAAAGGATAAATGATTTCCCAAATGGTATCCAACCACCAAGGCACCCAGAGTGTTGCAGAAATGTTTCTAAATTGTGAATTTGAAGGATAACTATATGAAAGCGATGTTCATGGAGTTTGTGCCCTAGCAAAGATTGACACGAGGCATCTAGACAACCTGAGTCTCTCCCATGGTATGACAGGGTTAATTATAAACTCTTCAGGTAATCTCATTTGGCAGGAGAGATGCAACCAGTGGTAGAGGGTGCTGACTCGGAAGGGAGAAAGTTATCAGTCTATGAGCAAATAATCACTGAGCGCTCAAAGCATGCCAGGTCTCGGTCTTTATGATCAGAACTTCTGCCAAAGATGAGTGGGCCACATAGGGCAAAGGCTTTAATGGGGAAAGACGGAGGTCTCTTTATCACAGCCACTGGTATCTGTGGTGTTGATGAATACCTGTAAGGACATGGAGTTACATTTTGATATATTTCTTCTTTAATTTAGTACATTAAATTAAACTAGGTGTTGATGAGACAATGATGAAAATGCTAGCATGAGCTCAACCCTCAAGAAAATTAGAAAATCTGAGGAATGATCCTCATGGCCCAAATCACAGATTCCTGCTGGTCAGAATCTTCGCAACAGTTAGTATATTTTACCATCTGCTTCCATACTGTCTTCCCAGCCACAGCTTCCAGGATCAACTCCATGATATATTTTTGGCTTTATGCCTCATCCCTTAAACACACACCCAAACAGATACGTACATACCTCTTTCATCCAAGCTTCTTCCTGAACTCCTGTAATTTGGCACTGGTCTGCTATTCTCTCAGATTGTAATAAACTTAGCTTCTTCTCCCCTCTCTACTTACCTTTCATCTTTTTATTTCCACAATAACCGTGACTTCATCTACAAAGCCTGTATGTATTTTTCTGAATTACTTTTTTGTTTCCTAGGATTTAGTAAGACACATACTGATATAGACCTTTCATTAGGAACAAAACAGATATTAGCTACATAAATACTAGCTATTTTGGTTGGTTTTATCTTTTCTTTTATGTTTTGTACCACACATCCTTGGTTACATAGAACATCTATACGCTATGGTAGATTGTCTACAAAAATGGCCACCAACACTTCTTCTTATCCCTGAATATCCATATACTCCTTCCATCAAGTGGTGAGGTCTATTTCCTCTCCCCTTCATCCCACAACTTGCTTAGGCCCATAGAATGTACCCTTAGTAGTGTTTTAAAACTCCCAGAACAAGGTGTTAAGGGAACTGGAGGTTTTGGTTTGTACCCTGTTGGGATCCAGCTGCCATGTGAAAGGCTTAGAGAATTATTACAGACATAAAGATGAATGGAGAGAGAGAAAAAAAAAAAAAGAAAAAACAAGAGGGAGAGGACAGCCAGCACTGCCTTTCCAGCTGCTCCAGCTAACATACCTGGGAGTGAGTAAACCATCTTGGATGTTCCAGTCCCAGACAAGCTTCCAGCTAAATACAGCTGCATAAATTACTCAAATACAATCCATGTGCAGTAGACATGATCCATCACCGTGAAGCCTGGCAAAATTTTGGACTTGTGGGGTAACAAATGGCAATTGACTTAAAACCACTGAGTTCTGGAGTGGCTATGTATACAACAGATAATTGAACATCTACAAGGTACAGCATGCAAGCTCTTTGCAGTGGCTACATATACAACAGATAATTGAAACGTCTACAAGGTACAGCATGCAAACTCTTTGCAGGAGAGAAGTATGCCTTACCCATTTATAAATCTCCTAATGCCTGGATCAGTTTCATGACAATTTAATTTAATGTCAATGATGGCATTAAATTAACATCTCAAAGTGAAACAAATATGCTCACTGGCTGCCTACAGCTCCTGTTCACCTTGCATCATTTGAATGAGCTCTTTAAACCTGAATGATTGCTGCAGATATTGTTGGCACTTCTGCTTAGCTGGCATCTCACATTGTGTACTTTTAAAATTTGCTCTGAAATGCGGACTTTCCAGCCTGATTGCAAGCCCAGGGTTTATCATTCTGTCCCAAGGGCATTGTCCTAAATATCCTCTTGCACTGATCCGTTAATGTGGCCTGATCTACCACAGTCTTTTAAGTTTCAAAGGAAATCTGAAATCATTTGTAGCTATGAACAAATAGTCTTTCAATAATAAGAAATAAAAAGAGATATGGAAATCACTGTCTCTACATATCCACTGCCCACATAATATCATAAGTTCCAGCTTATGTGGCACTATTTCCATCTAATGTTGAGTTGTGTTCCAGATTTGTGATATCTTCCCAAGTACTACCAGCTCTTCTTGACCTCCACAATGCTGTGAAATGTCGAATTGTTGAAACTTATGCTTCATGGTTTAGTGTTGTCTTTTTCTGGACTCCACACCTCCTGTGCAAACATCTCTCACATTTGACTGCCAACAAATCTTGAGCCTGGCTTCAGACCTTGCATTAAAATATCAATAGGAACCAGTCAGAATGGTGATTATTGAAAAGCCAAAAAAGAACAAATACTAGCGAGGTTGTGAAGAAAAAGGAAAGCTTTTACACTGTTGGTGGGAGTGTAAATCAGTTCAACCATTGTGGAAGACAGTGTGAAGCTTCCTCAAAGACCTAGAGACAGAAATATTATTCGACCCAGCAATCTCATTACTGAGTACATATGCAAAGGACCGTAAATCATTTTATTATAAAGACACATTCAAGCCTATGTTCATTGCAGCACTATTCACAATACCAAAGACATGGAATCAACCTAAATGCCCATCAGTCATAGACTGAATAAAGAAAATGTGGTACTTATGCACCATGGAATATTATGCAGCCATACAAAGGAACAAAATCCTGTCCTTTGCAGGGACGTGGACGAAGCTGGAAGCCATTACCCTTAGCAAACTAACGCAGGAATAGAAAACCAAATACTGCATATTCTCACTTATAAGTGGGAGCGAAATGATGAGGACACACGGACACCTCACAGGGAGCAACACACACTGGGACCTGCTGGAGGGTGCAGAGGGAGGAGGGGGAGGATCAGTAAGAACAGACAGTGGTTGCTGGGCTTAATACCTAGGTGATGGGGTGTTCTGTGCGGCAAACCACCATGGCACACATTTACCTAGGTAACAAACCTGCACATCTGGCACACGTACCCCTGAACTTAAAATAAAAGTTGGGAAAAAAGAAGACAAATAAATAAGCAAATAAAAGTGTGTGTCACCTCCAAAGAAACAGAAGAGAGAAGAAATGTCAGTGGGAGAGGCTAACATTAGCTTTGACACATGCTATTTATCTTGTTCAAGTAGAAATGTGACGCCATGCTTAGTTTATAATATGGAAGAGATCATTTCCTGTCAAGGTAACACCATTTATGAAACCTGCCTTTCCAGTGTACTGGACTACACTTTTACTTCCAATGTTCATTTTATTGAAACTGCAAAGTATACATTCACCATAGGCTTCTTTGCAATAATTTTGTCTTGTGTCTTGTAATAGAGTTCTCTAGAGGGACAGAACGAATGGAATATATATATATATATATAGACATACATATATATATACATATATATATATACATACATATATATATACATATATATATATACATACATATATATATACATATATATATACACACACACACACACACACACACGTATATATATATATACACACACACATACGCTTGGCAGAAGCACTGCAGGCAAGATAGGCGAACCCATATCTGGAGTAAGTGTCTTTTCCAGTGAGGACAAACCTCTGCCCTTTCCATGATGGAAGAGGTCCAATATTATATATATTATATATCTCTATATGTAATATATATGATATATATTGTATATATACAATATAATATATTGTATATATTTATCTAATATATAGTACATATACTATATAATGTATATATAATATATATTATATACATAGAATTTTATTAAGTATTAACTCACCTGATCACAAGGTCCCGCAATAGGCCATCTGCAGGCTGAGGAGCAAGGAGAGCCAGTCCAAAACTGAAGAACTTGGATTCTGATATTCATGGGGAAGAAACATCTATCACCACCGTGGGAGAAAGATGCAGGCTGGGAGGCTAGGCCAGTCTCTCTTTTCACATTTTTCTCCCTGCTTTTATTCTAGCTGCACTGGCAGCTGATTAGATTGTGCTCACCCAGATTAGGGGTGGGTCTGCCTTTACCAGCCCACTGACTCAAATGTTAATCTCCTTTGGCAACACCCTCACAGACACACCCAGGAACAATGTTTTATATCTTTCAATCAGTTGACACTCAGTATTAACCATCACAAGTCCACCCCTTGTCAACTTGAACGCATACACATCTCCTGAGATCATACATAATCTTTAAATAAAGACAATAATAAAGTCATACTAACGCCTAACATAACTATCCTTCGTATAACCAGAAATGCAGCTATCCCCAATCCAAATACTATTACGTAAAGTTAATAATACTTGAATGCTGATGTGAAGTCAATAAGTCTTATGTCACATGATAAAGGAGAAAGGAAATAAAATGAAGATATTTTCTTAGTAGAAGTGTACACATGCACAAACATGTCTTTAAGAACAGAAGGAGGAAATACTCATGACAATTACAGTCCTCGTTTCTGCAGCTGGTCATGTGGTCATAGCTGGTATTGATGACTAACTTCTTCTCCTACCCATTCTGTATTCCCTTTGCCTTCAGCAAGCATCTCAGCAGGTCGTGTTTTTTTTTTTCCTGGTGGAGAGACCCAAACTTTCATTCCTGAAAGTCTGGGTCATTTGTAGTCCTGCCTGGATTGGGCTTTTGTAGCTTCCCATTGACCTTAATCACAGGGCATGGTAATACTAAGAGATGCCCTAATGGATCTCCTGTATTCCATGCATACTCTTCCTTACCTCCATTGTGGAGTAGTAGACTGATTTCATTGTGATAGTCCGGGTCAATCACCCCAGCCAACACTGTAACTCCCTTCTTAGCCTGTTGACTTAAAAGTAAGAGGAGTCCAAAGTGTCCAGGTGGCAATCTTAACTTCCAGTTTAATGGAATCGTTATTGTCTCTTCTGGTGGCAGCGTTCCTCCCTCTGGAACTAAGACCTCTGGCCAGCAGAATGTAATGTCGCAGGAATAGGAAGCAACAATTTTGCTAGTGGATCACTAGGGGTGATGGTGAGTGGTGACACTTCCACTTCCACCCTTTGATTCCTGGACCAGTGAATCCTGGACCAGTGAATCCTGGCTATGGAAGAAACAGTATCATATATTGGACACTGATTCAGAGCATACATGGCCTTCTGGAAAACTTTGGCCCAGCCCCACGAAGTATTGTTACCTAGTTGGTGTTGTAATTGTGACTTCAAAAGGCCATTCATTCCACCGTTCTATCAATCCAGCTACTTCAGGATGATGGGGAACATGGTAAGACCAGTGAATTCCATGAGCATGAGCCCACTGCCGCACTTCTTTAGCCATAAGGTGAGTGCCTTGGTCAGAGGCAATGCTGTGTGGAATACCATGATGGTGGATGAGGAATTCCATGAGTCCATGGATGGTAGTCTTGGTAGAAGCATGGCATGCGGGATAGGCAAACTCATATCTGGAATAAGTGTCTATTCCAGTGAGGACAAACCTCTGCCATTTCTATGATGGAAGAGGTCCAATATAATCAACCTGCCGCCAAGTAGCTGGCTGATCACCCCAAGGAATGGTGCCATATCGAGGGCTCAGTATTGGTCTCTGCTGCTGGAAAATTTGGCACTCAGCAGTGGTCATAGATAGGTCACCCTTGGTGAGTGGAAGTCCATGTTGCTGAGTCCATGAGTAACCGCTATCTCTGCCACCATGGCCACTTTGTCCATGGACCCACTGGGCAATGACAAGGGTGGCTGGGGAAAGAGGCTGAGTGGTCTCCATGGAATGGGTCATTCTTCATCCTTCATTATTAAAATCCTCCTCTGCTAAGGTCACCTGTTGGTAAGCATTCACATGGGATACAAATGTCTTCACAGTTTTTGACCACTCAGAGATGTCCATCCACATAACTCTTCCCCAAATTTCTTTGTCACCAATTTTCCAATCATGCTTCTTCCAAGTCCATGACCAACCAGCCAAACCATTGGCTATGGCCCATGAATTGGTATATAATCACCCATCTGGCCATTTCTCTGTTCATTCAAAGATCACAAACAGGTGCACTGCTTGAAGTTCTGCCCACTGGGAAAATGCACTGGACTTATTGATTTGTGAGGCATTTGTGTACTCTCCACTGCCGTCCTTCATGGATGTCCTAGAAAGGGGCTGTAGTGCTGCAGCTGTCCACTTTCGGGTGGTGTCTGCACATCATGCAGAACCATCTGTGAACCATGCCCTTGTCTTCTCTTCTTCTGTCAACTGATCATAGGAAATACCCCATGAGGCCACCAGTGCAGGCTGGGGAGAGAAGGTAGGGTGTCAGGAGTGCAGACCATGGGTGTTTGAGCCACTTCCTAATGTAACTTACTTGTGCCTTCAGGACCTGCTAGAGTCAGATCACGTATATACTACTTCCATTTGATGATGGAATACTGATGTGCATAACCCACTTTATGGCTAGATGGGTCTGAAAGCACCCAGTTCATGATAGGCAGTTCAGGTTGCATGGTGAGTTGATGACCCGTAGGCAAACATTCAGTTTCCACCAAAGCCCAGTAACAGGCAAAGAACTGTCTCTCAAAAGGAGAATAGTTATCTGCAGAAGATGGCAGGGCCTTGCTCCAAAATCCTAGAGGCTTCTGCTGTAATTCACCTATGGGGGCCTGCCAAAGGCTCCAACCAGCACACCTATCAGCCATTGACACCTCAAGCACCATTGGATCTGCTAGGTCTTATGGTCCAAGTGGCAGAGCAGCTTGCACAGAAGGCTGGATCTGTTGCAGAGCCTTCTCCTATTCTGGACCCCACTCAAAACTGGCAGCCTTTTGGGTCACTCGATAAATGGGCCACAGTAACCCACCCAAATGAGGAATGTGTTGTCTCCAAAATCCAAATAGACCCACTAGGCATTGTGCATCTTTCCTGGTTGTAAGAGGGGCCAAATGCAGCACTTATCCTTCACCTTAGAAAGAATATCTCAACAGGTCCCACACCACTGGACTCCTAGAAATTTTACTGAGGTAGAAGGTCCCTGAATTTTAGTCTAATTTGTTTCCCATTCTGTGACACACAAATGCCTCATCAATAAGTCCAGTGTGTTTTCTACTTCTTGCTCACTGGATCCAATCAGCATAATGTCATCAGTGTAATGGACCAGTGTGATACCTTGCGAAAGCAAAAAGTGATCAAGGTCCCTCCAAATAAGATTATGACACAAAGCCAGAGAGTTGATATGCCCCTGAGGTAGGACAGTAAAGGCATATTGCTGGCCTTGCCAGCTGCCGACAAATTGCTTCTGGTGAGCCTTATAAACAGAAATGGAGAAAAAGGCATTTGCCAAGTCAATGGCTGCATGGCAGGTACCAGGAGATATGTTAATTTGCTCAAGCAATGAAATCACATCTGGTAAGCAGCCGCAATTGGAGTTACCGCTTAGTTAAGCTTATGATAATCCACTGTCATTCTCCAAGATCCATCTGTCTTCTGCACAGGCCAAATGGGAAAGTTGAATGGGGATGTGGTGGGAATCACCACCCCTGCATCTTTCAAGTCCTGATGGTGGCAATAATCTTCACAATCCCTCCAGGAATGTGATATTGGTTTTGATTTACTATTTTTCTAGGTAGAGGCAGCTGTAATGGCTTCCATTTGGCCCTTTGTCACCATAATAACCCTCACCCTACCAGCCAGGGATCCAATGTGGGGGTTCTGCCAGCTGCTAAGTATGTCTATGCCAAATCTGCATTCTGGCACTGGGGAAATGACCACAGCATGAGTCCGGTAACCCACTGGACTCACTGTAAGTCAGACCTGAGCTAAAACTCCATTAATTACCTGACCTCCATAAGCCCCTACTTTAACTGGAGGACGACAGTGATGTTTTCGGCCTCCTGGAATCAACATCAGCCAAAAGCCAGTGTCCAGTAGTCCCTGAAATGTCTTATTATTTCCCTTTCCCCAATGCACAGTTACCCTGGTAAAAGGTCAGAAGTCTTCTTGGGGAAGAATGGGAAAAAGATTCACTGCATAAATTGTCGGTAATATACTGGGGTCTTTCCTCAAGGGGATCCGGCCTCTCCTTCATTCAAGGGGTTCCAGATCTGTAAACTGGCTCAAGTCTGGAAATTGATTGATGGACGATGATTTTCTGTTTTTATAATTCAAAGTAGTCTTTTGTGCATTTGACCTAGAAATTTTCTGCTTGTATTAATTAAGTAGAAATACAGTAGTCTTCCTATCATTTTCACTTCTAGCAACACCGTGATTAATTAGCCAATACCAGAGCTCTACACTAGTCAGACTATTCTGATTGCTGCCTTGCCTCTGCTGTCCATGACAGTAGCTATGCCCACCTTGCCTTTGATGATTGAGTGCCGCCACTTGGCCTGTGCCACCTCAGGATCCAGTTATTCCTACTCTATTTAAATTTTGTAGTTGAGTGACTGCGGGTCCCACTGTTAGATCTGACATACAGAGAAGAGCAACCACAGGGCTCTTCAAAGATGCAGGTGCTGCCCTCACAAATGTATTTTGCAAGGCATTAGTCAAGGGTATATCTTCTGGACCCTCACAGCTGGGATGAGTAGGTCTAAAGGGAGTAATCCACTCCACCATCCGAATCTCCTTAAGCTTTTGGATCCCTTCATCTACATTAAACCAAGTGAGATCAGGCATTTCCAGCTTACTCACAGTGGGCCATCTTTTAATCCATATTTCAGCTAACCAAGCAAATAAACTATTAGAATCTTTTTAACTCCCTGAGCTGCAACATGAAATGCAGAGTCCCTACTTAGTGGGCCCAAATCAATAAATTCAGCCTGATCCAACTCTATGTTCCTTCCACCATTATCCCACAGCCTTAATATCCATTCCCATGTCTGTTCTCCAGATTTCTGTTTATATGAATTAGTAAACTCAAGCAGTTCTTTTCGAGTGTAATGCACCTCCTCTTGGGACACACTGTGAACCCCACCTCTAGGGACCCACTGGGACTTTAGTTATATGTCTAGAAGTAAACAGGGGTGTTGGGGGTTGCTCCTAAGGAGAATCAACATTATCTTGCCTGGCAACTGCCTCAGGGGAGGCCTCAGGCAGCACAGGGTATATCTCCTCAGACAAAGGTAGAAAGGCTCATGACAGCATGGGTCGAGGAGGGGATATTGCCACTACTGGGGATGGGGAAGCTGTTTCTTCTGGCAAAAAAAAAAAAAAAAAAAAAATTCATCAGCAGTGTCCCCAGCTTCATCAGGATCCTCTCACACATTCCCATTCCAAGTTGCAAGGTCCCATTCTTTTCCAATCAATGCCCTCACTTTAACAGTAGATACCTGGTGAGGCGGTTCATGCACCTTTTCTTGCAGTCAGCCACTTGCATGGTAAGAGCTTGGGTCTGTTTTCCCAAATTTCAGCTCTTTCTCTACAGGAGGTAAGACTCTCACTCAGGGCAATCTAATCAGATTTGAAGCTCAGTATCTGCTTCTGAAGCTGGGAGATAGAATCGCTGAGTTCAGCATTTTCTTTCATTATTTTATCTGCTGAACTTAGGAGCAACCAACCAGTTTCATTACATTCTTGCTTCTCCACAAATGGTCAAAGGTATTATGTGTAGAGTCACTAAACTCCTTGCCACTCATGAGCAATGAATCAGGAGTGTAAAGTGCATTTACTTTGCATAACTCTGTAAACAGTTCATGTCGATGACTATCAGGGTTTGCCATGCTATTAGAAGTAGAGTCCTTAGCATTTTTGAGTCTAATCATATTAAGCAGCCAACTCCAGAAACCCCAAAACCAAGAAAAGAACTCCATCCTTAACATTCTGTTCCTCTAGAACCACTCCTGATACCAAAATCTGTTATTAATCAGGGTTCTCTAGAGGGACAGAACTAATATATATGTATTTTATTAACTATTAACTTACATGATCACAAGGTCCCACAGTAGGCCATCTGCAGGCTGAGGAGTGAGGAGAGCCAGTCTGAGTTCCAAAACTGAAGAACTTGGAGTCCGATGTTCCAGGGCAGGAAGCATCCAGCAAGGGAGAAAGATGTAGGCTGGAAGACTAGGCCAGTCTCTCTCTTCACATTTTTCTGCCTGCTTTTATTCTAGCTGCACTGGCAGCTGATTATATTGTGCCCACCCAAATTAAGGTGGGTCTGCCTTTCCCAGCCCACTGACTCAACTTTTAGTTTCCTTTGGCAACACCCTCACAGACATACCCAGGATCAATACTTTGTATCCTTCAATCCAATCAAATTGACACTCATTATTAACTATCACATTTCTATTCTGTTCCTAAAGCCACACTGTCTCAACTTCTTTTAAAGCACCTTTTTGGCCTGGGCCCGAAGGCTAGACAAATCAATTTAGTCCAGTATCAAGAACAAGGCAAAACAAGACAAAACAAAAAAATTCCACTTTTCTCTGCATTAAGTTGTCAATAACCCTAAAGCATCTTCCATGTGTAAACACTGTAAACTTGACTTCTTTCTAGAAGATTAAAGTTCTGGATTAGTAGTTGTACATAAACAAAGTATGCAGGCTAAATTATTTTTACCCATTATTATGTCCAATGTCTGCTTATTATCAGGGAGGACTTTGCCAGAACCCAACTTTGAATTTGTTCATTCAAATAATTAGTACACTAAGGCTTATATACGTGAAACAAGTAAAAAGTAATCATGGTGTTATGTAACCAAGTATTAGAAATGTCAGATGGGATATTTGTCAGCATTCAGTGATTTAAAGCTTTTGATATCTGTAAAAAAATGTATTTTCTCTCTTTTATTAGTTTCCTGTCATGAGACGTTTGTGCTTCTTTAGTCATTGTCACTTGATTCAAACAGTAAAGTCTGTGCTGGATGAACATTTTCATTTATATAATAAGAATGGCTTTAATAAACACTTCACTCAGGGGAGATATTTAAAGTAAGTTCTTTAAGGCCTGGCACTGTGGTTTACACCTGTAATCCCAGCACTTTGGGAGGCCAAGGAGGGAGGATCGTTTGAGCTTACTAGCTCAAGACCAGCCTGGGCAACATGCCGAAATTCATTCTCTTCAAAAAAAAAAAAAAAAATACAAAAATTAGCCGGGTGTAGTGGTGGGCACCTGTAGTCCCATCTACTCAGGAGGCTGAGATGGGAGGATGATTTGCGCCTGGGAGGCAGAGGTTGCAGTGAGGCTGTACTCCAGTCTGGGCGACTAAACTTTTCTGAGAAAAAGTGAGAGGGCTTGGAAGGATGGTTTATGACAATGAACCAAAGAGCTCTAGCTTTATTTGCATAATAAGGGAGTTCCAAAGAGATTAGAGGGATTTGGAAGCTTGCCTGTATACTAGGCAAATGATCCAGCGTATTCTTGTACATGCTCATCCATAACCTTTTTGAGTAGGTAGCAGTCTGCACAACCTGCTTCCATGGCACGGATAATTGGAACAGTGGTTGTCTTTCTCCAGAATATTTGACTGAGAATCCCAGAGCAAAGTTGATTATGAACTTGGAAGGTCATATAAATGCAGGTGTTAGGGCTGGAAGGTCATATCAACACAGGTGTTGGGTCTGCCATTTTAGAGAATAATGGGTGGTGGAAGAAGCCATAAAAAGATTAGAGGAAGAAAAAAGGGGAAAAATGAGTAAATGTCTGAAGGGCAGACATGTAGTATCTCATGGCAGAGGCAAAGGCATGACTGATTCTCAAAGCTGCCTGCCTTCCTGCCCTTCATATGAATGGCTGCCCAGATACTCTTAAGCCCTATATTTGTATGTCCTTTCAAAACTTCCCTTTTTTTTTAGGTTCCTTGAGCAAGCCATTGTTTCTTGAAACCAAAATTACCTAATGGGTGCAGTATTTGGGGGGAAAAATGAAGCCTAAGGGAGAATACTACAAAGGAAAACTTATGAACTGATAAGAGAAGCCAACCAGGAAGGACATACAAGTATGAATGAGTAAGTCACAAAAGGAAGATGGAGATAGGAAGAACTTTGTTTGGAGGCTGAAATCAGCAAAATCGAGTCAAAACAAAGTGTGGACATACTTTAAGGGAAACGAGAAAGGTTAATATCATGGGTCAAGACAATTTAGGATGAAGTGAAAGCATTGTAAAGGCAGTGCCAAAAAAAGGTTAAGTTTTCATATATCTTCTCTCTGACAGATTATTCAATTCTGACATTTTTATACCTCCTTTCTTCACTGAAAATAGTCGAAAACATTGCTTTGTTTTTTTTACAACATACTTCATATTAACCTGTCCTAATTAAAATGTGAACTTTTGTTTTATTTGTAAGAGATACTTAAAATGTTATTGCTACAGTGTACACTATTTTCCCTCTTTAATAATTTGCAAGTAACATAATTCCTTAACAATATTTTTATGGAAAGGTCAGTGAGGCCACAAAACACATTTAGCTGACAGCACTTGGAGTTTCTGCCTTTGAAAACATGTTCAGCAGTTTCCAAGTCCATCTATTTCTTATTTTGAACTTTCTCTTGCAAACTACAAATGCCGTGTGTATATATATATATATGAATATATATTATATATAATACATATGTGTGTATATATGTACTTATATACTATATATATATATATATATATATATATATATATATATATACACACAACATAGTGAGGCCCCATCTCTACAAAAAATAAAATAAGGTTAAAAAAATAAAAATTAAATCAAATTTAAAAAGTCAGCTGGATGTGGTGACATGTGCCTGTAGTCTTAGCTACTTGGGAGGCTGAGGCTGGAGGATTACTTCAACCAAGGAGATCGAGGCTTTAGTACGTCATGTTCATACCCCTGCACTCCAGCCAGAGTGATAGAGTAAGACCCTGTCCTCTGCCAAGAATAAAAATTAACGAAAAATGAAAAACATGAAAAATGAAACCTATACAGTCATATGTTACTTAACAATGGGGATTCATTCTGAGAAAGGTGATTTTGTCATTGGTGCAAACATCAGAGTGTACTTACACAAATGTTGATGTTATAACTGGCTGCACACCTAGGCTATGTGGTATAGCTTATGGCTCCTAGGCTACAAACCTATACAGCATGTTACTTTCCTGAATACTGAAGACAATTGTAACACAAAGTTAAGTTTTTGTGTATCTAAACATACCTAAACATAGAAAAAGTACAGTCAAAATGTGGTATTATAATCTTATGGGACCACATTGTATAAGCAGTCTGTCATTGACTGAAATGTCATTATGCAGAGCATGGCTCTGTTTCATCAATAGAAAACAGCACCAAGCAGTCCTCCAACAACAGCACCATGCCTACAGTGTGGGCCAACAGGCTGGACGCACTCATGCACAAGCAGGGCAGATGCCAGGTGTACAGATTTCTTCCCCCCAGCAGTTCTCAGTGTGTTCCAAACCAATGCTGCTTGTAGAGCCATTTCAAATTCCGCATGATGCGTATCTATGTGTGTCAGTGCAACATTCATCTTTCCACACCCATATACACAGATTCACTTTCAAGCAAAGAATGCTTCGATACATTGTGCTGGTCAAATGTCCCACTGTTCTCATGTCCACTCCTTATAATGGAGGACAGGGGAATGGAGAAAGCTGGTATGCCTGCTCACCCTCTCCCTCTTCTTCTTATGGCAGATCTAGCCATTATCACTTAAGTTCCTGCTGCCCCTGAATAGCTTTTTTCACATGGTCCCTGGTCCAAAGGGACAGCCTCACTGTGGCTCTGGCGATGGCATGGCAGCCTGAAATTCTTTGACCTGCCTCAGGAAGCCATTTCTGTTTCCTGAACAGCCTAAAGTGATCTATGCTTATATCACAATCTTGGGCACATCCAAACACTCTCATGTGTGCATACATATTCAACCTTATTATTATTGTTGTTACGTTATTGTTATCAGAATTGTAATAAACACTTACATAGTGCTTCCTATGTGTGAGACAGTCTCCTAAGCTATTAAGTCATTTAATCTTCATCACAACCCTGTGAAGTAAATTCTAGTATAATCATTTCCTTGTTGCAGAGGAGGAAAACCGACACCTGAAGGGATTAAGGTGGGATGCACAACTTGCACTGGCAATCCAGTTCCAGAGCCCATACTCTCGTTCCCTACACACACTTTCTTTCTATACCTGCATGCACATGCTCACACGTGCAGACACACATGCATCTGCCTGCTCGTCCATATAAAAATCTAAACGTAGCTCTAGCACTCTAGACCCTCACTTCATGCATTGAACCAGCATATGGGACGTGGCTCAAATAAGCATATTATAAAATCTTCCACATGATTTAGATTAATGATTCTATTTAGAAACCATTGCTTTAATCCATGTCTTCTGTGGTTCTTGTCTAATTGTGAGGCAGAATTGGGAAAGGCTTCACAGAGGGGAGAGTATTTTCTAAATCCATCTTCTCTCTTTTTACCTCTTTTAGCCAGGAGCCAGCATGATGTAGAACTACATTTAATACCAAAGGGTCTTTCCAGATTCCCATAGCTCTCCTCATTATGGTCTTTTATTATGGAAAACATTCTCTCACATCTCGCATTCTTGCCTCATCTATCTACTCCAAGTGAGTTTGGTAGTTAGAGACTGGAAATTTTTCCTCTTTAAATACTATACATTTTTAAAATCTGTATTAATTTAGGATTGATTAAATGGGTTAATTCCAGACTTTCCAAGGCTAACACCGTATCATGTGGTATCTTGAAAGCCTGGAGGTTTTGAGATATCTGCTATTTTTATAACCTAAAGAGTGAAGAAGTGGCTCAGGAGAAGAAAATTAATCTCAGTGTTTTCATGGGATAGGGATCGTTCTGGGAGTATAGGGAGAACCATGAGAGGAAATGTAGGAAAAGTATGTACTCTACATATTTAGGGAGATTCCTAGTGCATGACATTTGGGACATAAAACCTTTTATATTTTTTGTGAGACAAACAGACTTGATTCAGGCTTCTCTATGCTATTTATGAGCCCCAAGAAGGCTTAGCTACAAGGTAGGGGACTTGTGACTTGGAGTTTGTTATAATGATAGGAAATCTTATGTTAACAAAACAATATCAAAGTAAACCATTTCAATGAAGTTGTTAACTAAATTCTCTTACTTTCCTCTCCAATCTGGCATAGTTTTCACAACTCCAAAACTGAGATAACAATAGTGCCACCTTCCTCAGTTGTTAGACGGAATAAATGAGTAGTACCAGCCCACAAAATGCTGAATAAGTGTCAGCTTTTAGTAATAGAATTCTAATTGGTATTGAATAATATAATTTCTGATATAAGGGATCATTCAAAAGAATTGAGTTTTAAATTTTCTACTATATACAGCTAGCTTAAGAGTTTAATATAACACTTTGACATCCATTTTTTTCTTTCCAAAACTAGCAATTACATCCAGTTTCCAACATAGCATAATGAAATGTTTAGATACAATTGTAATGTTTTATATTTGAGAAATCAAAGCTAGAGACTGGTTCAAGGAGACATAGCTACCAAAGGCAGAGTCAGGGCTCCAACGCAGGTCTTCTGATGAATAGTGAGAAAATAAGACAAACTATGATAAGTCTTAAAATATGGCATAAGTTCTATTGTGGTTCAGATGAAGAAAGGGGAACATCTTAATGGGAACTGATGGATAGAGGGTGCCTGTTTGAAATTCTGTTCAATTGCTTACGTTTTGCCTGGATGTTTCTGTAGATTCCACTGAATTAGTCAGCCTTACTGATTTGAGGTTCTGACCATGAAAGTTGGCTTCAGAGTCATTTCATCCTAATCCAGTTAGAATCAGCTTCACCCTTTTCACTTACATGATAAATCAGGCTCAAGCCTTGCACTCTGCTTGAGAGGAGGTTGGAAATGAGTTCCCAATTTAGAATAAGACCATCTGCACCATATGTGGGCCATCCAACTGGGACTGGCTCTGCCCTGGCTACCAAACTAATTATGGATATATTTCAGGGTGTAAGTTACTAGGCTTAAAATCCTTAATTGGCAAAGTTTTATTTTGTTAAAATCCCTTTGCTTTCGCTTTGGAAAAAAAGCTCAGTAATCAAGATAAAATATGTAATGGACTATTAATTCAAATCAAATTTAATTTTAAAAAATCCATGATGAATATAACATTAAAATTTTAAATGAAGACAAGATTGAATACTTCAGAGCCCTTCCTCTGTATCCTCATCCTAATCTGGCCCTCTTTCCAATAAAAGTTTTTAAAAGTAGGCAGCCAGCGTACAGGCCATAGTTTACCCATTTGATCTAAATTTAATTTAAATCTAAATATATATGTATATATTTAAATCTAAATATATATGTATATACTTAAATCTAAATACATACATATATATATAGCATGAAATTATCTTGATTATGGAGTTTGGGGGTGACTATTTAAATATTGCTTCTAAGGCAAGTGCCTTTCTAACCCCACCTTGGTCCCAAATTAGGTTCCCAGTAGCTTTACAGTTGAGATGCTTAGTTAACCCACTGTCTATCACACTTAACTTGCTTATATACCAACACATTTTTGCATAATATCTCAACACCTGTGTTCCAGAAAAGTCCTGGTGTGGAAAATCCCAGAGAATAAAGATTAATAGCGCCTATTCATTTCATGCTCACAGTAACCATGTGAAGTAGATGCCTTTATGATGACCCTCATTAAGGAATGAGAAAGATGAAGCAATAATGATTAAATAGCTTACCCAGGGCAACATAGCAAGTAAGGGATGAGGCTGAGCTTTAGACTCAGCCGGGCTGACTCAAGAGTCCATCTCCTAGGCTGCTACACCAAGTTGCCTGTGTTCAGCAGGAAGTAGGAAGCAGGAAAGAGAGCCCAGGTAGTGCAGAGCAAAAGATATAGGATGGGGAAAGAGTGTTTTCCGTGGGCATTCTGGTCCCTAGTTTGATGCTATGTGATGCCATCTGCATTTCCGCCTTTGGGTCGTGCGATTCGTCCTGTATCCTTGGAGAAACTCTCATCATTAACTTGCACTAGCACAAGTAGATTTCTGCTGGTCCTCAAAAGATCTTCAATACAAAAACAATCATGGATCAAGGCTGATTGTTCCAAAACTCCACCCTGATAACACCCACATTGCTTTCTTACTTTGACATCTGTACTAGTTTTTATCAACTCAACAATCATTTCATTTGTATTAAATGTTTATAGTTTTGTCTACAGGCTATTTTACCACTATTGTTATTCTTTTCAAAAATAGTGATATATGAGCAAATATATATACAGTTGATCCTCCATATTTGTGGATTCCACATCTGCAGATTTAACCAGTCGCAGATTGAAAATAATTTTTAAAAAATTATAGCTGCAATTGTACTTAATATGTACAAACTTTTTTCTCTTTTCATTATTTTTTAAACAATACAGTACAACCACCATTTTTAAACATTTACCTCGTATTGGGAATTATAAGTATTCTAGAGATGATTTAAAGTATACAAGAGGATGTTTGTACGTTATATGCAAATAGTAGGCTATTTTATATCAGGGACTTGAGCATCTGTGGATTTTGGTGTTTTAGGGTCCTGGAACGAATCCCTCAGGGACAGCAAGGGACAATTGTTCTTTTCTTTTCTTTTGAAATGGGGTCTTGCTTTGTCGCCCAGACTGGAGAGCAGTGGTATAATCTCAGCTCACTGCAATGTCTGGCTCCCAGGTTCAAGCAATTCTCTAGCCTCAGCCTCCCGAGTAGCTGAAACTACAGGTGTGCACCACCACGCCCGGATAGTTTTGTACTTTTAGTAGAGATGGGGTTTCACCATGTTGGCCAGGCTGGTCTCGAACTCCTGACCTCAAGTGATCTGCCTGCCTCAGCCTCCCAGAGTGCTGGGATTATAGGTGTGAGCCACCGCACCTGGCCAATTGTACTTACCTTCCACCTGTACTGTCTCCATGTTGCACAAGCTTTCTGCTCCCATTGTATCTAATTGTGTTGTACTCATAGTTGTCACACAGTAACTATTTTAGAATAAGTAAAACCCATTTAATAACCGTTTCTATTTTTACCCAGATACGAGAACAAACATCATCTCCAACGCTTTTAATATGCAACCACATATTTTAAGTGTAAAAAGATGTTTGCTTTCTGTGCGGTTCACATTGGAATAAACAAGTCTGAATTATGAGATGCTGTAATTCCTTAGAGAGACACTGATGACAGTATAAAACCTGAGTGCAAAGCTCAAATGGTTTGTGTGTTCACCAAAAACTCAATTCAAAATTATGGCTCAATAATTCAACTTTCTCTATGAGGTTGTCTTATTTTTAATGTTATAACCTTCCTAGATTAGAGAACCAAGCACATAATATCCACAGACAAAATCAAACAAAGCCTAGAAAAAAAATCAACTATTTTTTAAGTCCATTACAACTGAGTAGTATGAGTAATTATTTTATTTTCATAGCCAGTGCAATGGAATGTGAGTCTGCACCAGTTTTGGAGGGTATTACCTAAAGTTAGCTTTGAAAGAAATGGTGGAAATGTACTAGAAATACAATGCATGTTTCCGAGCTTACTTTGTGAATTCTTGTATCCTCAAGGTTATTCAAATCCAAAATAAGCATATTGAATTCCAGATGGCAAAACCCACGATCCTAGAAAGAAGTGCTGGTAATTCTAATGCAGATTCTAACAGCTAGAAATTATTGAATAGCCATTGTTTGAAATAATAAGAGTTGAAATTACTGCAGTAAGACAGACTTAAAGCCTATGAAAAATTCTGTTCTCTCTCTATTAATTGCAAAAGTCCTTTGGGAAGGCTTAGCTGTCCCTCTCTGATAGCACCCTTAGAGGGTCAGAAATACATCCTTCTGAAGTCTTACATACTTCAGTTAAATTTCTGGGCTTGATTTTCTCATTTGTAAATTGGCAATGATAGTACTTATATCAAAATATTAGTCAGGATTTAATCTATTAATGGATAAAGTGTGTATCGGCTATGTTATAAATATACAACATTGCTGTTTTTATTTGTTATTATTTTACTCATAGTGTTTATCTCTCTGGTATTAATTTAACTAAATTTTCTTTGAGACTATATTATAAAACTATAACTATAAGACTGCAGTGAGCCGAGATTGTGCCACTGCACTCCAGTCTGGGCGACAGAGTGAGACTCTGGGGTTAATCAAAACATCCTCAGGTTTACAACTTGCTAGATAAGAAGGACTAAGTTCAAAATTGGCCTTTCGAATTTCAGAAGGTACATTTAACTGTTTGTGTATTACTGTCTGGCTAAAGATGAACCTCGGTCACCAATCAGGGTTTTGTCAAGATGGAAATTTCCTCAATCATGGTACAGTTGTGTGTCTCATTTCCTCTGGAAAGGCTTTTTCTTTGGCTTGACTACTGCAGCTCACACTTTTGATTTGACTCTGTCTTTCTTTTCAAGATTGAATGCAAGAAACACATTTTTGGAAAGATATCTTGGAACCTCTTACCATGTAACAAAGATGCCTGTCCTTTCTAATTTTTACTTTGCACTTATCTGACCTTACAACTAGACTGTGAACTCTTGGAATCACGGCACTATTTTATACAATTTTGTATCTCTTACGTCTAAACCAATGTTTAGATAATCTTAGACATTAAATACACTTTGAATGAATGAAAAACAGTGTAAGGTATGCAAAATATTTTTTAAAACATGGGGCTTAGTTTTCACAACCAGCTGGCTACTCTCTTCTTTAAAATAAATCATTTTAGAAGACATCATCATACAGGCATTTATCACTTACTGGCTCTGTTTACCAAGCAGGACACTGATTGCCTGAAAGAATGAACCTAAGACCCAGAGTTGCCAGTGGAAGTCTTCTAGGCACTAGGAGAACCCAAGTTAGCTTTGTTATTAATAACAACAGCAACTATGGGAATGAGCATAAAGGAAATTATATAATACTGTCCATTATTTTATATTGTTAAAAATAAGCAGAAGACAAAATCCATCTAGGTATTTATTGACACTTGCTCTAAAGAATTCAGATATTCAAGTAAATATGTTCAGCAATTTTGTGTATTGGCTAAACGTTCTAATGACAGATAGCATGTGAATGGGTTTGATACACATTCTTATTTCAAGCTGTAACTGTTCTTATAGAAATTTTTCATCTGTGTTGAGAAACTATAAAAGTGAAAAGATAGCATTCAGTTTCAGAGTTTGTGATGCACAAATATTTCTCTGGAGTCTCTTTAACCAACTTTTCTTATATATAGATTATTTTGTCTAAAACAAATTAAAAACACAAAGACTATATTCATTGGAAATCCTGCTTTTATGTGCAATGAAAAATATGTTAGACATTAATGAGCTGGCTGGAGCAGCCTCATATTTATTTTTAATCTAATGGGTTATATTTGTGTGGACATAACCTATGCAAAAAATCAGATATTTAAGTGCTAAAATTGTGGCTATATTGAATTCTAAGGTTATTAAAGATGAATACTTCACGATCAAATATGAGAGTTAGTTTACCAAAATATAAAAAGAGCTAATGACAGCATCTTCTTTCTTGATGTACTTTGGACATGTATTTATAATATGAATTACATATAATATGAATATATGTCTCATAAATGATTATGTCAAATTTATAAAGATTTGAAAAATAAAATTGTTAGAGCATAAGGAGAAAGCATAATTTGTAAGTGTCTGCATCTAGTTGTGGTTTTTACTAATTTCTCATATTATCTAATATTACACCAATGACAATCAGAAGTCATCTGACCTAAATTTTTAATATCTGATACTTATAATCTACCTTAGAATATGTGGAGGTCACTTCTGGATAGTCATATCTACTCACTGAGTTAAATTGAGGAATCCTTTGTTTTTCTGCTTACATAACGAATTATCTTAGCAATTCTAGAGAAAAGTTTATGTACTTGAAATTAGGAAGTGGTCAAGCCCTTATTATAGAATTTTTATTACTTATAATATTTTACAAATGTTAAAAATCGGCACAGTGGTTCATGCCTGTAATCCTAGCAGTTTGGAAGGCAGAGGTGGGAGGATCGCTTGAGAGCAGCAGTTTGAGACCAGCCTGGGCAACAAAGTGAGACTCCATTTCTACCAAAAACAATTAAAAATTCACTGAGCATGGTGGTGCATATCAGCAGTCCTGTAGCCCCAGCTACTGGGAAAGCTGAGCTTGGAGCAGTGCTTGAGCCCAGGAGTTTGAGGCTGCAGTTAGCTATGATTGCACCACTGCACTCCAGCCTGGGCGATAGTGTGAAACCCTGTACATATATATACACACACATTATGGACCACATATGCTCAAAAGGCCACTCAAAAAGCAGAGTATCGAATCTAGAATAAGGGGGTTTGTGCGTCTTTATCGATCATAATCATAATTATTTCACTAGCCTGGGAGATCAGGAATTAAATTTAGAAGCTTGGAAGTAAGCTTTGAGTCTTTTCCAAACATCCCCATGAACATAGGTTTGTGGAATGAAAATATTATTCTTCTTCCTGAAAAGAATTCCCCAGCCATTAATTAGTCCCAGTGTTGTTTCTCTTTGAGAAAAAATTATCTCAGTCATTTATAACCAAAAACAATACCCAGAGAGAAATTCAATAACAGTATACATTAAATCAGTGATTCCCTAGTCACAAATAAATAATTCTGGTTCCGTATCTAGAAAGTGAAACCATTGCCCAGAACATTTCACCTCCCATTGTCCATTTGCGGTCTGCATCCTGCCAAAGTTACAGGATTTGGGTGTGAGAATTTTTAGAATCCAAAGAGGTATTTACATATTCTGTAGCTCATTGTAGCAGAACATTTTTCTATCTCTCTAAAGATTATGTACACAATCTTTAAGAGCATTTTGGAAAGAGCAGGGACCTCAAGCTCACATGTATTTTTCATTACCTTCCAGCTGCTAGTTCTTAGATTGTCAGAATTGGGATAATAACCCGAAGACTATCACTTTGTGTTTTACTAAAAGGGAAGATTGGGTTGCCACCATAATCCCTAATTGAGGCCGAATTAGAATAAACGGCTGTTAAGCTCTCCAGCATAATTGTGAATGGTGTGTGTTTGACATTCTCTAAGATATAAATTAGAATAAAAAGAACATTTTCAGAGTCATGGAGTAGCTTTGCATTAATGATGGCCTCCCTCGCACTGCTGACAGTCTGCATTATTCATAGTGTCATTATCAGGACTATTCAGTGCTGAATGATTTGTTCGCCCAGAAATTGTATGACCTGACCAGATGAGTAATATCTGTAGTTTGTATTTATCCTTATGACTGCTTACTTGGGTATGGCTTCTTTTATCTCTGTTGTGAGCTTACTTACTGCTGCTCAGCGGGATGTACCATCAGTGACAGAAGCTTTATTCATTTACAGATCCACAGTGCGGCATCACAGTATTAAATCCTGCAAATGTGGGGAAAACTCAAAGGCTTTAATCATCGGACTGGCAATTGTCATTGTACTGCTGCCATATGTCAGCGCTGAAGTTAAGTTTCATGTCTGTGCGCTGTAAGGAAGGCATGTGGCCATGTGTTGCCTGCTTGTTTGTTTAAGATAGAGTCTTCCCCGCCACTGGAATAACTTTGCCATTCAAATCCCTTTCATCTGCACAGAATGAACTAACCAGAGTCCTACAATGAAATGTGAATGTGTCCTTTCAGAACTGATTGGTCCATTTCATAACTCCTTTCTTATTCTAATTAAACCAGCTCAGGAGAGAACTGTGTTTTAGCATCTTGGGCTTCGGAATGACAGGGAATGGCAGGAAAGAATCAGAGGATGTAGAAAGCTCTCTGCTGTGAAAGCAAGGTTTCAAGGTCTAGAGGATTTTTCCTCCCAGCAAAGAGATCATCTTTTGAAATCGTCGCCATCCGTTCCCCTCTACACACACCAATTTCGGTTTTATAACACCCCTTGCTGTGCATCTCTTGGCAGGAAAGTTGCCCATCTTGCAGAGTCTTGCATGAATAATTCATTTATATGTCATGCTGACTCTTGAAAGCCTGGATTACAGCTTTGGAGGAAATGCTTAATAGGATTCTTCCAAACAATCCAAAATATAGCTCAGAGTTCTATGAGTTCTATCTCTTAGAAAGCCTCGGTGCAATAAAAGAATTAATGTGCTGGAAGCCCAAACACACTCGAGGCCATTCAACCTGCGTTGAGCTAAAGTGTAACCTAATAATGAAGGTTAGTATTTTAGATTAGGGTTTCTGTTTCTCAGAGACAGGATTCTTAAGTACAGGCCTTGAGTTCAATACACTGGCACAATTACTTTTTGTTAGATCTTGAGGTTTTGGATTTTTTTTTTTTTAACATCAAAGGACCTTGGAGAACCAGGCAGACAAGCAGCTGAGAGAAGTATTGAGTTAGATGAGGGCAAACAAACTCTGCATATATCAGGTCGCATGATCGCCTGCCGTTACTCAATGATGCTGTTCTTTAAACAGTGGTCCTGCTATCAGTCAAGCTGGAAAATTTAAAGATCTTCTGTAGACTCAGTATCTCACCTCTTTTAGTCCCTGTCTCAGTAATTTTATTGTATCTACTCACCTTTACTTCCTCTTCCGTTTTCCACAAAGCCTTTTTTGTCCTCCCTTCAACACTTGCCTGTAACAAAGTCTTTAAAATATATTTACATTACCCATTTAAGGATCGATTGCCTAAATTCTAACCCACTTTCACTCTCCCAGGATGGTTTGCGTCTTAAGCCAAGAAGAAAGTCATAGATTAAAAGAGTCTATTGATTCTACTGAGGCTTATTCTTTGCTTGTTTAATAACTTTGAAAATGACAAAAATAATGTGCTTGTTGTACATAACAAAATAGTTAAACTAAAAGAAAGAAAATTTTAAAAATAATAATAACCAATAACAACTTGACATTGTGGCATATTAATCCATATTCATGTTTATATCTAGATGTGGATCCATCTGTATGTCTATAGATTCATATATCCATGTATGTAACTTTACAAAGGTAGGACAATCTATAGCAGAATTTTAAATAGCAGTTGAATTCCAGCAGAGGATCTATTCCTTTGGTTTGCTCTATCTAGGTTGCTGGGTTTTAAACTTTTTCAGAGTCTTTTGCATTAGTGGAAGGAATTTGGATTGGATATCTTCCTTTTTTGCCCTCGAGATCTATAATTACCTTTTAAAATTCCGCTCTGTGCCTTGTCAGGCTAACTTTTTAGGGTTGTATCTGTGGGCTTTCTTACCCTCTGGCCCCCGATTGAGTTCAGCCAATGAGAGAATCAACAGGAGCCCATCAGGAAGGTAGAGTGAGATTAGGGTATTTATTCACCCAGTTTCCTTTCTTGGGAAAGGGAGTTAATAGCACACAACTCTTTCTCCTGCTGAGTTTTAGTAGCCAACCCCTCCCCTCTCTACTTCAGGCCTGGGGTAGTAACTTCTTATTTTAGTTATTATTGCTGCAAAGCAAACTATCCCAAAACTTAGTAACTTACAACTACAATTGTTTATTTGCCACAGAACTGGCAATTTTTGCTTGGTCAGGAAGGTTTATTTTTGCTTTTCACTGCTTCAGCTGGAGTGGATTAACTTGGGGATATAAGATCTATTTCCAGGAAGGTTCCCTCACATGCTGGCAAGTTAGTGCTGACTGTTGGCTTGGAGTTCAACTTGGACTGAGGACCAGGGGCTTAGGTTCTTCTTCACATGAGCTTCTCTAAAGCTTCTTGGACTTCCTCACAGTACAGTGTCTAGGTTCCAACAACAATCTTCCGAAAGAAAACCAGGCGTATACACTGCATCACTTTTATGATACAACCATGGATCATTCTGCATCATTTTCTACTGTAATCACAAATGCTCATAGATTCAAAGGAATGAAATAGAGACATCACCTTTCAATGGCAGAATACCAAGTGAAACTAAAAAGAGCATGTGGGATGAGAAATATTAGAAATAAGGCAATTTATCTGATGGCTTCTTACTTATTAGCCACAGAGTACTGTACTACCTTTGGGTAGTTTACTTTTGTAAACAATCTCTGTGTTCAATTATACTCAAACTACCAAATATGAGTATGCCATATTTTTTTGCTGGGACCCTGCTTAATACAAAATTGAGAGTAAATAATAGCAGGGAAGGTAAAGGAGGAGGGTGCCATTTAGCAAGGTGTCAGGAACTAGCCTAAATATCTACTACAGCACCATCTTTATCTTTAATACAAATATTTTGATATCACATAAGTTTTCATTGGAAGAAAGTCTCTTTCTGTTAAAAGAATATTTTAAAATACCACTGTTTATGTCCTTGAGCATCATGATATCAGTTTTAAAAGTTGTTTCCTGCCTACTGTACTAACTCCTAATCAAAACTCTTACAAGTTTGTGCTTCTTGCCAGGGAAATTCATTTTTTCTTCTTGGTTAATTACAAGATATGTACAAAGAACATACAATGTTCAGTGCACCTTCAGATGTGTTAACGACACATTATCAACACTAGATCATCTGACTCATCCATATTGACAGTCAAGGTATCATTAACCTCAAACTTGAATGATCTATTCAAACAGTGGCTTCATGCAAAAATAGTTTTTAAAAAAATATTTCTATAAGTTTTTTTCTTCCCTTTCTCTACTGCACATCTCTTCTCAGATGAAGCCCTTTAGGTACTTATTGAACCTACAGAAGGAAATAAGATGGCAGGAGTTAGTATATATTCTATTTGTCAGTACAAGTGAAATAGAATGGGGCTATGTACTTTTCAGAGGATGGAACTGAATTCCCTTGGAAAATAAAAAGAGAAAATTTCAGTATTTTGGCTAGAGGAATATAAGTTAAAGATAATACCTCTTTTCTACTTTCCTTGTGACCTGTAGGAGGTTTTCCCTATGTGAAACTGAAAGTGGTAGAATTGGTAAAGATACTGCAGCAGAAATAAATGAAGAGATGCAGGAATAAGTCACCGAAAAATTTAAACCTCAAGTAATGGTGCGTGCCTTTGTCTAACTATTTTAAATCAGACTCTTGAAAAAGAGTCATAATAAATTATAATAAAGAAGAACAATCTACATAATACTCCCATTTTACAAAAACAATTTTATCACAACTATAAATATTCTGGCTTGAAATATCTGGTACTTTCCCCACATTGTCCCTTGTGATGTTAGAGCTGCCCCTTAGGTCATTAGATCAGTCAGGGACCAAGCAAAAGACAGAAATCACACACAGTTTTATTAACAGAGAATGTCCTATGAAAAATTGTAAACTACGTGTAAAGTTGTTAACTTGGCAATCGAAAAGGCAAAAGGGGAAACTAAGGTATCATAGACAGATGACAAATGTGAGAAGCAACGGACACTCCTAGGGCTGGGGAAACAGAGGGAATAGGTTGGAATTTTCAGAACCTTGAAGCTTGGAAGAGGAGGCCTATAGAACGAACAGACAAAGTTCTGAGCCAGGACTCTGCTTAGCTGGCCTAGTGTCTCAGCTCACCAGAGGAGCCTGCCAAGGTCTGGATATAGACTTCTGACAGGGGGATCCTAAACAGCTGGTGCTAATATTTCCAAGAAGGACATTACGAGGTTCGTTCTGCAGGCACTGAGACACCTGTACAACAGCAACACAGCTGCTTTGAGGGTGAATATAGTAATGTAGGTTAGTACCTCATAGATACATTTTTAATATATATTCAGTACAAACTTTATATGTATTTTTTATCATCTGTTATCTATCTGTCTACCAACCTATCTATTAACCTATCTTCCTACCTATATAATCAATTTGTCCCATTTTCGTGATGCTGACCAGTAAATAGTTCAGGAGTTTCTGCTGTGCTTTTTCTTTAGGTTCCGCTCCTAGTGATTGCTATAATAGGAAACATTATGAGTTTTGACTCATTTGGCAAGCTTGCAGTTTCTTCCATAAACAGCCTTTTTATTCTGCCTAAATCAAGCAGATGCAAAGGAGATGGAAAAGCTGCATGTATTGATCATCTATGGTGTACTAGCCAACTGAGCTCGGTGCTTTTCAAAAATTATCTCATATGGTTCTTGCCATAATCCAATTATGCAGATATTTTTGTTCTCACTTCTCATTTTACTAGTGAGAAAACTGAAGTTATAAAACGTATCAGAAGATACACATAAAACATATGAAGTGGGCAGGATTTGAAGCTAGAACTACCTCCTTCAAAAAGATTTAAATCCTCCTGCCCCCACCAACTTTGAAACCACTGCTAGCCCATATGGTGTCTTGTGCTAATTTTAAAAAAAATGTGCTTACTAATTTAAAAAAAAATGCCTTCTCCAAGGCTGACAAAACCCCATGGGTACACAACCTGGCAAGAGGATTAAATGTTTGTGTGTTAGAAAAAGGCATTTCTACTTCTGGGTAGATGCAACTCTGAGTCAGGTCACACAGCTTGGAGACCTGAGCGGGGGTTTGATTTGCATCTTCTTTCACATCCTGGGTCGGGCACCCTTGTGAACAGCACAGTCTATACAACTGAATACCATGGTCTTTTTCAACATCACTTTCGTCAAAATATTGTTCCTGTTTAAGATCTCTCTTTCATTCAGATTTCAGCATTAAGAGGACAACATGCCTTTCTGCCCTAAAATGCTTTGTTGTTCTCACTTCACTTTTATATAATAATGCTAATTATGTAGTAAATTAGTGACCTTTTGCTGCAAAACAAATGATCTCAAAACTTAGCAGCCGAATAAGAACAAATATTTGTTATCTCACATAAATTCTTAGGGTCAGAAATCCAGGAGTCACTTTGCTGGGTGGTTCTGCTTTGGGACCTCTCATGAGATGGCAATCAAGCTGTCAGCCCGGCATCAGCCATTTGAAGTTTTCCGCAGCTGTGGAATCTTCCTTTAAGCTCATTCACAGGGCTACTGGAAGGAGGCTTCAGTTCCTCACCACACTGGCATCTCCACAGAGCTGCTTATCACATGGCTTCCCCCAGAAAGAGTGGCTGAAGAGAAGAAGAAAAATACCAGTCACAGTGGAAGCTGAAGGGACTTTTGTAACTTCACCTCAGAAATGAAGTATCATTTTTTTCTGTGGTAATTTTTTTCTTTTTCTTTTTTTGAGATGGAGTCTCACTCTGTCACCCAGGCTGGAGTGCAGTGGCACAATCTTGGCTCACGGCAACCTCTGCCTCCTGGGTTCAAGCGATTCTCCTGCCTCAGCCTCTTGAGTAGCTGGTACTACAGGCGTGCACAACCATGCCCAGCTTTTTGTTTGTTTGTTTTGTATTTCTACTAGAGATGGGGTTTCACCATATTGGCCAGGCTGGTCTCGAACTTCTGACCTTGTGATCCACCTGCCTCAGCCTCCCAAAGTGCTGGGATTATAGGCGTGAGCCAACGCGCCGGGCCTTTATCTGCTGTATTTTATTGGTCCCACAGAACAACATTGTACAACGTACAAATGATTGGGAGTCATCTTAGAGGGTAGCAAATATAGTTAAGACTATGGTCTCATTATATGTGCCAACATCCTGAGGAGATAAAATGGCTGATACTCAGGTGATCCTCAGTGGTACAACTGTTGGCTGGCATTTATTTTGGTCAAATGAGTGTTTTTCCTGATTTTTCTATGCTCATGCCCAATCAGTTGTTAAATATTTTAATAATTATTCCTGGAGATAGATATGGTTGTTATCATCAGCTTGCAGACGTTGAATGTGAGGTTTCTAGACTTCAATTTCCTCCACAAATAAATGCTAGAACCGACCTTGGAACCCCCAATCTTTTAATTACTATGTTATTACCTTCTTTAGTATATTCAATTTTAACTTCAATTCATCACTTCTAGAAGTAAGCTGGCACCACACTAATACCAAACATGTTTCTACATGAATAAATTTCCATAACATATTAAATATAAAAGCCTCTTTTAAAGCTAGCTTGATGTTAAAAATCAAAGGAAGAGATTTTATCATTAGGCAGGTCAGAGACTCATTTCACCCTGTGTTCAAAGAGCAGAGCCCATGTCTCAGATAAAGAGCTTATCTAATTTTGAGGAAGACATTCTATATTACTGTTTTCTTTCTAGCTAATATAACATTTGGATTTGAGTTTTAAGGGGATAACCCTCTCCCCAAATATTTAAGCATGTCAGTTCCATAGGAGTGCATTTAGGGAGACCAAGTGGGAGATCCTATTATTTGCATACTCCGCCAACAACAGAAAGACTGAGTTCTGTAATTATGAAAATTATCGGTTAAAACCGGTTGACAGGAAAAAATGACAACTTGGCTGATTTTTTAAAATTTTTAAATAGATACTGGGCATGTTATATAAGTGCTGCCTGAAGGCTGGGTTTGGGTATTTTATCAAAAAGTAGCAAATAATAACAAATGTACTTTGTGAAAAAATAATTAGTGGATGTGATTATTTTATTTTCGAAATATAAATTTATGCATAAGAAGAATAAATGCAAGGTATTAGTAGCAACCAATTTACTTCTTATACAATCCTTATTTCAGGCAACATTTATAAAGGCCAACTGAAATTGAAGCTAAGGCAAATGCCCAGATATAAGCTCAGGCCAAAATCCCCAAATTTGCAGTTATCAATATATCCTCAATATATCAATGGCTCCTTGGCTACAGGGTAATGTAAACTAAGACAAAATAAATCTGGTTTGCACAAGCTTTGGATATTTTATTAGCCATGTGGCATCTTCCAACCTATGGAAATTAAGCTATGGCCAAGGCCAAGTCTGGCTAAAAAAAAAAACAGGCAATCACACAATTTTAACAAGCTCACATGTTTTAACGTAACCTCAAATCTATTTTCATTTTTTTCCATTTCCTGCCCAATAACAGCTCCCATACTGAAATGCAGGGACTGAAGCCTTCTTTTTTTCCCCCCACTGGAGAAATCTTATCTAACTCTATTAGGCCATAAATAAACACTAAGACCCATGCTAAACCTCAAAAATCCTAAACAAATATGCAATATATTCTTCATATGCTCACCTATTTCATTCTTATAATGGCTTTCCCTGGATCCATCGTCCAGATGCTTACTTTGTGACAAAAGTATTTTGATTCAATTATCTGTGAAGGGAAATATCAAAGAAAAACCATCATAAAGATATCTGGCCTCTTAAAACTATGTTGCCTTTAGGAGCTCATGTTAGAAGCGTAAGAGCTGAAGTTTTCTGTCTGAATTCAATTTCAATTAGATTTTAATATCAGACCTCCCTCTGATTATTAATATTCTACCACCCAATTTTCAAAAATGTAATTTGTCATGCAATAACCTTGCTGGCTCTGTATTTCCATCATCACATTTGCCCTCACTCCACATTCTATATGGTCTGTGTGAATAAGCTCTTAATCAAAATTTTATTCTATTCTTGAGAGTGTAACTTTCCCAAACTAAGTTTGTAAAAGTGAAATCTTTTTCACTCAAGCTTTGTAAATTACAATCTTCTTAACATCAATGGTTTAATGTGTTCTGAGAATGAGGAAAAAATAGGGAGGGAAGTTTGCGTGTTTTAATAATTCTCCCTTTGCTTCTTCTAATGAAGATTAAAGTTTATATGAAATTTAATGAGACATTTGTCTATCAGAGGTAAAATCTATGCAGTATCTCCTGGACAACACATAAAATGGGCCTCTTTAAAGGAAAAAAGGAGTTCTTCATATTTAAAGTATCATATAATAGTAAGAAAAAAATAAATCTACTAATCACTGATGGAATAGCTATGGTATGGTATGTTACCACTTCATAAATTTTGACTATCCTTAAAGCAGTTGAATTAACCCAGTCTAAATGCAAATAGGTTTTATTTATTTATTTATTTACTTATTCATGCATTTATTTATTTAAGGCCAACTTCAGTTTCTAGTAGACACTAATAATGCTGTAATGAGGATTGTGAGACTATGTGAAGTCATTGGGGAAGATTATCATGATCAATTAATGATGTCTGTCATGAGTTTGCCAAAGGGAAGTTGTAGGTTATACATATATGCAAGATATTTTGCATCCCTGGTCTATGTGAAGTAGAACAAGACTGATGGTATTAGTCCATTCTTCACTGCAATAAAGACATACCTGAGACTGGGTAATTTATGGAGAAAAGACGTTTAATTGGCTCACAGTTCCACATGCTGTACAGGAAGCATGGCTGGGGAGGCCTCAGGAAAATTACAATCATGGCAGAAGGCAAAGGGGAAACAGGAGTGTTTTACATGGCTGGAACAGGAGGAAGAGAGTGAAGGGGGAAGTGTTACACACTTTTAAACAACCACATCACTTGAGAACTCACTCACTACCATGAGAATAGCAAGGGAAAAATCTGCCCCCATTATCCAATCACCTCTCAAGTCTCTCCCCCAACATTGGGAATTACAATTCAACACAAAATTTGGGTGGGGACAGAGAGCTAAGCCACATCCCTGATAAAAGTTTTCTATTATTTACCTGTTATACTTTAGGAAAATTTTCGCATACTTTTGGAATTAGAGCTTCAAGGGCTGAGGTTTGGGAATGCAAACTTTCAAAAATTTCGCCAATTGATTCTAACAAGGAGCCAAGCTTAGGAGCCATTGTTTTAAGGATCAGATTTATATCAAGCTTATTTTTTAATATTTAAAAAAGTCTTCTGGATACATAGAAGTTTTATATACTTACGGGGTACATGAGATGTTTTAATGCAAGCATGCAATGTGTAATAATCACATCATGGAGAATGAGGAATTCATCCCCTGAAGCATTTTCAAACATATTTTTCAGTTCAGAGCTAAGTGGTAAGCAATGAGTGAGTGTGTGCTTGCGTGTGGCAGGCAGGAGGGGGCAGTATAGGAAAGAAACAATCGAATTCTTGTGGAAAAAGGACTGCTTTATTTCTTTGCAATCGTTTTGCATGTGGGTTTTTATTATTACGGAGACCAACTTCAAAGGGGAATAAAAAATAGATATAGACTAGTCCAGGAGAATAAGAAAGAAAAAGGAAGGAGAGTATAATATTCATGTAGGGTCATAGGTCTTTCTGTTTCTCTGAAATTTACATTACAGGGTTGCAATGGTTCACTTGCCTTAGGTACACATCAGTTAAGTCTCAGAGGAGGTAGAGAACTGGGGCAATTATTTGCAAATTCATTGACTTAGTTGATCATTGCTTCAAGTTTCTATTTCAATCACACCATGGAGATTGAACTAGAATTAATTTCCTGGTTAAGTGACCCTAAGAAGTCATGCCCTGCTCTCTTCTAATTCCACACCATTTTACTGCAGATCATGGCAGCTCATACATACAAAGATACATAAATGAATATCTAATCTTTTTAGAGACAGGGTCTCACTATGTTGCCCAGGGTGGACTTGAACTCCTGGCCTCAAGTGATCTTCTTGCTTCAGCTTCCCAAGTGCTGAGATTATAGGTGTGAGCCACCTGGGCCAGCCCGAAATTTTTCACAAACATGTTTGTGTATGTGTGTATGTGTGTGTGTGTGTGTGTGTGTGTGTGTATGGGTGAATTGGTGTGGGTGTATGTATATACTTATCTACTGAATTCTCTTCCCCGTCCCCCTTCTCCTTTTCCTCCTTTCCATCTCTCTCCCTCTTTCACACACATACACACAGACACACACACACGTGCCCTATGTAGCTATTTATGTGAAGGCATTCTAACAAAGGAAAAACTTTTCAAAAGTCCACAGAAATTAAAGCTTCTCAAGATGCATCACGATCTAACGAATAAAAATAACAATGTTTTGCAACATGCAAAATCACAACATATTGCAAAAGATAATTGAAATTCCTACATATGCCTAGGATATTAATATTTTTCCCTGCTTTTTTGTAATTAGATTGATGTGCGTAATTAAAAATCTGCTCCCCACATGTGCTTAAGAATGCCAGGTTTTTCCTGAGTCATATTGTCAACTCCAATACTAGGTTTGAATGTGTCTTCTATCCCGGTGGTATATACACGTGTGATATTTTAGCACCCCTGCAAGGTGCTGGTGTGCTGAGAATATCAGCACAGATGTTATAGGATGCTGTTATTCAGAAATAAATTATTCATTTCCTGGGCACTTTCAGTTTTATGTTGACAATAGTAGCCATTACAATCCAATCTGATTTACATTCTCAGCATTTACCTTTCAAACTGATAGGCCTCTGAAACAATAAACGTTTTGGAAGTTTAGACATTATTTTCAGTCTGGTTTTCTAGATGCAGAAACTGAGATACGGATTTGAATGTACTTGATGTATCAGGGAGTGTGCTGAAGAGATAAGGACTGAGGAAAGACAAGCAAGAGTTGGTCCACTTTGAGGCAAGGGGGTCAATATTTATACCCCCAAGGTATTAGTTTGATGGGGTTGTGATATGGTTTGGATCTGTGTTCTGCCCAAATCTCATGTTGATATGTAATCCCCAATGCTGGGGTTGGGTCCTGGTGGGAGGTAATTGGATCAAGGGGGCCATTTCCTATTAATGGTTTAGCACCATTCTGCAAGTGCTGTTCTCATGATAGAGTTGTCATGAGATCTACTTATTTTAAAATGTGAAGCACCTCCCCCGACCCCTTGTTACATTTCTGGTCATGTAAGACATGCTTGCTTCTCCTTCATCTTCTGCGGTGATTGTAAGTTTCCTGAGGCCTCCACAGAGACTGATGCTGCCAAGCTTCCTGTACAGCCTGCAGAACTGTGAGCCAATTAAACCTCTTTTCTTTATAAATTACCCAATTTCAGGTGTTTCTTTAGAAAAATGTGAGAATAAACTGATACGGAATATTGGTACCAAGAAGCAGGGCACTGCTATAAGGATACCTGAAAATGTGGAAGCAGCTTTGGAATTGAGAAAGCAGCAGAAGTTGGAAGAGTGTGGAGGGTTCAGAAGAAGAGAGAATGGTAAGGAAAATGTTGGAACTTCCTAGAGGCTTGTTGAATGATCGTGACCAAAATGCTGATAGTAATATGGACAATGAAGTCCAAGTTGATGAAGTGTCAGATGGAAATGAGTTACTTATTGGGAACTGAAGTAAAGGTCACTTTTGTTATGCATTAGCAAAGAGGTTGGCTGCATTGTCCAGCCTGGTCATGTGATTGAAGAGAAAAGCCCCTTTTCAGGAGAGAAATTCAAGCAGGCTGCAGAAATTTGCATAAGTAAAAAGGAGCCAAGTGCTAATATCCAAGACATGGGGAAAAGACTCCAAAGGCATTTCAGACACCTTTGCAGCAGCCCTTCCAATCACAGGCCCAGAGGTCTAGGAGGGAAAAATGGTTTTCTGGGTGAGGCCCAGGGCCCTGCCACCCTGCGCAGCCTTGGGACACTGCCTCCTACCTCCCAGCTGCTCCAGCTCCAGCCATGGTTCAAGGGGGCCCAATTATAGCTTCAGTGGGTATAAGCCATAAGCCTTGGCAGCTTCCTATGGTGTTAAGCTCATGGGTGCACAGAGTGCAAGAGTTCAGGCTCAGGAGCCTCTGCCTAGATTTCAGAGAACATATGGAAAAGCCTGAATGTCCAGGTGGAAGCCTGTTGCTGGGGTGGAGCCTTCATGGAGAACCTTTAATAGGGCAGTGCAAAGCAGAAGTGTAGGGTTGGAGCCCACACACAGAGTCCCCACTGGAGCACTGTCTAGTTGAGCTGTGAGAAGAGGACCACCATCCTCCAGGCCCTAGAATTGTAGATTCAACAACAGCTTGCACTGTGCACCTGGAAAAGCCACAGGCATTCAGTGCCAGCTTGTGAAAGCAGCCAAAGGGGTTTGTAACCTACAAAGCCACAAGGGTGGAGCTGCCCAAGGCATTGTTATCCCACTCCTTGTACCAGTGTGCCGTGGATGTGAGATATAGAATCAGAGGTTAATATTTGGGAGCTTTAAGATTTAATGGCTGCCCTGCTGCGTTTGAGGTTTGCACAGGGCCTGTAGCCTTTCTTTTGGTTAATTTCTCCATTTTGAAATAGGAGTAACTACCCAATAGTTGTACCCCCATTGTATCTTGAAGTACCTAACTTGTTTTTGATTTTACAAGTTCATAGGCAGAAGGGACTAGCCTTGTCTCGAATAAAACTTTGGACTGTGGACTTTTGAGTTAATGCTGGAATGAGTTAAGACTTTGGGGGACTGTTGGAAAGGCATGATTGCGTTTTGAAATGTGAGAAGGATGAGATTTGGAAGGGACCGGGGTAGAATGATATAGGTTTGGTCTGTCTCCCTGCCAAAATCTCATGTTGAAATGTAATCCTCCATCCCGGATGTGGGGTGTGGTAAAAGGTGATTGGCTTATGGGAGCTCTTTCTCATTAATGATTTAGCACCAGCCGCTAGTGCTGTTCTCGTGATAGAGTTCTCACGAGATCTGGTTGTTTAAAAGTGTGTAGTACCACCTCCCTCCTTCTTGCTCCTGCTCCAGCCATGTAAGAGGTGCCTGCTTCCCCTTTGTCTTCTCCCATGATGGTAAGTTTCCTGAGGTCTCCTCAGAAGCTGATGCTGCTATGCTTCCTATATATTCTGCAGAATTGTGAGCCAGTTAAACCTTTTTCTTTATAAATTACCCAGTCTTAGGTATTTCTTTCTTTCTTTTTTTTTCTTTGAGACAGCATCTCACACTGTCGCCTGGGATGGAGTGGAGTGCAATGGCGTGATCTCGGCTCACTGCAACCTTTGCCTCCCGAGTTCAAGAGATTCTTCTGCTTCAGCCTCCTGAGTAGCTCCTGAGTACAGGAGCCTGCCACCACACCCAGCTAATTTTTTTTGTATTTTTAGTAGAGACGGGGTTTCACTATGTTGGCCAGGCTGGTCTCTAACTGCTGACCTCGTGATCCACTCATCTTGGCCTCCCAAAGTGTTGGGATTACAGGCGTGAGCCACTGAGCCCAGCCAGGTATTTCTTTACAGCAGTGGAAGAACAGACTAATACAGGCTGTCTTAGCAAAATACTAGACTGGGTGGCTTCAGTAACAAAAATTTATTGTCTCATACTTCTGGAGGCTGGACATCCAAGATCAAGATGCTAGTGGAGTTTTTTTTTTCTGAGGGCCATAAGGAAAAGAACCATTATCAGACCTCTCTCCTTGGCTTGCAGGTGGCCACCTGCTTGCTGCCCCTTCATTTGGTCTTTCCTCTGTCTGCATGCCCTTTATGGCTCTTTTTGTGTGCAAATTTCCTCTTCTTAGAAGGACACAAGACAGGCTGGATTTGGGCCCTGCTAACAACCTCATCTTAATGTAATCACCTGTTTAAATGTGCTATCTCCAAACATAGTCACATTCTGAGGTACTTGGGGTTAGGGCTTCAGTGTATGAATTTTGGGTGAACACAATTCAGCTTGTAATCCTCATCAATCCAATCTGTCAGTCACTGGCTATAGGCAACATCTAGGGAAGAGGGTGAGGAGTAACATTTCCAGTGTCCCTGAGAAGTCACTTGGAGCAGTGGGAGGATAGATAGAGGGGTTACTGAATAAAGGTGATCTGGTAGGGCAACCCACAGTGCCAACTGCAGAAATTATTATATGCCAGTGGAAGAATCATGAAGTTCATAAACGTGGAATGGAGAACTTTATTTCTCATAAAGGGTTGCAGCCTCTGGGCTGGCCACTACACAGGCTGGAAAGTATCGCCTCTGGAAGAAGCCAAGTTCAAACACTTTGAGGCAGGGGCAAAAGGAACAGAAGTTTATGCTGAGCAGTTGACTAAGTATCCATATTCTATAAACTAAAGGAGGAGTCATGAATATTTATGAAAGGAGAAACCATGCCCATGAGCAATTGAGCTTCATGCCTCTTCATGAATTGCATAGAAAAAAGCATGGCTGTGCTGGCATGATGAGGGTGGATGTTTTGGCCCTCTGATGTCAAATGGTGAAGCAGAGGACACGAAAACCTTTACTGCACATCCTCCATGAGTTGGTCAAAAGCAGTCCAGAGGTGGTGGTCATTTTTTTAGAAAGGGGTGCATTGTAAAACTAGTGAGCTGTCATGTCAAAACTGCAAAGCTGGAGGGGGAGTCCAGTCGTGGCCTCAGATGACTGATTAAGGGAAATAATGGAATGAATCAGCTGTTTCTTGTTTTCCAGAACTTGTTTCTGCTTACTCCTCAGGAAAAAATTCTGGTTAAAGGTTAATAAGGGAGGGGAGGACTGAGGCACATCTGACCTCTTATCCCATCATGGCTGGGAGCTCAGTTTTCCCTTTGGTCCCTTTGGCTCAGAAGGGGCCCATTCAGTCAGTCAACGGGCTTAGGATTTTATTTTTATTTCTCAATAAATAGAAGTAACTAATATTTCATGATCCCTTAATAATTAGGTATTTCATCAAATTTAGGAACCCATTAACAATAACACACACTATTATTTTAAGGACTGTAAGAAAAGAAAACCATGCCACAAGATGGCAATCTAATAGGAAACCTCCAGAAAAGTGGGACACAAAAGAATTAAATTCTCAATGTCAAGAAAAATGAGTAATGAAACCACCATGCAGAAAGGCAGTAAGAAACATTCATGTTTATATATTGGCACACGATAGAAGAAAGAAAAAAATAACTCCCTTAAAAATTTGGACCTTAAGCTCTTACTAACATGAATTTTTGACTTTAATTCACACTACTCAGGTGGTCCAAAACCCTAAGCAGACAATTTAATTAAAAGTGCTCTCAGGTATGCAGTGCCCCCAAATAATTGGAGGAGCAAATACCAATGTGACCAAACGGTGAAGATGCACTGATTAGAAAACGCTTCCTCCGCAGATGTCAAATGATGATAAATAGTGATGATAACAAGGATAGACAAAATTTTGTATAATCTGAGGCTTTTTCTTTAGTGTTGGCAAACTGCAGCCTGTGGGCTGGCTGCTGCTCCTTGTTATAAATAAAGTTTTATTGGAAGACAATCATGCCATTCATTTCTATACAATCTATGGCTACTTTTGTGATATAACAGCACAGTTAAATAGTTGCCACAGAGACCATATGACCTACAAAACTGGCAAGAATTATTATCTGACCCTTTACAAAAAAAGTTTGCTGAACCCCTGATGAATTTCCACCTATTACATTATTTCATTTTAACCACAATCTTATGTGGTAGATAACATTATATCCCCATTTTATAGGCCGGGAAACAGGGACCAAGAGGTTAAATGACTTACCCAATGTCACATACTAGTAAATAGCATAAGAAAAATTTGATTATAGGTATGTCATTAACTTCTAGTGGTTAATTATGTAAGAGGGGAAGGTATCCAAAGAAAATGGGCTGCCTGATAGTAGGCGTTCAATAGATAGTTTGTTGTATGAATAAATGCATGAATTAATGGATATAGTCAAGATGTGGCAGAACCAGGATTTTAACCCAGGCCACTCTGAATCCAAATTCCAATATCTCTTAAAAACAAGATATAAAAGTGTAATTAACCGCAGAGACAGAGACTGCCTTAGCCTCTACCCTTAATTAACTTGACAGAGTAACCCACACCTTTTTTTCTGATAAAAACATGCTGACTCATGCATCCACTAGGGTACTCACAAATACTTTTGTTCCCAGCAGATGTGCTCTTTGAATCCCATTTTAATCTGCATTTTTATTAACTGACCTACTGTTGTCCTGATTACATTGAAGAAGAGGTCATCCATTGTACCAGATACAGGACTTTCTGTGAGTTAATAGATCCAAAGGCAGGGAAATAATTTTCCTTAACAAATTATCCATTTGTTTCCCAATATTTAGAAGAAAAGTCATTATTTTTGTTAACAAGTAAAATAAAATTAGTTAAAAGCCCTATGTTAATTGAATGCTCATTATAAAGTTAAAAATAATTTGAGTGAAGTATTTATATCTGTGCTTATAAATATTTCTTTTTTTTTTTTTTTTTTGAGACAGAGTCTTGCTCTGTCGCCCAGGCTGGAGTGCAGTGGTGTGATCTCGGCTCACTGCAAGCTCCGCCCCCTGGGTTCACGCCAGTGTCCTGCCTTAGCCTCCCGAGTAGCTGGGTCTGCAGGCGACCGCCACCTCTCCCCGCTAATTTTTTTTTTTTTTTTGTATTTTTAGTAGAGACGGGGTTTCACCATGTTAGCCAGGATGGTCTCGATCTCCTGACCTCGTGATCTGCCCGCCTCGGCCTCCCAAAGTGCTGGGATTACAGGCGTGAGCCACCTTGCCCGGCCTGTGCTTATAAATATTTCTATAAAATATTCAGCTTAAAATTGTTGTAAAAAGATTATTAAAATAGGAAAATAATTCAATAGTTAATAGAAAAAAGGAATATTTTTCATTATGAAAAACTCTTTTTTAATTTAAGCAAGAAAATATTAACCTACTGGTGATAGTAGAAACAAGATGGCAGGTTCTTTTCTCAAGAGGAGCTCGCTGTGTAGTAGGCGAGCCTGTGTTGAACCCAAGCAGATCTGGCTCTAGAGTCTCTGCTTTTAACTACTATATTCTACTGCCTTTTCCTGAGAAATGCCATTTTGCACAAAGATCTCTGCAAATTGCTTAAAAAGCTTTCTATTGGAGCAGAGTGGAGGAGATATTTGAAATGAGTTTTGAATGGCTCATGGGAGCTTAGCAAGAGAATGAGGAAGAAAGAAAGAAGGTGAGATGAGATTTAAAAAATAAAAAATTGTGCTGAGGCCAGAGGCATGAAACAACATATTAGGGTCAGAGAGTTTAAAGTGGTTTGGTAATGGTAGAGGGTAGGGTGAATGTTGGGACATGGTGAAGGATGAAACAAATAAACAAAGTAATAATAACATGCCCTAGTTTGACTTTCAGCCAATGAACAGCAAGGAGTCACTGAAGAATTTAAACAACAGAATGAGAAACTCAGATTTTTATTATTGAAAATTGTCATTCTGGCAGTAGCACGTGAAATGACTTGGAATGGGGAAGGCAGGGATCTCTCTGAACCTTCCTTAACAGTGGTCTTTGCTGACCTTTCCTCTCCTGCCTATTCTTTACATACCACCATGGCCCAAGAGCCAGGCCCTGGCCTCTTCTTGTCACTTTCTACAATTCCTTGGCCAATCTCATCCATTCCCATGATTCACGCATCTGTACAAGTGAGCTGGATCCCTCTCTTGAGAAATAGTCTGATGGTACACATTCACAGCAGCTTGGAGCAGAGGAATCTCAAAGTCCACATATCCAAGGAACAGAAGAAGCTCAACTCTGTGGATTCAGATCTGACTGACAACCCTCCAACTCATACCGTGAACTGAAATTAGTAATTGACCTTACCATCCCATCTAATAGGCAAGCCAGGAAATCAGAGGCCCTCCTAAATTTCTCTCTTTCTCTCACCACCCATTGCATTTTATCCCATCAATTTCAAATTAATACTTGTATTCTGTTAACTCAACCTATAATAGTCCCATCCCTCCCTTTCAGTGTGGAACCTGAAGAGCTTTTAAACTCTTATATAGATGTTAGAACTCCAATGCCCAGAGAGTCTGAGTTAAACGGTCTGGCATGAGGCTCAGGACTGGTATCTCTTAAATGTTTTTTAGGTGTTTTGGATGTGCAGCTATGAGTGAGAATCATTGCTCTCAGCCAAATAAACTGTTAGTGATTTGTCCATTGCTTCCACCTCCATGTTCTCTCTCATTCTCAGCCCATGGCATGTCCTTCAGCCATGTTAAAGGCATGGTAAGTTCTTGAATATGCCGATTTATTCCAAGCCTCCCTGCTTTGACTTATGCTATTCTCTATGTCTGCATTTCCTACCATTATCCTTCTCTATACACTTGAGCCTTCTCTCCTCAAGTAGAACTGATTATTCCTTCATTTTGCCTCAGCCCCTGAGGTCCTTCCTCATATTTTAGAGTATCTATAACTTCATTGCCTTTGTTCTTTACCTATCTATCTTCCCCGACCCTGGAAATCACTCTCTGAGTTGAGCGATCATCCAGTTTCATTCTTAGAAATATTTCAGAACCTTACATATAGAACAGACTCTCTCAAATGGTATGCTATTGATACTTTGGGCTGAGAAATCCTCTGTTGTAGGGATCCATCCTACAGCAGGATGTTTAGCAACATCCCTCGTCTCTACCCACTAGATGATAAGTAGCAACCCCTTCCCACTTGTGATAATCAAAAAGTGGCACATGTCTATAGTCCCAGCTACTCAGGAAGCTGAGACAGAAGGAGCTCTTGAAGTTGGCCAGCCTGTGCAACACAGCACGATCCTGTAAAAAAATGAAAAAACAAAAACAAACAAACAAAACCAATAACAACAAAAAAAAAACACCTACAAACATTGTCCAACTCTGGGGTGGGTGTGAGGAGGACAAAATCAACCCTGCTGAGGACAACTGAGATGCTAAAACTGATTGGTGGAGGACATGTAGAAAGTGTGGCTGCTTGTTATGCTGATGGTTTCTTTAAAACAAGCCTCCCTATGTAGTCCCCTCTTCTGTTGACTCAGGGCTTAGCCATGTGATTTACTTTGGTCAATAGGTCATCAACAAGGACAATGCCCACAGAGGCTTGAAAAAAGCTTGTTGTACTAGGGATTGCCCCTTTGGAGCTCAGCTACCATGTATAAAGCCCAGGCTAGTTTCCTCGAGGATGAGACACCACAAGAAAAGAGAGACACCCATACCACAAAGAGAAAGAAGCCCAAGTCTTCCAACATTCCAGTGAGGCCTGCTCCCAGTGTACCTGCTATATGAATATACCCAGGTGAGACCAGTAGTAGAATATCCCAGCCAAACCACAGGATCATGAGAAACAATAAATCATTATCTGTGACTTTATATTTAGAACACTCCATCATCTCAGCCCAAAAACTTATTGAACTGATAATAAATTTCAAGGAAGTCTCAGTATACAAAATAAATGTGCAAAGATAGCAATCATTCCTTTACACCAACAGTAGGCAAGCAGAGAGCCAAATCATGAATGAATTCCCATTCACAAATGCTACAAAGAGAATAAAATACCTAGGAATACAGCTAACAAGGGATGTGAAGGACCTCTTCAAGGAGAACTACAAACCATTGTTCAAGGAAATAAGAGAGGACACAAACAAATGGAAAAACATTCCATCCTCATGGATAGGAAGAATCAGTATCGTGAAAATGGCCACACAGCCCAAAATAATCTATAGATTCAATGCTCTTCCTATCAAACTACCTTTAACATTCTTCACAGAATTAGAACAAATCTACTTTAAATTTCATATGGAATCAAAGAAGACCCCATATAGCCAAGACAATCCTAAACAAAAAGAATGAAGCTGGAGGCATCACACTACCTGATTTCAAACTATACTACAAGGCTACAGTAACCAAAACAGCATGGCACTGGTACCAAAACAGACATATAGACCAATGGAGCAGAACGGAGACCTCAAAAATAACACCACACATCTACAATCATCTACAACTTAACAAAAACAAGCAATGGGGAAAGGATCTCCTATTTATTAAATGGTGCTGGGAAAACTGGCTAGCCATATGCAGAAAACTGAAACTGGACCCCTTCCTTACACCTTATACAAAAATTAACTCAAGATGGGTTAAAGAATTAAATGTAAAACCCAAAACCATAAAAACCCTAGAAGAAAACCTAGGCAATACCATTCAGGACATAGGCATGGGCAAAGACTTCATGACAAAATCGCCAAAAGCAATTGCAACAAAAGCCAAAATTGACAAATGGAATCTAATTAAACTAAAGAACTTCTGCACAGGAAAAGAAACTATCATCAGAGTGAACAGGCAACCTAAAGAATGGGAGGAAACTTTTGCATTCTACCCATCTGACAAGGTCTAATATCCATAATTTACAAGGAGTTTAAACATATTTACAAGAAACAAACAACCCCATTCAAAAAGTGGGCAATGGATATGAACAGACACTTCTCAAAAGAAGACATTTACATGGCCAACAAATATTTGAAAAAAAGCTCAACATCACTGATCATCAGAGAAATGCAAATCAAAACCACAATGAGATACCATCTCATATCAGTCAGAATGGCGATTATTAAAAAGTCAGGAAACAATAGTTGCTGGCAAGGCTGTGGAGAAATAGGAATGCTTTTACACTGCTGGTGGGAGTGTAAATTAGTTCAACCACTGTGGAAGACAGTATGGTGACTCCTCAAGGATCTAGAACCAGAAATACCATTTGACCCAGCAATCCCATTACTGGGTATATACCCAAAGGAATATAAATCATTCTACTATAAAGACACATGCACACATATGTTTATTGCAGCACTGTTTACAATAGCAAAGACATGGAATGAACCCAAATGCCAATTAATGATAGACTGGATAAAGAAAAAGTGGTACATATACACCTTGGAATACTATGCAGCCATAAAAAGGAATGAGATCATGGCCTTTTCAGGGACATGGATGAAGCTGGAAGCCATCATCATCAGCAAACTGCCACAGGAACAAGAAACCAAACACCCATGGTCTTGCTCATAACTGGGAGTTGAACATCTGTGACCAGATGGACACAGAGAGGGGAACAGCACACACCAGGGCCTGTTGGGGATAGGGGGTGAAAGGAAGGAACTTAGAGGACAGGTCATTAGGTGAGCAAACCACCATGGCACATGTATACCTATGTAACAAACCTGCACGTTCTGCACATGTATCCCTTTTTTTATTTTTTAGAAGAAATAAGAGAAAATATCATTGTCTGAAGCCACTAAGTTGTGGTGTGGTACATTATGTAGTAATACAGAATATGGAGGTCATTTTAAAAGTGCAGTGAAAGGAACTGAGAATCTGAACTAGGGCAGTGGTGGTGGGAATAGAAAGTGGTGTGGAATTTAGTTTAATGTTTTCTGTACTCTGCTGAGCAATCTACTAAGTACCCTGCAGGATTCACATTTATCAATAATTGATGATTTATACTTGTACACTTTTTTTAAAGATTTGAAAACCTTTATTACCTCAGTAATTATTTTCTTAAGTGTTTGCTATGCATTAGGCACTTTACAAGCATTAGTTCATTTAATCCTCGTAACAACACTATGAAGTGAGTCATACTATCAGTCCATTTTATAAATGAGGGAACCAAGGCTTATAAAATTAAATACTTGACCCCATCAAATAGCTAGTAAGTGGTGAAACCAGGATTCAGACTAAGCTCTGTCTGACTCCTGAAGAATTGCTTTTAAATATTCTTCTACATTTTCAAAAAAGTGTTTGGTGTAAGATCTTTATTTGATCTTTCTGGGAGTAGAGAAAAGCTATTTGCCATTCTTTTCATTCTCAACAATCCCTTTCCCAGGCTGAAGTTTCAGTTTAACAGGGAGTATTTTTATTGTGAATAACTGCAAGGTCAATTTGTGGTACATTTTCACTTCCTGAATGATACAAGTTTCAGGGAAATGGATGTGAGGGACATGAATTTCCAGTCTATATTAGCAGCCACCAAAGATTATTTGCTGTGAACTGATTAGCCCCTCATCTCCCTTCTCTTCTTCAAAATCTAAGGAACGTTCTGTCTTTTCCAGCACTTCGAGGACTTTTTGTGATTTAGAATGGGAAGCATGGGGCAGAGAGAAAGTCAACTTGAGTGGACAGAGCCAGAGGTGTGCTTCTGCTGAAGGTAGGGATTTGAGGGGTTAGCAGGAAGGAGAGGTCCCTAAGAGGGAATAAGTTCACATATGACCTTGCTATATATCAAGGTTATAGATTCCTTTACTTGCTCTATTTACAGCTTTCCCAAATGTTGCTCACACTATCTGAAGCCACATAACCAAGGATTATAAACTTTCTTGAGAAAGCATTACTAAACTTCCCCAGACTTGGCAAAGTACACGCTTAGCTGTTCTTATCGTGCCTACAGCTGTGGGGAGCTTTCTTTGAAGAGTCTCTCCTCCCCATCACCAAATGCAGTATCAGGAAATTCCACCTGAGAAACTATTGTTTTTTACACGTCATTTGAAATATGGCTTCTGAGATTTCAAATTAAATTAACAGCAGCCTGCAGTCTTGACTGCTTCTAGAAAAAACTGTGTATAAAAAGCCCAGCCATCTTTTGATCTAAAAGTTCTGTATATATTTAAATTTCCTAGTATCTCATGTTTACATTAGAAATGCCCATCTGGGTTTGCTGAATGAGGAATAATTGTGTGTCCATTTGTTTTTCTCTGATTTGTAGTTACTTCACTATCTCAAGATAAAAGAATATTTTACCTCGGTGAGAGAGGACTCAAGTTTTTTTGACAATGTCATTTGTGATACAGCCAAGGGCTTTATAACTGACTGTATACATCTAAGTGGCTATTTAACTGAAAAGAAAATAAATTTGGTTCAATGCTTGAGTCTATGCTAATGTCGACTGTGACAGAACTTTCCTTTCTTTACTCTCTAATCCAGCAGAGGGCACTGATCAAACATCAGTGGCTTTAAACCTAGACGCCTTGTTCACTGAATAGTTTATCAGTGCTATTAGATAATTTTTCTCTTCAAGCCATTATCTAACTGGAAGCAAACTTTGGAAAATGATGTGTACATTGGCCTTGGTAAATGGTTTATGGATTTAAAATAATAATTTTCAACACAACTGCACCCTGTATTCTCTATATTTTTGCCGTTCAGTACAGCAACCACTTGCCATGAGGGGTTACTGAGCACTTGAAATGTGACTAGTTTGAATTGAGATGTGCTGTTAGGCATGCAATACACACTGGCTTTTAAAGACTTAGTGCCAAAAAAAGAATGCAAAACGTCTCACTAGGTTTTTGTTGTTTTTGTTTTTTTAATTGGTGAAAAGTTGAAATCATGTTTTGGATACGTTGGGTTAAATATACGATTTAAATAAATTTTAGCTGTTTCTTTTCACTTTTTTAACTTTTCTACTAGAAAATTTAAAATGACAGATGTTGCTTGCATTGTATTTCCACTGTGAAGCACTGATCTCACTCTTAGAACACTTCTTTTCTTCTCTAAGAGTAAGTGTTTTCCAATTATACTGCCTATTTTGCGGTCCAAGCCCCTATTCTTGCTTTCCCTCAATGTTTCTCGTCTTCCCAGATGAATCCAGAAACCACAGGTCCCCAGTGGTACCTTGGCACTGTGAGAGTCACCTGAAAACTACCTTTAAAAAGTCAATGGCCAAGCCGGGCGCGGTGGCTCACACCCGCAACCCCAGCACTCTGGGAGGCCGAGGCGGGTGGCTTCCCTGAGCTCGGGAGTTCGCAGCCAGCCTGGGCAACACGGCCAAACCCCGTCGCTACTAAAATGCAAAGGACCAGCCGGGCGCGATGGCGGGCGTCTGTGGTCCCAGCCAGCGGCGAGGCTGAGGCGCGGGAACTGCGTGACCCCGGAGGCGGAGGTCGCAGTGAGCAGAGGCCGCCGCACTCCAGCCCGGGCGACGGAGCGGCGAGGCTGAGGCGCGGGAACTGCGTGACCCCGGAGGCGGAAGTCGCAGTGAGCAGAGGCCGCCGCACTCCAGCCCGGGCGACGGAGCGGCGAGGCTGAGGCGCGGGAACTGCGTGACCCCGGAGGCGGAAGTCGCAGTGAGCAGAGGCCGCCGCACTCCAGCCCGGGCGACGGAGCGGCGAGGCTGAGGCGCGGGAACTGCGTGACCCCGGAGGCGGAGGTCGCAGTGAGCAGAGGCCGCCGCACTCCAGCCCGGGCGACGGAGCGGCGAGGCTGAGGCGCGGGAACTGCTTGACCCCGGAGGCGGAGGTCGCAGTGAGCAGAGGTCGCCGCACTCCAGCCCGGGCGACGGAGCGGCGAGGCTGAGGCGCGGGAACTGCGTGACCCCGGAGGCGGAGGTCGCAGTGAGCAGAGGCCGCCGCACTCCAGCCCGGGCGACGGAGCGGCGAGGCTGAGGCGCGGGAACTGCTTGACCCCGGAGGCGGAGGTCGCAGTGAGCAGAGGCCGCCGCACTCCAGCCCGGGCGACGGAGCGGCGAGGCTGAGGCGCGGGAACTGCGTGACCCCGGAGGCGGAGGTCGCAGTGAGCAGAGGCCGCCGCACTCCAGCCCGGGCGACGGAGCGGCGAGGCTGAGGCGCGGGAACTGCGTGACCCCGGAGGCGGAGGTCGCAGTGAGCAGAGGCCGCCGCACTCCAGCGCGGGCGACGGAGCGAGACTCCTCGCGGGCAGCGGGGTAGTGGGGGCGGGGGGGGGCGCGGGGCAGGGCTTGGGGGAGGCCAAAGGCGACCTCTGAGCTCTTGTCCTTACCCTGGGAGAGTATGGAACTCAGAGAAATCATCTGACCCGGGTAATGTATGACAACAAGCAGGAAAGCTTTGCTTGAGAAAAAAAATGTCTTGTTTTAAATGCTGAGGCTTTGGGACCACAGTTTCATGATGAACAAACATTCACTGAACCCCCTACCTTATGCCAGAGGCTTTTCCATAATTATCTCCTTTAATTGTCACAAAAAAACTCGGCAAGTGTCAGAGTTATTGCCATGCTACAGAAGAAACATCGAGACTTAGAGAGGTGGGACAGCTTTGCCGAGACCACACTGAAGAGCGTGGTAAGTGGCAGAAGAGACCTTAAGAGCCAGCTTTGTTCAGCCTGCAGGATGCTCTCTCCACCTGCGACTGGCAGGTTAAGAAGACCCTGGGTCTGAGATGGTGATCGGCAGGCAGCCAGTGAATAGGCTCTGCTCACTATCGGGTGGTCACTAACCATATCCAGGAGCCAAAGCAGGGAGCTGGTAGCTTGGGAGCAGGGACATCACTTCTGACAGCAATGGGATGCTGAATAAATCAGTTATTGAACTAAAGAATAGAGAAAGAGAGAGAGAGAGCATGTAACATAAAAGTCTCCTCTTTTGTGATCTTAATAAGATAAATGTTTCATTGTTCTCACCTCTGATTGGGGCCTATTTTCAACAACAAAAGAACTGCTTTGGAACTATGACTATTCTGCTGATTAGACAAACTAGGTTCATTAGAAAGATCAAACAGAAAAGTTACAGAGAAAACAGAATTTACCAGCATAGTTCAGACTCAGGGGCTTACCACGGTTTCATTTTCTCCATAAGTGGATTCTTGAAACAGCAAAGAATTCTTTTCTGTCATCACCCCTCATGTTCTCTAAAGTAGAAACTGGGAATGCGTTGCTGTAATTGTGTTCATGGCATCTTTGTAATTTTCCAGGCCTTAAATGAGCCAGTCCAAAAGCAATACTGGTTCAGGCAAAATGAAACTTAGCCTTCCAAGAATACATATTTGGTAAAGGCTGAGCTGATTTTAATAGCTAATATTTATTGAGTGCTATTTCTGATGGTTATATGCAGTATTTCATTAAATCCTAATTCATTTTTAGACAGTAACACTGTTATTATCCCTATTTTACCAAAAAGGAAGCTGAGGCTCAGAAAGGTTACGTAATTTGCTATAAGTCATAGAACTCACCAGTGTGAGGATTGTCACCACTGACCCTTTTACTCAAGAGCTTTGACGCGTAACCATTACACCATGCTGTCTTCCTTAGAGAACATCTTGTTATCATGAAAAAAGTTATTTTCTTTCTCTGGCCCGTTAAAACAATACAAAAATCTATATCAATGGCATTTGCAATGCACCAGATACTTTTACCCTTTTCATTCTTTCACTAACAAAAAATTGATAGCAAATGTAAGCCCATGTATTTATGAAGGCAGTTGGTTCCTGCTCACTTCATTTTACCATTTGCTTTCACTTGAAGAAAGGAATAACTGAGAGCAACCTTTACTGCTATAATTGGATTTTTGTCATCAGATATGGTTTGGTTCAATTGTATCTTAGGAGAAATAATACACATTTGGGGTTTAGTTTATAGAATCTATTTTCTGTAACCTTAGAAGTCTTAAATTTTATCTAGGAATGCATTATATTCAACACTTTCAACTTGCATGTAACCTGCTAGGGGGAAAAAAAGGCTAATTTAAGAAGATCTTTCTAATCTTGTCTTCCAACCTTCACAGTGAACATACCCATCTGAAATTTGCATTTTTTGTCATCTTGAACTTTGCATAAAACTTCTAAAAATGTTCTTATCTATGAACTGCAGGAACCTGAAGAATAATTTTGTCTCCAAAATAATTACTGGAGCACTTCCATGTTCTTTGTGTTGTTGAGAAATTTTTTTTTTTTTAATGTATGCAGTTTTTAAAAAAATCTTTGTTTAAGGCCCTAAATATCATACATCTGGGATTCGATGAACAAGAGTTTGGGGAAAACCATTTATTATTATTATTATGCAGCTCATATTATAATTTTTTAATTTAACTTTTATTTTAAGTTCAGGAGTACATGTACAGGTTTGTTATACAGGTAAACATATGTCATGGGGTTTTGTTGTACCAATTATTTTGCCAACCAGGTATTAAGCCCTAGTACCTATTAGTTATTTTGCCTCATCCTCTCCCTCCTCTCACCTTCCAGCCTCTGATAGGCCTCAGTGTGTGTTGTTCCCCTTTATGTGTCCATGTGTTCTCATCATTTAGCTCCCACTTATAAGTGAGAACATGTGGTATTTGGTTTTCTGTTCCTGTGTGAGTTTGCTAAGGATAAGGGCCTCTAGCATGGAGCTTATATTTTAAAGAAAACTGATGAGTTGGCCCCAGTTGTGGAATGAAGAGTTTTCAGCTTGTGTTGGGAACCAAAAAGGCTGTTAAGTGTAGTTCAAGAGTTAAAACAAGGCAGGGTAATAGAACATTTTACCGATGGCTTACTAGTTTCTAGTAAAAATGAAACTCATCCCCTAACTGTGGAAATTCAACGTAACTGTGGAGTCTCATAAAATTATACTGTGAGCTATTATGACAAACCCAAAAGGAAAAAATATGCAATTTAAGAAACATATTCTGAATATACTTTTTAAGAAAAATCTAAATTCTTTAAAAATGGTGTGACAATCAGCAGAAGGAATTATGGTAGATTCTTCTAGTAATAGAAAATAGTATTTCTATTATTAGGCAACAGACAGTTTTGTGGATTTGTATTATCCATCTCAAGAATTTTCATAAAAGCCTGATTTTCTTTTGCTTTTTAAAAATGTCCTATCCTGACTGACCCTCTTAAGGTCAGACTTGAAGAACAAGCTTCTTACTTGATACTCCTTAAGTGTCTAAAACAGTGTTTATAAACTTTCATCTACATGTGAATTACCAGAGTGCATTGTTAAAATGCAAATGCTGATTCAACTGAGATGGGGCCTGAGATTTGCCATTTCCAGCAAGCTTGCCTGGGATGCCCTCACTGCTGGCAGGCAGACTTCACTTTGTGTGGCGATGCAGGGGAGCCCTGACAATTCCAGCCTTGCCTTCCCTCTTTGTTCCTATTCGATCCATCCACAAACCTATTGGCTCTGCCCTCAAAATCTATCCAGAATATAATCACTTCTCACCCAACTGCATAGCTAAGACCTCAAGCCAAGCCACCATCATTCCCTTCCTAATCTCTGCCTTGGCTTCCTAAATGACATCTGTCATTGACTGTTGCCCTTGAAGAATATTTTTCACACGAACGGCAGAGAGATCTTTCTCCAAACATAAATTAAATCAAACCTATTCCTTATTATTTCCTAATTGTTTCCCAGCCCATTAATACCCAAACCTAAACTGTTTGCCATCAATAAGACCCTCCCTTATCTGACCTGTTTCCTGTTCCACCTTGTCTGCTACTTTTCTCTGATTTTCACTCCATTTCAGCCAGACCAGCTGACATGTTATTCCTTTAAAACACCATGTGCATTCTTACCTCAGGGCCTTCGTATTTGCTCTTCCTTCTTTCTGGAAAGTACATTCTATAAATCTTTGAATGACTCCTTACCTGATGCCATTCAGGTCTCTATTCCAATATCTGCTCTTGAAATAAACCTCCCCATACCCTGTTTACAATACTGCCCCAGTTATTATGGATGTGTAGCTGAAAAAGTTTAGTGGTTTAAAACAAAAATATTTATTTTGCTTTTCAATTTGCAGTCTGAGCAGGGCTTGGTGGGAACAGCTCTTTTCTGCTCCACTCAACTTTGGCTGAGGAAGGTGGCTAAAAGGCTGGGGAATGGAATCATCTGAAGGCTCACTCACCCACAAGCCTGACACCTGGACTGAGAAGACTCAACATCTGGGGCTCCTCAAGCATCTGTCTGTGTCTCTATGTGGCATCACGTCAGGGTCTCTTTATCGTAGTTGCTTCAGGTTAGCCAGACTCCAGGATCACAGGTGGAGAGGCAGAGAGGAGAGGAGAAAGAGACACAGAAAGAAAAAGAGAGACAGAGTACTAGGTGGAAGCCAAATGGCCATTTGTGACTCAGCTTTGGAAGTTACTCATACAGTATCACCTCTGCTTTCTTCTTGCCTGCCAAGTTCTATTAGTTGGAGGCAAGTCACTAAGGATGGCCCACATTCAAGGAAAAAGGAATTAAATTCCACCTTTTGGAGGAGGAATGCCAAAGAATTTGAAAACATTTTGCAAAACCCATCACATGGTCCAACTGTTCAACCAAGATTCTGCCTTATTTTTCTTCCTAGTGCTGATCACGTGGATCTCTTGTCTGTTCCTCCTACTGGAAATGTTAAGTCCCATGAGAGGAGGGACTTGGTCTTCTTTACTGCTGCTTCACCAGTGACTCAAAACTGCTGGGCAAAGAGTAGACATTCACAAGTACTGGTTGGGTCAATTTATTTATTTAATGAACCTGTTTTCTCTGCAGAACTCAGTTCAATTCCTGCTTAATAATATTACTAATGAATTAATATATGAAATCTTCTTAGAATAATGCAGGGCCCCGTGGTCTGTGCTCAGTTAATTCTAGGAACTGTCCCTAATAAGAGCTAACATAGATAGTGTGTTTAGTATCCACTGAGCTCCTCATGTAGGTTACTTTTTTTTAATCTCCCAGGAAATCCATGAGATGATACTGTGATTACACCCTTACTTCACATAGCTACTTAGTGACTGGAACTCAGAACTGATCCTGCCTAATTCCAAAGTACAAGCTCTCATTCTTCCTCTATGGTGCATTTTGATCATTTATATGGGCAAGGTGGAAAGTAAGTGATTTTGGATTAAGACACAGAGCCTTATCCTGGCTCTTCTATTTCACCTCTTTTAGCCTCAGTTTTCCCATTTGTAGAATGGGGATGATAATGATATCTATCTGAGAGGGCTAGTGTACAGTTCAAATGTGAGCTACATCTGTGAGTGGCTTGCCAATAATATAGTGCTAAAGGAATATGTTAAAATAATTGGTTGAGAGGCCATTAGGCTGAGGCAGCTCCAGCACTCTGGGTTCTATCTAAGCAAGTTGAAACCTGATTCACTGGAAATAGTAACACAAAACTTAAGCTTAACCAGTCAGAAGCTGCCAAATAAGCTCTCAATAGGAACTTTCCACTTGAATGATTCAAATAAGGCCACTGCTCCACTTCAACCAGTGAAATATTTTCTTTGCCTTGTTTCCACATTCACCCTGTAAAAGCCTGTAACTCATACTCCTGTTGGTGGAACCCCCAACCACCTGTGGTCTGGAATTGCCTGATTTATAAATTGCTGTTAGCTCAAAGAAACTGTTTGTATTTTAATGTGCTTCAGTTTATCTTTTAACAGTAAAATATAATCTTTAATATTTTACTATGTATCCTAATCATTGCTATAGAAATCTGTATGCATATTTTATTCTAATTTTAAGTTTTTGGTTCCTAGTATAAGATTGACTGTACTTGTCTATTTCAGTGTCTTAGACAGAACAAGGTTTTGGTAATCATTTCAGGAATTAACGGGTAATTCCAACACTCATGGTGTGAAGAGTGCCCCTAAAATTAAGAAAAAATGCATATTCTTTATATTTATTTGAAACAAATTATCTCAAATTCTTTCAGAAGTGAATAGATCAACTGTTAAAAAGTAGAAAAACAATTGGCTTACTCTGCATGGAATCATGAAAGTGTGAAGATGGAAAAGAACAGAGGCATAGTTCAAAATCCTGATAAATCACTTAATAGAAAGGACAATTTTGTAAATGTTTTTATTTTAAACTTTCACTTCCTCACATGTAAAATGAAGTTGATAGTACTAACCTCATATGTTGGATTAAATGGTATAATGTAAATAGATGTACTTTGCAATATGTAAGTTATTGCATAAATATAAGGCATCATCATCTATTTCTTATAAGTCTAGGCTAATTTCTACTTATCTTAGAAAACGAATATTACCCTGGGGATTCTTCGAAGAAGTAACTAAACATCATTTTAGAAATTCCTGAAAACATGTATTTTAAAATTATAAAAATGAAATAGTGAAGCTTATTAATGGAATAAATGCTTTTGCTTTTCATTGTAAAGAAAATTGTTCTGATATGAATATATTGCCCACAAGTGCTGTAATGGAGGCCTTGCAAATCCTTGATATTTTATTCTTTCTTAAGTGTACCAGGTAAAAATAAGGCATGCCCTGGGATGAATTCTGCAAATTTTCTCCCAAGTATCATCCTCCAGCTGATTCCCACTCAAAGATATTTGATTTTGTTTGGGATAATGTCTTAATTTGGGCTTCTATAACAAATTACCATAGACTGGGTGGCTTAAACAATAAACATCTATTTCTCACAGTCGGGAGGCTGGAAAGTATAACATCAAGGGACTGGCAGATCCAGCGTCTGGTGAGGGATGCTTCCTGGTTTGCAAATGGCCATCTTCTCATTGTATCCTCACATGGCAGAGAGTAGAGAGAGCAAGAGCAAGCTCTGGTGTCTTCTTTTAGAAGGGTTCTCTTCTCATGGCCTAATCACTTCTCAAAGGCCCTACCTCCTAATACCATCATATTGTGGGGTAGGATTTCAACCTATGAATTTGGGGGATGAGAATACAAACATTCGGTCCATAGCATGATCAGCCCCAAAGGCCAGTGTGTGATACATTTTCGTTAATTGTGCGTATCCTAGTTTTTTTTTTTTTTGCAAAACACATGTTTTCCTAGTCATGCATAGCTGGAATAGACCTTGTAATAAAATTTTGTCAGTGAAGTGTAAGTGGAGGTTTGCCAAGGGACTTCTGAGGAGGGGACACTTTCTGATAAGAACCACACTTAAGAAATCTCAATAGCTATGCTCCTTTCCATTCCTTCCTCGTTGAGACATCAATGACTCTCTAACATTTGTAACCATGAGGAATGGACTAAGAAAATAGAAATATCTCTTTATGTAATGGAATCCTGATGTAATTGAGCCTCTCAATAACCCTTGTACTATCTATCTACCTACTTACTATCTTTAGTAAATAATAAAAATTCTGTGATTAAGGCCACTGTAGTTATTTGGTTGCTGTTGTGGTTACTTGGAGATGACTGCATATTAACTGATATATGCTATAGTATCTCTCTAGGAAAGAGTAATCATAAAGCAAGGGATTTCTGTACTGTGTTAAAATAGTTTGATTCTAGCAAAAGTTGAAATAAAGAAAAACATATAATCTCTACAACAAAAAATATTGCTCCATAAAAATATTTTACATGAAGACTCTGTGAGTCCCTAAATAACTTCAGAAATTAGAAATTCTAATTTCTCTGAGATTTTCTTCATTCTTTGGCCAGACAAACAGCATCCCAGAGAACTTCTTTTTCTCATTAAAATATGAATAAAATTTCACTAGTTAAGTATGGTATGACCAATTAAAAATAAGAACAATGTGCAGTGAGCTGAGATCGTGCCACTGCACTCCAGCCTGGGGCAAAGAACAAGACTCTGTCTCAAAAAAAAAAATAAAATAAAATAAATAAAATAAAAACAATGAAAATAACAATTTTCAGATTACTGTTCATCAAACATACTAACTTACCGGTTTTGTACTCTGGTCAATGCTATTTAAAAATTCCTTCGTTTTGAAAGATTTTTCTCCTTCAAGTTCTCTGAAGGGACTGAAAGTTCAAGGCATCTGGATTTAAGAGAGTTAAAAATTGGATGGCAAAGTGACCCCAAAAAAGTTAGAAACAAGATTAAGATTTTGATAACCCAAATTAGGGAGTTAGGCATCATCTTTCATAGGAGCAATAATGAGACATTGCATTATCTTATTCAGGGAGAGATTTTAATGTGATGAACATATTAAAGGAACCATGCTGGCCACAGGATAAAGAGTCATCTAGATGGGGCGAGATAGGGAAAAGTGACCACTCGGTTGTTGTCATAATTTGGGCAAGATAGTGATAACCTAAATGTGGTACTAGAAAGTGAACTGGCAACAAGTGCAACAATTACAGGCATTAAAAAAAAAGGATATACAATCATCCCTTGGTATCCATGGGGATTGGTTCCAGTAACCCTGCAGATAACAAAATCCAAGGATACTGAAGTCCCTGATATAAAATGGTGTAGTCTTTGCCCATAATGTATCTCTCTTCGTGTGTTTAAAATCATCTCTAGACTACTTATTATGCCTAATGCTATGTAAATGCTATGTAAATAGTTTGTATACTCTATTTTTTAAATTTGCATTTTTATTGTTATATTGCTGTTCTTTTATTTTTATTTTTCATATATTGATCTACAGTTGGTTGCATCTGCAGATGTGGAGACAGTGGACACAGAATCTGCTGATAATGGAGGGCTCACTGTATAAGCAAACAGACAGAAGTTTGTGCCATATTAGACATGGACATAGAGGGAGTGGGAATAGCTACAATGACAGAAATACTTGGATTTCTGGCTTAAGAAAACTAGACAGAAGTCAGTGGTACTGTTCACTGGGATTGCTTAACTAGGCCAAATGCTGCAGAGAAATAAAATTAAAATAGAAGGGAACAGGTATAGAAGGTCTTGGTATTTATATTAAGAACTTGGTCTACATGGGGGAAGAGTAGAGGGGATTCCAGATGTTTGTGGCTTGAAGAGGGACTAGACAGTAAGTTGATAGGTAAGTGGAGGCAGATACATCTTGAAGATGTGGAGAAAGAGAGGGGCAAACTGAAGGAAAATGGAAAGTTAAGGCTGAAAGAAAACTTTGGTTTGAATAGGAGAGAGCCAAGTAAGTTTCATGGATCCAACCTGAACAGTTGGTTATCTTCATTCTCTTCTCTTACACATCAAATACTAAAACAAGCAAAAAACATCTTCTGTTATTTTCCTTTCTTTTAGGCTCACTCTGTGGCATTGCAGACAATACAAGGAAAGATGGTTTAACCTTAGGAGAATTGAATCCCAGGGGCAGCACTGTGACTCAGAAACCAAAAGGGACCATTTCTTATTTGAAATCAGCCATGCAACTTCACCGGTTTTACAATGACTCTAGCCACCTCTTCCTTAGCAGACACTTCCGGGGCTACTACTGCTTGTTATCTGGGTCCTTTCCCTTTTGACCACAGATCCTCCTGGAATCTCCAGTGTGAGCCTTCCTTTCCTCCTCCTGTGTCTTCTTTACTTTGACATAAACCAGTTCAGTTTTTGTTTCACTTTCTCTTGTTAAAGACACATGCATTTCTAAAAATAAAGGGTCAAATACTTTACCTATAGAAATGTATATCAGCTTTGGAAGCTGATGGCATTTGTGGCACTGATGGCTCTGTGTTCATTAAAAAAAAAAAGTATTTCCTTTTCTTCCTGGTGGTTAGCTACCTATCCAGCCTTTTATGCAATTAAGGGAGATCATATTATGCAATGTGCCCTGTGGACTGAAATGCTATGTGTCACCTTGCATGGTCATGTGTTTTCACATATCCTTTTTTTTCTGCTTTCAGGTGGCTGGAATGGCTTTAACCCCAAGGCCGTATTTGGAAGCCACTTGTTTAAAATTAAGGAGCCAGAAGCTAGAAAGAGCTCCTGTCTCTGATTCACCACCTAGGGGAGCACTATCTAACTATCAGAAATTTTTATCAGCAGGAAATAAACTTCTATTGTGTTAAGCCTCCAAGATTCCAGGGTTTATCCATTAAAAAACAACCAAAATACTAACAAATAGATTATTCATTCATGATGGTAACATTTGCCATACATTGACTTAATACCAAACACTGCATAAGTAGTATATCATTTAATTGTCTTATCAGCTGCATGAAGTAGGTATCATTCTCCTTATTTTATAGATAAGGAAGGAGTCTATGTTTCACAGTGTTAAATAAACTGGTCCTGACAGCCCCTGATAACTTCTTAAAGGCTATGTAGAGTCTCAGAGTTTTTACTTAAAAGATTATTATAGAACAAAGCACAGGGATGTTTGCTTCAGCCTCATAGAGAAAGTAAGTTCCTCATTCATTTTAAATCTGTATGTATAAAACACTTGGAGACAGTGTAATCAATATATAATTATGTATAGTATTGCAATTCATAATACTTGAAAAATTATATGTTCTAACATGTATATGCAAGGTCAAATTCTAGAGTATCTTTTAAAACAATAAAAAAGGAAAAGATTCCTTTTTCTAAAAATAAGTCCAAGATATAGGAGTATGTCATCTAATAAAAACTTTCCAGATATAGCTTTTACTTGACATAACCTATTTAAAATGTACAACTCAAAACCAACCTGGTTTGACCTAAGCGTATATGCTCAAGTATCGCACGCACGATCTTGAATATTCACATTACGGTTCATTGAAAAGGCAATGGGCTTTGCAACAAGGTTGACAACAAAAGGAAAAATGATGAAGAAAATTGCCTCACTTATCTGCTACAGTACTCTTGATTGCCAAGTGTAATTTCATGGTTCATTATAAGAGACGGAAAAGTTTGACCATTAACTTGAGTACTTGTATATCCTATTGATACAAAGAATAAGTTGCTTGAAACACACTTGGTTTTTAATGAAGCCACTGTAATTTTGTGTTTTTAAAGCATCATCAATTTTCATCAGTTTTACCCCTGCTGGAGTTTTATGCGGGTAAAATAGTTAAAGGTCGTCAGACACTGTGGGACGTAAAACAACTGTAGAAAAATGAAGATGTTAAAGTGACACAGGGGTGACATGAGTTATTTTCTGAGTTACCACTTGACATAGTGTGAGATTTGACTGGGTAATTGAGGTAAATAGCGTTGCTGTTACAGATGTCATATGATAGATCAGATAGGGGTCAGATAACTTAACAAGTTTAATCATCCTTTAACACAGGGGAACACTGCTCCACATTTCTATGGGGAATGCACCCATTTAAAGTTATGTTTCTCCATTCTAGTAAATATTCCTAAACTTTAATTCCCTAAAGGACACTCCACTGTTCAAAAACACTTTAATAGCTTCTCATTATCTAGCACGGCGTTGTTCAAAACTGTAGCCGCCAACCACATGTGGACTGTTTAAATTACACTCAGTGAAAATTAAAATTCAGTTTCTCTGTCACAATATGCAAATTTCAAGTGTTCAACGCCTTCAAGTGGCCAGTGGCTACTGTATTAGACAATGCAACTCTACACAGTTTCCATCAACTCAGAATGTTCTATTTGATAGCTTATATCTAGAACTGGACTATCCAACATGGTAGTCCTGGCCACATATGGAGATTGAGTGCTTGAAATGTGGCCAAACTTGAGATGTGCCATCCATGTAAATTACATACTAGATTTGGAAAACATAGTTCAAAAAGAATACTGCAAAATAGTTCATTAATAATTTTCTATGCTACTTACATGTTGAACAATACTTTATATATACTTTTAAATAAGATACAGTACTAAATTTAATTTTATCTGTTACTTTTTAAACTTTTAAAACATGACAACTAGAAAATTTAAATTTATTTATTTATTTTGAGATGGAGTCTCGCTCTGTCACCCAGGCTGGAGTGCAGTGGTGCGATCTCAGCTCACTGCAACCTCTGCCTCCCGGGCACAAGTCATTCTCCCACCTCAGCCTCCCAAGTAGCTGAGATTACAAGTGCATGCCACAACACCTGGATAATTTTTGTATTTTTGGTGGAGATTGGGTTTCACCATGATGCCCTGGCTGGTCTCAAACTCCTGACCTCAAGTGATCCGCCCACCTCAGCCTTCCAAAGTGCTGGCATTACAGGTGTAAGCTACCATGTCCAGCTTGGAAAATTTAAATTTAGTTATGTGGCTTGCATTATAGTTCCATTGGACAACGCTGACCCATAATGACAAAGTCTATATGATAAAGGCCTGAAAGGACATACCCGTAGTGCAACAAAGTGGGGCTTCTTAACTTGCTGTCCACTGGAGGAACTATGGGGGTGCTCGCCAAGCAGAGGAAGAGACACAGTTACAGTAGGGGTCTGTGGAAGAGCAAAATTTAAGAGAAACTTAAATGATGTAGTATTTTGGTAGAATCAAGCAAAGGAGGGAGGGCTGTTTATAGAGGAATTAAACTTAGGCCCAGGCTAAGAAGCAGACATTTATTGTAGCTTTGAAAACTACAAAGTAAAGATAAATATGGCATGTATTTAAAAACCCTTTATTTGAAATTCTTAATTAAGTTGAAAATTGAGACTGTATTTGTGGGCCAAAGTGACTCAGTCCAGTCAAAGGTGGAATGCTCCACTCTTACTAATAGATGATTCTTCACCATTACGTTCTTTCATTAATCATCAAAAGGAGTGTTTACGAGTTCATCATAGAATAAAATTCGTATTTCTTGGCATAGCGTTAAAGTCCATCCATGATCTGACTCTGTGGTTCCCAGTAATATTGCGTGCTATGATTCCTCATACACACTGTGATCATGCAGAAATGTTCTCAAAGCTTGCCCTGTTCTTGCTAACACTTTAATTTGCTCATATTACTTCTCTTCTGCTAGAAGGTTCTTCCCGCTCCTTCTGTTGAAATACTTCAAGGCTCAGTTCTATAATCACAGCTTCTTCTAAAGTCTTCCCAGATTTTATCCTTTATAGTAAAGCAAGCATCAAACAAATATCCCAGAACATTTGGCTTTGACGTACCAGGGGTAAATGAGGGGCACACTTTCTACTTTGTGAGATGCTTATTTGGTCATGTTCCCTCTAGGCTGCCTGTCACTTGTCCAGCTCCTGAAAAGCAGAGGACATGCCCTGTTTGTGCATTTTTCCCCTCCCCATAAAAGCAGTTCATTTCACATGGGAAGTTCTCAAAAAATTTTGATGAATGAATAATTATTCTTATAAAAAGAGAAAATGTAATTATGTTGGTAGTGAAAAAAAAATCATGTGTAGCTTAGGCCTAGGCAGATCCTATGACCTCCACTTATTTTCTCTTTGCAAGCACAGCTCCAAGTAATTCAGTAACTATACACAGACTGAAGAAATGATGACATCAGACCTGGCTTTGCCTATACTTGAATGCATTTAGTTGTTTTGGTGCTTCACACCTGAATTTCAGTTTGCCTGCATAGAACACACACACACACTCAGACACATACATGGTCTACATCTGTGCATGCTGGAGGGAGAGAGAGGAAGAAAAGCATGGTCTTTGTTTTAGAGGGTTAGTGCTGACTCAAGATGCCTGAAAGTTTCCTATTATACCACCCTGCCTATGTCTTATGTGATAACAGCTATCAACATTCATACCAATATCAGACTGACTCAAAAGCAGTCTCTGGTTTATTCACTCATTCATATCATTTACTATGCATATAATTCATGCTAGACTTTGCTTGTTAATGCATTTATATGATGGGAAATTATTCTAAGCACATATTTTGCAGGCCATATTTAAGCATAGAAAAGGCAGATTAAAAGGCAGTGTTCTTTGAGGATCTGTTGCAAAATTATCTTACCAGTACCCATAATATCAAAAATCCTCATTTGTCTCTGCAATTATAAATATATCTTAACATAGGAAATGCTACTAAAATACTAAAAAGAGCAATGAGCTAGGGAACACAAGGTTGGTGTCCCACCTGATTTGTTAGCCATGTGATTTGATAAATATTAATTTCTCATTTTTAGGACACCTTGTACCCATTTCCTCTTCTAAGAAAACATAATAAAGCATTGTTCTTTACCTTCTTAATGATAAGAATCACGAAAGAAAGATTGCAAAGCCTGGTCCGTGGGGATTATGATTCAGGGGGTGTAGAGAGAAATCTAGAAATCTGTTGTGTTGTGTTTTGTTTTTATTAAACGTCCTGGTGATTGTAAAGAAAGTTTGAAAAACTCTGATTTAGACCTGGCTTCACACTTCAAAGTGTGTAAGAACCACCAGGAGGCTTGTTAAAAAATGCAAATTGTGGGGTCTCACCTCTAATGATTCTGATTCAGCAGATCCGAGATGGGGCCCAGGAATCCGAAATTTTAATGAGCATTTCCAGGGAATTCTGATGCACATTCACAGATCACAGTTTGAGAAATACAGATCTCAACTGTGACTTTTGGGAGGTTAGAGATTGTCTAGTTCATGGCCATAATTTCAGCAACCAGAGCAGAGTGGTTGCTCACAGCTAATGCAGAATTAAGTCAAATTGCCCTATGATATAATATTTTTCTTTTACTTAGAAAAAAAGAGCCATTATTTAGAAGTGGTAAAACAATTTATCTACTAATAAAATAACAAAGATAATTTATCTATTTCATCTCTATCTCAGTTTCTTTGGTACTTTAATGTCACTAGTTCATTTACTCATTCATCAAGTACTTATGGAACACGTGAGGTACTGGTAATACAGCAGTGAACAAACTGACATAGTTTCTTTTCTCCTGGAACTCATGGTATAAGTAGGTTTTCTGGTTATCTATTGCTGGATAATGGGTCACTCTAAAACATTGGTTTACAACCACAACAATGATCTATACTCAAAGTAGGGTCACTGTGACAACTTGTCTCTGTCTCATATGGCATCAGCTTGGGCGACTAACTGTGGCTGCAGATTCAGTTCCAATAGGCTGGCTTACAACTTGGTGTTGACTGTCTCCTGGAAACTCAGTCAGGGATGTTAGCTGAGCCCTTGGTTTCTTTCCACATGGCCTTCCCAGCAACTGCTTGGGCTTCCGCACACGATGGGAGTCTCAGTGTAGTTGGACTTCTTACATGCAGACTGGCTTTTCTCAAAGACCATTGTCCACCAGAATACAGTATAGGCTACAATGTTTCTTCTGAGTTACCCTCTGAATCACAGAATGTTACTTACATTACATTCTAGTAGTCAATCAAGTCATTATGGCTCCCAGATTCATAAAGTGGGGAATTACTCCCCACTCTCAATGGCAAGAGTAGCAAAGAATTTGTGGCCATCTTTAATTTACCAAGGAGTGAGACAGATATTTAACAGTTAACTAAATACACTTGCAATAAGAACCACTAAGGAAAAGTATCTGGTACTATGAAAGCATAAAACAGAGGGAGGTAATTAGGAAAAGACCCCCTAAGGAGGTAATATTAAAGATGAGATGGGCTCTAAGTCAGAGTGCTACAATAAAATGCAAGGAGTTAGTAATTAGAAAGCAGGTAGAATAATTAGGCAAAAGAGACAAGGATAAAAATGATAAGAGCTAGTCTTAATTACTTGCTTCCTCTGTGCCAGGCACTGTTTCAAGCCTTTACATGCATTATCTCATTTAACCTTCACAAAGATCCCAGGTGATAAATAATTGTATTCCTATTTTACATAAACTGAGAAATAAAGAGTTGCTCAAGATAATGCAGCTAGCAGGTGGCAGAACCAGGGTCTTAGGGTCTTGTTTTACTTGAGAAATGTAAGATATGGACGTTCTTGCACCAAATGCTGTCATCCCAAGGGCTATGAGTAGGCCTGAAATTCCAACAGGGAACAGACACCTGAAGAGAAGGTTATGCACAAAGTAAGAGTGAACGAATGTCAGAGGTGAACTTCATCTACTACACCATGGCTCCACTGGAGGGTTGTAATTTTCTCTCACAGCAGGGTATTAGAAGGAGATTGGAAAATAGCAGCTGGACTCCTATTTGTCACTAGGAAAGGGGAAGCATTCCCTTTGATTTAACTCCGTTTCCCAATCCAATATTTTTTTAAGCCCAGAAAGACCCTTATTGCCTCTCTCTCCAGGTGGAGTGGGGGCATAGATATTCTTCTTCAAAATCAGACAGGATTTGCTAAATAAATAATATTCCTTTAAATAAACCTTGAAAGATATACGTCAGCTGTGTACGTTTCCACAGGTCTGGTGACAGTGCAGTGAATGTATCACCCGAGTGACGTGGGTCTTGTGATCTACAGATGTAATACTTCATCTGGACCCGTGTGACATACTATCAGGTCTGTGTTGCTTTGATGATGTATTACTCGGGAAAATAAGGTTAGCTGTCAAAAACTCATTCCAGGGAACTGAAAGTTTGGCTGGGGGGAAAATTCATTTCGGGCCTTAAAAAAACACATTTTTCATTGGAGTGGAGGGAATGATGACACGGCTAGAGTCAAAAAGCTTGAGGGCCTTGTGAACTCTCATGGCAATTGCATCTTTCGATACAGATGACTCAGGGAAAAGGCAAGGGACAAATGTATACAGACAGAACTCTTCTTTATTTGGGGTATTTGCAGCAGCCAATATATACAACTGTAGGATGGTACAAATGGGCGAGTTTCTGTAAATTCCCATTGGAATGTCCTTGAGACAGCATAGGCTGTAAAAGCTATTTCAGAAGGCTACGTTTTCATAATAAACACCTGGAATTAGAGTTTTGCATGGGGGCTAGAAAGTGTCTTATAATTATTTTGCATATCTCTATTTATGGGTGCATTAACAACTGTTATTTTACTGAGAGTGATAATGTATTCTGAAATGATCTTTAATACTGATATTTCAAAATCTGTTTTTAAAAATGTGTGTCATCTGAAATTAAAAAAAATTGTCTTCAGTATTTTATTTACTTTCAGATGTGCTGACTGATCTTGGAACTCGATTTACATTTATCACTAAATTCAGATTTTACATCCATGTATTGTTCATTTCTCCCTGAACTTAATGTTTGCAATAATGCAAAACTTCTATAATAGATTTTCAGAGAAAATAAATACCAAAAAATAAAAGCAACAAACAAAAACAGAACATAATCCTTGAGGGAGCCAAATGGAAGAACTATTTCTTTTGGGTAAAACAGCAAGTCCATAGAAGTTCTGAAGTTTTAGAGTTGGGCTCTGAATTTAATAACAGTTGGATCTGTATACATTTATTCCTCACTGAGGTGAATTTCACTTTGTGATTTGAAGAAAGGCCAAGAGTTATTCTTAAATCTGATAAAACACTATGACTTAAGTAGTAAAATAGTGATTGTGAAACCAAAACATTTATATATCTTGTTCTTTGTTTTTTTTAACATAATAAAGGTAAAGATATAACACACAATAATATTTCATTTTCCAAATTTAAAGAAAAATCCAAAGTGTTTTCAAATTTTGTTCATAACAGTTTGTCCTAATCACTGTAATTACGTCTGTATAACTCTTACATATCTTGGTAGGGGGTGCAGTAAGATAAAGTAAGGCAAGGGGTTGGTCTAAATAATTCCCTGATGACAGATACAAAGAACAGTGATATACACTCAATAATCATTTTTAAATAAATTCATATATTGACATTGCTCTATGTCTTAAAATAACTTTTCAGTAAATAAGCACATAAACAGTAAATGTATTGCCAAATGAAAATTGTGATTGCTCCTAAGAACACCTTACCACATCTTTGCCCAAAGAAAATACAGCCTCAGGAGAGAAAGACTTTCAAATATATCAATTGGTATATATATATATTTTTGAAAAATGTAAATACATCTTTACTTTATCTAAAATTATTATAGCTCTTCTGTTTTTTAAAGAAAGATCCAAGAGTTTATAATACAATAACACAAATATTTATTTTTTAAAAATCAATGTAATGAATATTTTAATTATTTAGTATTTTTTGATGAGTTCGAATTTATAATTTGTTTTTTGAGAAATTTGAAATAATGGATTAAACCTGATTTATATAATAATAATGATGATGATGATAAAAATAATATTGGTTACTCTTCTAAAAGAAAAATAAAGCAAAATCTATTTGTGTTTAAATGCCCAAAACAAATCCACCAAAAATAGCTAAGATAAAGAAAATGAAGGTTATATTTGCATATGTATGCCCACATATGTATACATATATTTTACATATAAACATATATACGTGTGTATATATATAAAGTTGTGTGTGTGTGTGTGTGTATATATATATATATTTCCTTTTTATATTTCTTTAAAACATGAAGGTGTAGGAAAATGTTTCTAAATTGTGACAAACAAAGAAGGGCTAATGAAGCATTTTGAATGAATTCAAGTCCTCGGTGTGTGAAAAAAGAGGGGTCTGGGTATAGACTGTGTTGAGAACAGGAAAGACTTTGGGACTCCCTTTCATCTAGGAAAGGATTTTTGAGTGACATGAGAAAGAAAGACATACATAAGTCAGAGAGTGGGTGACATTGAACTTGCTAAGTGATATTGGGGTGGAATATTCAACAAAGTCAAATATCGAAAACATTTAAAATTTCAGACCTAAACCTGGGCCCCTCTACCACCTAAGGGGGCAGAGTATTTGTCTCTTAAGCTCCTCAGTGAAGACTAATATGACCAAACACGCAGGAATCCAGGTCTGACCTGGAGAGATGACTACTATCACCTTACTCCACACCTGGAGGAACGGGCAGAGGGTTAGACACATTGCTAAGTGAGGACAACACAGAAGGTTATAGAGGCTTGAAGGTGAAACAATATAGAGCATACATCAAGAAAACATCATAATTTGCCCTGTCCTATGTTCACCTTTAGGAATGTGGCTATTACTTTAAGAGAGAATGTTTCAAATGCACGTTCCTCTCATTACATGGCTCAGGGTTTCCCAGATTGTGCCACTACTCCCAAAAGTATTCAGAATGACTTTAGGTAGTATTTCAGAAACATTTCTTTTTAAAGTATTCATTTGTTTTAAAGGTATGTTAGAAAAACTACATGGCTGGAGCACAAAACTCATGATTTCACAAGTATTATTGCTTAAAATAAGGCCAAGTCAGTATTTAAATGAATTTAAAAAAATGAGTTGATATTAGGCAAAAGTATTTAGGGAGCACACAGATGCAGTGACAATAGTCAAGAGGTTAAGCCAAAGACTGAGATTTGAAAACCTTTTATGTCCTGAATATAGTCTAGATTTGTCCCTTCTTAATTCTGTCCCCATTCTTCCTCCCATGACTGATATAATTCGTGAGCCAAGTGTAAAATACAGGGTACCTTGTGCAAAAATTTCTAAAAGTTTCAAGACAGTGACAGCAGAGTGAACCAAGTGTGGGATGCTTATTAGCACAGGGCACAATGCAACCGATGAAGGAGTCTCCCACTCACTCAGGAGGCTGGCTCTACTCTCTGCATGTAGGGAGACATGTATGTGGGGATGTGGCAAAGTTAGATATTAGTCTTTGCTCCAGGAAATCTGAGCTGGAGAGTCAGAAAATGTGTGGAGTATTTGTGTGTGTGTGGTGGTGGTGGTGGTGGTAAGGTTGTTGCTATTGTTGTTTTCCTTGGAAAACCAGAGAGAATATAAGACAACTCTGAAACTCTGGAAGAGACAAACATTGGAACTTTCTCTCATTACTCACACGGAAGAACATGTGAACATGTCGTTCTGTTAATTACAAAACCTGAGTTCACATCTCCTTTGGAAGATCCTTTTTTTTTTTTTTTGACAGAGTTTCTCTCTTGTTGCCTAGGCTGGAGTGCAATGGTGTGATCTCGGCTCACTGCAACCTCCGCCTCCTGGGTTCAAGTGATTCTCCTGCCTCAGCCTCCCTAGTAGCTGGGACTATAGGCTCACACTACCACACCCGGCTAATCTTTTGTATTTTTAGTATACACAGGGTTTCACCATTTTAGCCAGGATGGTCTCGATCTCCTGACCTTGTGATCCACACGCCTCGGCCTCCCAAAGTGCTGGGATTACAGGCGTGAGCCACTGCACCTGGCCCTTGGAAGATCTCAAGACTGCATGCATATTGCACTCTCCTGTGGAATCTCTTATTTCACATGGATGATGCAATTTCCCAAGTTCCTTTTCTAGGTTAACTGAGGACTCCCAGAAGGCCATCTCTGCTAGGAAGAATGGTATTTCAATCTCTAGCGCAAAAACTGTGAGATGATGCAGGGGCTGCTTTGCTTTCTAGATGCATTTCATCTCTGGCTTGATAAGGCTGCAGAAATCAGAATGTTTCTCCTTTTCTCCTACCCTCTCTTTCTTTTTCCCTTAATCATTTTCTCTCTTTTGCTTTTAGGTCTCGTCTTTGAGGGCTCGCTCCAGGTTGCCCAGGTTTATTGGTCTTCCTTTGTGTTCCCATACTACTTTATTCTCCTTAATGCTTCCTCTTGGACATGAATTTCAGACACCAACTTGAAGTTGTTGCCTTGTTTGGCTGTTTTCCTTCTAGATCCTGAGGTGTGTGGAGGCAAGACCATAGCTTAATCGTTGCTTGTTCTCTATATTTTGTCTAAGATTCTGGCATGGAACACACACTTCATAAGTATTTGGTGAATGAATGAATAAATGATTTAATGTATCAATTAACATACACGTGAAGGGTGACAACATTAAGATGTCTGAAAAAGACACAAGCAAAATTTTCTAAAACATATTTTTTACTGTTTATGATTTATAAATTATGTTTTCCATATAGATTTTTAGGCATTTATAAGTATCTTTTTTTGATACTTTTGGTTCAAACTGTATTTTTCATATAAATGATTGCTTCTAAAAATACTTTCTATAGTTATGTAAAGTCTAATTTCAAAACTGAATTCATATTGAAAGCTTGTATACACCAAACCCATAATTTTATTGAAATATTCCAAAAAATGTGCCTTCACCATAGGTCTTAAATAACATTTTAAAAATGTCAATATTTATCTTTTAAAAATAGAAATCATGTTTGTGATTTTTTGTTGCTATTGTTTTTAGGAATTAACCTGCTCTTCTACCCTACGTGTAAAACAATTTTAATTTGTGTAACCTTTTTTTTGTAATAATGCGGACGTATGGTCATTCATGTGATAAATCATATCTGATTTCTGAAATATAAATCACAAAGAACTTCAAAAATGCAGTTTTCTTGACTTTCTTTAATTTAGTTATGGAGTGTGTTAGGTTTGGTGCTATATAGCCATGTTTGATTTAAAAATATTCATTTATGACACTATTAATTCTGTAAACTCTGGACTTAGATTCAAGTATTAGTTATAAATCAACAAATTAGTAATCTAATATGCCTATCTGCTTATGGATATAAAAGTCATACATTGTATATGATTACATTGTTAGGTTCATGTGGAAAACTCAATACATTTTTGACTTACAGAAGTACTTTATCATTAAGAAATTTTGAAATAATAATATGATATGATGGCCTGAGAAATCTGTGAATCATGTGCAAATAAAGTAGATAAACTAAGCTTTTCAAAAACATGTTTCTGACTGTGTGACATCTTGTGGAGAGGCTTTGGAAGATCTGACAGGGGAATGGCCAATTTGGAGCTTTCAGTAGAAAGGTAAATGTATAAAAGTAGCTGAGATTTGTCACAAATGTTTCCTGCATTTCTCTTTGGAAAACAATGGACTTGAATTGCTGTAATATAAATAAGAATAAAATATATTTCCAGTGGGGATGAATAGGGATGGATACTAAGTGATGTCCGAGTATCCTTTGATCTGCATAATTCATTTTTTCACATTTTTCTATATCAATAGTCAAATATTATTGGAGAGAAAAGCAACAGTAAACCTCAGTAAATATATTTTCTTTGCCATTTTCTCTCCACCATTGCTCTTGGGCACATCATTTTTAGTTTGCTTTATCTGTTAGTTTTTAATAGAGATATGTAAGAATTGCCTGCTGACTGTGGATTCATTGATATGTCTTTTACATTTTGTCAGTTTTTGCTTTGTAAATTTTTATCACATTGTGAAGCTCATAATAGCGTATGATTGTTATACATTTGGTGGTTTTTCTCCTTAATTTTAAATTATGTCCTCTTTCTTTTGCCTAATTTCTTTTCCGTTTGATGTAAAGTTGCTACACCAGCTTTAACTTGGTAGATATTTGTATAGTGTATTTTCCCTCCCTTTTATTTCTAACCATTTAGCTGGGATTTGAATTTTTATCAGATAAGACAACATGTCTTGGCCAGGTGTGGTGGCTCACACCTGTAATCCCAGCACTTTGGGAGGCCAAAATGGGAGGATTACTTGAGCCCAGGAGTTAGAAACCAGCCTGGGCAACATAGTGAGTCCCTGTCTCTAATTCAAACAATCTAAAAAAAAAAAAAAAGATACCATGTCTTTTAACGTGTGAGTTTAAATGGTTTTACATGTGACAAGACTACTTACAAATTTGGAATCTTCTAACCTCTCGTTTTGTCTTTTGAACTGATTCTTCTTTTCCTGTGTTTCTTTCATTCCTATCTTTTACTGATTTCATAGAGTTTCAATACTCTTTTTTTTCTTTTTGACGGTCTGTATGCAATTGATTAGTTTTGGTGGTTATTATTAAATACATAACATACATAATTAGTCATAAATTGTTCTAATAATATTTAATGTTATTCAGTGTTTTCATCTTCCTCTCAAATATGACAAGAATTTAGCATTTTTTTAAAACAAATGTTTCTCATTTTTTGTTATTGCCCCACTCCAAACCCAAGGAAGTTTCTCTGAGGCAAAGTCATTTCTACTGGCTGTGTGTGCTTTAAACTTTAATCTTATTATTACACATTGTGTACTTTATATTTTTTTAATTTTTATTTAAGTTCTGGGATACATGTGCACAATGTGCAGGTTTGTTACGTAGGTATACCTGTGCCATGGTGATTTGCTGCACCCCAACCTGTCATTTAGGTTTTAAGCCCTGCATGCATTAGCTATTTGTGCTGATGGGCTCCCTCCCCTGCCCACCACCCCCCTACCCCCGCTGCCAACAGGCCCTCCTATGTGTTGTTTCTCTCTCTATGTCCACGTGTTCTCATTGTTCAACTCCCACTCATGAGTGAGAACATGGAGGTGTTTGGTTTTCTGTTCCTGTGTTAGTTTGCTGAGGATGATGGCTTCTGGCTTCATCCACATCCCTGCAAAGGACATGATCTCATTCCTTTTTATGACTGGATAGTATTCCATGGTGTATATGTGCCACATTTTCTTTATCCAGTCTATCTATGATGGGCATTTGGGTTGGTTCCATGTCTTTGCTATTGTAAATAGTGCTGCAATAAACACACGTATGCATGTATCTTTAGAGTAGAATGATTTATATTATTTCTACTGGCATATACCCAGTAATGGGATTGCTTGATCATATGGTATTTCTGTTTCTAGATCGTTAAGAAACTGCCACATTGTCTTCCACAATGGTTGAACTAATTTACATTCCCACCAACAGTGTAAAACTGTTCCTAATTCTCCACAGCCTCACCAGCATCTGTTGTTTCTTGACTTTTTAATAATTACCATTCTGACTGGTGTGAGATGGTATCTCATTGTGGTTTTGACTTGCATTTCTCTAATGATCAGTGATGTTGAGCTTTTTTTATATGCTTGTTTGTTACATACATGTCTTGAGAAGTTTCTGTTCATATCCTTTGCCCACTTTTTGATGGGGTTGTTTTATTTTTTTCTGGTAAATTCTTTTAAGTTCCTTGTAAATTCTGGATATTAGACCTTTGTCAGATGGGTAGATTGCAAAAATTTCTTCTCATCCTGTAGCTTGCCTGTTCACTCTGATGATAGTTTCTTTTTCTGTGCAGAAGCTCTTTAATTTAATTATATTCCATTTGTCAATTTTGGCTTTTGTTGCAATTGCTTTTGACGTTTCTTTAATGAAATGTTTGCCCATGCCTATGTCCTGAATGGTATTGCCTAGGTTTTTTCTAGGGTTTTTTATGGTTTTGGGTTTTACATTTAAGTCTTCAATCTATCTTGAGTTAATTTGCATATAAGGTGTAAGGAAAGGGTCCAGTTTCAGTTTTCTGCACATGGCTAGCTGGCTTTCCCAGCACTATTTATTAAATAGAGAATCCTTTTTCCATTGCTTGTTTTTGTCAGGTTTGCTGAAGATTGGATGGGTGTAGATGTGTGGTGTTATTTCTGAGGCCTCTGTTCTGCTCCATTGGTCTATGTCTGTTTTGGTACCAATACCATGCTGTTTTAGTTACTGTAGCCTTGCAGTATAGTTTGAAGTCACAGTGATGCCTCCAGCATTATTCTTTCTACTTAGGATTATCTTGGCTATTCAGGCTGTTTTTTTGGTTCCATATGAAATTTAAACTACTGTTTTCTAATTCTTAGAAGAATGTCAATGGTAGTTTGATGGGAATAGCATTGAATCTATTAATTACTTTCACCAGTATGGGCATTTTCCCAATATTGATTCTTCTATCTACGAGGATGGAATTTTTTTTATTTGTGTCCTCTCTTATTTCCTTGAGCAGTGGTTTGTAGTTCTCCTTGAAGAGGTCCTTCACATTCCTTGTTTGTTGTATTCCTAGGTAATTTATTCTTTTTGTAGCAATTGTGAATGGGAGTTCATTCATGATTTGGCTTTCTGTTTGTCTTTTGTTGGTGTAAAGGAATGCTTGTGATTTTTGCACATTGATTTTGTATACTGAGACTTTGCTGAAGTTGCTTATCAGCTTCAGGAGTTTTTGGGCTGAGATGAATGGGTTTTCCAAATATAGAATCATGTCATCTGCAAAAAGAGACAATTTGACTTCTTCTCTTCCTATTTGAATACGCTTTATTTCTTTCTCTTGCCTGATTGTCCTGGCTAGAACTTCCAATGCTATGTTGAATAGGAGTGGTGAGAGATGACATCCTTGTTTAGTGACAGTTTTCAAGGGAACTCCTTCCAGCTTTTGTGCATTCAGTGTGATATTGGCTGTGAGTTTGTCATAAAAAACTCTTATTATTTTGAGCTATGTTCCATTAATACCTAGTTTATTAAGAATTTTTAAGATGAAGGAATGTTGAATTTTACTGAAGGCCATTTCTGCATCTATTGAGATCATCATGTGGTTTTTGTCATTGGTTCTGTTTATGTGATGGATTATGTTTATTGATTTGCATATGTTGAACCAGCCTTGCATCCCAGGGATGAAGCTGGCTTGTTATTGGTGGATCAGCTTTTTATGTGCTGCTGCCAGTATTTTATTGAGGATTTTTCCATTGATGTTCATCAGGGATAGTGGCCTATAGTCTTCTTTTTTTGTTGTGTTTCTGCTGGGTTTTGGTTTCAGGACGAAGCTGACCTCATAAAATGAGTTAGGGAGGAGTTCCTCTTTTTCAGTTGTTTGGAATAGTTTTAGAATGAATGGTACCAGCTGCACTTTCTACCCCTAGTAGAATTCAGTAGTGAATCAGTCTGGCACTGGGCTTTTTTTGTTCGGTAAGCTATTAATTACTGCCTCAATTTCAGAACTTGTTATTTGTCTACTCAGGGATTCAGTTTCTTCCTGGTTTAGACTTGGGAAAGTGTATGTGTCCAGAAATGTATCTATCTCTTCTAGATTTTCTAGTTTGTTTGCATGGAGGTGTTCATAGTATTCTCTGATGGTAGTTTGTATTTCTGTGTGGTCAGTGGTGACATCCCCTTTATCATTTTTTATTGTGTCTATTTGATTCTTCTCTTTTTTCTTCTTTATTCCTCTAGCTAGCAGACTATTTTGTTAATTTTAAAAAAAATACCAGCTCCTGCATTCATTGATTTTTGACATGTTTTTCATGTCTCTATCTCCTTCAGTTCCACTCTGATCTTAGTTATTTCTTCTCTTCTGCTAGCTTTTGGATCTGTTTGCTCTTGCTTCTCTTGTTCTTCTAATTGTGAAGGTAGGGTTGATTTGAGATCTTTCTAGCTTTCTGATGCAGACATTTAGTGCTATAAATTTCCCTCTTAACACTGCTTTAGCTGTGTGTCAGAGATTCTGGTACATTGTCTCTTTGTTCTCATTGGTTCAAAGAACTTCTTCATTTCTGTCTTAATTTCATTATTTACTCAGGAGTCATTCAGGAGCAGGTTGTTCAATTTCCACATAGTTGTGTGGTTTTGAGTGAGTTTGTTCATCTCGAGTTCTAATTTGATTTCACTGTGGTAGGAGAGACTCTTGGTTATGATTTCAGTTATTTTGCATTTCCTGAGGAGTATTTTACTTCCAATTATGTGGCCAATTTTAAAACAGATGCCATGCAGTACTGAGAAGAATGTATATTCTGTTGATTTGGGGTGGAGAGTTCTGTAGGTATCTATTAAGTCCACTTGATCCAGAGCTGAGTTCAAATCCAGAATATACTTGTTAATTTTCTGTCTCATTAATCTGTCTAATATTGACAGTGGGGTGTTAAAGTCTCCCATTATTATTATGTGGGAGTCTAAGTCTCTTTGTAGATATCTGAGAACTTGTTTTATGAATCTGGGTGCTCCTGTATTAGGTGCGTATATATTTAGGATAGTTAGCTTTTCTTGTTAGTTCATCCCTTTATCATTATGTAATGCCCTTCTTTGTCTTTTTTGATCGTTGTTGATTTAAAGTCTGTTTCTGAGACTCAAATTGCAACCCCTGCTTTTTCTGTTTTCCCTTTGCTTTGTAAATTTTCCTCCATCCCTTTATTTTGAGCCTATGTGTGTCTTTGTATGTAAGATGGGTTTTCTGAATACAGCACACTGATGGGTCTTGACTCTTTATCCAATTTGCCAGATCTGTGTCTTAATTGGAGCATTTAGCCCATTTACATTTAAGGTTAATATTGTTATGTGTGAATTTGATCCTGTCATTGTGATGTTAGCTGGTTATTTTGCTCGTTAGTTGATGCAGTTTCTTCCTAGCATCAATGATCTTTACAATTTGGCATGTTTTTGCAGTGGCTGGTACCAGTTGTTCCTTTCCATGTTTAGTGCTACCTTAAAGATATCAGATACAAATTTAGCAGCTGAAACCTGTGGCCATCCCTTAGTCTCTCAACTAGGCAGCAGTGAAAACACTATGCAGTAAGAAAAAGAACTAATCTTGTGTGCAGAAAGCAAAAAATTTAAAAATACACAGATTATTTTCAATGTTCTCTACTGCTAGCACTACAATCCCTTATTCCATTCCTCAGATCCTGAGACACCCAATGACTTCATTAGAGAGAGTCCTTCTTGCTTAACCTAAACTCAGTTGAGTTTTCATCATTTGCAGCCAAAAGAATTCTAAAGAACACAGACATTATTTGTTTACATATAATTTGTTTTCCCTTCCTATCAAATAATGTTTTCTCCATAGATGGGGAGCACACACCACACACACACATGCACACATACAGATGCATGCACGCACACACACACACACACACACACATATTATGAGAAGTAATTTCTCACACTGGCTGGAAATCTTGACATTTAGAGTTCAAATTACTAAATTGAGACTTTTATTCTTTTGGGGATGATAGAGAGACAATAGAAGACTCAATAAGGCACAAGACATTTTTTAAATATTCATAATGTGATGTGACTTGAAATATCAATAAGTGGAGACGGATTTTGGAGGAAACTGGCAATGATATTAAAGCAATGACTTGTATCCACTTACGTCTTTATAAAAATTTTCCTTTAGAATGACTCTTGTGATTTTTTCTGCTTTGATCCTGGGATAAAACTTATTTCTGAGATCTACTATCCAGAAGAACTTCTGGATTTTTAACATTATTCCATTTTTCTAAAGTGTCACAATAATCAGGGGAGGAGGGTAAAAATTATTGAAGATTCTGGCCCATAATATACAATCGGTCATATTTTGGCTAATGAGTGCATGGATGATTAGATAATCTAATTAAGTTGATATGTACTGTAAATCTCATAGTTTGACTTTCACATCAAGGGACATTTTTTTCTTGTGTGTTAATATCAATCCTGTATTTATATTTATAGAACATAAAATTGCAGCATTTTAAACTTATAATTGTTTGCCCTGGACTCTTAGATCCTCGTTACTTGAGGTGTGCTCCGGAGATCAGCAACAGTCACATCATTTGCAACATTTTGGGACTGGTTAAAGTATAGATCTCAGTCTCATCCCTGACAGCTGAATAAGAATCTGTATTTGAAATAAACCCCCAAGTGTTCTGAAGCACATTAAAGTTAAAGAGGCTTTGCAACACATGACACATTTTTTATGTTGTTTTGAAATTATGAAATATAATAAACCTAACCTTGATAAAATGTCGTGTTATGTTTTCCACTTAAGCTGCATAGTTTTTTTCATGCCACAGATATTAATGACTAATTTGCTGTGCTAAATCACAGGAATTGGTAATCAAATGAGAATGGCTTTAAACCTATACTTTGATGAAATTGACATTTAAAAATATAGTAAACGTTTTTTTAAAGCAATAATGCAGAAGTATGGGGCATCATTTAGTTTTATGTTATGGGCTTTTTTTGCAGAAAAAGTATGATTTCTAAATTAAATGTATTTTAGAGATCTACAAAGCTACCAGATGTATTGATTCTTATGTTTGTTGGTGTTTTCATATAACATTGATATTATTCAGAGCACACCAGTTGGCTAGAAAATTTTAGGGTTTATTTCATTGGCAATATCATATTATCTCTTGATACTAATTGGTATTAAATTCAGAAAAATCACCAACTGCATTAGCAGTTGTGCATGAATATCTGAGTATGCTGTTATTTCAAATCTGGAAGTCATTGTAAGGACATCTTTTTTTTAGAATTTAAGTTAATATTGTGCTACATGACTGTTTGTAGCATTGAAGGGGAACTAATCTTTATCAATCATTTAATTACAATGAATTAAAGTATATATGTAATTACCTACATTTTATTAAAATTGGACATATTTATAAGGAATTCTAGGTGAAATATTAGTCTTAGCATTATGTGAACTGGACTCTGATTACACAGAACTTCCCAATGCATCTTTGTACTGCACCAAATTAACTCTAGACTCCTAAGCCCTTTACAGCTTGATGAAGCAAAAATTCTTCTGATAATTAAATCCAAGGGGAATTTTACTACATTCTTATTTTTCCACAAAAATAACTAAGAAGTTCTTTTAACACGAACAAATTCTTTCAAGAAATATTTATTGAGTCCCTCTATGAAGAACATAATTCAGATTAGCAGGTGGGAAAAAACAAATCACAAAACAACTGTCTCTTTCCTGTATAGTCCATAAGCAGAATATGTACATATACATCTGTCTTTGGGCGTGTGACCATCATTGAAGAGAAAGGCTAATCATTTCATCTTATTTTAAAATATATTTCAAGTTCTCTATATGATTTTTAAATAAGTTGTAGGCCTTACTAAGCACTGATATTATGCTAGCAAATTTAGTAAGCATTCAATTTTATTATCTCATTGAATGTATTAAAAATTTGATGAACTGTATAGTATGTGTTGTTAATCCCATTTTGCACATCAGAAAACAGAGGCTCTGCAAGCTTTTGGCTATCTTGTTCAAGATCACAGAAATAGTCAGTTGTGGATCCAGAAATTATAGCCATCCTTCAGAGTGTATGTGTATCGAGTTTATTGTAAGCTTCTGATTATGTTGAATAACAATGAATAAGCACTAAATAAGGAAACCTTTACAAACAGCATAAGAAGGCTCATCTTGAGGACACTGCCCTTAGACACAGTAGCACAGAACTACCATCAAAAGGGTGAAATAATTTACATGGAATCCTAGTGCTTGTCAACAAGCACAGGTTTTCTATTTTTGCCTCCACTGACAGAGAGGATGAGTTTTAGTACAGACAATGCCAGTCTGCTAGTACAACCTACTGTCCTGTGACAGCACAAAAATTAACTTATCCAAAAGGATAGAAAATGAAAAGAAAGTTTGAGTCCGCTTATCATGTGTGCCAGAGTGTGACCACAGTCGTTGTTTACCATTCCCCTCTCTCACTGTAATTTTTTTCCCACTGGATGCCTCTGAGTATTACTTTCCAACTTGATGATATTTCTTGGAAAAATAGCACCCTGGCAGGCCAAAGTTAGAGAAGTCCAGTTGGTACCTGACACTCACTTTTTTTTCTTTTTTTCATTCCACACCCAACCTTTCAAGAGAGAAATGCAAGGCAGGCAAACTGGTGAGTCCCCTGAAGGCCCTTGAAGTGACTAATGTACACTCTATTTTGCAATCACATGGGGCCTGTGAAAGCACGTGGGGCCTGTGACTATTTTTATCTAACTGGGTTAGAGTTGGACTCCCCATAGACCCAAAAGTATAGGAATCTAGATCATCATTTAGGAGGTAGCTTCGATTGAAATGCTGGAGGCTTGAACAGGAGTCCTCTTGGTAACAAAGAAATGAAAGGCTCCTATCTTGAGTTCTGCATGGAAGACTCCCTCTTACACTTTTTACTGTTGTTTTCAACTAATACAAGGACTACTGATTTTTCTTTTTATATTAAAGTTACACTTGGCCTAAAGTTTTATATTTGTGAGTAGTTTCTACAATTTTGCACAGTTTAATATGTTATGTATTTAGTCTCAATTATCACTCTCCACCTCCTACTTGTAATACATTTGTAACTGGTAGGAACTAGTTCATTTAAACCGTATTAATCACACTCTGTCTGAATTAATATTTGTTAGCACTGATTATACTGATGGCTACTTCACATTTATACTTCACCTCCCCTCCCTTTTTGCCAGCTACCATAAACCCAGCTGTATTTTATTCTAAAAGAAAAAAGAAAGAAAAAAATCTGGGCCCAGAGCTAAGTGTCAAAGATAATAGAAACAAAGTGCTGAGATTTTTCCTGGTGGAATAATGGACACTTTTCTTACACAGACTCTTTATAAAGTGACATGTTTATTTAGTTTCTGAGCAGTAATGAAATGATCAAAACAGTATTGCAATTTATAAAGTATAATACTTGGACATACCAAGCCTTTTATTCTCTCAAGTCCCCTCGCAGAAATGACAAACACAAAGGCTAGGTCAGTTACTATTCAGTAGTGCATCAGAGCTGGCTTGTATATTACTGGTGTCTCATCCCAATTCCTTGTTAATGATGTCACCTTGTTGACTGGGAAAAAAAGGCATAGTAGGAGTTATTTGCTCTACAGGAGTAAGTAAATGCTACAAATTAGGGCTCCCTTTCTCACCTCTCCTCCTGGAAGGGAGCAATAATGCTCCTCATTGTTGAGCATTTACCAGTGCACCATTGCCTATGACCATATCACGCTTGCTGTCTTGTATCATCAGCACTAGTTCTTCCTTAACAAATGCATGCCATTATGCACAAGTCTAACCAAACATACACTCAGAATGACTGCAAATTCATTGGAAAACATCCAACACAAAGCTCACACTTGGTATTTTTTGGCTTCCTTGGGCACAAATTAGGATCTCAGGCAATATTTGCTGAGTGAATAAATTGGCATATATAATAAAATAAAAGCCTTATCTATTTGCATATTTACCACCATCTTCAGAAACAGATGCATTTCATGTAGACTAACTCTGTCAGTAACCATAGCATGCTAGTCTATAATCATTGTTGGAAAGTTTCACAGGATAAAATAAAAAGTTATTGAAAAGGGAGTACTGAACTCAAAATCAAACTGAACTACTTGCTAAATTTGGGATATTAGTAGAGTTATTCATATTTTATACATTTTATTTTCTCATCTGAAACTGTAGACAATAATATCTACCATGGGTTTATTATGAGGATTCAAGTAATATTTAGCACGTAATCTGTATTCAAAAATTGCAGTAGACACTGCCGATACACAACAATAACACTTGCTATTTTTACATTTATTATCTTCTTAAATATAGTCTGCTGAGGATCACTGATGTTTCTAAACATCATGTGACTGGAATAAAAAATAACATAAGATTTTCCAGATATGAAGTCACTGGTAATTCATTGAACAACACTGAATATAAATTTCAACGATTGGGATCTTTCATTGAGTCACAGAATTCAAGTAGGTATGGCCTAAGCATTTACTTTACAAAATAGTAAGATGTACTTTTAATTGTCTAGCTGAAGTTTGCTATTAAATTTACCTAAATAAGAGATTTAAATTAATGGTTTGTTTTTTTTTTGAGAGAAGTCTCGCTCTTATCCCCCAGGTTTGAGTGCAATGGCTTAATCTTGGCTGACTGCAACCTCCGCCTCCCAAGTTCAAATGATTCTCCTGCCTCTGCCTCCCAAATAGCTTGGATTACCTCGCTTGCCACCACTCCTGGCTAATTTTTGTATTTTTTAGTAGAGATGGGGTTTCACCATGTTGGCCAGGCTGGTCTCAAACTCCTGACCTCAGGTGATCCGCCTGCCTCGGACTCCCAAAGTGCTGGGATTACAGGCATGAGCCACTGCGCCCGGCCATTAATGATAAATTTTTAAGAGCAGAGAAAAGCAATTTCCTAAATATCAAAGAACTAAAAACAGGCATTTTTTGGCCTTTGATGTTACCCTCAAGGAAATAGGTGATAATACAATAATTTTACTCTAAAATAATGATTCTCAAACATTAGAGAGCAGAAAAATCACCAGAGAAGCCTGTGGGGAAAAGTGCAGATTATTCACATTCCTTCTACTGCCTTCCTATCCAGGGAGGGAGAGTAGAGAAGGAAGAAGGGAAGGAGAAGAGAGAGGAAGGAAAGGGAGAGAGGAAAGAATGAGTGAGAGGAAAGGAGGGAGGGAGATAAAAAAAGGGAGGGAGGAAGAAAAGGAAATAGGTGACTATTTCCCAAAGAGATTAATGTTTACATCAGTCTCCTATTTTTTTTTTGAGTCTTGGGATTTGAAAAATACATTGGGATTTAAAGTGATGTCATTCAGATAGATTTATCTCTTAAGGTATATCGGCTTATTTGAAATGGTATCATTAAGTTAAAATGAAATTAAGTCAAATATGATTTTCCACATCCACGTTCCAGGCCACATAATGAAATAAGAATAGCACCAGCTTTAATCAAATGCAGGTGATATAACTGTACAACAGAAAGCCTTCAGAAGGGATGTAGATTGGTGAAGCTATGCCACAGAGTCACCAATGATACAAAATTGCACTTGATACAGTCCTGCATCCCAGGGTGCCCTGTAAAATTATTATGCTCTTCATAACTCATATCCCTTTATTAATGTAACACGGCATAAAAAAGGCAAAACCAGTGGTATCCTGGAAGTCAGAAGGACTACACTCCTTGCAGAAATCTGTCACTAGCATGACTTTAGGTAACGATGGCATAATAAGAATTCCCTAATAGTTTTTTGACTTATAAATGTCTTTCTTGATCTTTTTGTTCTTACTATTAGTTTTTATGGACCAAGTTATCTGCATTAAAGGTCAATTTCTTGGTCCTTCTGCTAAATTGTAAGCAAATGTTTTTGCTTTTTAAGCCTAGTAATTTATCAAGAATAGCAGCTATACACCATGTACCATGAGTGGATATATAGCTGCTTTGAAAGTGTGCAAACTGACACATATTTGCTTCAAAGTTTTAAATCCTTGATTTTTTATGAGAGTAAAATTTTAGGCTTGAATAGTGGTCAGATTTAGAAGCACTGGACTGAATTTTGTCTTAACTCCAGAATCCAAAAATTATTCTTTCTATAAAAGACTTTACAGTCATGTGTCACATAACAGTATTCAGGTCAATGATGGACCACAGGTACAACAGTGGTTTCATAAGATTATAATGGAGCTAAAAATTCCTATCACTTAGTGACGTTGTAGTTGTCGTAGCACAAAACATTACTCGCATCTTTGTGGTGATGCTGGCATGAACAAACCTACTGTACTGACAGTCCTATAAAAGTCTAGCACATGGAATTAGTACATACTACCAGAGAATGATTATAAACACCTGTGTTACTGGTTCGTGTATTTATGATACTCCATTTTTTATCATTATTTTGGAGTATATTGCTTCTACTTATGTAAAAAAGTTAACCGTAAAACAGGCTTAGACAGGCACTTCAGGAGGTATTCTAGAAGAAAGCATTGCCATCATAGTGGATGATAGCTCCATGTATGTTATTGCCCCGGGAGACCTTCCAGTGGGGCAAAATGTGGAGGTGGAAGACAGTGATATTGATGATCCTGACCTTCTGTGGGCCTCAGCTAATGTGTGTGTTTGTGTCTTAGCTTTTAATAAAAAAGTTTAGAAAGAAAAAAGTAGAAAAATGCTTATAGAATAAGGATATAAAGAAATATAATTTTTTGTACAGCTGCACAATATATTTATGTTTTAAGCTAAATGTTATTATAAGAATAAAAAAGTTAAAAAACTTATAAAGTAAAAATGTTACAGTGAGCAAAGGTTAGTTTATTATTACAGAGAATTTTTTTTTATTTTTTTGAGAGGAAGTCTTGCTCTGTCGCCCAGGCTAGAGTGCAGTGGCGCGATCTTGGCTCGCTGCAACCTCAGCCTCTGGAGTTCAAATGATTCTGCTGTCTCAGCCTCCTGAATAGCTGGGATTACAGGCGCATGTTGCCAGGCCCGGCTAATTTTTGTATTTTAGTAGAGACGGGGTTTCACCATGTTGCTCAGGCTGGTCTCGAACTCTTGAGCTCAGGCAATCCGCCCATCTCGGCCTCCCAAAGTGCTAGGATTACTGGCATGAACCACTGCGCCTGGCCAATATTTTGTATAAATGTAAAGTAGCCTACGTGTACAGTGTTTATAAAGTCTGAAGTAGTGTACAGTAATGTCCTAGGCCCTCACATTCACTTACCACTCACTCACTGACTCACCCAGAGCAACTTCCAGTCCTGCAAGTTCTATTGAATGGTAAGTGCCCTATACGGTGTACCATTTTTAATCTTTTATACCATATTTTAGTGTACCTTTTTACGTTTAGATACGTTGAGATACATAATGTAGTCCCTGTGTTACACTGACCTACAGTAGTTAGCTCAGTAACGTGCTCTACAGGTTGACAGCGTAGGAGCAATAGGCTACACCATCTAGCTTAGGTGTATAGTAGGCTACACCATCTAGGTTTGCCTAAGTACACTCTATAACGTTTGTACAATGCTGAAATAAGCTAAGGATCCATTTCTCAGAATGCATCCCCATCATTAAGTGACGCAAAACTGTATTTTAAAAATAATATAATAGTGGATCCCAAATCTCATCAGTGAATCATCTTCTAGTGCATTAAAATGTAAATATACTTCATGACTACCGATTAACATAATTGATATTACAGAAACAAACATATCGGAGTCATGTGTCGGTCAGAATTCAGACAGGATACAGAAACTATTCTAAGCATTTCAAGCAGATAATTCAATACATGGATTTGATGACACAAGCAACATAAAAGCTTACAAAGTCAAAAAGAGAATGAGGAAGCAACACAGAAGTTAGCAACAGCAGACTCAGCTCCCATCCCTAGGGCTGGAGAGATAGAAGAAATGGATTGTATCAGACCCCAGAGAGCTGTTCAGTTGCTGCTTGATGGGAGTTGCAACCACCCAGGGGTGCAGACGTTGCCTGTAAACATGCCCAAGGCACAGCAAAGTGGGAAAGAAGGACCCTGACTTCTCCCTTCTGCTTTTCAAAAGTGTGGGGAATGCGTCTGAGAATTAAATAGTCAAAGAATGGCACAAATAGCATGTCTACATATGTGTTGTTCCTTAAAGCTGTCCTCTTGCAAGATTTCACATTCACTCAAATGTTGATTCCATTGCACAATATATTTTTATATCTTCACTTTTAGGGTTTTTGCTACCCGCAAAAGAAAATCTGTCTTTCCTAGAGTCCATGAATAGCGTAAGTTCATTTATGTCCTGGCTCACTGTTATAATTACTGCGCATGTTAACATGACTGTAATTTGCCTGTGCTATAAGATGTGAATCACCAGATGTTGACTGCCAGAAGATGAGATCTGTCTGTGCTAGAAAGTTTCAAGAGCTTTCCCATCAGGGAAATTAAGGATCATGTACTTTGGACTGTATTTGCTTATCACACAATTTGAGAAAGCTCAAATTGTGTGATAGGCAAATAAAAATGTATAACACTGTTAGTTTTAAACTACTAATCTTTAATGGTTCTTGAATCAGGACTTTAAGGCCAGTTAATGGTGGCATAGGGAGAATGCTAAGATTTGTCGAGTACCTACTATGTACTGGACTCTATATAGATAGCTTGCATGCATTATCTTACAATTATCTTACAATATTACAAGATAGGCATGATTTTTAGTTTCTTTCTTTCTTTCTTTTTCTTTTTTGTTTGACCAAGTCTCACTTTATCACCAAGCTGGAGTACAGTGGGCCAATCACAGCCCACTGGAGCCTCAGCCTCGGCTTCCTGGGCTCAAGCCATCCTCCCACCTCAGCCCCCCAGTTAGCAGGGACTACAGCATGTGCCACCAGGCCTGGCTATTTTTGTATTTTCAGAAGAGACAGGGTTTCACCATGGTGCCCAGGCTGGTCTGGAACTCCTGGACTCAAGTGACACACTCACCTCCTCTTTCCAAAATGCTAGGATTACAAGCATGAGCCACTGTGCCCAGCCAGGTATTATTTTTAATGGTCTCTAATATCCATGCTCTCTTCCATATATATATATATAATTATATATAATATATTATATATAATATATTATATATAAATTATATATTATATATAATATATATTATATATTATATATATAATATATATTATATATTATATATATTATATATAATATATATTATATATTATATATATTATATATTATATATATTTAATATAATATATTATATATTATATATTATATATAATATATTATATATATTTTATATATATTATATATTATATATTATATATATTTATAATATATTATATATAATATATTATATATATTTTATATATTATATATATATAATATATATAATATATATTATATATATATAATATATATTATATATATTTTATATATATAATATATATATTATATATATTATATATATATATAATGAATATTTTGGACCAAACTGATTTGTGGCTTTATTTTATGTGACCTTACATTATATTGGTCTTAGTTTTTCTACTTATCTTCAGTTTAATTTTTTTGTATATTTTTGTGAGCAACTTTTAAACTTTGGGGGAATTAAACATGCTCTAAGTAAAGAAATGTCACTCCATTTGAAATATAAGTGTGAATTACCGTACTGGATTGTGAACTTTTTTTACGACAGATACTATTGTATTACCTTATATTCTTCCAATACCAAGTGCCAGATAGAAAGTGACTTTAAGATTTTTGTGTGTGTGTTTATGTGTGTGTGCCCACACATGAATGTGCATATTCATTATTTCATTTAAGTTTGATTTTTATGTTATGAGGACATTTATATGATGGTATCTAATATATCTTCCGCTTCTCTGTCATTCTTGTATGTATACAAACTTATTAAAAAAGAAAGTATGTATTTTCCACGCTTTTTTCTGGGTCCTCTCCTAAGAATTAGGTTTCACTAACTTGAGTATTGTATTTTCTCACTGTAATATACTGAATTTGAAAAAGACTCTCTAATCTCTAAAGAAAAATTTGCAGTTAAAAAATTATGTTTGCACTTTGTTGTTTTGCTGTAACTTTTCTATATTTCTATTGCGTCCTTCAGTCTGTAAGACAATAAACACAAGTCGTAGGATAGAGCAGTCTTCTGAGTACCACTGGGATGTTTCAATCTACAGAAGTCTGACAATTCTCATCACATTTTTTTAATAAAGTGGGCTCTTTAATTTTAGAGTAATCTTTCTTTGTCTTAGAACAATAAGTTTGTGAGAGCGTCAGCATGGTCTCTCAACAATTCTTGTCAGTGGAAAATGTGTTTACATGTTGCTAGCAACACTATGAATTGCTCACTGGGGACCTAAGCAGGTGACAATGAGGTTTATTGCCTGAGAGTGTTAGTGATTATTTTACATAACTTGGCTTGGGAACATACTACAAAACAAACAACTTTTGAGAGCTTTTTTGCTTTGGTAATTTTGTGTTGTTGAGATCATATGGAGAGGCAGGCAGCTCTGCAGACTATGGAACAATGAGCTAGCATATATAAATCCGAGCTGATACCTTGAGGTAATTCTTCTTTGCAAAGTAAAAAGATATTCGGTAATCAGACACTGCTAATGTGTCTCCATGATAATATATTCTTGTCTTGAACACAGCAATTTATTTTTCTGCTAACATATTCCTGCTAGCATTTATGTCTCTATCTACCGCTCAATTACATATGCATGAGTTCATGTTTTCACATTGTGTGTTTTATTCACACCGTCCTGTGCACTTGAAACACTTAATCCAACAGTGTATTATTTATCTCTGTGGAGCAGTGTGTTCATACAGGTACAAGCTTAGCGAAGAACTTTCTAAACACCACAGAATTACAGGTCAACAAACCCAGTGATTTTGTATGCATTTGACAAATAACCATTTCATTCAAGGAGAGAAAATGTCAATAAAGCAGCTTTTAAAAAATTAATTGAGTGTATGATTGACCGGTGGATTGAGATTGGTCAGAATACCACTCAAAGTAGAAGAGATTTGGGGAGAGAAATATACTAAAATATTCTGCTAAACTAGAAAACTGCTTTTCAAACAATTGGCAGGTGAAGGTCTTCTTCCCAGGTCCTAAGAGAAACGGAAGAATCTGGTATATCTAAGTGATTGTGGTTTTATTCTTGAACTTAGCAAACCTCTGCCTACTTATAAATTTATACATGGGTGTCCATCAGAGTGGCATCTAGATGGGATGAAGGAAAGGATTTCTGGTACTCTCTCCTGCTTGATTTCTCCATTGGTCTTGTCACTGGAAGGCAATGTGGGACACTGCAGCCAGAAAATGAGACATCTTAGTTGCTGCTATGACGCATGCCACTCACTTGCTTTTCCTTGAACCAGGAAAACCTCACAGCTATTTACTAACTTTTCCTTTACTTTGACAGACACTGCAATGGAAATTCATATTGATTTTTACCAGTTCTAAGATCTTACATCTTTTAAGCCTCATAAAAGCAAAGTATTGAGAAGAAAACCCCCAATACATTATCACCAAAATTGGACAGAGGAGGAAGATAATTTATCTATGTAATTCAGTAATATTCTCTTTTTCTTTAGTGGGGGATTAAATTTTTTGTAACCTTCTTAAACTTTTGTTACCTTTGTAATTTAAAGTGACAAGTTAAATGCTAACGCAATTGATAGGGGTGAGCAACTGGTCAATGACTGGCCTGATCAGACTACGTAATGTTGCTGAAATTGCTAAAATATGCAGGTCCATTGTAATTTTGACAGAAAACAGTTTTCTGCAGGGCTTTATATCTCCCTGGTGATATTAAAAGCCAACAATGTTGTAAGTACCAAATTTCTTTGGAGGAAAGTTGAGAGACCTCAGCAACCTAGACGTCATGTTAAAAATAAATAAAGTCTGAGTATCTTGAGATTTCATCTGTGTCAGTTTTGAATGGGAAATTTGATGGTAGAGTATAATACTGCAGTTAAAAGACTTGCATTCACTTTCCTCCCACAGCCAAGTTACAAATTATAACAAGTAAGGACCTATTTATTTTTTTGCTTAGGCCTAGGACCCCTAAGGCAAAATAAATTGGATATTTTGTGCAGTAATTTAGTGATGTGGTGGTAGGCAATCGGAGTGGTGGAAAAGGGTATGCATATTTAGCATACACCATTTAAGGACACGAGTTAACATTTATTTTAGTAACTTTGGTGGAGCCCAGGACATCTGTTAACGGCTAGTCTGAACAATAAACATCTGCCAGTATCTTCTTTCTAAAAATAGTTTCTTTCTTTTGACCATATCCTTTTTATTTCTACTAGGTGCTCTTTATTTTTGTTCCTACATACAGAACCAGATTATTGTTAGTTCACACGGCATGGTTTTACAAAAGAGAAAAAGGTATGACATCTGAGTACATTCAGCACCACACACCAGGGCTCATGGCAGGTCCAGCTGTGTAATTTACAGAGCCCAGTGCAAATTGGAAATATGGGATCCTTTATTAAAAAATTATTAAGAATTTTAAGATGGTGAGACTGGATTTCTGAACCTGCCCAGTATGTTAGAGCACTCCTAGATGTAGGTTAGTCAGTAATGAAGGTACACTGGATAACATCTCTTGCTCATCTAGCTAAACACCCAGTCAACATGAAGAAGGTTTCATCCATTTGTGATCAAATCCATTTTATTACTTAATCTTTGAGGTGGAAGGTGGTGTAATTTAGTAGTTTATCCTTGAGGAAGTCAGATCTGAGTGAATTCAGGCTACATCACTTCTTGTTTGGCTGGTCTGCAAAATGGTTTGGTTTAAGTACCTTGTCTGCAAAATGAGAATATCTGCAACATAGAATTCTGGTTAGGATAACTCAGATACATCTCTGTCATAGGCATTCAGTAAATAATATCTCTGACTATGGTCAAATAAAATCAAGTTATTCTCTTAATGACCAAGAATTATATTAATTACTACTAGCTTTGGTTATCAAAAACAGTGCCTTGCAAATCTAAAATATAATTTCTAGAAAATAAGACCCTTTATAAAGAGAGAAAGCATTGTGAAATCAAACAGTTAGATGATTTCAAACATAAATGTGACATGAAGATTTTCTTTAATAATACAGTAATAGAAGCTTAAATTAGGTTTTTAATCGTGTGAATGTGTGTTTTATGGAAGAAGAATTGTCTTGCTATAATTGTGCTTTCATTTAAGGAGACCAATTATTTAAATAAACATCACCAAGGAAATTAAGAGATTTACTATGAATGAGCCATACAAAGGTAAATAACTACTATTCTATGGAGAGAAAGAAAAGAATTTAATCTGGAAAACCTTGAGTGTTAGCCAGTTAAAATATTTGCATTGCCCAAAATGATTTCCATAGCAATGGGAATTTGGTGGTCTCACAACAATTTAATTCTAACATTCTATCTCATTTCCTAATATATTTCATCTTGATGAGAGGCCAAAAATTCTTGTGATATCAAAAGATATAAATATCAATGGATAATTTTTTCCAGAAAAACACATTTTAAGTATAGAGAATGGTACATTAGATATAGCATGGAATTTGGATCCAAACAGACTGTTCAAATTTCATCTTCTAACATTGAATAATATTTTTTTAATTTGGCAAGCCATTTAACCTCTCTGATCCTAGATTCTTCATTCTTAAAATCTGGGCAACAATGCCCACATAACAAGAATTGAATTAAGAATGCCGTCTTATGTATGTAAGTGGCTTTCCAACATAGTTGTTGCTCAATAAATGATGGCTTTTGCTACTTATTAACAGTAATAACAAAATTGAGAATATTTCTGATTTTTATATTTGCATTTTATCTTCCCAAATAGATTATTCGCTCGTTCTGGACTGGCATCATAGTTAAACTCCTTTTCTTTCCTCAAAAACTCTCAGCACAACTTTAAACAGCTAACAGCCACCAGGAAAAAGAACTCTGTAAAAAGGCATTATTTTATTCAACAATGAAGCATTCTGTATCTAGACCTGGGCTGAAAATCCAGATGCTTACAGACCAAGAGAGAAGGTGGCCTGGATCATTCCTTATGAAATTTTGACTTGTGCTCCTTTGATCCAGACACACATCATGTCACGTAAATCTCCTACAAATATTCTCCATTCTACCAAGATATGCCCTTTCCTGTTTTTAGAAAGTTAGAGATTTTCAGTCTATCTTTCACTTTACCACAGTTCGGTAGAGTCATAGGTTCAATACTATTTTATTTTCCTCTTAATGCTAAGAACATCCAAGTATATAAGTGTAATGACAGATAGTACCTGGCAGTCTAACCCAATATCAGGGGACATTGTGAAGTGGTGGAGACTGTGGTCAATGGGCAAGTTTACGCCCTACCCCAAGGGGCAGCTACACATCTGATGATCTTGGTAATAAATTCTGATAATATTTATAAACTATTTTCTTCATTAGCCCAGGTGCTGGATTTCTATAACTATTACCGACTAGTTAAAAGGAGTAAAAATGGTAGTGACTTAATGCATTTTTAAGATCTTTCCAGATTTCGAGGAGCAAGGAAGTATTCTTGTTTACTGTCTGCCGAATGGAGGTGTCTTGAAAGAATATGTGACAAGATAAACAAGAGAGGAATGCACTTCAGCAGCCATGGAGCAAAGTTTCATAGAGAAATGCAATGCTGTTTTTGTTCAGTAAGAAAGGTGTCTGCCAGCACCTGCAGTGACTCATCACCTCCTTAAGGATTTGTCCTCTGAAGTAGCCATTCAGTTCTCCCTGTTATAACCTGTTGCTAACCCAGGTACTCTTTCTGCTCAACTCTCCATGTGTTTGGATACCACTACTACATGTTTTTGTGCTCTGTTTCCTATCTCGTGATTGCTACTACATCAATAATGCATGACTTTTAGCTGTCTCGTAGTTTTTCCAGCTTGCACCTCAGTTCAGATTCCTCTAGAGGGAAGATCTTACTGGGTCTGTTAGTCACCGTCCAGTTTACCTGGTGTTCTTCTTGGCCAAGCTTTCAAGTCACTCTACTGCTTAGCTTGAAGACCACTGATCTGTGGACACGTCCCTGAGGTCAGGTCCCCACATTGGTCCAATCAGTTGTGGTCAAGGTTGGTAGAGTCAAGTGGTCTGAAGCTCAGTGACTCCTTCACAAGAAACTCCTTGAGGTCATGACAAACTCCGAGGCACCTCAGAAGGAATAGAAAATATTCTAACTTGTATTATGTTGACTGACTGGTACAAATAATAATTTTTACCCTATCTCTTCAACTTAACTATAGGTTGCCAAAAATCCTCAATGATTCAAATGCATTTTTAATTCAAAAAAACAACACATTATTTGATATTTGGCTCAGTAGTCCTATGTCTTCTGAAGTTAGCAGGGTTTACAATGTCTGTTCTGCCCAGAAATGATTTATGTCTTTTGATACTCAAACTCTATTAACAGTTGGTAAAGTTTTAAAATAGAATTGTAAATTTTCATATTGCTCTACACAGAGATCATATGCATGAAAGCTCACTGATGATGTAAAGTAGGGCTGCTTGTGCAGTCTAATTCTGAACAGTGGGTCAGTAAAATATCAAATTAATTATTGGGAGAGATTTATATAAAGTGTCATTCCTAATAGGTAACTAAAGTGTCTGTCCTGAATGTTTGATTTCTAATTAGCTATGAAGTTCTAGCACTAGTGAGTTATGCACAGATTCAGTTAGGAGGAGCTCCTTTGACATAGAGGACAGAACTTCAGAATGAATAATGCCTTACAATTACTCATTTCTTCCTTTTAGATTTATATCTAAAATTTCCTATTCCCATCAAAGTGAAGTATAGTTCAGTTTTCTGGACAAATATTATCTTTGAATTCTGAATCTTCACAACTGTGAAGGCTTTTTATTTCTTGTTTAAGTCCAAAGTTAGAATTCTCTGTTGGTAATGAGTTACTCTGTCTCTTTCAGAAGTCCGTTCAGTCACTTCTCCACACATTTAGACCACATGCACACAAGCATCATGAGAGGGAGAAAATTGAAATGTTCTAATTACAAATGAATAAATATTCACTGAAATAATTTGTTTTCTATTCAAGTTTTACCTTAGTAAGATTCCAAATTGAAACTCTTATCTATGACGTTTGAACAACTCAGTGAAAAGCTACAGTTAACAAAAAGTGAACAAGAGAACCATCAATAGGAAATCCCTATGCGATATGTTAACATAAACTAATATTAACAAAAAGACTGTTGGTTTTTCAGATCCCTTTCTTCTGCTTTACTTTGATTTTTAGTCAATTGCAATATGGACCATAATAAAAATGACCTAATTATTTATTATCATTATTATTATTATTATTATTATTATTTTGAGATGAAGTCCCACTCTGTTGCCCAGGCTGAAGTGCAGTGGTGCAATCTTGGCTCACTGCAACCTCCACCTCCCAGGTTCAAGCAATTCTCCTGCCTCAGCCTCTGGAGTAGCTGGGATTACAGGCATGCGCCATGTCCAGCTAATTATTGTATTTTTAGAAGAGTTGGGATTTCACCATGTTGGCCAGGCTGGCCTCGAACCCCTGACCTCAGGTGATCTGCCCACCTCGGCCCCCCCAGTGCTAGGATTACAGTCATGAGCCACTGCTCCCGGCCCCCCAAAATGACCTAATTTTTAAAAACCTAACCACTAAAACACTCAATTTTGATTATTCCTTTATTTATCGGGGTAAAAAATACATAATATGAAATCTGCCCTCTTAACTAATTTTTAAATGTACACTATGGTATTGTTAACTATAAACACAATGTTGAATAGCACATCTCTAGAACTTTTGGAGCTTGTATAATTGAAACTTTATGCCCATTGAACAGCAGCTCCTCGTTTCCCCTCCCTTCATACTTGGCAACCACCATTCCACCTCTGCTTTCATGACCTTGACTACTTCAGATATGTCGTGTAAATGGAATTCATGCAGTATTTGTCCTTCTGTGACTGACTTATTTCACTTAGCATAGTGCCCTCAATGTTCATCCATGCTGTAGCATTTGACAGAATTTTCTTCTCTTTTTATGACTGAATAATATTCAATTGTATGTGTATGCCACATTTTCTTTATTCATTCATCCATCAATGGACATTAAGATTGCTTCAAGATTATGTTGTCTAATTTCCACGTTTGTGAATTTTCAAGCTTTCTTTTCGCTGTCGATTTCTAGTTTCATTCCACTGTGATCAGAAAAGATGCTTGGTATGATTTCAATCTTTTAAAATTTATTAGGACTTGTTTTTTGTGATCTTTCTTGGAAAATGTTTCATGTGCTTTAAAGAGTAATATACATTCTACTGCTTTGGGTAGACTGTTCTGTGTATTAGTCATAAACATTTTTTTCCTAAGGCGTAGTTCATGTCTTCTGTATCCTATTAATCTTCTGTCTGGATGTCTTATTCATTATATGATAGGGTATTAAAGTCTCCTACTATGATTGTGTTGCTGTGTACTTCTTTTAGTTGTCAATGTTTACTTCATATATTTAGGTACTCTAATGTTGGATGTATGTATTCTAATAATTCCTATATCTTCCTGGTAAATTCATACTTTTGTCACTATATAATATCCTTCTTTGTTTGTTGTAACAGTTTTTTACTTAAATTCTATTTTGTTTGACATAAGTATGTCTGCCTAGCTCTCTTTTGGTTACCAGTTACATGGAAGATTCTTTTCTACCCTTTCACTTTCAGTTTATGTGTATCCTTAAGTGTAAAGTGAGTATAGATTCACATAATTGGATCCTGGTTTTTTTTTTTTTTTTCATTTATTCAGCCACTCTGTCCTTTGTTTGGGGATTTAATCTATTTCCATTTAGAGTAATTATTAATAGCAAATAAATTAATATTGCCATTAAAAAGTATTTTCTGGCGGCTTTATAGATCTTTTGTCCTTCTTTTCCTCTATTGCTGTCTGTGTTTTAAAAATTTTTTTGCATTGATATATTTTGATACATTTCTCATTCTCTTTTGTGTTTCTGCTATAGATTTTCTTTGTGGTTATCATGTGGCTTATATAAAATCTTATATAGTTATAGCAATCTCTTTTAAGCTGATGACAACATAAGTTCAATTGCATACATAAACTACTTTTAATTCTCCCTGCAACACTTTATATTATTGTTAGAAATTACATTTTCATTATATATTTATTTCTGTATTATAATATCCCATCGGTTATTTTCAATATACATCAATGTGAAACATAAATTACTTATTTATTTATTTATTTATTTACTTACTTATTTATTTTTATTTTATTTTTTTGGAAACAGAGTCTCACTCTGTCTGGAGTGTAGTGGTACAATCTTGGCTCACTGCGTCTCTGTCTCCCGGGTTCAAGTGGTTATCCTGCCTCAGCCTCCTGAGTATTTGGGATTATAGGCATGTGCCACCACGCCCAATTAATTTTTGTGTTTTTAGTAGAGACAGGTTTTCACCATCTTGGCTAGGCTTGTCTCAAACTCGCGACCTCAGGTGATCTGCCCGCCTCGGCCTCCCAAAGTGCTGGGATTACAGGGGTGAACCACCACACCCAGCTGGCCTTGATTACTTCCATTTTTTTTTTTAAATCTTTGTACATACGTACTTGAGTATTTATATTATGATTTGTCTGCATGGTAAAGTCAAGCTGAATTAATAATGAGTATGTGAAATAATGTGTTAAATACTATAAAATTGCTTTCTAGAAATTTACTCCAATTTGCACACTCACAATTCCTTCAATCCAAATTGTCATGCCCATACACATTTAAAAAAAAAAGAAGCCTCACTCTTGTTGGCCCCAGCATGTGACAGATTTTTAAAGAAAGATTTTGGTCGTATTTTAGCTCTTTGCACAGTAACAGCTACCCATTCTAATCCCTTAGCCACGTGGCAGGCTTGTGGGCAGGTGTTTCAGGAGTTGCTGGCAAGCAGCTTGCAAAAGCCAGGGTAGAGTAAGAAAGAGAGAAAGAAAGAAAGAAGGAAAACAACAACAACAACAACAACAACAACCTTTAAACCCTGTCTGTCCTCTAAATATTGGGAATCTGTGCTCTGATTGCTGGTTGCTGCTTCTGATCATAGGCAGGAAATCATTCTTTTTGCATCTCCCCCCCATGTTGCAAGCTTCCCCCATTTGGTTGAAGTGACTTCCAAAGTATTTAAAGGGCTGGGGCCTGTTTTAACCTTTATTTCTTTTTTTTTTTTTTTTTTTTTTTTTTTGAGACGGAGTCTGGCTCTGTCGCCCAGGCTGGAGTGCGGTGGCGCGATCTCGGCTCATTGCAAGCTCCGCCTCCCGGGTTCACGCCATTCTCCTGCCTCAGCCTCCCAAGTAGCTGGGACTACAGGCGCCCGCCACCACGCCCGGCTAATTTTTTGTAATTTTTAGTAGAGACGGGGTTTCACCGTTTTTTTAGCCGGGATGGTCTCGATCTCCTGACCTCGTGATCCGCCCACCTCGGCCTCCCAAAGTGCTGGGATTACAGGCGTGAGCCACCGCGCCCGGCCTAACCTTTATTTCTAACTCTTCCCCTTTTGGGAGCCAGACATTAAGAACTACGACATTCAAATGCAACCACATATAAAGGGGAAATTAGAAATTCACTGTATATGCCCAGAGAAGGGTGTCAGGTAAGAGAAGACCTGGAAAGACCTTAGGTTTGCACCTCAGTCTGATCCCTGGCACAGAGGCAGCCTACAACAATCAGAAGAACAAAAACAGAAATAAAACCTAATATACTCCATGGAAAAGGGAGGATCTGATTCCTAGAATTAACACATTATTAGATTCAAATGTCCAGTTTTCAACAAAAAAAATTTACAAGACAAAAAGAAATAGGAAATACGGCTCAGTTGAAAGGGAAGAGCAACAACAACAAAAACTGTCAGTGAATCTACTAGAAAAAGGCTTTAAAATAACTCTCTTAAAGATGATCAAAGAACTAAAGGAAGATGTAAAAAAAGTATAAAAGAGAAATGATGTGTGAATGAAATGGGAACATCAATAAAGAGGTAGAAGACAGAAAAGAAACTAAATGAAATTATGAGCTGAAAAATATAATATATGACATAAAAATTTACTTGAGGGGTTCAAATGCAGGTTTGGGCCAGCAGAAAGAACTTGTACACTTAAAATACATCAATGGACATTATCAAGTCTGAGGAACAGAATGGAAAAAGGTTAAAGTGCAACCCAGCCTAAGGGACCTGTGGGACACCATAAAATACACCAACATACATGCTGAAGGACTCCCAAAGGAGAAGTGAGAGAAAAGGGCAGAGAAAATATTTGAAAAAAAAAAAAAAAAAAGCAAATTGCAGGTCAATATCCTCTATGAACATTGATGCAGAAATCCTCAGGACAATATTAGCAAATCAAATTTAATTGCATGTTAAAATGATCATACACCATGACCGAGTGGGATTTCTACCTGGGATGCAAAGATGATTTAACATATGAAAATCAATCAATGTAATATACCACATTAACAGACTGAAGGAATAAGTTCACATAATCATCTTTATTAATGCAGAGAAAAGCATTTAACAAAATTTAACAAACTAAGACTGCCTCTACATAATAAAAATTATGTATTAAAAAACTGAAAACCAACTTTATTCTCGTTAGTGAAAGACTGAAAGCTTTTTCTATAACATTAAGAACAAAACAAGGATGCCTACTCTCACTACTTCTATTCAACAAAGTACTGGAAGTCTTAGCAGAGCAAATAGTCAATGAAAAGAAACAAAAGGGATCCAAATATAAAATGAATAAGTGAAATCACCTGTTTGTAGATAACATGATCTTATATGTAGAAAACCCTAAAGATTCCATGAAAAACATTATAAATAATAAATTCAGTAAAGTTGCAGAATACAAAATTGACATACAAAAATCAGTTGTGTTTCTATACACTAATAATGTATAATCCAAAAGGAAATTTAAAAAAAAATCTCATCTATAATACTATCAAAAAAATAAAGTACTTAGGGAAACACTTAAACAAGAAAGTGACAGACATATACACTGAAAATTACAAAACATTGTTGAAAGAAATTTAAGAAAACATAAATAAATGCAAAAATATCCAATGTTCATGGATTGGAAGACAATATTGTTAATACATCTATACTATCCAAAGTGATCTATCTACATATTAAATGGAATTTCTATCAAAATCCTAGTGGTATATTTTCCAGAAGTAGAAAAACCCATGCTAAAATTTATATGAAATGTCCAAGAACCCTGAATAACCAAGACAATCTTGATACAAAAGAACAAAGCTGGAGGATTCATACTTCGTGATTTCAAAACTTACTACAAAGCTACAGTAGTAAAAACAGTGTGGCTCTGTCAAAAAGACAAACATATGGAATGGATACAAATGGAATGCAATAGACAGCCCAGAAATCAACCCTCAAATATATGGTCGCATGATAGTCAACAAAAGTGTGAGGATCATTCAGTGTGGAAATGGACAATTTTTCAACAAATGTTATTGGGAGAACTGGACATCCTCATGTAGATGACTAAGTTGGATCTTTAACACTGTATAAAAATTGATTGGAACAATTCAAAATTGTTCCATGACCCAAATATAACACTTAAAAATATAAAATTTTTAGACAAAGATATTGGGCAAAATCTTCATGACACTGAATTTGTCAATGATTTCTTGGCTATGATACCAAAGGCATAGGCAACAACAACAAAAATAGACAAATTAGACTTTATTAAATTTTCTAAAAATTGTGCACCAAAACACACTATCAACAGAGCAAAACACAACCCAGAAAATGGGAGAAAATATTTGCAAATTTTATATCTGACAAAGGATTAACATTTAGTATATATAGAACACTCCTAAAGTTCAACAACAAAAAAACCTGACAACTTGATTCAAAATTGGGCAAAAGATTTGAAAAGATCTTTATCGAAAAAAGATAATCAAATAGTCAGTGAGTGATATGGTTGTCTGTGTCCCTACCCAAATCTCATCTTGAATTGTAGCTCCCATAATTCCCATGTGTTGTGGGAGGGACCTGGTGGGATGTAATTAAATCATGGGGGCTGGGCTTTCCCATGCTGTTCTGCTGATAGTGAATAAGTCTCATGGGATCTGATGGTTTTATAAAGGGCAGTTCTCCTGCACATGCTCTTTTGACTGCTGCCATGTAAGACGTGCCTTTGTGTCTCCTTTGCCTTCTACCATGATTGTGAGGCCTTCCCAGCCATGTGGAACTGTGAGTCCATTAAACCTCTTTCCTTTATAAATTACCCAGTTTCAGGTATGTCTTTATTAGCAGTGTGAGAACAGACTAACACAATGAGCATGATGATTAATTAGGAAAATGCACATCAGAACTACAGTGAGATACCACGTCATACCCATTAGGATGGCTAGTATTAGAACAAAGAAGAAAAAGAAAAGAAAAGGTGTTGGCAAGTATGTGGAGAAATTGGAACCCTTGTGCATTGTCGGTAGGAATGCAAAAATGGTGCAGCCACTGTGGAAAACAGTATGGCAATTCCTCAAAAACTGAAAAGTAGAACTACCATATGATTCAGCAATTCCACTTCTTGGTATACAGCCAACATAACTGAACTCAAGTTCTCAAAAAGATATGTGTACACCCATGTTCACAGCAGCATTATTCACAATAGCTAAAATGTGGAAGCAACTGATGAATGGATAAATAAAATGTGTTGTATACTTACATAGGAATATTGTGCAGGAAGGACACTTGGACACATGCTATACCATGAATGAACTTTGAAGACATATTGCTACATTGAATAATAAAGTCACAAAAAGACAAATACTGTTTGACTCCACTTAAATGAGGCACTTAAAAGTTGTCAAACTCACAGAGACATCATGGTTGCCTGGGTCTGTCAAGGAGGGGGAAACACAGAGTGTTTAATGGGTATGGATTTTCAGTTTGCAAGACAGAAAGAATTTTGTAGATGAATGGTGATAGTTCCACAACAATATAGCTATACATAATACCACCAAATTGTACACTTAAAAATGACTAAGACAGTAAATTTTATGTTACATGTATTATACCACATTAAAACATTTTTAAAAATATTGTCACTTTTTAGAATTTGCACTTCAATTTTGATGTTTACAATCTTCTCATGTATTTATTGGCTATTTGTAGTTTTTAATTGCCTGTTCATATCATTTGCCTATTTTTTAAAAAAACAACTGAGTAGTTTGTTATTGATTTGAATGAAGTATCTATAAACATTAGCAAATAGTCCTTTGTCTGACATATAAACCTTTAAAGCAGAAAATTTCATCATTATCTGGTGACTCAGGATAAGGTGGAGCTGGTCTGAGGGAGGAACTGCTATTGGTAGACTGTTTTTTTAGTAACAATTTGTCTCACTCATTTTGGTCATGCAAACCTATAATTTGCATTTCATTGAGACCATGCTGTGATTTCAAAATGACCTTCCAAAATCAAACATTCTATATTTTTGGACACTGAAGTCCCAGTAAAGCTTGTAAAATTTTATTTTTTCATAAATTACATTCGTAATGTTGTGTTTGCCTTGTATTCTGGGAGGCTTTTCATTCCTCAAAGGTGTTACAAAAATAAATGAGTTGATTCATAAAAATGCAATTCATATTTTATTATTTTTGTTCCCATAATGCTTACTTCATCTTGATTCGTGAGTGAGTGATGTATTGGATTAATTCTTGGCATATACCAGTTTGATTTTAATTTGTTGAACAGCATTATTCAGAAATAGTAAAATAAATAATTTCATGTTAGAAGGCCTGATTCTAAAACGACTCTAATTTTCAGCATGGCTTGGTGTTTATCATGTAGGATACTTGATTCCACAAAACACTCACATATATTTTGAAAACTTTATAACATTTCTATTCTTATGCCTGGAAATAATATAATAGAGAACTTAAAGTATTTTAGAAACCACTAATCTATCTCCACCAAACACATTTAAATTAACACATTTAAACCCTCACAATTTAAATTAAAATTTAGCTGCTATTAATTACAATACAAAAAACTAGTTGTGATGGTTTAGCATAAAACTAATGTTTCAAACTGCAAATAATTTAAACATTTCAAAATGGACCAAAAGCTGTTGTTTCACCTTTGGATTAACAGCCAATTACTATTTAATATTTAGTAGTAACAAATGGTTACTTTGAAGAGTTTCTATCTTTCCACTTCAAAGGAAGCCTGTGGGAGCCCACATGATTCCTGATATGAAAGTTGAAAATGAATCATGTATATAACACTCAATATTGAATATATAATTGTGTCCGGAATTGGTGGGTTCTTGAACCCTTGTGGTGTTACAGTTCTTAAAGGTGGCGTGTCTGGAATTGTTCGTTCCCCCCCGGTAGGTTCATGGCCTCACTGGCTTCAGGAGTGAAGCTGCACACCTGGAAAGTCGAAATTAGACAACATAATCTTGAAGCAATCTTAATGTCCATTGATGGATGAATGAATAAAGAAAATGTGGCATACACATACAATTGAATATTATTCAGTCATAAAGTTCATAAAGGTGGCACGTCTGGAGTTGTTCCTTCCTCCCATCTGGAGTTATTCTTTCCTGCCAGTGGGTTGGTAGTCTCGCTGGCTTCAGGAGTCAAGCTGTAGACCTTCGCCGTGACTGTTACATCTCTTAAAGGAGGGGCAGATCCAAAGAGTGAGCAGCAGCAAGATTTATTGCAAAGAGCAGAAGAACAAAGTTTCCACAGCCTGGAAGGTGACCTGAGCCGGCTGCCTGGCTGGCTCGGGTGGCCTGCTTTTATTGCCTTTTCTGGCCCCACCCACATCCTACTGATTGGTCCATTTTGCCAAGAGCTGATTGGTCCATTTTACAGAGAGCTGACTGGTCCGTTTTGACAGAGTGCTGATTGGTCCGTTTACAAACCTTTAGTTAGACACAGAGTGCTGATTGGTGCATTTACAAACCTTTAGCTAGACACAGAGTGCTGATTCGCGCTTTTACAAACCTTTAGCTAGACAGAAAAGTTCTCTAAGTCCCGCCGGACCCAGAAGCCCAGCCGGCTTCGCTTCTCAATGGCAGTCGCAGCGGGACTTTGTGGCACCTAGCCCGGGCACTCTGGCAGCCCACAGGGAGCTCATCCCCCGATCAAGCCCAGCAGGCGCCTGCCGGCTGCGGGGCCCGCCAAGCCCGCGCTCACCCGGAACCCACGCCGGCCCGCTAGCGCCGGGCGCGCAGCCTCGGCGGGCGGGCGCCTCGCCTTCCACACCTCCCCGCCAGCAGAGGGAGCTGGCTCCGGCCTCGGCCAGCCCCAGAGAGGGGCCCCCTCAGCGCAGCGGCGGGCTGAAGGGCTGCTGGAGCGCGGCCAGAGCGGACGCCGAGGCCGAGGAGGCGCCGAGAGCGAGTGAGAGCTGCTAGCCAGTTGTCACCTCTCACAGAGAGGTAAGTGTATAATATGAAGAGTCCGGAGACCCAGAGGTTCTTCTCAGTTTTTCCTCTGGCTCAGTGTGAGAACGGGGTTAACGTTCTTTGCTTTTTTGGCCTCCCTTCTCATCCTCAAGAAAGAGGGTTTGGAATCACCTATAGATTTACTGCAAAACTTACGTAGTTTATACTTCATGGATCCTCACTTGCACAGGTCACTTTCAAAGCCCTGGGAGCGCAAATGTTTCTGACTTCGTATTTTAAAATTATTTTTCTTAAGCCACCTCACGCCCGCAACCCCAGTGGTATGCACTGCTGGATTCATCACTGATTAGAATACATTATTTAAGGTTTCCTCCAGTTCGACAATCCAGTCCTTCTATGTGAATACTTAATAATTGTTTATATCTAGTCACTCATAACTGTTGTCACCCATAGTGTTTTCTCTCCTAGGAAGTTTCTGCTTTTTAAAATAACACTTTACAGCTATTATGAAGATTGATTTTCACTGAGATGTTGTAAAAACTCTGCAGATCCATTATACTAGACCTATATATACCGTGTATTATACTAGTCAGGATTCTCCTGAGAAACAGCACCACTAGGTTCTGTTCAAGCGCAGGAGATAAGAAAAAATATCCCAGCTCAAGCAGTGAGATGAAAAGAAGGGGTTAGTCCTCCTTCCTCCACCTTTTGTTTTATTCAAGCCTGCAGTGGATTGGATGATGCTCACACCATGGGTAAAAGGAATCTACTTTACTCATTCCGCCGATTCGAAAGCTAGTCTCATCTGGAAACACCCTCATTGACGCAGTCAGAAGCAATGTTTAATCTGGGTACCCCCTGGCCCACTCAAGTTGACACATAAAATTAACCATCATATCTGTCTTCTTATCTTTAATTCTTCCCTCTGCTGACTTTTCTTGCCTCTGAGTTTAACAGTTCTCAGACTGTGATCTCAGCATTAGGTACATCAGAATCATTAGGAGTTTTATTTTATTTTTTTAATGAAATTCTCAGGACTGCAATCCAGATTTACTGAATAATAAAAGGGGGGAGGGTTGCAGATACAAGAAACCTACGTTTTGAACACGTCCTCCAAATGTTTGTGTCCCCTAGTCTTTAAAAGTCAACTATTCATTTCCATGTTCTAGAAGGTGTGTGTGAATGTGCTTTTTCAAAATCAGGAGCAGATGGCAAGGAGAATAAGAATGTAAAAAAAGCTAAATGTAGGTGAAAATTTGTGACCTATTCCCCAAACAAATATAAAAGGATGATATTATTATATTTTGATGTATTATATCACATGATATTCTGTGAATCAATGTACATCCTCTTTTTATTATGACATTTTCACTTTCCATTTTTCTTGGTTCTCATAGCTGGTCTAAAAAGAGGAGAGAGAAAAGCTAGAAAGAAAATCTGCCCTTGCCTTGTTGAATTTCTCGCTTGTAGTTCCAGAACATGAGAAGAGGTGTTCTGGATAGACTAAGAGAAGTTATGGGGCAGAGACACTTGGTCTTACCCCTCTATTGATGCTCTGGGGAGAATCTTTGTGTAGACCTCCCTTATACTGCAAGGGGCTGCCCCAGTAAAGTTAGGAGAGAGGTGCAGCATACACACACACAGAGTAAAGGTCTAGTTTGCACACTGATCCTTTCTGAATTCCCTATGTGCTAGACGCTGAGTTGAGAGCCTGCTGCCTGCCATGAGGCCTTATGAGGGAACTCAAGATGACCACAGGAAGGAAGCCATGTGCAAAGCATAGACCAGGAACCATAATGAGTGAACAGGAGAAGCTTAAGGGCTCCAATATATTTTCATGTTGAAAGGAGAGATTTTAGAATGTTGTGGTAGTTAGATGAGTCCCACTTCACCTCACCCCACCATCTCCTGGAAGCCCCTGAGAAACAGTCACAGACCACAGTTGGGAAACACAATTTCCATTATGAGAAGCCATCAACACTAAAAGTTGAAAAAACAAAGGGAGTATTTACAGAGGGCTTTTCACAGTGCTGTAACATCTTCTGCTAGTTTTTTAATATGATAGTTTGCTTGAATAAGTGTGTCTGGAAGATAGAGAATCAAAAAGGAAAAACAAAGATGTGAAACAATTAGTTGAAAAAGACTTCAATCAGCTGAGATTCCATGCTGGATTTTGGAAGACGTAATCACATATTGTATGTGATTACCAGGGGTACCAGCAAGTGTGTGTGTGTGACAAAGAAAAGTGTACATTATTTCAGCTGATGTGTCTGTTGCTCAGTTGAAATGTTATGCTGCCCAAGCTGTTGAGGTTGTGTATTTTCTTATTCAGTAGTCATGCATTTCACTGTGGATTTAAAAATGGAGACTCACCTCAAGGATTCACTGGAAATAAAAGTTATTACAGCCAAGCAAGTTGTTCGTTTGCTCCTTATTTTCAAGTACCAGGAAGTTTGATATGGTTGAAGGAAGTGTATAAATGAAGATTGGTACAGTATAAATAAATAATTTTTGTTTGATGTGAAGAGAACTTTTAACATAACTTTTGTGAAAAAAATTTTTAAAGAAAAACAAGAAGGCAAATCCAGCCAAGTGTTTCTTGAAAGCCATTTCTCAATGTCATAAAGGATTCGTGGGAAAATATTAAATGTGGGCAATCAAATTAATTTCCATTAATTAATTATTCTGAGTTTTCATGCTTCTTGGAATCTTCCTCTTAAGAGCTCAGTCAACAATTTTAGTCTTTACAACCACATGTAAGGTCAAGATGGATATATTAATTTGAGGCTCAGTATTGACCATCATATCTAGGGGACAGCTCTTTATAAGCATAACTTTAACCAATTTTATATTTTCAACTCACGGTTAGTGGTGTTCTTGAATATAATGAGTAGGCAACAAAAAGAAATAGGAAGAGTATTTGGAAGTCAGGCCATTCATTTATACAAACGATTTACAAACATGCTGTTGAAACATACAGCTCTTACTTGCAGTGTGGTTTTCTGTGCATCAGTGTTATTTACCCACATTTTGTTAACAAGTGTTTTGTGTCATGAGGTTGCAGATAAATGCATATAAAATGACAAGTACTATTATTATTGATTCTCTTAAACAGTAGCTTTGAGATTTGAAGACATTCCATCAGCATGTTGATCAGAAGGAAAAAGGCGCCTTAGGAAAGAGACTAAACTGGTCTATAAAGTTATTTGAAGGAATCATCTTGGGAAGTTAGTTCCAAAAGAAAAACTTTCTATTGCCGGAGGGCTATTCATTATCTCTGAGGTTGGCAGATTAGTGAGTTGCTGTTGTCTTTGATAACATGTCTAAAATAAGCTCAAAGTTATGAGATCAGTTCTGGTATTAAAGAGTTAGTTTTACGTTGTGGTATTGTTGAGCTCTACCAGAACTCCAGGGGCTATTTGAGAATTCTGGGTGTACATTAAAAATCCATTTTCACTACCCAGGATATACTTTTGTCTACATGTCAATGGTTTTAATGACTAAAGCTGGGTATGCAGCAAAAAATGGTATTGGTTTTACAGTAAATTCTTACTCATTTTATTTCATTTTTAGCAACAATTTAATTCTTAAAATTCCTGGGGAAGTAAAGATTAATCAGATTGGATGAATAATTTTCAAATTATGCTGTGCTCTTACCAATTTCCCCAGAATTCAATGTCTGCCAAACTTTTAATATTTATTTCTCCCAGGGATTGTAATTACATTGTTGCTTATTCTAGCCAACATTTTTAAAATCGGATTTTGTTTTTCAAATGTATCAATATTATCACTAAATATTTATTTGGCATACACATTTCTACCTTACCTTTTCAAAGATCAGTCTCATCTCTAGATGCTATTGTTCTTAATGATGCAAATGATTTGCTGTTTGACCAATATGGCTGCATAAATCACAGTGAGAGTAAGTACTTGTAGTGATTGAAACTTCTAAGTTACCTCTGTTCTGCTACAATTTGCTCATTTCCTGTATATAAAAAAACACAATATTTTACTTAGTACTGACTTTTCCCCATGCCTGAGGAAGTAGTAAACTCTCCAAGAAAGGAGAAATGGCTACATATTTCTATAGAAACAGGAAAACAAGCTATAATAAAGACTATAAATTTGGATACGTGTTAAATGGCTGAGGAGTATATCTGGTGCTGTGATAGCTGTTAAATGCATTTTAACATCCATAATAATTGACAATAGTAGCAAAACAATCATCATGAATAGTGAAACAAACATAAACTAAAAAGAAACTGCTGTTCATTATTTTTTGTGACTGTTTCTAGTGCCAGATAATTCTTCCCTACTGTGATAATGGTATGAAACATCAATATAAACTATAAAATATGAAGGAATTTTCAAAATATTTTCATAATTATTTCATTACCCACACTTTCATTTTCAAAAATATGTCAAAATATGTTAATACTATAGTCGACTTGATAAGCTGGACCTTCTAAGAAAAAGATTGCACTTTGTTTTATACAATAACTCTTTCAGTAACGTTTATTGTGGACTTGTTGTGTGCAAGATTCTTTACCAAATTACAAAGATAAAAAGATTAATGAAATATGTATCTTATTTCAAGATACTGTGAACTTCCTTCTTTTCCTTCCTTCCTCCCTCCCTCCCTCCCTCCCTCCCTCCGTGCCTTCCTTCCCTCTCTTCTTTGTTCCCTCTCTCCCTCTTCCTTCCCTCCATTCTGTAACTATATTTTGAACTGTTGCTTGTTAGACCTAATGCTTAGCACTGGACATAAAGCATGATATTTATTTTCATTAAATCAATTCAAGAAAAACTTTCAAACAAAACAGTCTATAACTAAGCAGCTTAGCTCAAACTGCATTTACCATTTTTTTCTTTCTTCCTTTCTCTCCAGTCTCAAGATGTAGCTTTGAGCCAAACTACAAATGTGTTTTCTTTCATCTTGAAATATAGCCTCGGAATGTGCTGTGAACCTCCACTCTCCTCTCCCTTTCCCACTTTATGCTCCCATGCCTTATGCACATTTATTTGCCTAGGTACTTGTTAAGCACACACCATGCTCTCTTATCTGGTCATAAATTTCCTTAGAAGCTTTAGGGGCCGGATCCTGATACAGAGCAGACACCTCCAGAGTTCTTTCCAACGCGTGATTACCTCAAGCCTGGAATCCACTCTTGACTAGAGATTGACTGGAAGATTGACTGCAATTGATTTGTAACCTGGTTGGGCCCATCCTGGCACGGGTTCCTTCACTAGATGGAATAATAATTCAAAACAAGTCATCGGAGCAGGTTGCACCGCCTGACACCTCCTAAGCCGTTTGTTTCTCCTGCATTCCAAACCTCTCGCTTTAAAAACCCCTGCATTCCCTCCACAAATTAAAGAGTGGAAATGTTTGGAAAGAATTCCGCCCAGTCTTGCCCTTGCTACCACAGATAATAAAGCTTGCTCTCTTTCTATCACACCTCGCTCTTGTTATTTTGGCGTCTTTCTCCAAGCAGCAAGCAGCTGGACCCTTTTGCCTGTTACAAGTCTTTAAATAGGGTAGTTTTCAAATGTCTTCCTCAGTAAAAAATATGATTCTATCCCTCCAATAACATAACCTTTTTTTTTCCTTTTCTGTCTGTTGGGAGGAGTTTAAAAAGAAAGCGTGGGCATTCCATATGTATATGAAATTTCCTGTTGGTTCCTGAAAAAATGATAAATTTTTCAATGATGTATCTAGAAAATAGTGACTTCTGTGATTTAATTTATGATATACTAGCATATGTTTTGTGGCAGAAGAAAACCCTTAAATTTAGTATGCAGACCTCACTGTTGGGGGCACAATGGAACAGACTCATACTGAGACTTGCCTGCATTCTGGATAGGGCAATTGAGTCCGTAGAGCTGCACTTCATCATCTGCTAAGTCAGCAGTTAATTTTCTTTCTAGTGCATTATTTACTTCAAAATTAACATTCATGAGAACTCAAGGAATACAAGCTAGCCTAAAGAGTTAGGCTTTGTCTACATTTGTCGTCTGCATGAAGGGAGCAATTTTACAGCACCCCAGGTGCCCTAACACGTTGACAGCCTGGCAGTATTTTACACTTAAAATTCTTCAGCTGAATACTGGACATTTTGAACAAGGACGTTACATTATTCTTGGTACTTACGGCTACACAGCAAAAGTAACATCTGGGAAGGAAATAAGTCGTTACAAATGGATGTGGACATCTGTTTTCTGATGGAAAAAGAGCTTCTGTCCTACAAAATATTTTCTTGTAATAATGGATAATAATGTTTTTATTTATTTTTATTTGTTTGCTTTTAACTGGAGACCACAGAATTTTCTTATAAAATATTTATTTGCAATATTCCAAGCATTGTAGACCGCTTTGTCTAGTGGCAAGTCCTGATCTCTGTAGTAACAGTGACACCTATTTAGTGTGGCAGAGTGGCTTTGGTGTCAAAAAGACATTGCTGCAAATCTCAGTATTTATAACAGGAACTACTTTCAATTCTCTCTTGGGGATTTTTGTTATCCACATATCTCCCTTTTAGTGGGAGAGCAAAGCCAGTCTTGCTGTTTTTGAACTCTTACTTAAAATCTAACCTGGGACTAATAAAAAGAAAGTTAGAGATCCTCTCTGGCAGCCAAAGTCCCTGAAGTGAAAAAGCAGAGAATGAGAATTGTTTGTTAAAAGTGACCACAGCAAAAGCTAGAAGGTGAGGACCAAAGGAGAGAGCTGGTAAGAGATACTCTGTGACACTGGTTGTCCAATCATTGAAAACACTGAGTCTTTGTGGGTCTCCGGCAAACTTCCAGTCCTCTCCTGCTTTCAGCGGAGAGTCTCCACTTAATAATTTAAGAACTCCACTTACACTAGCCTTTCTATTTGCATATCTTTCTTGATACTTCTTCTCCACCACCCTCAAACCCCAAGCACTAAGATTTTCTCAGTTGTCCTTCTGAATATCTATTGCATGCATTTGACTTCTATTCATCGCTGATCTCCATGGCCATTTCCCACTGTCTAAAACTTTTCAACCAGTGCCATTGACTGAGGCCTTCAGCAATTTCTGTAATATATTCCTGAGTAGTGCTTCATGATCTCATCTTTGTCTACCTTTCCAGCTTAATCTGTATTGTTCTCCTTTCTTCTATATTGCACAGAAGCCATCTGGGACTTGCAACTTCCGTTTGCTGTTCACAAAAGCCATGTTCATTTCAAGGCAGGAATATCCTCCCTCACATTTCTCATCTGCTGTATTCCTACTCACTCTTCAGTTCTAACTGAAAGTTCACTTGCTTATAAAGGCCTTTCCTGACCTCTTAGATTTGTGTTATTCCCTCTGCTGTAGGCTTTCACAACACCTTGTATTTTTTAATATTAACCTTTTTAATATCAACTTAAAAAATCACAATCACTTAATGTGTTTGTTTTCTACCAACCTGTGAGTTACAAGAAATTGGGTACCATTCTGTTTCTGTTTATCTTGTATTGCTAGGACTGGGTAGAGTGCATACACGTAGTAATGCCTAAATAAAGACTTGTTGCTTAACTAAATGGATGATAATATCAATAATTCATTTGGGAATTAGACATAAACACCAATTTACTCTATATAGTATCAACAAATCATCAAAGACATCAATTTGGATATTACAAATAATGGAAATCCTTATATGTAGAATTAGGGCCGTTATTTATTTTTAAAATCACTTATTCCACATGAAATTATTGTACACCTCTGTAAGCCCGAAGAACCACTGTTATACCAGAAGTTGTTTTGAAATGGTAGGTGTTCAAACTATAGTTGTACTACATGTTTTACAGTATTATTTATTGTGTAACTTTGGTTTAAAAATACATAATTTATAGATCACAGAAAGGTATATTAGATTATTATTCAAAAGTATTAATTTCCTCCCCATCTACCTCCGTGGCACGAGTGTACTTCCCTGTCTCTTGACTTTGGGTTTGGATGTCACTTGTTTTGGCTTGAGGGATGTCAGCAGATGTGACATGTAATACAAACAAAAACTCACCATGTGCTTCTGCAATTATGGGCTTGAACAATTGTTTTTCTGACATTCTGTTTAAGAACTTTCACCCTGAAACCTGCTGTCCCCTTAAGATAGACCTGTCAAATGAATACATAGACTGCAGAGCCAACCCAGCTGACCTGCAGACCCAATACAGAAATGCATGCTTTTTGTTGAATGCCGTTATTATGTGATTGTTTGTTATGCATAAGAGTTTACGTATACACGGAGTTCCCATGTAAATTTGTAGGCGAGATGGTGTAAGGCAGATGGTCACTTGCTGCCTGAGGACATCACATAAGTGAAACCTCCTTAATTATTTGAATGCAATATAAATATGTAAAGATTATTAAGGCTGTGATGTTAAGTTGTTAAATAGAGAAGTACAAAATAACTGATTGAAACATCATAGGAGTAAATAAAGAAGACAGTCAAGGATGGTTATGCAGCTTTCATCCCCTAGGTCCTCCCACTCCAGGTTACCTCCTTCTAATCATAGAAACTGGCTCAGCTCTGTGTCTTACATGAGTCTCTCTCTCTCTACTTTCAAGTCACTTGAAATGATCAGAGAACCAGTGAATTCTTAACTAACAGAAGCTAACTAGATTTGTCCCCAAATTGTAATACTAAAACATGCAGAGATTTTTGTGAAGGCTGTAACCAATCATTAAAATATAGAAGTGCGCGATCTTCGTTTCACCATCATAAAGCATCAAAAGGCATTTTTAACATGATGCTATAATTCATAATCAGTAAAAATTTTCCAGTACGTTGGAAGCTGAAGTATGCTTTCAAAAAATGAAATTGGTACTCTACTTCCATTAATGAGTGCTTTGAAGTATGTATGGAGATAGCTTTCCTCATTTTCAGTAATTCTTCTTGTTCATTACAGCATTTAAAGGGGTAGAGGGTGGGGAGTAAAAATATCATTTTGCAGGCACAAAAATTTTAACTAGCAGCAGATGGTGAGACTGTAAAGAAACTGCTCCTCACATGAAACTTACGGAAATTGGTTTCTTTCTGATATAGTCACGCATCATTTAGTTCTAGAATCAGGGGTCAGGGCAATACTTGCCATATGCTAACCCTAGTATATCTGCCTCTTGCTGGTATAGATGCTACATCTCAAGGAATTTGGTTTGAGCCAAAGCTGCTGTAATTTTTATAATAACAAGCCATGGTCTTTGCTGACATTTTACCGCTGCCCAATAATGAGTTCTCTCTAGAGCTGGAAGCTGTTTTTTAAAATTTGAAATAAAGTTTAATCTTACTTAAGTTCTTTGGAACAACAACAACAAAAAAACAAACTTTATTAATTTTTTACATGCAACCTAGTCTTTCTGTCTGAGAACAAAGGAAAACTGGTGTTATGTGTGTGTGTGTGTGTGTGTGTGTGTGTGTGTGTGTGTGTGCGCGTGCTCCCCTGTGTACGTGCACCTGTTGAGGTGAGGGTGGAAGAATGCCATGGAGGAAGGAACAGGCTGGAAATTTACAGTCCTTCTCTGGTAATTTAAAAAATGTGTCCACAAGTTCTTGGATATACTTTCCTTCCAAAGTCAGAGACAAATTCCTCTCTTGCTGAATGTGGATTGGAATTTTTGATTTGTAACTAACAATGGGAATGTGGTAGAAATGACGCTGTGACTTCCAAGACTAGGTCGTAAAAAGGACAGCTCCTGTCTGGCTCTCTCTTGGATCATTTGTTCTGGGAAAAGACAGCTGCTGTGTTGCGAGGTAACTCAAGTAGCCCTATGGGGAGTGGAACTGGGGCCTCCTGCCAACAGCAAGCACCAGTTTGTCAGCATGTGGGCACACCATGTCAGGGGCAGTTCTTTCAGTCCCAGTCAATGCTTCAGTGGACTGGAACTCTTTAGAGTATATGACTGCACCTCATGAGGTACACTGAACTAGAACTGCCCAGGTAAGCCAGTCTTGAATTTGTGACTCACATCCATTGTGTGAATTTATAAAAGTTTTTTACTATTTTAAGCTACTAAGTTTTGAGGTAACGGTTACTCTGCTATAAGTAACTAATCTGCACAGACTTATTAAGTGTATTGTCTTATTCGATTATCATAGCAATAAGATAGGTACTAGTATAATCATTTTCACATATGAGAGAAGCTAAAACTAAGTTGTAATTAAATTACTATGTTTGCTCATGGGGTCTGTATGTGAGTAAAGATTAAATTCAGCTACAAGCAACAGGAAATGTAACATAAAAATGATAAGACAAATACATATTCCCACCCATAATATTATATATGAGGAAATTAAGGGCTGGTTCTTTTGCTCATGGAATGCACTCTGGGTCCTAGCTGCTTCTAACTCTTTAGATCATGGTTACTGGCATGTGGCTTTATACTCATGTTCACATGGTAGTTGCCACATTACCAGCTGTTGCAACCATATTTTGGACAAGAAGAAGGAAAGGGGGAAAAGTCAATAGTCTTTGGACAGCTTAGCCTTTTTGTGTCAGGAAGAAAAATCTGCTTCATGACACTTCTGCACCATAATGGCCATGCTTATGTTGAATTGCCTCTCTTAGTTACAAAGGAGGCTGAGCTCATTGGTCGTTGGAGTGAAAAGTCAGGTTTCTGTTGGAAAGCAAGAAATGAATAAGAGATATTTCTAGGCAACTAGTTGTAGCTGCTATGGCCTACATTTTTGGTTATTCTGTATATTCAGATAAATCTTTATCCCACTTTTTAATTTTGCAACCATACTTATCACAAAAGAAACCACCTCCAAGTTTCATCCAGATACTAACTTTAGCTCAAAGTCTAAAGATTCTGAGTGGTATACAGATCACTTCATCATTCCCAAACCTTAGAGTAAAATTAAAAATGTATGCCATACAACTCTGCTATTTCATGGTTAAAAAATAAATGGGTCTTTATACTTCTAGCATCTACGTAATCAATTAAATTCTCCACACTTAACTCACATTTTCATTGCAGTTAACATGAACAACTCATTCAAGAGATGTAAAATTATTCTAGCTCCAGTATTCAAATTATACTTTGATAGAAATCAAATTAGTTTGTTCAAGTTCTTAAAAATTTTAAAAACTTTTGTATTTCTCCAGTTGTTAGTGAAAGCAAGTAATTGTAACCCAAAAATTAAATAGCCCACTCTTCATGTGAGTAATATACTCAAAGTTCATTAAAATGTGTACTGTATTATTCAGTAATAATTATGTACAATCATTGTAAAAATTTATCAAACTTGGTTAAAATTTATCACAGTTTAGTTAAATTTAAGTGGTTAATTAAATAATCTACATATGTGTACTCTTTTCTAACAGAGAGTTAATCTGTTCAGGTCAATTGCAAGTAGGTTTTTCATGAAAATAGCTTATTATAAGCCTAACATTGTAAAAAATATCATTCCAAAAGCCATTTGGACATTAAATTCTATATAGTCAGGTGAGTACATAATTTATGTTCTTCCCTAAATTATATTAAATGCCAAAAAAAGACTTAAAAGTGAGTAAGTCCTTACTAGACCTGAGAAAATGAGAGTGAAATTTTATGAAACAAACCAGAGGTTTTATAAAATTTTCTAAAGATACATCTTGTATGTTACAAAAATGTAATACAAAAGAATGCTTGAAAAATATGTTGTCAAAATAAAAACATCAATAGAAATATTACAATTTTAAATGAATAAATTTTTTCAAAACATAGTTAATCACAACAAAAGAGAAATGAAAACTTAGGAGATACAGTATTTAATTCAAAGGAACATTGTGAAAACAGAGTGGAGGAAATAAATATTAAAAAGTGACTAATATTAGGGGAAAAAAATCTGTATTTAAAATAAAAAAGCCAACTGAGGGCCAAGTAAGATAAGCTGTTGAAAAATCTCATCATTTCATATATTCTTGCCAAATTTCTGACAATAAAAGATTATAAGAATTTCAGGAAGAAAATACTGAGGTTGCATTCCAGAAAAATAAAAAGGAATTAAAGAAAGAGGAAGGTATGGGATCCACTCAACAATGCAATTAGCACAGGTGTTCAGTAAAATGAGATCTTAGGATGAAGAGTTATACATCATCCTTAAAAAGCAATCAGTTAAAGTAAGAAGTCTGTAGTCTGCACAAAAACTATTTTCAAGAAGAAGATACTTTCTATTTATGAACTTGGAATCTCTAATGACAAGAAAGCACAATGCAAATATGAGACACATTAAAATGTTTTATTAGTTTTTAAAATTGTTAGAAAGTTAGAAAAAAAAGAGTGCAGTTGAATTTTACACTCGAAAAGCTCTCCTCTGAGTTGTCTGCACCTAGCAACCAAGTTTTATACTGTCAGTCTAAACAGACTTCTTGATTTTGCATTAAATAACATTCGCAGGATCATGCCATTGGCATAATTACAAGTATAGGTCATGAATTTTTTCATTTTGGAATATGTCTGTAGAGTATGGTTTGGGAGATCTAATTGTGGTGACAAAATAGACTCTAAATGTTATCAAACCATAATTTTAAAGGTAGAATTAATTGATAGGGGACAGAAGGGGTGAGAGGTGGGAAGGAAGTATTTTTAGGGTAACCAATTGCCTGATCTTTCACAATGGCAATCAGATATATACTAATATCTATTTTCTAGAAGAAATAAAAAATCAAGCATTAATTTAAACTTAAGAAAACTCAAAGAAGAATTCCTGTCTAGGTCTTAAAGGCCCCGCAAAAATTGCAAATTTGCTTACCTTTCAGATGTGTTTCATTACTGGAGGTCAAAACAATGACTTTCTTTCTATTTCTCTCACACTCCAAGCCCTTTTCTGCCTCTGGTCCTTTCCGTTTTTTGTATCTTTGCTAGAAAAATTCTTTCTAAAATTTTTGGTGTGGCTGTCTTCTTTTTTTTTATTTTTTATTTTTTATTATTATTATACTTTAAGTTTTAGGGTACATGTGCACAATGTGCAGGTTAGTTACATATGTATACATGTGCCATGCTGGTGTGCTGACCCATTAACTCGTCATTTAGTATTAGGTATATCTCCTAAAGCTATCCCTCCCCCCTCCTCCCACCCCACAACAGTGGCTGTCTTCTTATAGTTGTGCACGTTCAACTCAGTTATCACTTTCCAACATTTCAGAGGAGATCTCCACCTTGCCCATTGGTCACTTCATGCCATGAATTATTTCACTTTGTGGTTTTCTTAATATTTATCACCATCTAATATTATGGTAGTTTTTTGTTCAATATTTCTTCTCTCTTGCTTGAATATAAGCTCCAAGAGAACAACTTAAAAAAAATTCTCATTGGGTTGATCAGTGATAATTTGTTGAAGGAATCGATTTAAATAATAAAATTAATAATAGCAATAGTAATTAGCAATCATAACAATCATGTTATGGGCTATATTATGGCCCTCCAAATTTATATGTTGAAACCCTATCCCATAGTACCTCAGGATGTGATTTTATTTGGAGATAGGGTTTTACAGAGGTAATAACGTTAAAATGAGGTCATTAGGGTGGGCCCTAATCCAATTATGACTGGTGTTTTTATAAGAAGAGAAGGTTGGGTTACAAATTTACACAGGGAAAAGACTGTGAAGACAGGAAAAAGGCCATCTACCAGCCCAGGAGAGAGGCCTCAGAAGAAGCCAACCGTGATCTTGGACTTCTAGTCTCAAAAATGTGAGAAAATTAATTTCTGTTGTTGTCACCCACTTTGTAGGAGGCTATCCTAGCAAACTAATGCAAGAACTGTCACAACTCAGGAGAAGAATGGACTGTGGATATGCTAAGTGACTTAAATGAACTAATACATGATCTTTCATAACGGAAAAAAACTAGGTCCTGAGTAAACTTTACAAAAAAAAAAAAAAAAAAAGAAAAAAATGGTATAAGCATATAATGCAGAAAACTAATAAACATGAGAAGTATTAAAATGGATTAAAGTTATTGCTTCTTAGAAGTAGGGCTAGAAATAGACAGCAGATGAGAGGCATTTTAAAAAAATAACAATCTGTATTGTATAATTTTTCATTCTTGGATTACTTGTATGAAAAAAGTAGATATAATTAATTTTTTAGTTTTGAACTATTTATGGAAAGGTATAGTGACTTGTGGCATCTGTATCTACTTTTTTTCCTAATACATTTTTATTTCATGAGGCATTCTGGTTTACAGAGTATAAAAAAGAAAATAAAATGGTTGTGAGAGCTAATTTATTCTTTAGATTTTGAAAATGAAGAAAACATTGGTGAAAATACAAGACAGAAAAGTCTGCAGTAAGAAACAGACTTCAAAGGAGTTTTCCCTGGGAAAGCAGACTGGAAATAAGATATAATGTAGGGGATGTTTATAAATCCTAAGCACAGTCATGAAAACAGATGGAGTAACAGGTGGTGAAACAACAGATGAAATACAGAATGTTGATGGTGAAGAGGAGAAGGTAATGACCAGATTCAGTTTTCTGGAAGGGCTTCAATTCAATACATTTGAGAAAGTTGATGGTATTTGAAATAACTGAGGGACAATTCTTTTGTACCCATGTTCTAGCCATTGTCATCAACTGCGTAGAGAATTCAACTTTTAAAATAATCAGTAAATACGTAATGTAAAATCGATTCACGGCAGCCAGGTAGCCCTTATTTTGAAATTAAAGAGCATAATCAAGTATTAAAGGAAAACACAAATATCATTGCCGGACTAAGTCTGGATCAAAGTATTTGCTATTACCTTTCTAGGAAAAGGATAACTTGCAGCATTTTTTTTTAAATTCGGGTTTCCATAGTTTTTTTTTTTTTTTTAATATAGGTGGACTTCTTTTATGAAGAAAAATATACTATAAAAATGTAAGCCAAATAATTTGATTACTCATTATAAGTGAAATGGAATTTGGAGATTATTTATGGGCAGAATGGAGCAATTATACAATATAAGCAAAACTAGATAATCTCAGATGTAGGACATTATTCAAAATGATTTCAGATTTTTAGTTTTAATTGGCAAGAAAACGTCTTCTTTGTCCCTATAATTTTAAAAGTCATCATCAAATTGAAACTGACCCAATAATCCCATAGATAGTATTTTTTTATATATAAATATAGAAATTGACCCTTCTGGTCTTAAAGCTTGAAAATTAGATTTGTTTTATCTGAGTTCCTTCCTCTGGAAATTACCTTCAGGCATCTCAAAAAAATATATCAAAGAATTGAAACTCACCAGATCCAGACAATGAGATACCCCTCATTCATCATGATTGCTTCCTTGCCCCTTTCTAGCTCCTGTTTTCTCACATATTGTTGCATTTCTTTCCTGCTATATAAAACCCCAATTTTAGTCAGTTAGGGAGATGAATTTGAGTGATCTCCTGTCTCCTCTGCTGCAGCACCCAATTAAAGCCTTCCTCCTTGGCAATACTCATCTCAGTCATTGGCTTTCTGTGCGGAGAGCAGCAGGACCTAGACTAAACCCCTGGTGTTTCGGTAACAAAATGATTGACAGTGATTGAGTTTTCATCATGTATATTGATTGTCTTCCATTACAGCCAAATGTATCATAAGATATTCTACCCTTGTTCACTTTACTTTTTGTATGTCCCTGGCTTTGACTTCCACGGTATTACTGAAATATTCTTAATAGGTGAACAAGGACTTTCTCATAATTACACCTTACACTTTATTTGAACTGTCAGCATCTCTGAGCTCCAGATTTATTTATCTAAGTATCTACTGGTTCCTTCTATTTGGGTTTCCTAGTTACCTCAAAATCAAACTTTGGAAGCTGGAGCTAACTGCCTTCTTGTTCTTTCTTCCAACTAGTTGCTCAAACCAGAAATTCAGGTAATATTATTGACTCTTCCAACCTGTTTTCTAACCTCATCTACTGATCACCAATTAAGGTGCATATTAACTCCTAAGTATTTCTTCTAATCTGTCAAGTTTCTCTCTGTCCACAAGTCTTTATTCTAATTAACTCCAGTATCATCTTTTGTCTGAATTATATCAATTCCCTTCTGACTAATCTTATTGTCTACAATATTTTGCAACTCCATTCCCTTCTTCACATTGCAGACAAGACAACCTTTTTCAAAAGTAAGTCATATAAACATGTAAGTGTGTATACACTATATGGATATGTCTGTATGCTTATGTATGTATACATGCATGAATGTGTGTATGTAATTCCACATTTTAAAGTTCATTGGTTTGTCTCAGAATAAATTTCCAAATACTTAATCTGGTTTAAGAGTAACCTGTGTTTTTTCTGCAATCTTTATGTAGTATTTCTGTTTATTTATCCAGCCCTACCTTATATTGTATCATCTCCAGATTTTACAACCATCTGTATTGAACCACATTCAGTTCCAGAATAATTATGACATTCTTTTTTATTCCTTTAGGGTTTTATTTCCCAAAACATACTTTTCCTTCTATTTGCAACTCTTTTTTGTTCTTCTTCAAACCATGCTGTCCTGCTTTTTCACGCCTGCTTCTGGATAATCTCATGGATGGAAAGGGTGAATAACTGGATCTGTGGACTTTCCTCTCATCTCCTGGACATCTAAGGTTTGCCCATGGGTAATTATTCTTGTAACATTAACTCAAAGAATTGCTAAGAGTTTACTTTTTTGGATCAAGATAAGTGAGAATCCAGCCAGGGGCTATAGGACTGGCTGAAGCAGTTGCTTTTTGAGTAATATGTGCTGATAATATACAGGCATCCTAGAGTATGGAGGCAAGTCGTATACCCCTGAGTGAACACCTAAACAACTAGGGGTAAAAGGTAGAGTGAGCTCAGAGCTGGGGCTTTTCCAAGCTGAGGTTCTGCATACACTTAGCTTGCCTCTCATGACAATGTTTACCTTGAGTGTGGAATGACATAGACTCTGTGCCTGGGAGTCATAAGAACTCTACAATGCTGCCATTGTGCATGCTCTGTTGTTTCTTTTCTCCATCCTTCCTTAAAGTAAACCTGGTCTTACTAGAAGCATGTTGTGTCTCATGAATTAGGCTGCCAACAAAAACTGAAGACCTTTGGTGCTGGTAAGCAGATGGTGCTGCATTTCCATTCATTGTTTAGACTTCACTAATAGGTCACTTCATCTGAGAAGTATTCCCTGATTGATCAGCTGAGTTAAAGATGAAAATTTTAATGTACTCATAAAGGCTATATACTTCTCCCCTCAACATTTATTGAATTATATTCTAGTCATTTCTTATCTTTATTCCTCACTGCATTACATGGACACAATATCTTATTCATAGGTGTATTTCCAATGTATGTAACGGTGCTTGGCACTTAGATGCATAATTAAATTTATTGATTAAACAAACAGCTGAAGAACATAAATCTCATTGTGAATGGAGAATAGATAAATGGTTAACAAGGTTTATATAACTATAGCTAAATTTTCTGTTTATTTCCCCATTGTATCAGTTCATTCTTGCTATATAACAAACTCCAAAACTCAGTGGATGAAAACTACAATAATTATTTATTATTGCACATGTGTCTGCAGGTTGGCTTGAGTGTGACTAATCAATGCGCAATACGTGGTTAGGACACCCTACTTTGGGCTGTAGTGACTGGGTGGCTCTTCTCACTGTATGCCTGTGGGTCAGCAGGAAAGCTCTACTCCACATGTCTCTTATGATCCTTGGACCAACAGGATACCCAGGCCATGCTTTGTATATGGCAATGGCAGAGTTGAAAGGAGTGAGTGAAGGCTTGTTGGGGCTCTTGTGCATAGGCTTGGCACTGGCACAATGTTACTTCTGCCTGAATATCATTCACCAAAGCAAGTCATGTGGCCACGTCCAAAGCCAAAGACCAGGAAGATACATTCCACCGACACTGAGGCAATGGGGGATGGTGAAACAGCAATGTGATCAACCACAGCCACCAACATAACATGCAGTAATTTTAGAATACTTGATCTCTTTTAAATACAATTGTTTTTATATTCTGTATCACACAAATTATTTTGGAACAATTTCAATCATTTCATCACATTAAACTGGATTTATTTCAATCAAAACGAATGTACTGAGAGGCTCCAAACAGCAGCCAAGTGTGAAGTTGTCTTCATTTTACCCTACATCTTCCTTCCTGTCTACCTGTCTGTGGGCAACAGGTATTAGCTCAAGACCAGGGGGCTCTTTCTTGTTCAAGATCTTCCCTTCCTGACTGTCCAGCCTGTGGTCTTCTGGCTTGCTTAACCACCTGCACAGTTGTGAAGGCAAATCCTAACACTAAATCCACCTGCAAAAACCATATCCCCTACTGGTTCTGCTTCTCTGGTGAACCTTAGCTGGTATACTCCCTCACAATGCCCATTGTCCAGTAGTTCCCCAAGTCCTGCTTACTCTTTTTTCTAAGTAGTACCTTAATATTACTGAAGAATACACTGCCACCTGGGGATCCAATTATAATTTCTCACTTCTTCCAGTGATAATTGAGAGTAATTTATTTCTGTCCTTTCCCACTGCCATTAGCCAAGACCAAAATGTCATTTGCTCTTACCAGAATGACAAGAGGAGCCTCGTAACCTGTACTCAGCAAGCCGTTCATATCCAAACTACTTTCTTCTTTGAATATAGGAAACTTTCATAAATACAAACTTGAACATGTTAGCTTACACCTACTCTTGCTGTGGTTTCCCACTGGGAAGTTCCTTAACATGACCTAAAAGCTTCTGCACTCCCTGGCTTTTCCTCCATGTCTCCATTGTCCTTTCTTACTACACCTTACCTTTTCACCCAGTGGCCTGAAATGCTCTTCCAACATTCTCCACGGTGTAGGCAGAAATTACCCCAAAGATGTCCATGTGCTACTCTCTGGAACATCTGAGTATGTCATGTCATATGGTGAGGTGGAGAAAAGGCTGCTGAAGAAATTAAGATTGCTAATCTGTTGACCTTCAGAAGAGGTGATTATACTGGACCACCTGGGTGGTCTCAATGTTGTTACAGGGGTCTTTATTAGTGAAAGAAGGAGCTAGGAGAGTCAAGGTCAGAGTTTGAGGCAGATTTGAAGACATTACACTGCTGGCTTTGAAGATGGAGAAAGGGGCTACAATCTCAGAAATATGGGAAGCCTCTAAATGCTGGAAAAGGCAAAGAAATGCATTCTTTCACTGAGCCTTCAAAAGGAAAACACCTTGGCTAACATCTGATTTTTGCCTAATGAGACCCATTTTGGACTTCTGACTTTCAAAATTTTATCATAATAAGTGGTATATCTTAAGCCACCACATTTGTAGTAATTGTTACAATAGCAAAAGGAAACTATTGTATGAAATTCTTCCATACATTTTCAGTTTAAAATTTCAAAACTGATAGATTATCTAATTTTTATTTTTAAATAGAAATAATTACCATCTATTATACCCTGATTTTCATTAAAGAAGCACTTTTAAGTTTTAACTTTTTATTTTTAAATAATCAAATTTATAGAAAACTTACAAGAATAGTACAAAGAATTCCCACATACAATATATCCAGATTCGCCAATTTTTAACATTTTCTCGTATTTGTTTATTATTCTCTCTCTCCCTTTCTCTCTCTCTCTCTCTATATATATATATGCACAAAAATGCATGCAGTTATTATTGAAAAAAATTAACATAAAAACAATTACAAAGGGCATGATCTCAGAATAAAGCAAAATCCCTTACGTTCAATAACTTCACAATATGGTTCTTACATTTTCCTTGTTTTATCATGGACCAGTAAAAACCTAATTATAGAAAAGCACTGGTTCATGGACAAGCATGCTGAAAACACTGTCTTAATAAAGTCTTACTTATACATCCTTATGCTTACTGTACTAGCCAGTTCTCACATTGCTATAAAGAACTACCTGAGACTGGGTAATTATAAAGAAAAGAGGTTTAAGTGGCTCACAATCTTGCAGGTTGTACAGGAAGCATGACTGGGAGGCCTCAGGAGACACAATTATGATGGAAGGCAAAGGGGAAGCAGGCTCCTCTAACATTGGAGATTAAAATTCGACATGAAATTTGGGCAGGAACACAAATACAAACCATATCACTTACTCTTAAATGACTCATTTTCAGGAAAACCTTATATTCCCACACTAGAGTTTATTCCTCAAGTTTGAGTTTCTCTTGAAACCTGAACTTCTTGATGTCCCCGATAACATTGGCATACTCTCTATCAAGTTCCTTGAGGGCAGGAGCCATATTTTTGTCTGCCGTATAATCTTCTTAGGACAGAAGCTGGCGCAGAGCACATACTCTTTAAAAATGTGTTCACTATGTTAAATGATTGACAAAGAACTGAAAAAGTAGAGAATGTAGAGTTCATTAAAAAAATTCTTATAATTCTAAAACTGTATTTCATATTGCCTCAGATTTATACTTCTAATTCTAATTTGCCCAAAAAAAGTGTCCAAAGAAAATGCTTACTTTAATTTTAAGTCTAACAACATGTAAGCCTTAGAATTATAAAAAGCAAATTTGGAGCTCATAACCTTTGACTCAAAATGGAAAGGTGAACTAGGATTTATTGAAAAGGCACCATTTTTTGGTCCTTTATTTGTGATCTAGGATTATCTAGTTAAACCCCCCACCCAGTGGATGGAGAGGATACAGTTCTGTCTCTTTCCCTAATCTTTATCAGATAGCTATTTTATTTCATTAAAAAATTAATCTATTGTATCTGAACATGCCTGTGAATTATGCTTTATTTAAAACCCTGTGATTATTCTCACATTTTTTCTCCCAAGCCTAATCAAAAAGAAGCTTCAACTCCTTACTTGGGCATTCTGATTCATATAAAATTCCTTTAAGTGAGCTGGCCTGGGTACATTGTTTTTTCCTTGTTGATTATATTATGTTGGTGTAAAAGTGAAAACAAAAACAAAACAAAACAAACAAAAACCAAATAAACAGCAATTACTTTAGCACCAACCTAATAAAATAACACTATATATATATTCTTATGACCACGTTGGTGTCTCCTGAAATGAAAAGTGGTTCATTTAAGTGTAGAATCTTAATTGCTTAGTTGTTTAGGTCAATGTGTTGTCTTTGTTGGTTTTACTTGAATTATATGGTTAATTTTATTCATCATTAACTAGTCTTGTCCTGAAAATACCTGACTAAAGTTGTATTCCTTTCTTCTAAACAGCTAAGACACTCATTAGCATTACTGAACATGTTCTCACTTTTTTGTAATTTATTTTGGTCAAAGGGAAGATCAATTACATTTTGAAAATACTATTCACGTCGTTACAAACTTTACAATCAATTCAAGCAGGGAAGATGTACATTCCTTATATTATAATCTAGGTAGCATCTAAGGTAGTGATAAATGTCTTACTCAGAATAAAAACACACATTTATTTCTTTTCTAACCTACAAATTACTTGTGTAACTCAATATTTTAACTTGCTTCCAATATTTAAAAAGTAGATGATTTAAGGTGAATCAGTGAATTCATTCCTCTTGACTTTAAATGTGCCTTCATCATATGCATTCCAAAGAAAAATTATCTAATCTATGAAGATGTATTATAATCACCAAATAATCTACTGAATACATTTATAACTGCAATTTTATGCATTGTGAAGCACTGTAATTGCTTAATATTGCTAACTCTACTCTAATGCCTTGCAAAAAGAAGGTGCAAAACTATTCAGAGTATATACTGACTCCAGAGAAGCAAATATACTGGGGAGACAGAAAGAATGAGGCAGTATTTTGAATGCAAAAACTAGAAAATGGCAGATTTCTAGTTCCTAAACCCTTTATATTGGTTACAGAGTTTGTTGAGGTAGAAATAGGAAGTGAAAATGTTTCTGTGGAAGGGGTAATAAAATACTGTTGAGTTTTCATTTTCTATTTTAAAATTTCTTTCTTGTCAGTAGTTGTACTGAGATGGAAACAACCGAGGTCTGAGCCATTTGAGAGAATGACATGCAGAAAGCTGAGTGCAATAGGTGCTCAAAAATGTACAAAATGACTGGTTTCTGGAAATCATTGCTTTATTTTGCTGAATATCTGGTTAGGCAAATGAAGGGTATTCCCTATTCTCCACACTAGCTGCTTTATGAGGTTGGTCTGTATCTTTGAGTTATGAATGCATGTGTTTGCTAGATAACTGTAGCAGAATGGTCACCATATTTAGGGGGCAAAATAAGAAAAGTTTATGGTAAAATTGATTTTTGAACATGGTGATGCTTGAACCTTAAATGTGTGCATTCCTGTCTATCTTTAATAAATGAGCTAATCTAAGTATATGTGACTTCTTATGACACATGATGTTTTTTTTCTTTTCTTTCTTTTTGGAAACTGAGTTATGCTCTATAGCCCAGGCTGGAGTGCAGTGGCATGATCTTGGTTCACTGTAACCTCTACCTCCCGGGTTCAAGCGATTCTCTTGCCTCAGCCTCCTGAGTAGCTGGGATTACAGGCGCCTGCCACCATGCCTGGCTAATTTTTGTATTTTTAGTAGAGACAGGGTTTCACCATGTTGGCCAGGCTAGTCTCAAACTCCTGATCTCAGACGATCCGCCTGCCTCAGCCTTACAAAGTGCCGGAATTACAGGTGTGAGCCACCACGCCCGGCCGATACATGATATTTCAAAGACAAAATACATTGATTCACTATGAGCTGTAAGATGATGTTACAGATAATTAGAACTTGAGGGACAAAGAAAACATATCAATAGGGTTGTTTTCATCTTACTTTTCCTGCTATTCTCCCAGTTAGTATATGGTAAACACTTGATGTCATCATTGAAAGAACGAATAAATAAATGATGCAGGAATTGCGAATTGAGTGTTGCACATAACTGAGAGGAAAAGATTCATATTGTAAGACACATATATGGGAGAGAAGATCAAACATAAAAGCTGAGTAAAAAAAGTCAAGGAGGTAGACTGGGAAAAATATTATCTCGAAGACAGTGAGAAGAAAGTTATTTTATGGGACCTGTTTTGCATTGAACCGAGCACCTAACATAGGCAGAAATTGAGATTGTGTATTGGAGCCACAAAGGAAAACACCTAGGTTAGTTGTGCATACTCTAATGTGAGACCTTGAAATAGACATCCTGGATCCAAGCCAGACATGATCTCCAAATTTATAGATTTTTACTATTTTCCAAAAAATGTATTTATCAACTTCACATGTAATATCTCATTCATTCTTTACAACCCTGAGATAGGTATTATGTTATAGCCAATCTTTTTCAGAGGGAAAGTTGTGATAGGGAAAGAGTAAATAATATACCCTGGGCTCCCACAGCTGAGAGTGGTGGAAAGTAGGATAGAACCCAGGCGATGCTCTTTGAATTGTTGTTCTTAACCTTTAGAAAGATCTCCAGAATAAGAAGGAGTTAAGGGTTATGGCTTCTCACTACTTCAGATGAATTTTTGAGAAAATTGTGGGAGGAGAGAGATGGGTGGAAATATCTCAAAAAGGTGTGTGGGCCTGCAGGAAAACTAGTGCTTCCATCAGCGAGTCTCAGCAGGTACGAGAGCAGCAGTACAATCTGTGTGGGTACAGATTCTCCAGACATCAGGAGAGATGGCCTTGAACCTTCTTCATTATGAGGCTGGGTAGGTACAACCCTGACTGTGGTCAAGAGGCAGGCTGCCACCTCATGTCAGGGCATGATGGCATCAAGAGAAGACTGACATTCAGTGGTTGGAGCTCTGTGGGGAAAAAAGAAAAAAATCCAGTAACCCCTTTAAAATATAACTAAATGTCAGTTATACCCTTAAATATTCCAGAGAGTATCAGTACCTAGATTTAAAGTGCTGAATTCAATCATTTCTGCATCATCCAGCTTTATAACAAAAGCTTATAGGTTTTATATACTTCAGAGGATAGTCTGGTAACCACAGAAAGACAATTTCTTCCCAACATGTTATTTGCCTGAAAGGGCTTTATCCCCCAAGGATATTATGCTAGGCAGTCATAGACAATACATTAAATAGAAATCGAGACACTGGACACTAAGTTGTACTCGGTTACTAATAGGCAGCTTTGCAGTAAAGTACTCAATTGCTTTTTTTTAGATTTTTTTATAATTGGACTCATCGCTTTCAATTTAAAGGTACTTCTGGAATAGATATCTGAAAAAAAAAATTGAAAATGTAAGTAAGATACCTTTAAAAATAAGTTTATATTTTCCCGTTTTTTACATACTCTGACATGTATATAATAAGTGCTCAATAAACGGTAACTATTATGCTTTCTACATTCAACTTTTAAAATAATCAGTTTTTGGTTTCTTTGCTCAGATACTTCAAGCTACTCTAGTGAAATACCTTTGCTCCCCAAGTCACTAGATGGAAGTGTGTCATGCTGGGTACCAAGGAGTGAGGCTGGGTTTCTACGGCTTTGTCTCAATGAACAGGCTTTGTCTCTAGGCTGGAACTTCTCTTTACTGCCCTAGGCAGTAGAATGAAGACAGAAGTGAAAGCGATGAATCCTTGCCAATAATTTTGTCAGACCTCATGTTCTCTTGTCTTTTAAAATAATCAGTCGTACAGCCTCTGAAATGAAATGGATGGTAGGGTTTGAAGTCGACACAACAGAAAAAGAGAAGGTTGTGTGGATTTACATGGGTATTTTATGCAGACGTGCATGTGTTTGCTTGATTTATTTGGCATTCCAGGTTATCTGCCTTCTGCAGGGAGCATGGTTCTCTTGGGGAGTATCCTCCCTCATCTGTATGGTTCTTATGAAGCTGGAAGGGCAATACCCTTTCATGGTAAAGAGCACATGGCTGTGAGGTGGATTCATAACCAGGTGTTAATACATACCGTGTGACCTTGGGCAACTTACTTAACGTCTTTGTGCACCAGGAGCTTCATTTTAAAATGGAGATAATACAGTACCTTCCTTATTGAGTCATTTGTTTAGCCTGGATTTCCCTCAAAAGTAGAGCCTAAGATAAGGGATTGGGTGCAGGTGGTTTGCACTGCAAAGGAATCTCAAGAAGTGGAAGCATAGAACGAGTGAAACAGGGAGGGAGGGAAACCTAATCCAAGGTTTTGTATCCAAGCTGTTCATGGCAGCGGACACTGGGTCTTGACCTTGTTGCAGGTCCTTTGAGGACTGTGCAGACTGCATTATAGAATTGTCTCCAAGGGATCAAGGAGGGGAGGAGTATTTACATAAAACCTCCCATTCTGTGTTGGGCAAGATTGACCCATTAAAGTGTTCCCTCTCTTACATACGTAGGTTTGCACATGTGTACCAGAATATTTCCATAGGAGACTCTCCCAGCTCTGATACAGAAGCCCAGGATAGAAGTTACTGTTAGAGACAAGATGTTGTCATGTTATATCTGATAGCTGCCACCAACTGGCTGGAGTAAAAGAAAGAGGACTTGGAGATTTGACAGGAGATGTTGATAAAGGATTAAATGGAAAAAAAATATGTGCAAAACTTCTAGGCCATTGTCTGGCTCAGAGTATGTACTCAATTCATGTTAACTAGCAAGCATGTGCACTTTTCTGGGCAGATATATACATAAATTTATATGTATAATCATATATATATAATTATGTTTTTACATTTCCTTCTCCTGTTATATCATGCATATATTACGTCTTAGGATAAAATTGTCAAAGCTTCACTTGACCATGTTCCAGGAACAATACTGACAGTTTATCACTCCTATATCTTCACAGAAGGGAGAATTAATTGTAACTTGAGCAATGTCCAGAGATTTGCTAGACTTGCAAGCAAGATTATCCAGGGAAGAGAAGAGTTAACAAGTTGCTATGGACCCAAAGTTGCTAATCAGTACATGTGTCCGAACAGGATCTCTTCCTAACCTCCATACACACACAGACTCTCACACACACAAATGGGTGCACACGCACAGAGTTGAGCTAACAACAAGTTTTAGAGAGTATGAGTCGTTTCTCAGAAAAGTTTTATGACTGCTTTAACCCACAAACAAGGCAAGCAATTTAGACTGACATTTAGACCTCCTTATTTTCTTGATTTCCAATTTCTTCACTGGGAACACTGAACTTTTCCTAATCATTGTGGATAATGAATTAGTAAGCTTAGTTTTAGGTCATTCATGATTTCTTTTCTTAATCTATAATTGAAAAATTACTTCCTTTTTGTCTTTGTTTTTTCCTTTGATGCTTCCTCATTGTATTTAAATTTTTATTTATTTATTTATTTTATTTCATTTTATTTTTGAGATGGAGTCTCTCTGTGTCGCCCAGGCTGGCGTGCAGTGGCGCTATCTCGGCTCACTGCAAGCTCTGCCTCCTGGGTTCACGCCATTCTCCTCCCTCAGCCTCCTGAGTAGCTGGGACTGCAGGCGCCCACCACCACACCTGGCTGATTTTTTTGTATTTTTAGTAGAGACGGGGTTTCACCGTGTTAGCCAGGATGGTCTCAATCTCCTGACCTCGTGATCTGCCCACCTCGGCCTCCCAAAGTGCTAGGATTACAGGCATGAGCCACTGTGCCCGGCCTAAATTTTTATGTCTTATGCTGATAAAATATGTAGAAGCATATAGGCAGATGTTCAGCAAGATGTCTGTAAGTGAGGACCTTTTTAAAGTCTGTCTTTCTTACAGAAGACCAAGGAATTTGATATATCATCTGAGGAAGTAAGTAAGCATAAGGAAAATAAAATTTTTAGTAAAAGTAGAAATGCAAATGACCATATTCTTTTTTTTGACTCCCAAATTTTTCAGGTGGTCAGAAGGTCATTTTAAACATTTTAAATTTATTTTTAAATTTTGTAGGTTGTGTGTACATTTTCTGGGCTGTCTAGTGAGTGTTAAACATATGCTTTATAAAATTATCAAAAGCCGAACTATTGATATACATTTTGACAGATCCTTTTTGGTTTGTTAAATTAAACATTTTGACTCTTTCGTGTGTTTTCTTGAAAATGAGAGCATTGGTTCAGTTTTTGAAAATCTCAAATGTAATGAGATTGGTTCCCAGCAGAAGTGGTGGGTAAGAAAAAAATTAAGCTTGTCAAGTCATTTTATGAAAGATGCAGTAAGGGAGAGTTGGGTAGGAGGACTATTCAGAGCTGAATAAAATCAGCTGCAGCATCTGATAAGGCATTTCAAATGTTTGTGGTTTTATGCTAAATGCTAAAGAGATCAGGTGTCTACCCCATAATGGATTTACCTAGGCTCCTCACAGTGTTTTTAACTACAGCAGTGATCATGAATGGTCATATATCTAAGCGTAAATTTAAGACTTGGGAAGTTTGCGTCTGGTGTTAAGAGTGACTTACTGTAAATAAGGACTGGCTGCCCTTGAACATTTTTAGAGCATGTGTGAATCTGGTGTTAAAACTAGCAAAAGTCATTGCCCGTTTTTCCTTTGCAAGTGGAAAAATTTACAGTATCTCTCTTGGGTCTCTTGAGCTATGCGGAGATGCGCAAATCTCAGTTGTAGTGAGAGCCATACACTGGCTTTATTAGTCTTATGGGAACCAGAATCAGCTTCACTGACTGGGAGATTTGCTCATTTTAGAAAAGTACATGGACTTTTGTATTTAGGATACCCTATATTATCTTAATTGTGACTCTTTTAACGTACTTATTGCTTAATTCATGGGAGTTTCTTCTCAGTTTTTATCTTCTTATCTCTATTGCTTGGATTTGAAGATACAGCAATTAGGACAAAATGACTGACCTTCTTCCCCAGGGTCAGCAAGGAAAAACAATGCCATCCAGTGAAATATTTGCATTCTATTAAAACAATGATGATCTAGATTATTTAAAATAGTAACAATAATAACTAATATAATGTCTCATTTTAAATAAGGTGGTATTTTCCAATAGATTTTATACACTAATATATTTAACTTATAGTTATTCATATTTATTACATGAATATCGTAGGCAAGATGCTGAGAAAAAAGCAAGTAGAGACCTTGCCTTAAAGATACTTATAGTCTGATATGGTCAATGAGACAGTTTAAAAATAGCCACATACCCAAAGGAAATGCATATATATGTTCACCAAATGCCATAAATTAAATATTCACAGCATTTACTCCATGATAGTAAAAAACTAGAATTACTCACACATCCATCAACATAAAATGAATTACTAAACTGGCATAGTTGCATGATAGACTACATTATAGCCATAAGAATAAATAAATTTCAGCCATACCCAATAACATCGAGGAATCCCAAACTTGTTATGTTGAGTGGAAGAAGGCAGATACAAAACAGCATAAGCTGTATGATTTTATTTATGCCAAGAAGAGAGTAAAACATTTATGTGCTGCTGGAATTCAGTAAAGAGTTAAGTGTTGAGAGGTGCAGTGACTGGGAGAGGATAGGAGGGGGCTCTCTGGCATGCTGGCCATGTTCTCTTTCTTTGAAAGGTGTTCTCCGTGTTCAGTTTATAAAAATGTATTAACTTTGCATGTATGATTTGTGAATTTCTCTGTATAATATACTTAACTGAATTTTTAAAGTAAGCAGTATCATTAAATAGAATAAGAAAAGACCTTTGTGGATAAAATCTTTTGTAAGAAACTGGGCTGTATCTACCATGTGCTACTACCTTAGTTTTCTTTTTGTAAAGTTTTTTTTTAATTAAAAAAAAATTCATTTGCCTTAGTTTTCTGGAGTAATTGGGAGGATTTGAAGATCTGGAGATAGAGACAGTCCTGGAATAAGAAAGCGTATAAACCAAAGTAAAAGGGTGGGAAAGTATTATTGAGTAACAGACTGAATGGACTTTCAAGTACTTGAAGAGAAGTTGGAAAAGTACAAAGAGGAAAGTATTGTGTTAGGTTTCAGCCAGACAATAAAATGTTTTAAACTATCATGGAATATGGTTTCTATTTTTTTCTTTGGGTGATGGGAATTGATGAAAAATTTTGCACTATGGAATGGCATCATTAAGATTAGATATTTGAATATCTGGCAAGTGAGCTTAGGGGATGGATTGAAAGGCAGAGAGACTGAAGGAGGAAAGATTTGACCATCTTTTCTCTGCAGTATTACAGAGGATTGTCACGTGGGTGTGCAACAGATGACAATCAGCAGTGGGACAGTGACTGGTGCCTAAAGTGTGCTCAATAAATATTTACTAAATGAATAATAATGTGAAGCAATAAACAAAATAAGAGGATTTTTGCATTTGACTCTGTAAATTAGCATTCTTAAGCAATAAGTTTGCGTTTTCAAGTGGTTCATCATAAGCAGAATCTAGGTTTTGTTTTTGCAAGGTAATGCCACTTAAAATTGGGACTGGAGTACTTGGTAAAGTCTTTCATAATCTGTATGTGATATTCAGATCATTGAATCTTATCTGTTTGGAATCCAGATTGTGTATAGGATTCAATAATAGGCCACGTTATACTGTCTTTCTGCCAATTCCTTCACAAGGCCCTCTGAAGTAAAATATAAACTTTCCTCCGGTAAAATATTGTACCTCTTTCTTGGTTATTATCCTGGATAGAAGATCTACAGTTATCATATCCTTTCGAGTACTTTGGTTAAAAATTATTGACATTATAATTCTTCAGTAGTTCTTGAACTGAAAGTTGGTAATTCCAACTTTTTTAGAAATCAGGTCAATGGTAGTAAGTGCTATGTCTGTGTTTTCCCTTTGAATTCTGGCTTACTTTTTAGGATTTGGTGTCAGTTTTTAAGGAATTCATATAGGTATTGAATTATGTGGTTTCACTATTCTTAGTTGTGATTACTGGGAAGAACTTTGGCACACCTGGTGGTAATTGGCTATGGTCATTTGTCTCTGAGAATGGTTAGGGGGATGCTACAGCTACCAGATCCAAGTAAGGATGTGAGGCAGGTGGAACACAGACAATTTATCAGCAAAGTCCGTGGGTGGAAAGGATGCCTGGATCATCTAATTCTTTTGAGCTAGTGTTTGCTGAACTGAATCTAGTAGATAATTATCTTCACCTTTGCTTTATACTCCTCGACACAGCTTAATTGTAAGAGAATGAAGAAGATAGATAGAATGTCTAGCTGATTTGTTACATATTGGTGAACAACTTCAATTTTAGCTCCTATTTTAAACTCTTCCATCCTTTCCTTCTGTCATCACTTGCCCACTTCCAATCCAACTTCCACATTCTCATGAATATTCTCTTTTAAAAATTGTATTTTATTGGCCGGGTGCGGTGGCTCACGCCTGTAATCCCAGCACTTTGAGAGCCCAAGGTGGGCGGATAACAAGGTCAGGAGATCGAGAACATCCTGGCCAACATGGTGAAACCCCACCTCTACCAAAATACACAAAATTAGCTGGGCGTGGTGGTGCGTGTGTGTAGTCCCAGCTACGAGGGAGGCTGAGGCAGGGGAATTGCTTGAACCTGGGAAGTGGATGTTGCAGTGAGCCAGGATTGGGCCACTGCACTCCAGCCTGGCGACAGAGCAAGACTCCATCTCAAAAAAAAAAAAAAAAATTACTTTATTATGCCACTTATCTGCTGAAAAATTTGATGGAACAATTTGGGAGGCATTAACCATTTTAACTGGCTTTTAGTAAGTGTTAATGGTTTGGTAAGTTTTTTTGATTCAACACTGAGAAAAATCCATTACTAATGGAAAGCTCAGAAATAACATGACCCTAAAAAGATTTTAGCTTAGTTTTGTTTTGTTTTGCTGATTATATTTTAAACTATCCACTCAATGTCAAGGTCTTCAGTAGTGCTAATGAATTAGTTATCTCTGAAACGCATCCTGGAGTTCATTGTAAATAAATACTGTTGCAATTTAAATATTGATTCAGGAATAAGTGCTTGAGATTGCAAAATATATTTTTTAAAAGAATGCTGTTATTTTTGTTTCTTTATGGTGAATAAAAAAAGCTTTTGAGTTTGAATTTACTCATATGAGAGCTAAAAACTTTTACAATACATCCCCCCAAGAAAATATATTCAGAATTTAAAAAGGGAACACAGATATTAGAAGAAATATCAGATTCAGTCCAGATTAATCACAGAATGAATCAGATAACTATTCTTTCACAAATCATGCTATTTCTGAAATCTAATTATTATTAATGCCAACATGCCATATTTTTAATGGAAATTCTTTTAACATTTTAAAAAATCTTCCATCATCCATACAATAAACCCATAAATGTGGAAGCATTTTTAACATGCCATTATTTAGAATGTTTTAATAATAAAAACATCTGAAATCAAGTTTTACTTATTCTTTCCTGTAACAGAGAGCTGACATATAACTTTAAAAGATATTTGCCATGCGGGAATTGGGGATGTTGAATCAAAGAATATTCTTAGATTGTATATAATCTCTTTTATAAAAAAAGTATATCTTGAATTCATATTTTTGCTTTTTCAAGGTAGATTTTGCTCTTTCTTTTGGCATCTATTTTTCTTTTGCAAAATGAAAGACCGCAAAATATTTGCAAGTCATGGTTTCATAAGATATGATTATAAAAAGATAAGCAATGCAAATCCTATGCATCTTGTTTTCCGTACCTTTTTAAAAATTTTCTTTTGCCTTTACAGATTTACTTTCTTACACTCCCTCTAAAAATATTTTCTGTTTAAGAAGGGGAAAAAAATGGCTTGTGACAATTTGCATAATATGTTAATGTGGATGTGCATCTAGACATCTGGATGGCATTTTAATATCTCATTCTCATTCAAGGAATTAGACCTCACACAGATGGTAGAGACAATTTTAAGAGCAATGTTGTAAACAAATAAGGCGTCCAGGAAACCAAACACACTCCAAGATAGGCTTTGCCGCCAAAGAAGCTTTTTAGTGAGATGTTTTGACTACAAGATTGTACAGCCCTTATCAGTCTCTGACAAAAGGAGAGGGACCAGCAGGCAGTTTTCCTATGCAAAAGAAAAGAACAAAAAATGTGCCACCAGTCATGAATTTTCAATTTTGAACATTTTAAATATTAAATATATTTTATACACATATACAGAATATATGTATGTGTATATATATGCATGCATTCATGTGTACATATAACATATACATGTGTGTATGTACATACATACAAGCATATATTTTAATAAAGTAGACCTATACAATTTAACAATAAGTTGACCTCTTCCTCCCTTCTGTTCTTAGAAATAACTGGAGTCAAACCTCTGCATATTAAAAACACAGGACTCTGGAATTGTTTGGTCTACGTTTAAAACGCAATCCACCATTAACTAGCTTTGTTATTTGGGCAGGTGACTCATTCTCTTGTATGTGTTTTGTCATCTGGGATAATAATCCTTGTGTCACAGCGTTGACAAAAACATTAAATGCATTAATTACACATCAAACGTTTAGCACGTGCCAATGCATAGGTAGCACTCAATGCATGTTAGTAGTTATCATTGTTTAATTTTTACTACTTTTTACTTTGCTTTATTTTTGAATCTGGCCATCTCTAACACAAAAACATTTGACTTGTTCTTTTACGTAGTAAGAAAAGATTTCTGGGTCTCCTGGGCTTGTGACAAGGACCCAGTCTCTGGATTCAGACAGACTGATCGTTACACTTGAGTATATCTCATACCAACTAGACTGTCATGAAAACTCTGTCAGAGTCAGCTTGCTTATGTAGCAGAGGAAGCACAGTTCCGAATTCACTGGATTATTTTGCCCATGTGACAATGCACATGAAGTAAATGCTTTTGGATGTGCCTATTTTTAGGTCACATGTCTTTTTACTGAGATTTGCATGGTGACTTTTACCCAAAGGATTGCACATCCAGCAACCATATTTCTCCTTTCTCTATTTCTCTGATACTCATTGATTAATTTGAACGAATTAAGATTTGGGATTCTGAAGTGTTTGGCTAAGCTTTTAAGATAAGGATGTTGCATTTGACGAGCTCGCTGTCATGTTTGTCCTTAATTATGCCAAAAGAAGTAACAGTTTCTCAGGACAGACAGCCAGAAAAGGAGTTAGAGGGGTGAACATCCATCTAGAAGAGAGAGAAGACACTCAGCATGGAACAGAGAAAAGACAGAGTGCCTTTTCTTGGGTTCCATATAACTTCCTTTTCTTCAATTCCATGGCACATCTTAGATTCATTGAAATTGACTTTTGTATGCATCTTGTATGTGATAGGTTTCTTTCATATAGCTAAACTATCCCAGATTAAGATGACAAGTAACTAGATCATTGGTGGGACGGTGTATTCAGTTAGCCTATGTTGCCTATAGAACACCAGTGAGCATTAGCAGATTGCATACTGTAAATCCATTTTGAAGACCACATCTATTGTGAAATTTGGAAATGAACTGACAAACCAGGGAATGAAAAGAGCAGGGATGGCAAATCTTTGGTATACCCTTGACAGACATCACTAATCAATCATAGCTTCTTTTCCCTTGAATACAGAGAAAGTCTTGGAATGCTTTTCATTGAATGATGTCATGAAGGCACTCAATTTCATTAAGAGAAGTGTGGGATGTAGTATGAGAAATAAGTCAAAGCAAGTTGTTTAGGACTAACCCTGGGAATAACTTTCTAAATGGGCTATATATTCCATGTGATACATAGGGCAAGTATAGTGTCTTAAAGGAGATGTACAAAATGAACACAAAGGATGCAAAAAATGTTTTACATTGTTCATGTTTTTAAGCAACTAAGTGAGATCTGAATGAAAAGGCAAGTTCATAAAAGCAAAACAAAACAAGACACATCATATTTTATTAGGGGCCAAGTAAATTTAACAGACAATGAGAGCAATAAGATGTAAGAGGTCATGTGCCCTGAGGACTTGGAGGCTGGCCAGGGCTGATAGGTTGTGGGGAGAGCATTATAAAGCTGTGCATGGGCACCAATGAGCAAGACAAGTTGTCTGGAGCAGACATTCATACCGGAAAACAATGGGAAATAGAATTGACGGACCAAACAGGAAATAAGCTGTGAAAATCCTTGAATCCATACTAAGAAATGAGAACATCTGTAGGCAATGGAGAACATTTGGAGAGTTCAAATATGTAATTGTGGATATTAGAACGGAGGGGGATCCTAAGAGATCAGTTGGCCTAGCCCATTGCCTTAATGCAGGTGTGTTCATATTATTTTACTTGATAGAAATAGCTGATTATTTATGCTCAAAACGGAATTTCTCATGATAGTAAGGGGAGAAGAGATGGCTTAGTTCTTTATTGAAGTTTATATGATTGTATTAGTATATTGTAGTTTATTGCATATATAAGATCAGTATACACTTACAGCAGGGTTTCTCAACCTCAGCACTTTTGCCATTTTGGACTGGAAATTCTTTTTTTGAGGCAAGAGGAGTCTGAATTATAGGATGTTTAGAAGCTTCCCTGGTCTCTGTCTCTAGATGCCAGTAGTTACCTGTACCTCTAGTTGTGACAGCCAAAAGTGCATCTAGATGTTGCTAAATGTCCTCTGTGGGTCAAGATGCTTTTTTCAGACATTACTAAAGGTCCTCTGTACATTACAGTTATCCCTGGTGGAGAATCACTGACTTGGAGCAAGAATTTCTTTTTTAAAATTGAAATAGAGAAAGCACTTGCCTAGAGTTCAAAACAGAATATTGACATATAATTAGGTAGTGATTTGCAGGATAAGTTAGAGAAGGTAGAAATGGGAGGCAATGAGAATATACAAAAATGATCATGTCAGTCTAGAAATGAATAGATGGGCTTATAAGCTAGAGCTCTGTGGCTCTGATAGTAATAGAGGCACTGATAGTAATAGAATAGCAGCAGTTGTAATGGTAGTAGAAGCAGCATTAATTGTGCAGTCATAAAAGTACTTCTCACAATTACCTTTAGAAATGTTTGCTACTATGGTTATCCCCATACTGCCGATGAGGAAGCTGAGGTTTAGTGGTCACCCATGGCAATGGTTGGGATTCCAACTCCTATCTGTCTTGCTTCCAACACTTTCTATTGCTTCATCTCTGAAACAGGTTTTGCATTCAAGTGGTTGACAGGAAAAAGCAGTCTGAATGGTCACACTCTCTGTTGTTTGTTAAATTATACTATCCTTCCCAAAATCTCACTCTCTTTATTTCGAGATGTGAACAAAAATTGTTCCCCCTAAGAACAGCATAGGCTGGTACAACTTAGAGCCCCATCTGCTCTGGTTTGTTGGATACCGCCACATTACATTAATTAGTAGAGAGAGAGCATTCACATGCATAATGTGCCCATTTTTCAAAAGCATATTTTACATGGTTGTGTCTTTTCCTTAAAAATTCATTACAAAGATAAGAGTGTGTTTATCACATAAATACAGCCAAATTATGGCATAAGGGAGCTTTAAGAAAATAGATAAAAGAAGTTATAAAATTTTAGACATTATAAAATATTTGTTACTGATATTATGCTATGTTTTTCATGCTATCTTAAAGACTTTTTATAGATATTATTCTATGCTCACAACTAGATTTTGCAATTCCAGCATGCCCATGAATGGAGGAAACCTCCAGTTAGCTTGAACTAATTAGCTTCTTTTGTGAAATGTCCAAGCTGCTAATTTCTGTCCTTTTATTTTAAAATAGAACACCTTTTGTTTATTTCTCTGAGACACAGATTTCTCCTACAACTCCAAGTAGGATAAATAAAAGGAGAAAAACTCCAGAAAGAACTGTTTGGAGTTGGTTAGAAGATTGTCCAGATGATCTTTATTTTAATGTTGGGAAAATATAGATGCCTATCTTGGAATCAGCAAATAAATTATACTCATATTAAATTTCATTCTAAATTTCTGACTTTACGGTTTATTTTATATATATAATATATATAAATAAAATTTTATATATGTATATCAGTAAACATATGAAACCATGCATAGTACATAAAAACTAGGTTCAAGTAGGAACTCAGTTTACTTTGTTTCTCTGAGCTGTAGTTTCTCAATATGTGAGGTGGGAATAAAATAGGAACTTCACAGGCTGTTAAATGTGCCAATGAGAGAATGTATATAAAATGCTTACACAATGTCTAGCACAAACTATATTACATATGGTGACTCTCCTATGGTAACAGCTATTTACCAATCTCTGCAGTTGCCTTAATGGAATTGTAACAAAACTGGACATGAAAGGCTATTGTAATTTCAGCCCAATGCCTAACATTCGTGGAAAAACATTTCAGCTTTTCTATGCATAGCATATTTTTCTCCACCAAACATCTGTGAAGGTGATTTTCATTTAACTATTTAATGGGTCAATAACCTCCCTTCTATTTTCATATTCCATCTACATCATCAAAAAAGAAATTTTAATTACCCTTTGGATAAATAATAGGAATAAAATGGCATGAATCAAAACACAGGGTTTATGCATATTCTCTATGAAAAACTGCACTAAAATGTTGTTAATAAATTTTACACCCATTAAGGAAGTGTGTGAGTCTACCTGGTAGAATTAAAGTATAGTTGAAACTATTGCTGTGGGATGAAATTATGCTCACTTTAATACTTCCGATATATTTTCTTTGTACTAGAAAAAAAACAGATATTTTAAAAATGCCGCATTTATCTTTATCTCTCTGTGCACATGAGGATTTCATACCTTATTTTCACTTGAGTTTCTTTGAACAATGAAAACTTTGGAGGAGTGTATGCTATATTAGGAATTTATTAGATTTCATCAAATGGCAGGTGGTTATGAATTTTGTTTCCAAAAAGGAGACCTGAGGGATATTCCATATTAAGGGTTTTATTCCCTTTTGGTGGAAACATGCAAATCATTTGTTTTTGCTAAAAAAATCTATGAAACATTTCTTTCATTATTTCCCTTGGGAATGGCAGCTCGCTATTATTCGTAATTGTAAATGCAGTTGACATTTTGAAGTTTATGTTCATGGGAATAAGATATTTTTTGGACATTTTAGTGATGCCAAGCCCAGGAAAATCTAGTTATTTTTTGCAATACACATGTATATACAGTATGTTAATTGGAGTAACAGAGATGGCCATTTCAAATTTGGCTCTGTTATTCATCTTTTTTTTTGGAGGCAAAGAGTGTTGGTAAGCGAATTTAACCAGAAGAGCAGTAGATTCTTTTGAAATAATGACATAGTGGAAAATAAAAACACATATACACCAAGAAACAATTTGTGAGCTAAAACATGATTAAATTTAATCTGTTGCCATAAAGTAGAAAATGTTCGAAACAAGGAAGACTGTGTACTTTCAGCTAAACTGAAAATAAAATGACAACAAAAAAGCAGGACTCTCCACAATTCAAGACTTGCTGCTTCTATGATGCCACACTCTTGATTATTTACCCCTGCTATATGAATGAGTGAGTGTTAACACTGATGTATTACACCTAAAAGACTGGAAGAGCATCTTTGATTCCATTCCAGTCCACCACGTCGTGCTAGAACCAGGACATCTGCCCTCCATAGTAAATCTCCATAAAATTTTACTGAGGAGAAAAGAATCCTCTACATATGAGGTAGAGATGTGAATCAGACAAGTCCTTAAATGCATGATTCATCTAACTGCCTCTGAATAATTGGTTAACTTCAGCCACCTGTATATATAAGCATGTAGGTGTTCAATGCCACCACACACTCTCCACAAACAACAACTGCCCAGGGTTGCCAAAAGATAATTGCATGGTGGCAAAATGTGCTGCTTGAACAGTGCCAACGTAAAGGATAAAAAACCAGGAACCACACTGTAAGGAAGTGAAGACTGTATTATACTAGGAATTCCACCTTAGACTCCAATCTGACCATCTGAATCTGAATCGGACTATAGTGGATGGACTGATGCTACCCTGCAGCCTTACTTCCTTAACTTTGTTTCCCCAGGCCCTAATATAAACCCCAGGCAAACAGGCATACAGCTGTATGCATTTGGCAGATTACTATCCATTTCATTGTTCAGTTGTTCTGGAAAGGCACCGAATGCAACTGAAGCCTGGAAACATTAGGAAAAATGGTACTGTTCCTGATATCCTTGTTTCTTCCTAAATGACAGTTGAAGGTAACTTTCCTTTGTACAGTTCTGCCTGCCGTTAGCAATTTTCCAAAATTAAATACCATATTTTGTGTTTGATAGGCACAGCTGTGTCTGTTACCAAGGGCAAGCCCACCTGCACAGCACTCTGTGTTCATTTATGTACTGAGAACTTTATTTAGAACCCAGTTTTACAGAAAAAAATCAAGTTGGGTGAACCAATTTTGAGGGCAGTGAATTCTTGAATTCTCCTTTGGGGTTATGAAAAGGGAAAATTTATTTGCTTCTGATAGAAGTAATATAGGCCTAGTGGATATCTTAGCAGTGCAGAAAATAGGATGTACCATCTACCTATATTAACTGTGTGTGCATTAATTTCTGAATCTGGTTTTAAAAACTCCATTGTGTTCTAAACCTGATAGTTTGGAAAGTTGTAAGACCGAGTCTAGAGACTCATGTTAAAATTCTAAATTTTGGTGCAAGAGGAATAGCTCTCGTTTTTGCCCAAGCCACTTTATTTTTCAATGTCTTCATTATTTTATCTGCCAATTGAACCCATCAGAGTAGAGGAATTCCCAGAATTATTTGAAGCTCTGAAAGTTCTACAATTTGGGCTAGAGAAATGGAATATATGAATTCTACCAATTAAGACACCAACTCTTCAGGCAAAATTAATTTAATACTTGGGGTATGATGGGTTGACCCTGAATATTTACAAGATACTAACACTGGAAAATGTTAGTGTGTCACATGGGACAAGAGTCTGTTAAGGTGTTCTACAAGAATGGGAGGTTGTGTGGTTAAACATTTGGCATGCTTGGCACATTTTTTCCCTCTTCCTGGAGAGTTATAGTTTGCATTCACATTTAAAGGATCTGAGAAATCCTGCAGAAAAGAAAATTATGTAGCTTTGTTTAACCCAATGTTTCCCAAACTTAGTGGACTTTATGCATTCGACATCTTTCCTTTGCTCTTCCAAATTAGTCTTCAGCCTTCCCTACCCTGCTCTGTGTTCATGAAACTGACGTGTGTGAATTCTAACTTGGAGTTTTCTTTCTACTGGCTCCTGGTTGTTTGGCTGTCAAGAGAAACTTCTGGAGGAATGACGGCAGGAAAAGGTATCTGAGGAAGAGAGAAGTAAGGTGCTTGTTTCCCTGGCTTCCTCTCTCCAAGCTGACTGCATCTGCCCACCAGAGGTCACATTTCTTGTCACGTGTTCTCTCCACACATTTTCCTTCCAGATTCCTGCAAACTCTTATTTCCCTCCATCCTTTCAGGCATAGTCTGTAGGTTACTGCCTTCCTTTTCAATTTTCCTATAACCTGCCCACATCTATTCAAATAGTGCTTGTTTTAGACATTCCTCAAATTACCAAATTTGAGTGTCATCTTTTTTCTGCAGGAAGTCTGAGTGATATATATACACATGGTATCTTTTTTACCTTGCTGATGCATGCCATTTTTATGGAAAAGCAAACTGCTATATTTAAAGTGAGGAAAATTATTTTGGTATCAAAGTGTCTGAAACACTGTTGTTGCTTGACTTGCTAACTAATTATTGTCCGAACCCTTCTCTATGCGTAGATATATCCTAAAACCAAGTCAGTGAAAACAGGTCCTTCTGAGTTTATTTTACCATTGTCAGCTTTCTTTTTGCTCTCAGTGGGCCCATGAGTGATAACTATCTCCACAGTTAGACATCAGTAAGCCATGCCATTTACCTGATTTGTCAACAGACATTTGTGAAGCATGTTTGTGTGTGTGTGGCATTGAACTAGATGCTGAGAATAAAAAGGTAGAGAAAGATTAACATGATTCCCAGGGTATCCAAAGCAGCCTGTATGCCCACCAATACAACAATAATAAAATGTGAATACCGATAATAAATGTTATAATACCTAACACTTACATAGCTCTGAGTACAATAAGACATTTATATAGTTTGAGTGCTTTATCTGTATTAACTCATTCAATCTTCCCAACAACCTTATGAAAAGCTACTGTTAATTATCTCTATTTGACAAATAAAAAGATGACAAAGTCAGGCTAGATGAGTCTGTTCATGTTCACATGTAATTAAGTGGTGGGAGTGGATTTTTAGTCCATGTAGTCTGGTCACAGAGAAAGTATAATTAAAAAATGACAAGGAGATGTGCAATAGGAGGGCTTGGCTCAATTGAGATCCAAAGGGCAAAAAAGTAAAGAGAGAAGAGTGTTTCAGAAGGGAAGAACTTGTGCAAAGATACTCTTAAATTGTCTTGACGCTGTTTCATCAGGGCAGACGACATACAAAAAGGCCAGTCAAAATGGAGTTGTTAAGAGGTGGTCTATACAGATACATCAGTTAAGTACACGCACTTATATTTTCTTTGCTGTGCTATTCACGATAACAAAGACATGAACTCAACCTAGGTATCCATTAGTGGTGGATTGGATAAAGAAAATGTGGTACATACAGGTACCAAGGAACACTATGCAGTCATAATAAAGAATCAAATTATGTCCTTTTAAGCAACATGGATTAAGCTGAAGTCCATAATCGTAAGTGAATTAATGCAGAAACAGAAAATCAAATACCACATGTTCTCACTAATGAATAAGAGCTGGACATTGAGTTTACATGGACATGTAGATGGAAGCAGTAGACACCGGGGACTAAAAGAGGGGAGAGAGAGGTGGGGAAGGGTTGAAAAACTACCTACTGGATCCTATGCTAACTACCTAGATGACAGGATCCATACCCCCAAACTCAGGATTATGCAATATACCTATGTAACAAACCTGCACCTGTATCCCCCCATATCTAAAATAAACACTAAAATTTAATTAAAAAATAAATTAAAAAAATGAAAAAATATATCAGTCATTGACTTTATTGCCCTGATAACGTAGCAATGGCAACTTCACATGTTGACTTAAAACTTTGATTGTCAACCTTTGGTGTTTGCAGGATACTTAAAAAAACTGGATTATTTAATGACACTCTTGAAGGAATTAAAGTATAAAAAAGTTATAGAATATTGAAAACATATTTCCATACTTATTGAATTAGTTGTTTTTAATTTGAGGAGAACCAAAAAACTCTTTACTGTCCTGACCATATTCTCTGATACAGTAATAATGCAAATTTCTTACAATTTCTGGCATATAGGGCATCTTTCTTTAACACTAGCATGCCTTTACACGAAGCCTTATCACTTCTTTGCAGCAACTTGTTCCACAACTCACTGAGTGTGCATTGTTCTGCCAGAGACATCACTGTAAGAGTATGTCGTGTCAAATGTAGCAAAAATTGTTTTTATATGGTATCAGTTATAAAGTGCTTTTGAGGACTGTTTCTTGCTTCCCTGAGAATGCTGACAAGCAGAGTAAACTAAGTGCTCCAATTTCTAGGTTCGGAAAATTACCCATTTTAGTCAGCTTCTGCAGGGCCTTCTAGGACAGGGCACAGCAAAAACACCACTTCTGAACACCCCAATCCCCTGGACCACATCTAGAGGACTACAGAAGGTAAGAGGGAGAATTCTCAAAGTTGTAGTTATCCATAATCCTACCCCTTCTTATCAAGAGGAGGAGAAAGGCATTGAACTCTCTCTCATCCCTGCCTTTTACAGATGGTTCTGGAATATGGACAAAAGGAAAGGAGAAAAATGGCTAAGGTGCCAGAGGAAATTCCCAAAGCAGCCTGCATTCCCTCATAAATCAAATGTATAACATGGAACTCACCTGACACTTATATCATCTTTTCAGTGCTCCAATGGTCATACCCACAAAGAAAAGGGATCCAGGCAACAAGAGGATGGAGGGTAGATTGGTCTTGGACCCGGAGTTTAGGTCAAGGTGATGTTGAGGACTTTGAGACAAGAGTGTACATTTTAGTTATTGAATTACATCACAGAAATAATCACACCAGCCTATATTTTTCACCAAAAATGAATGAAAGGAAAATTATATCTGTTCTAGGCAGATGGAGGTCAAAGGCTGCTCTAGATCCAGAATCTTAACCTATATCAAGATTCATGTTCGTGCATAGCTTTATTGAAACTCTTGGCTCAAATTGACTTACTTCCCTAATGTCAAAATTTGAGAGCCCATTTGTAAAATGGCTTAGTGTAATGCACTGTGGATGATCAATCAAGAGTCACTAGTCTGTGTTCCTATTGGAGAAAATAATATTGCTTTTCTGTTTACATCTGTGTAAGAAATTTCACTTAGACATGAATGCTAAGAAAAACTACAATCCTTTCCAAGCAATAGACATATCCTTTTATGTTTCATAAAATTATCTCTTCATCTGGGATAGTAGAAGTTTTTATTCAGGCTTGCTTTATGCTTTCTCAAAACTACGGTTATGTTTAACATATTTGCTTTATTTCTAGTCCATGCCTTTGTCATATTTTATGTTAACATTTTGTGTTGAACTATCTAGACTATCTACCTTTATCTATGTATGTATGTATCTATCTATCTGTCTGTCTGTCTGTCTGTCTGTCTGTCTGTCTATTTTATTATACCAAAATCTTCTTGCAAGTGTTGATGTCTAAATAAATTTGATAATGTTTATTAGATAACCTTCATTTGTAATTGATTTGCTCATCTGTTATCCATAGAACTTGGAAGCGTATTTGTAGATAAAAGTTACAGATGTATAGATACATTGATAGATAATGCAGTTATATAAAAGTATATATATTAAATTTTAACCATATAAATATGTAACCAGACATATACAGATTTTAGTAAACTTCTTTTGACTTTTTATTTTTAAATGTGAACAAAAATAGTTGGTGATAATGGTGTCTGAATCTGTGGTCTCAATTATAATCTCACAACTCCAAGTTCCCAACACAGTTGGAAACATCATTTATCTACCGAATTCTTCTGTTGGTGTTTTTCTCCCAGGGAAGCAGAGAAAATAAAGAGTTCTCTGCTTTTAATGTTTCTGCTTTTTATATTTGTCACAGTGCTCTGCTTTTAGCAAACACCCTGATACACTAAAAGTTTGCTTTTTATTTAACCTTAAAAATTTCTTTGGTAAGCTTGTCCTAAAAACTTGACCCAGAATAATACAAATGCCATTCAAACATCTATTTGTGCATCTCTTTTTTTTTCACTTCAACTGAAAATATACTTTCTCTAAAATGTACATTTGCAATAGGAATATATTACTGATGGTGGAAATAAATTTCCATGTAAATTCATATTGTCCTTCTACATAGTGAAATGACAGCTTTTTGGAAGTCACGTGCACACAGCTCCCCAGGGAATCTCACATCTATTATCCATTTCATGCATTGTGAGGCTTTTATGGCAATGTCCATACCCTTCATTTTAGATAGATCTATCAGTCTCTCGGTACTACCCATGCACTTTGGATCACTAAGACTCCTCCTGAGTAGATGACATACTAATATGTGACTAGTAATTGAATTTTTGACATATGCAAAAATGTTGTAACATAGATAAGAGAGAAAGTGCCATAAATAGATATCTAAAAGAAGGGAACAGATGGCCTCTTTGTGAAGATGTTTGGATAAAGCCAAAAAATGACAAACAGATGGTTTATACGTATGGGGTAGGTTGACAGTGGAACCTGAAGCTGGTGGGGCATAATGCACAGAGCTCCAACTTTTCCTAAAAAAACCTGAAGTTTGGTCTATAAGAGGAAAGTATTACAGACTTCATAAAAACATAGACAATTGCTGAGGAGAGCTTTACTTCCAACTATGTGGTCAATTTTGGAATAGGTGTGGTGTGGTGCTGAAAAAAATGTATATTCTGTTGATTTGGGGTGGAGAGTTCTGTAGATGTCTATTAGGTCTGCTTGGTGCAGAGCTGAGTTCAATTCCTGGGTATCCTTGTTAACTTTCTGTCTCGTTGATCTGTCTGATGTTGACAGTGGGGTGTTAAAGTCTCCCATTATTATTGTGTGGGAGTCTAAGTCTCTTTGTAGGTCACTCAGGACTTGCTTTATGAATCTGGGTGCTCCTGTATTGGGTGCATATATATTTAGGATAGTTAGCTCTTCTTGTTGAATTGATCCCTTTACCATTATGTAATGGCCTTGTCTCTTTTGATCTTTGTTGGTTTAAAGTCTGTTTTATCAGAGACGTGGATTGCAACCCCTGCCATTTTTTGTTTTCCAGTTGCTTGGTAGATCTTCCTCCATCCTTTTATTTTGAGCCTATGTGTGTCTCTGCACATGAGATGAGTTTCTTGAATACAGCACACTGATGGGTCTTGACTAACCCTATTTGCCAGTCTGTGTCTTTTAACTGGAGCATTTAGTCCATTTACATTTAAAGTTAATATTGTTATGTGTGAAGTTGATCCTGTCATTATGATGTTAGCTGGTTACTTTGCTCGTTAGTTGATGCAGTTTCTTCCTAGCCTCGATGGTCTTTACAATTTGGCATGATTTTGCAGTGGCTGGTACCGGTTGTTCCTTTCCATGTTTAGTGCTTCCTTCAGGAGCACTTTTAGGGCAGGCCTGGTGGTGACAAAATCTCTCAGCATTTGCTTGTCTGTAAAGTATTTTATTTCTCCTTCACTTATGAAGCTTAGTTTGGCTGGATATGAAATTCTGGGTTGAAAATTCTTTTCTTTAAGAGTGTTGAATATTGGCCCCCACTCTCTTCTGGCTTGTAGAGTTTCTGCCGAGAGATCTGCTGTTAGTCTGATGGGCTTCCCTTTGTGGGTAACCGGACCTTTCTCTCTGGCCGCCCTTAACATTTTTTCCTTCATTTCAACTTTGGTGAATCTGACAATTATGTGTCTTGGAGTTGCTCTTCTCGAGGAGTATCTTTGTGGCGTTCTCTGTATTTCCTGAATCTGAACGTTGGCCTGCCTTGCTAGATTGGGGAAGTTCTCCTGGATAATATCCTGCAGAGTGTTTTCCAACTTGGTTCCATTCTCCCCGTCACTTTCAGGTACACTAATCAGATGTAGATTTGGTCTTTTCACATAGTCCCATATTTCTTGGAGGCTTTGTTTGTTTCTTTTTATTCTTTTTTCTCTAAACTTCCCTTTTCGCTTCATTTCATTCATTTCATCTTCCATCACTGATACCCTTTCTTCTAGTTGATCGCATTGGCTCCTGAGGCTTCTGCATTCTTCACGTAGTTCTCAAGCCTTGGCTTTCAGCTCCATCAGCTCCTTTAAGCACTTCTCTGTATTGGTTATTCTAGTTATACATTCGTCTAAATTTTTTTCAAAGTTTTCAACTTCTTTGCCTTTGGTTTGGATTTCCTCCTGTAGCTTGGAGTAGTCTGATCATCTGAAGCCTTCTTCTCTTGACTCCTCGAAGTCATTCTCCGTCCAGCTGTGTTCCATTGCTGGTGAGGAGCTGCGTTCCTTTGGAGGAGGAGAGGCGCTCTGCTTTTTAGAGTTTCGTTTTTCTGCTCTGTTTTTTCCCCATCTTTGTGGTTTTATCTACTTTTGGTCTTTGATGATGGTAATGTACAGATGGGTTTTTGGTGTGGATGTCCTTTCTTTTTGTTAGTTTTCCTTCTAACAGACAGGACCCTCAGCTGCAGGTCTGTTGGAGTTTGCTAGAGGTCCACTCCAGACCCTGTTTGCCTGGGTACCAGCCGCAGTGGCTGCAGAACAGCGGATTTTCATGAACCGCGAATGCTGCTGTCTGATCGTTCCTCTGGAAGTTTTGTCTCAGAGGAGTACCCGCTGTTTGAGGTGTCAGTCTGCCCCTACTGGGGGGTGCCTCCCAGTTAGGCTGCTCGGGGGTCAGGGGTCAGGGACCCACTTGAGGAGGCAGTCTGCCAGTTCTCAGATCTCCAGCTGCATGCTGGGAACACCACTGCTCTCTTCAAAGCTGTCAGACAGGGACATTTAAGTCTGCAGAGGTTACTGCTGTCTTTTTGTTTGTCTGTGCCCTGCCCCCAGAGGTGGAGCCTACAGAGGCAGGCAGTATGGCACACTCAATTCATCTTCCTGGAAACCTCCATTTACATTTTATTGTTCAATCCAGAAGTAAATAACTTACATTCAACTATTGAGAAAAATTTTAAATGTGAGGACTACAGGGTAGATAAACTTCAAATATCTCAACTGGTACCCAGCTAAGTTCATGTAGACTTAGGTTTAATTTTTTTTTTTTTTTTTTACAATATTGGCTTTGCCTTGTTTTATTTGCTTTAGAAATGAAATCTTAAGAACGTTGAAAATATGCTGGCTTATTTCTCCCTATAGAAATATATTGCTAGTTATTTCTACTTGTATAAAATATATAGGGTTTCTACTTGTATAAAATATATAGGGTTTTTTGTTGCTTGTTGGTTTGTTTTTTAGAACAAATGGAGTCAATGAGCTCTCTCTTCTTTTAGGTAGCACTTTCCATGTTGAATAATTCTCAACACAAGGAAACAAACCTGTTTTCTTTTTAAAAATAATTACACAAGCAGGTCTTGAAAAATTTAGCTTACACAGTGCAGTATTATGTAGATTTAAATGTGTCCTCATCCTGCCCACTGCTGTCTTATATTTATTTTAAATTACCATTCTATTCTGATTTTTTTTTAGTGGTAGTCATTGCTATCATTTCAACATACGTTATATTCTGTCATTTTCTCTGGCTTTACTTGTGTATACACGTGTCCAAATTCATATATATGGATTTTATTAAAACCATAATTTAATAATTTTGTTTACATGCTTTTTTTCTGTTAACAATAGCTTAGGTTTTATACAGATATCCCTCTCATTTTGATTAAGAACTACGTAATATTTCCTAGAATGAAAGTACCATAATAGCTTATTCCATTAAAAAATCTGTTACTCACCATGCTTCATCATGCATACATGAAGATATATATTTATGGTCATGTGTAGAAAAATAAAAGCAGAAATATTAAGTGAAATTAAAAATATATAACCTTTACAAGATTTCTAATAGATGCTAGCAAATTGCATTTAACAAATTATTTTCTCTCCAAGACTGTAGGAAAATGACATAACCCCGTCCCCTACCAGAAATGAATATCAAATTAATCTTGATTTTACAAGTATTAGTATGCAGATATAAGGGTTGTTAGTTAATAACAACAACTGAGTATAATTTGAGCTGTTAGAAAATTATTTTCTTATATCTAAGGTAAAATTTTCCCTTAATATTGATTTATTGGTCTTAGCTCTACTCTTGGTATCAAAGAGAAAATGCTTCTATTTTGTTTATGTAACAATTTTTCCACATACAAAGTAGTCACATGGTAAAAGACTGAATAGACTGCTAAAGCCCTACATAAAGAGCAACCCATATGTTACCTGTGTCTTCTATGGTTACTTGTGTCAAAGAGATTTCAATAATATGGTGCAAATTTTAAGGGGTCACATTTATTTTTCCCAAGACGTGATCTGTGTATTCGTGTTGCCTTCACAATTCAGGCAAGAAGGTTGCTACCCAGGGCTTTTCTTTATCCCCATTTCTCCCATCACCCCCGACCAGAAACTATATTAATTACACACGCAGATCAAAATCACCAGGTTTTATTTCAGTTCTACTTTACTTGCCCTTTGGAGGCCAACCTCCCTTATTTCCACCCATCCTTTTTGTTTCTTCCTAGCTGCTGTCATTTTCTTTTCATATTTTTTCTATTAATCTCCATATCGTTCACGGTGTTTATCATGCTATTCCATTGTAATTAATGTCTCTGGGTTATGAAAGAGCAAATTTAACTTCTGTTTCACTTAGATGTGCTTTATCCCTGAGTAACACGATGCGTGAAAGGATGGACTTGGTGGATTTGGAAATGGAGATGAGACCCATAATGCTTTGCAGCAAATATGCCTGATTCTGAATTTGAAAACTCTTTTAGTTTAGATTCCAATTGTATCCTAAAATAAATTTAGGTTCCACAGACATTTTACTAAGTGTCTGCTTTGGGTCAGGCATAGCCCCAGGAACTCTCACACTGTATTGTTACGTTAACAAAAGTTATTAAGTGTATGAGAGTGAAACTGTGGAATGAAAACTGCATTTCGTATCAGAGAGAAAAGAAACAACTTACATTTTACATATTAAAATATAAAAAATCCAATATTTTACATGTGAATCCTGTGGGATTTCATACTGCTTGTATACATTAGCTCAAGTGATATTAATTGCAATATGGTGGAATACTAATAGTTTCATTTTTGCAGAAGAGAAAATCGAGTGTTACAGATGCTGACATCCTTGCCACTATCCTACAGCTATTCAGTGACATTCCAGGGCTAGGTTTCTGGTGGTTTTCTTTTTCTCTGGCTTCCAAGAGAATGGCATATTATATCTTAGTTTTGATTGCCTTCTCCCAGTAGTCTCCGTAATCAACAGAAGCAGCAACTCTACTTACTAGTATGCATAGGTTTGTGTTTTTTTAACGAAGTAAATATATTTTATTGAGTCTTTCCAAAATCTTTGTAATTTTCCTTAATAAATCAGGAAAGAAAGCATTGTGACTTTTTTTTCCAATATAATCCTGTATTTCCATGAAGATGGCTTCTTTCAGTGTTTATTTTGTTAAGCACATAGTCTATACATCTTTGTTAAATAAATGAATATGGAGCTTTTATTTTTCATAAATAATTTTATGCATGGTTCCAAACTGACCTGTCTGTATATTTTTATCACCTCAAGCCACAATATATTGATAGTATTTATTGAGTATCCATTTGATTATAGCACCATATTTCCTGCATATATGTTTTTATTCAATATTTGATACATTGGGAGAAAAAAATGAATACATTAAAAGTACCGACTGTTTTATTTCTTCCAATATATCTTTTTCTATACTGATATAGTTTATAGCTTTATAAATTCTAATAGCTACATTCTTTTTCATTCTCTTGATAAACTCTTTTGATTAAACATTTTGCAATTGTTGAACTTCATAGTTGATTTTTTTTTTTTTTTTTTTTTTTGGGGAGATGGAGCCTCTCTCTGTCGCCCAGGCTGGAGTGTAGTGGTGTGTAGTGTGATCTCGGCTCACTGCAACCTCTGCCTCCTGGGTTCAAGCGATTCTCCTGCCTCAGCCTCCCGAGTAGCTGGGATTACAGGCCCCTGCCACCACGCCTGGCTGATTTTTATATTTTTAGTGGAGACATGGTTTCAACATACTGGCCAGGCTGGTCTGGAACTGCTGACCTCAAGTGATCTGCCTGCCTCGGCCTCCCAAAGTGCTGGGATTATAGGAGTGAGCCACTGCGCCCAGCCTCATTGTTGATTTTTTAAAGCAGGGACTCTAAGTTTGCATGTCAACTATAGTAAATGCATGTTACATACCCTTTTTCCATTTTTTTTTTGCTTATTTTTAGTTTGTTATATGAAACCTGTTATTGATATAACCTCAAAAAACTTGCATGTGTCTAAAGTATGTTTACGTATATTTACAGCAGTGGTACTGTCATTAAAGATTTTAGGGCAGAGGGCAGTTTGCATCCTTATAGATACAATTACAAATATCTCTGTTCTTTCTTTTGTAACTACAAAATGCCTTCTGAAAGTAAAAGCATGGATAATAGTTCTAAAGGCACTTTGATTATTTTTTGGAATATCATTCCTGAATTGAGCTGTGTGCGGTATCAAAGAATTGGGCTTTTCATTAGTCAGGATGTTTGTCCTCAATTGTTTCCTTAATGATGGTTCTTTCATTGCTGGAATGTCCTGTTTCTCCTGATGTATTTATTAGCCATGAGTTGACTCATTCTATTTTTGAGGTATGTTTCTTCTGCAGGAATAAGCTACATAGGTAATTAAGCCATTTTTCTAATTTGCCTTTTAAATATACACAATGTGCAACAACCCTTTTTTAATACTGCCACTTCAATTTTGCCTTTTGAAAATACCAATAATATTTTTCTCAACAATTTCTTAGTTTACTACAGATTTTCTTTATTGTTTTATATTCTATTTTAGTAGTCATTGCTTTTTTCTTTTATTTATATAATCATGCTTTTTTCATGATTATTAAAAAAGTAGTTTCTCTAGTATGGATATTTTTGGCAAATTTTGTTGTTTATTATTTTTTGTATTTCTTTTATTTAGATCTGACACCCCACCCTCGTTCCTCTTTTACTTTGTTCATAATTTTGAAGTCTCCCACTGACACTTACTACTTTTTCTTTACTATATAACTATTTTTTTCTTTTTTAATTTTTATTTTAGGTTTGGGGTGCATGTGCAGGTTCGTTGCAGAGGTAAACTTGTGTCATGGGGGTTTGTTGTACAGATTATTTCACTATCCGGGTATTAAGCCTAGTACCCTGTACAGTTATTTTTCATGTTATTTTCTTGAGTATAAAAAGTGGTAAAATGTACTCCATTTATATGAATATTCCATGTCTTTCAACTTTAGTAGAATTTATGCTTATTAATAGCTTTCTTTTCCTATATCACTGGCAATGGAATAAAACCAAACATCTGTTTCTTTGTTGCTATCAGCATATTTAGGAATTGACAGAATCATTTGATTGAAAATTCTCTAAATATGATCACAGTACTTTATGGATTTTCATCTTTTTTAACAACATAAATATGGATTACATTTGCCTTATAATCATGTGTTTGTGATGCAAGCAGATATACCAGTACTTAGATGGTTCTCAGGAGAGACTCCATTTCTCAGTCTAATACTGGTATAGGGGAAAGGAATTTAAACTGTTTTCAGAAAAAAAGGTCATCCATACCGCGTGTCATGTTCTTTGCATTTATTCTAGTTTTAAGTTTCTTTAATATTTAACATGGAGATGTTACTACTTCTCTCACCAAGTTATAATAGAGGATGTTTAGGGTTGAATAAAATAATATATGTTAAACATTTTACTTTATGGTTTATATACTATTAGTATTATGCTTATTTTATATATTGCCATTATCTTATCATGAAATAACAAAAATGCCGGGGGGGGGGGGTCTATCGATTTTGAGTTATGGTTTGCTAACTGCGTTGTCCTGAATGATTTCTCTGATCATGAAAAAGTACACAGTGGGTGGAATTGCAAACATCAATTCTTCTGGTAGTGTACACAGGCTTCTGTAAGTTAGGAAAATCCTTCGACAGTTATGGCCTTCAAATTCCCCTTCAAGACAGCTGTACAATAGAATATTGCCGTATTTCAATTTTCTCCCCATGAATTGTTCACATTAGTTTCTCAACCTAAAATGTCTTTTGGTGTGGTCTTATTTTTAATGTGAACTGGCTTAGAGGTCAGAGATTAATTGCCAATAATATTCCTGAAAAGAGTAGGAAACTACTTTTAAGTAAAACATTGCACTTAATCCAATAGGTCTTTATTCTTCATAAACCAAATGTCCTTTCTGAATAATATTTTTCCTACTCAGTTAGATATTTTGGTATGTCCTGTAGATACCTCAATTTTAATATGGCCAAAAATATCTGTCATTTCCTCTCTTCAAACTATTTCCCTCTATTATTCTTAATTTTGATTACTATAGCCATTATCTACATACTTTTTTGAAGCTTAAAACCTAAGAACTGACATGGACAACTTCCTTTTTTCATTCCCACAATAAACTGTTCATTAAAACTTTTGAATCGACTTCCAAATGCTTCTCAAATCCAACCTCTCCTCTCGTCTCCTTGCCTTTTGTCAATACTTTACTTCAGGCAAACTTTATCTATTGTCTGGCCTATAGCTGAACATCCTGACTTGTGTCCCTACTCTCAGTTGTTCCTTAGTCTTTCATTCCTGGACATCTCGTTAAATTCTCTACATGGTTCCCAAAGTTACCTACCCATTATATCATAATATCATTTTTAAAGGTTTAAAAGGTTTTTGATGCAATATCATTGGCTATTAGAGAAAAGCAAAGTAAAGCTACAATGACATGCCACTATACACTTACTAGAATGGGAAAAGTAAAACCATGCTGACAATATCAAGTGCTGGTAAATATGTGGAACAACTGGATCTCTCCTGCATTGGTGGTGGGAATGTAAATCGATACATTTATTCTGAAAAGCAGTTTGGCAGTCTTTTATAAAGTTAACCATATCTTTATCACATGACATAGAAATCACAATCTTTAGTGTTTATCTCAGAGAAATGGAAACTTACATTCACGAAAAACCAGAACACTAAAATGCATAGGAACTTTATTTGTAATAGCCCTAATCTGGAAAAACTCAATTGTCGTTCAATGAATGAATGAATAAACAAACTGTGGTACATCATTACAACAGAATACTACTCAGAAATGAAAAAGAATAAGCTATTAATAGACACAATAACTTGAATATATATTGAGGCTAAGTGGGAAAAAAGCCTATCTCAAAAGGTTACTTACTGTGTGATTCTATTTATTTAAAAGCCTAAATATGATGAAATGTAGTGATGGAGAACAGACCAGTGGTTATTAGGGGTTATGGTATGAGGAAGTGGAGGGTTGTGACTATTAAAAGATAAATTTCTTTATGTTGATAGAACAGTACTCTATCTTGATTGTAGTGATACACTAATCTATATATGTCATGGAATTTATAGAACTATATACTAAGGGAAGAAAAGATGACTGAAAAGTAGATGAAATCACAGTATGATCTGTAGTCTAGTTAATAGCATACCTATATCAATTTTTTGGCTTGGATGAACTTCTTCGCTTACAAGTTTCTTTGGGAATCTCTGTACTGTTTTAAAAACTTGTTTATCTTAAAATATTTCAAAATAAAATCTTATTCAAGGGAAAAAAAATAAAGGCTTCTACTGATTCCCAAGACCAAGAGAGATAAAAATCAAATTTTTACCAAGACATATAATATGAATCCAAGTTGTTTTTAAACTCTCTAATCATCACTCTTCTTCATTCTTGCAAGTAGTTCATATCTTAGCCATTGGGAAATCACAGCTATGCACAGAATGCCTTCTTTCACCTCTCATTGACAAATTCCCACTTATCTTTCAATACATGGGCTAAATTCTTCTTTGAGGATCTTCTCAAATCTCAAGTGCTGCTCCTACTCTGCTGCTATAACACTTCATCATACATTTTTTGAGAAATTATCACAATCCATTGGTTTTTTTTCTGTTTATGCATCAGTTTCTTTCTTTAGACAATCAACTGGACAGATGGTATAGCACTGTTCCAGGTTCCTCTCAGAGGAGACAGTATTAGCCTAATTACTTTATAAGCTCAATCTAAAACTAATTTTACAACCAAGCCCAAAATAAATTAATGTTTTGTATTAATTGAGCTGTTGCACTTAGACTTGGTTAATATAAATGTTTTTATTTTCTTCCACCCACAAGGAATGTCTATTTTTCATTGTTGTTTCTGATCTCCATATTCTTGCCATATTAGCAGAACATCAGTGTTTCAAATATATTTTTTAAAGCAAGCTTCATGGATCTAATAAACACTAATATCATCAGTGCTTTTCTATGGCCCAGGGAAATTCTATCTAGAGTTACAGGACATTTTTGAATAGAGTTAGAAATATATACAGTTCTCTTGGAGTCCATAACATTTTATTTCCCAAATATTATGTTTGTGGAATCTAATACTTGCTGTTGTGTGCTATTATAGGCACAATTTTAAAAACATTTGTTTTATATATAAGCTCTTGGGTCATGATCTCAGGAAGTCATTTTAGATTATGTTGGTTTTGTATGATAGAATCACTTTCTAAAAGTGATAATAGTACAACATGACAGACAGTGGTAATTGACCATAGAAAACAAAAGCAGAAAAATATATTTGTATGAAGCAAAGCAAATTATGTATTAAGTTTGATGCCATAATTGTAATAATATGTTGAGATGCCTACTAATTCTAACCTCTTATTCAACCTAGTTTTTAAGGATTTTTTCCTATTCTTTTTATCATCAGTAAGCCAAGGTCTGTTCCTCCTTCTGTAATAGCTTTTTGTTTTACTATAGACAGCATAGAGTAAATGCAAAAGTTTTAATCAATACAATTAACATGATTCACAAACCTTCCAGTGACATCTTTGCCAAATTTCATACCCTATATTACGAAGTTCTGCATGAAAAGCTTTGACTGTTTTTCTAATCCCATTGTATATCCTCCTTTTATGTAGTACACCCCAGACTTATTGGCCTTCTTCTTGTTCCTCCGACATCCAGGCTTGCACTGGTTTGGGAACTTTAGCTGTTATCCCTCTTCAGGGTGTAATGCCTCAAGATTTCACACACGACTTTTTCTGGTTTTTCAGATCTTAGTTTAAGTGTCACTTTCCCAGAGAGGCCTTTTCTGAGTATACAACTTAAAGTAATCTTGTCATAGTGTGTGTGCCAATGCTGTCTTATAACAGCTCACTAGGGCTTACAGTATACCTCTTTCCAACTATGTATTGAGTGATGTCATATTAGTATATTTAAATCAGTCATGTTGGGAATGTTTTCATCACAGAAAATGGCAAAAACTCGGCTTGCTTTGTTCCTTTTAGAGAGCTGGTTATTAAACATTTGTCAGCATACCATTGCCTATATTGCCTATTAATATGTGACTCTTTATATTCTTTATATTTCTTGCAACCTTTAATTTCTCTTCTGAAAACTCTATTCATATGCATCTATTTCTAGTAGAGTATAAGTTTGATAAGAACCAATTCCCTGCTGTCTTGCTAGTGCCTAGAATACTGATTTCCACATCATGAATGTACAGTAAATATTTTTTGAATGAGTAAATTACTAGGCTAACCTATCTGTTATTCAGTTATGATGACTTTATTAATATTTAACATCCATTAGTTGATTTTTAAAATAAAGCATCTATTCTTCTATGAATGATTTCCTTAAGTAACATTGGATATATATGTATGCTCTGTTATTAGTCTCTTTCAATTAGTCAGATGCCCATTTCAAGATAGCTCGTTAGATTTGCTTTATCCTAACATATAAACTTCACTCAGAAGAGAGAACTTTCAAATCCTTAAATCATCTAAGAAATCTCTCCAATTCTTTCATGTCAAGGTTAATAATTAAACGTTTAATATCTCTTTAAGCTATTAAGCTAGCAATAAAAATGCAATATTTTAACCCAATTTACTCGATTAAGGAACAATCCCAGATGTGATTTAACATGAAGAATTGCAGTGATCTGCAGTTCATTAAAATCTGAATACTAAAAAGAGAATTTTAAACATATTATGTAAAGACGTTCGTTTACCTCTTTTCCATAAAGAAATATTATCTTCATTTTCCTTAAAGCATGTTGATTATCCTTAGGTACTGGATATATCTAACATGAATTATTGCCTTTTTCCCTGCAGAGCTGTGTACTGGTAGTTATTAAATAGCCCATTATCAACTGAAATTCAGATGCAGGTTTTATTCTCCTTTTTTCTGACCATATTTTTCTGCTAGTGTTTATTTATTTACTTATTTTCATTAAAATGACCATGACCTTGGTGTTAAAATCAGTAATGTATACAGAAAATTCATTTGGAATGCAATAGTTATAATTCAGTTCTGAAAATTTATGTTTATCAAAGTATAAAATATTTTTGTTATAGCTCTTTTAACTTTTCCTAAAGTGATGTGTGAGCATGATGTAACGTAGCAGAGGCCCAAATTTCCTTTAAGAATATTGCTTAGACCTCATATCATCTTCTAGCCTCACTATAAGCAAATTGAGAACTGCAATCATTTGATGGTTTTAGGACTTAACAAGAAAAGAAAATACTAAAAATCAGATGTCCTACACTGAGAGTTTTATCTTCTAAAGAATTCTTTCATCTTTTATGTTAAGGACCTCCAAAGTATGATGTTGTTAACGTGAACACATATGTGCACAAATGAGAGCTGCGTTACAGCGCTGAGAAACTACATGTGGATCCTGAGACCAAGTTTAGCTGAAAAAGTACATCTGTGAGCAAACGGCATTGAATTTTATTATTAAGCATCTGATGAAGTGGTTCACCTTTTGTTTTTAGGTCCACATTTGCTGAAATGTAACTCTTATCTCATGCACTGGGAGTGATGAACTTCACTAGGAAATCATCGTTCTTTCTGGTAAGTCACCACAGCACAAAACTGCAACCATTGTTTAGTAACAACTAGACTCTGATAGATGCTGTGGAGAATTTGACTAGAAGTAGGAGGATCATTTACTACATGGCAAAAAAACAAATCAGTCTATCTTAGAAAGGTTAAAATTTACATGGATAATAAAGAAAGGAAGGTAGAAGAAGAGTGATAAATTAGTGAGAAAAGAACAGTAGGTGTAATTATAGCAATATGCTTAAATGAAAGAGAAAAATATGGCAGAAGCATTTATTGATTTGAGATTGTAATTTTTTTAAATAAAAAAGCTTAGTCTGGATTCCAACTTGTATATAAAATTAGGAGCAAAGGTATGATTAATATGTTCATGGAATATAATTATCAAGAAACCACAGACATTTGTGTATGGAGGACACAGAAAGGTGAGAACTTGCTAACAGGAATCCCATTAAAGAAGCTTCAGAATTTGAAGATCAGCAAAGAGAAGGAAGAGATGAGAATGAAAGGCTTTATGAAGGAATGAAATGACAGTCATTGCATTTATTGATGTATCTGTATTTAAACATAAGTATATTTATTTATATTTGAACATAACAGTTTTCTAGCAAAATTAATAAGGATTATGCTACAGACATACTCAGTTACGATCTTAGAGGGATTCTGAGAACTCTTTGATAGGTTATTTACTTATAGTTTGTCAGTAGTTTCTAAACATTTTTGGATGGACATCTCTATAAGTAATAATATTTGAGCAAGTAAACTTCAGTACTATATTTGTTTATATGTACACAATTTTTCTAATATATAATTTAAAAATACCTACTAAAATTGATGAGATAAGATGAATGTAAACAGAATTTTTAATAAATTATTTCTACCACAGCAGATCATTTTTGTATGCATCCCAATCTGGAGACTTCACAGTTTGATTTGGCATTACTATTGATTTGAAATAGAGTTTTGTTTATTTGTTTCATTGTTACAAAGAATAGGAAACACAACATAGAGGCTCCCCTCCTAGAATCAAACTAACTTTAGCATATTATCAACAAATGCTTGCCTCTGAAAAAATACTATTCACTTCTTGTATTAATGAGACTTTATCCAATTTAATTTCATATATTGGATGAGGTTAGGCATTCATTAGAACAAGTCATGACAGGCTAGCATTTGTATTTATTAATAGTATGGTAGATATTGATCTTTTTTTCTTCTGAACAACAGGCATTCTATTTTCTAACTATTCTTTCCTCGTTTCATGTGATTTTGATGAGGCTATAAATCACAGGACCCTGCTCTTTCAGCTTAGTCTAATTTTGGCACAAAGTATGCATTTAATAACTGATAACAATTATTACTACTATTGTAATTATTACTATTATTGTAGTTATAGGTACTAATTGGGATTTGTTGAGAGTCCCATATTTGCTCTATGGAATAAACCAAAAGTTGATCAACTCTTTCTGTAAAGGGCCAGATAGTCTATGTTTTGGGCTTTGAGGACATTATGTTCTCTGCCATAACCACTTAACTCTGCCATTGTAACATAAAAGTAACCAGACAGTACATCAAAAAATGAATGTGGTTTTGTTCCAATAAAACTTTAGCTGTGAATATGGAGGTGGGTTTGATGTAATTTGAGGGCCATAGTTTGCCAAACCCCAGAAAAAAGCATACAAAATTTACTGAATGCCAATCTGTACAAATGCATAGCTAGTGTGTTAATACATAAATATGCATACAGTCATTCATTATATAATAATTTAGTTCAATAATGGTCTGCATATACCATGGTGGTTCCATAAGGTTGTAATATCATATTATTACTGTACATTTTTTATTTTGACATGTTTATATACATAAATACTTACCGTTGTGTTACAATTGCCTGCAGTATTTGGAACAATCACAAGCTATACAGGCTTAAAAGCGAAGAGCAATAGGCTCTATACCACATAGCCTAGGTGTGTAGTAGGCTATATCATGCAGGTATACATAGAGCATAAGTACATTCTATGATGTTCACACAACAAATCACCTAAGGACTCATTTCTCAGAACATTTCCCTGTCATTAAGTGATGCATGACTACACACGTACCTGAAACTATAAATAACTTTGAAGCATAAATAGTTGGTTGCTTTCTGGTATTTAAAATCAAGCCTACTTTTTAGGCTAAGTGATAGAAGAATAAGAAAATGCTGATTCCTTTCAATGTTTCTTTTGCTTTCATTATGAACTGAATGCTTGTATGCCCCCAACATTTACATGTTAAAGCCTGATTCCCAATGTGATGGCATTTGGAGGTAGATCCTTTACAGGTAATTAGGTCATGAGAGTGGAGCACTCATTAGTGGTATTAGTGCCCTTATAAGAAGACACAGGATAGAGTGTGCTTCCTCTTTATCTTTTTCCACCATGTGAGGAAGCCGTGGAAGAAGGTGATCATCAGAACCTAACCATGCTGACACCCTGCTTTCAGAATTTCAGCCTCCAGAACTGTAAGAAATACATTTCTGTTGTTTAAGCCACCCAGTAATTCGTTATAGCAGCCTGAACCAACTAAGTCAGCTTTCATTATTTGTTTCTTTATGATTTGCTGATCTTGTTTTGTGCTTCACAAAGATCCACATAAAACGTCGATCCCCCCAGTAGTTCACTTGCAGTTGGTCAATTTCCTGCAGCAGAGCTAATCAACTCATTGCAGACTCTCCTTGCCTTTCTATTCTAGCTGATCTAAGTTTGATCTGTAAAGTATAGTTTCTATGTCAACTTTAATTTTGCTATGCACTTTTTCCATGTCTTTAAAACTACATAAACACATGTAATATTTAAACACTGTGGTCTATTCTAATCTATGAAAAGCCTATTATTCTGTTCCATTTTTCAAAATACATTTCTCAATTACAATGATGCTATAAGTTTTATAAACTCCCTTTTATTAGGCAAGGAAAAAATGCCCCTCTTCTAGATAGAGGGCCTCCAAGTTAATTCATCAGCAGTAAACATTTTTTTTCCTATGGTTAAATTGATGTATTCACTGCTCCGTCCTTTCTTACTTCTCAACATTAACCCTCCAACAACCTGGATTTTCCTGTGGTCTCTGAAGAATTTTCTGCTAAATAATGTATCCATCACTACTTTTGACTTATAATTTCTATTTTAATAAAAAAAGATTGATTTTTTAAAATTAAAATATTTTATTCTTAATAAATATTAAAAGACTGTTACTGTTAAAATACATTGATTCTATATATATTTTTTCTCTATCCTTCCTTTGAACGACGCTCAAGGCATTTCTTCCATTATGCCTACAGACCTGTGTTATAACACATTCTTTGCCAATCCTTGAAATAAATGCTTAGCAAGGTAATCTTTTAGTTGTATCAGGAGGAAAAGCTATTTGCTTTCTGTCATCACAGACCAATCACAGGTCCTGTTTCAACTTCATTTATTAATATTGAGTCAGGTATGCTGCTCAGATTCCTTTGTATATGCTAAACTGTCTCCACAAATTGGTGTTTAATGTCTACAAGAAAAAAAAAAGAGTGGCTATATTTGTAGCAAAAGGTAAACTCATTGATTTTCATCTCCAGAAGCAATACAAGGATGATTTATTTCCTTGAGAGATAATTTCTTATATGTATAGTAATCAAGGATAGCAACACAAATGAAAATGTAATTATGAGTACTGCATACCATATTGGTTTTTTTCTTCTATTTCTTCTGTTTTTGTTAATTGTCAAAGCCAAGAGTATGTCAAGCTGAGAAAATGTCATTAATGAGGATATAGATTAAATGGTCTGTGGGTAATTAATGATGACTGCAATGTCTTTCTCACTTTCTGCATAAAAGATGGGGTTTATTGCTTCTCTCTTTGAACCTGGGTTAGCTCTGTGACTGCTTCATCAGTAAAATGTGGTAGAAATGACTTGGTGACAGCTGAAAGTTTACATTTTAAGCAGAGTCTGCTCCCATTTCCTATTGCTTGGAGTGCTTGCTCTGGGGAAAACTAGATGCCCTGTAAGATGTGTGAATATTTGGAACTCGACACGCTATGAGGACTCCAAGCCGGCCATGTTGCAACATCATTTAAACACTATGCATATTGAATTCAGTAGGTTCTTCACACAGATGCTATCTTTAAAAAAAAAACAAATGTAGTTTAACAATTTATTTATTTGTTTTTGTCAATTCTTACAGCAAACATTTGTAGAATATAGTTAAGGATACAGAGATAAAAGATAACATTTTTATCCACAAGGAATGCTTATTGTATTCTGTGAGACAGAAAAGTAAACACACAAAATTTAAAAAGTATTATAGGTAATAAGGCAGAAAAAGGTACAATGTACAAGTTTGGATGCTAAGAAAGAAATACTACTTCTATCCGGAGGCATGGTATCTAGTATGCTCTTTGTGTATAATAACAATATATTATTATATGTTTTATATGCATTTTTATTAATAATGGTAATGGCAACTCTCCATTATTGAGCACAAATCATGTGCCAAGCATTATGCAAGTGAGCTACTATTCTGCTTCTACCTGAGAAAGGAGCAAGAAATTAGAAATAACATGTTTCTAAAAATTTCCAATCCAAATTGATCATCTCAAAATAGTATGGCACTTAGGTCAATCAATTTCTTGGGAAAAGAAGCTAACTAGATTATAAAATGGGATCCCTCCTCAAAAGGCAGCTCATTCATGATAACTCTCTAAATGGTTGTATGAAAAGATAAAAATAATTAAGTTTCATCCTGGACCTTTTGATGCTAACATTAAAAGGACAGCACTGTCTTCTCACAAAAATCCCTTATTTTTCTTCTTACCAATAGAAATCCATGATGAGTGAGCTTGTCTCATTGTGGCAATTCCTATAATAACAGATAACAACTAGTAACAAATGTCTCTGAGTCAAATCTCTCTTCTGACCAGCCACACTGAATGAGATAATTTGTCATTTCAATTTAAGTGTTTGTGTGATGATGAGAATACTGAAAATGTGACTTTTAAAGCACTTGATGATACTTTGAATTCTTTAGTTTTTGTAGTTTTGGTCCAAATTTGCTTGCTTTATTTCCTCATAGGTAATGAAAATATAAATCCTTAGCCTAACACTTTTGCAAATTATTTCAAAATGAGAATAAATGAAGTTTAAATTCATTGTGTCTTACTCAAATTGTTTTTACTCATATGGTTGAGTTTCAAATTCACCAGCTGCACAACCTCATGCCAGTCATTTGTTTCCCTCACATATGCCTGTGAAGATCAAAGGTTATAGTTCTTGCTTGTGGTTTTCAAAATCAGTTTTGCTGAGAAAACTGATCTCTAAATCAATGCTTAGTCAGAAGCCAAATACGTAAAGCACATAACCTCAGGGTTACTTGAAGGATCTCTAATCAATGGAGATAGGATATGATGAAATTGGACACGAATGTGTTAGATAGCATATTAGTTGTGGATGTTACACAAAGAAGCACTCTCCTCAAATAAGTTTGAGACACTCAGTGATAAGGAAGTTACACAGTTTCTTTATTGCAGTACTTCTCCAAGACCTAGTTATGCTGATGTGAATTGTTATTCTGTGGTGAAGGGTAGTATTTCTCAAAGTTAGGCAACAAATCATTGAACTTTAAGAAAGACAGAAGTGTATTTTATGTACTATTTTATCCTCAATGCTTCCCATAATATCTGACACATAAGTGATATCAATAAACAACATTTGACTGAATTTAAATAATCCATGAGATTTGGTTTCTGTGCCACTCACTACTGAGTAGCTTTTTGTTTTGAAGAACGTAGTCTTTTCTCTCTGTTATTATTTTTGTAATGTGAGAGATGTCTACAAACACAAGAACCAACTGAGCACAAAACAAATAAACAAAAGCTCTGAATCTATAACTAATTGAACCACTGAAATTTTTCATCTAAACTTTCCTTACATTCTGACATCCAGAAAAGAATTTCTGCTCAAATGGGCAAGTCATAAAGACAAATACTTTTAACTGTCTTGGTGTTTCACCCCATTTGTTTTATTATCTCTTACTTCTTTTTATGTAAGTTATATTTAGTAGACATTTGTCCACTATTAATGGACTTCTTTCTAGAGGTGGCATTATGTTGAATTTAATTTTTTAAGGTCATTGCAAGTAAATGAAAAATTTCTGTCTATTATGGTCATTACTATTGAAAATAGATGTGGGAGAATATTCTGTTTATCATTACTGGGAAGATATGTACCAGGTACTGTTCTAAATTTAGTACATTTTTCAAAATATCTAACTTTATTTAATTTTCCTAAAATTGCATGAGATGGATATTACCGTCTTCATTTTCTCAACGAGAAAGAACTTGAGGATCTGAAACATTGAGGAATTTTTCTAAGAACAAATAGCTGTGAAATTACAGAGTTGAGGTGAGGACTCAATTTTACCCTGACTCCAAATCATATACTCTTAAATAATAAATAATAGAAATTTGAAATACAAAAATCAGTTTCTCTCTCCTTCTGGTTTCCTCATTTTATTCTGAGACATCAAGGGAAAGAAGAAAATATCTTCTATGTTAAAACCCCTCACCTCAACGTGAATTTGTACACTATTCCAGTTTTATTCCCAAAGTGATTGATGAGTTCAAACAGACAGAGGTGAGGGATTGGAATATTAATATCAAAGATCTCAAACGATTTTCTCTCTCCTATGACAGTATTGAATGAGCTTAAACTAATGTTAGCATCAAGATCTTCAAAACATCATTCATCGTGGGGAAAAGGGAATCAATACTAACATCAGGATCTTCCCTCTTACTTAAAGCTTTAATTCACTTCTATGTTCCACTTATATAACCCCAAACAGCCAATACATTTCATTTTATAATATTGCCTATGAATTTTACATATTTATTTTGTGTTATTTCATTAGTCACTGCATGCATGCCTCTGTCCCTTCAACAAATGTTTATTGAGGACCTATTACATGTCAGCACTGTTGTAGGCTCTGGGATGCATCAGAGAACAAAACAAACAACAATCCCTGATGTAACGGAGCTTGCATTTTAATGAGGAAAATAGACTATAAATAAAATAAATAAGTTAAATCAATAGCATATGAGAATATTATAAGTGGGGGGAAATCACTCAGAGAAGGCAGAGAAGGAGTTTTGGGAAGTAGGGGTGAATTTTAAATTGAGCATTCAGAAAAAGACTCACTGAAAAGATGAAATTTGAGCAAATGCATGAAAGAGATGCAGAAATGAGCCAGCTGGATATCTGAAGGAAAAGCATGCTAGGCAGAGGGAACAGCAAGGTGGCACATATGCTAAACTATACGGTGAGGAACAGAGTACTAGAGAGATGAATTCACAGAGCAAATAGGGGAGCAGGGTGTGTGTGTTCAAAACTGCAGACCAGGGGTTAGTAAACTTGCCTTCTAAGGGGCCAGATTATAAACAGGTTCAGCTTTGCAGGCCACATTATCTCTGTCACAACTACTCAACTTTGGCATTATAATACAAAAGCCATCATTGTATGTAAACCAATACATGTGACTGTTCTAATCCAACTTGATTTTAAAAAGCAAGCAGTGGTCAAATTTGCTACAATTTCCCATTGCAGACCATTGAGAAAATTTTGGCTTTTGCTTTAATTGAGATGAAGTGTAGGGTAGTTTTAAAAAAACTGTGGCATATTCTTTAGATTTCTTCCCATTGAGAGGTGTCTCTACATCTTGCCTTCATTTTGGCTGGACTTATGACTTCTTCTACACATGTACTATGGTAGAAATGATGCTATGCGACCTCTAAGCCTAGTTAATAAAAAAGCATACAACTTCCACTGTTTTCTTTGTATCCTCCCTCTAGAGAAAACCAACTACCATGTAAGTATATGGCTACCTTGAGGCCACTGAATTGGAGAAACCACATTGAAAAATCTCACAAGTAGGACAGGAGATGCCAGATAAATCCCAGCTGTTCCAGCCTTCACGTAGTTGTGTCATGCAAACCTGTGATTGTGGAAGGCATAAAGATGACTTCAGCCTCGACCTCCATCTGACTACAATCACATGACAGATCCCAAACCAACACAACCCAGCTGAGTCTAGTTGGTTCCCAGGACCTTGAGCGGAGTGATACATATTTTTTTAAGCCAGTCTGTTTTGGAATTGTGTCTTACACATACCCAGGTAACTGAAATCAGCACTCTTTAAAGTATTTTGAGAAAAGGAATTATGCAGCATTAATCTTGTGTTTTAACAGGATTTCTCTGGCTTTGTGGGTGGCAAAAAGGAATCAGGGAGACTATTTTAATAATCCAGACAAAAGAGTTTAGTGGGTTGGACCAGAATCATAGCAGGGAGGACCAAGAAAAAGGGTAGGATTTTGTTTAACTGTATTTTGAAGGTACAGGTAACTGCTTTACCTGATAAATTACATGTAGAATACAAGACAAAGGGTTGAATGAAGGTGTCTCCAAGAGTTTTTAGCATGTGGCAGAATGTAGCTGTCATTTACTGAGTTGGAAGAATATGAGAGATGCTGATTTGAAGGTGAAAAATCAGGACCTGAGTTTTGGACTTGTTATTTTCTACATGGTTATTCAACATCCAAATGGAGAAAGCAAAGGGGCAAATATGTATGAGTCTAGCTTTTCTAGCAGAGGTCTTATCTGGAGATATATGTGGATGCTGCCAGCCTCTAGAAAATACTGAGTTACTAAAGCACAAACGGGGAAGAGAAATACCAAGAGCTTGAGGCACTTACATTTTAAGAGGGCAGGGAGATAAGGTAGGATTATCAAGAGTGTTCAAGAGAAAAGGGCCAGAGAGGTAGGAGAAAAGTTAAGAGAAAGTGATGTCCAAGGAAGCCAAGTGGAAACAGTACTGATGCATGAACCAAGGCAGGCATTTATTATGAAACTGAGCATCCAGAAAACAGGGTGAATATTTAATACCTGTTTTGTCTTCATTTATGAAATCATGACAAACAGCGTTCATATCTTGAGTCCATTCTATATGCAAGTACAAGTAAAACCTTAGCAAGTATTCTCAATTACAAGTGCAATTTTAGATATTGATGAAGGATGGGCAAGAATTTGGAACAATTTGCTAGGGATGATATAAAATTGTAATAAATAAAAAGTGTTACTTTTTGGCTGTGTCCCCACCCAAACCTCCTCTTGAATTGTAATACCGGTAATCCTCACGTGTGGTTGGAGGAATCTGATGGGAGACGATTGGATCGTAGAGGTGGTTTCCCCTATGCTGTTCTCGTGATAGTGAGTGAATTGTCATGAGATCTGATGGCTTTATAAGGCAGTTTTCCCTGCTTTTGCTCATGTTCCCTCACCTGCCACCATGTAAGATGTGCTTGCTTCTCCTTCTGCCATGATTGTAAGTTTCCTGAGGCCTCCCCAGCCATGTGGAACTGTGAGTCAATTAAACCTCTTTTCTTTGTAAATTATCCAGTCTTGGGTAGTATCGTTTAGCAGTGTGAGAATGGACTAAAACAAGAAGGAAGATTGAGACAACATGCTTTGGCCTCTTCTCTGTTTGTTGAACATCCTGGGGAATCCACCACCATAATATCTCTTCTGTTTTAACTGAAGACTTTTGTGCAGGACACTGAATTCGCACCAATCTTTATGTTCATATTGACAACTCAGTGATTAATAGGGATACCCTAATTTGTTTCATATGCTACATGGTCACAAATTTAGATATGTAAGCTGCAGAAATGAATTGGTTCAACCTTTCTGTAAACTGGGGCTTTATACAAGGAACAATTAAAATTTCTTTAGTTGGCTTTTCTCTGCACTATTTCCCCATTTGTCTATCTAAATCTAAACACAGATGCCATAGTCCTGTTATTCTACCCTTAACTGTGGTGATGCAAAATATAATGCAAAAGCTCAAAAATGATGCACAATAATAGACATGCGCAACCAGCTTTGTAAACAAAAGTTTGCAGTGAGGTCCCCAAAGACTGGAAACTAAATGTTTCCTTTTCAAATGAACAGCTAATATGTCTCACGGTTAGAATGTAAAACTTGCTTCATTACTCATTTAACGACCTGGGGAACTAAAACCATCCTTTCCTCTTCCAATGTTTGAAAGATAATTTTAAATTTTAAATTTCATGTTTTTCTCATTATTAAGGATTGATAATGGACCCAATGCATGGGAAAACTAATCTAACAAAAAATACATTGGAGGTGTCAAGGCAGTGTGTATTAGTGGATGACACTTAAATGAGCTGCTAACAGGGCTCAGAAAGAACCTGACAGGCACCATGATTGATCTATTATTGGCCTAGGTGACATTATTGGATTTCAGAAATTTGAATTAAAAATTTCACCTAAAGAAAAAGAATAAGTTTGAATTCAGGCAGATAATTTAGTATAGTCATTATTTTAAAAAACTTGCTGAAGTGAGGCAGTGTCTACACAGTCAAGTAGGCTTTGGTAAATATTTTAAATATTGTGATTTTTACCTGCAATATATTTGTATACTGCAATGCCTTTGTACACCACAGTTATATTTTAAATATACCATTTTAAGTTATTTTCGTTTGTGTGAATAATGTTGAATATCTGATTTCGTAGTTAACCTGGCCAGAGGCTTTTTTTTAATTGAACTTTTCAAAAAATCATCTTCTGGTTTTGTTGATTTCTCTATTGATTTCCCATTTTTATTTCATTTATTTCTACTCTAATTTTAATTTATTTTCCTATGCTTACTTTGGATTTAATTTGCTTTTGTTCTAGTTTTCTAAGGTGATTAATTTTTTTAATTTTAATAAGTTTTTGGGAAACAGGTGGTGTTTGGCTACATGAATAAATTCTTTATTGGCGATTTCTGAGATTTTGGTGAACCCATCACCCAAGCAGCGTACACTGTACCCAATATCTATGTAGTATTTTATCCCTCAACCTCCTCGCACCCTTTCCCCCAAAATCCCCAAAGTCTGTTATATCATTCTTATGCCTTTGCATCATCATAGCTTAGCTCCCACTTATGAGTGAGAACATATGATGTTTGGTTTTCCATTCCTGAGTTGCTTCACTTAGAATAACGGTATCCAATTCCAAGGTTGCTCAAATGTCATTATTTTGTTCCTTTGTATGGCTGAGTAGTATTTCATTATATATATATATATATTTTATATATATACACACATATATCGATATCACATTTTCTTTATCCACTGTTGATTGATGGCATTTGGGCTGGTTCCATATGTTTGCAATTGTGAATTGTGCTGCTATAAACATGTGTGTACAAGTATCTTTTTTGAATAATGACTTATTTACCTATGGGTAGATACCCAGGAGTAGGATTGCTGAATCAAATGATAGATCTACTTTCAATTCTTTAAGGAATCTCCACACAGTTTCCCATAGTGGTTGTACTAGTTTACATCCCCACTAACAGTGTAAAAGTGTTCCCTTTTCATCAGATCCATGCCAATATCTATTTTTTTTTATTTTTTGATTATGACATTCTTGCAGAAGTGAGGTGGTATCGCATTGTGATTCTGATTTGCATTTCCCTGATAATCGGTGATGTTGAGCATTTTTCATGTGTTTGTTGACCATTTGTATATCTTCTTTTGAGAATTATCTATTCATGTCCTTAGCCCACTTTTTGATGCAATCGTTTGTTTTTTTTCTTGCTGATTTGCTTGAGTTCCTTGTAGATTCTGAATATTAGTCCTTTGACTGATGCACAGGTTGTGAATATTTTCTCCCACTCTGTGGGTTGCCTGTTTACTCTGCTGATCATTTCTTCTGCTGTGCAGAAGCTTTTTAGTTTAATCAATTCCCATCTATTCATCTTTGTTTTTGTTGTGTTTGGTTTTGGGTTCCTGGTCATGAAGTGTTTTCTTAAGTCAATGTCTAGAAGGGTTTTTCCAATGTTATCTTCTAGAATTTTTATGGTTTCAAGTCTTAGATTTAAATCTTTGATCCATCTTAATTTGATTTTTTTATAAGGTGAGAGGTGAGGATTCAGTTTCATTCTTCTACATGTGGCTTGCCAATTATCCTGGCAACCATTTGTTGAATAGGGTTCCTTTCCCTATTTTATGTTTTTGTTTGCTTTGTCAAAGATCAGTTGGCTGTAAGTATTTGGGTTTATTTCTGGGTTCTCTATTCTGTTCCATTGGTCTATATGCCTGTTTTTATACCAGTACCATGCCGTTTTGGTGACTATGGCCTGATAGTATAGTTTGAAATTAGGTAATGTAATGTCTCCAGATTTGTTCTTTTTCCTTAGTCTTGCTTTGGCCCTGTGGGCTTTTTTTTGGTTCCATGTGAATTTTAGGATTGTTTTTTCTAATTCTGTGAAGAATGATGGTGGTATTTTGATGGGAATTGCGTTAAATTTGTGGATTGCTTTTGGCATTATGGTCATTTTCACAATATTGATTCTACCCATCCATGAGCATGGTATGTATTTCCATTTGTTTGTGTTGTCTATGATTTCTGTCAACAGTGTTTTGCAGTTTTCCTTATAGAGGTCTATCACCTTCTTGGTTAAGTATATTACTAAATTTTTTTGTTGTTATATTTTTGTGGCATTTTGCAGCTACTGTTAAAGGGGTTGAGTTCTTGATTTGATTCTCAGCTTGGTTGCTGTTGGTGTATTTCAGCGCTACTGATTCGCGTACATTAATTTTGTATCCTGAAACTTTACTGAATTCATTTACCAGTTTTAGAAGCATTTTGGATGAGTCTTTAAGGTTTTCTAGGTATAAGATCATATCATCAGCAAACAAGAACACTTTGACTTCCTTTTTACTGATTTGGATGCCCTTTATTTTTCTTTTGTCTGATTGCTCTGGCTAGGACTTCCAGTAGTATGTTGAATACAAGTGGTGAAAGTGGGCATCTTTGTCCTATTCCAGTTCTCACGGGGAATGCTTTCAACTTTTCCCCATTAAGTATAATGTTGGCTGTGAGTTTGTTATAGATAAGGTGATTAATTTTAAATATTTCTTTTCTAATAAATGTATTCAATGCCATAAATTTCTCTCTAAGCACTGCTTTCGACACATCCCACAAACTTTGTAAGTTGTATTTTCATTTTCATTTAGTTCAAAATACTTATTTTGTTGTTGTTGAGATTTTTTCTTTAATCCATGTGTTCTTTAATAGTGTGTTCTTTAATCATAAGACAGTCAGTAGATGTCAGTTATATCCAGTTAATTGACGGTGCTGTGTTTACTCTTTTTTCTGTCTGCTTGATATGTCCATTTTTGATAGAGGGGTGTTGAAGTTACCAACTATGATAGTGGACTCATGTTTTTCTCCTTGCAGTTCTATTAGATGTTGCCTCATGTTTTTGATGCTCCATTGTTAGGCATCTATACATTAAGGATTGTCATGTCTTTATAAGGAACTGACCCCTTTATCATTATGTAATACCCATCTTTAGCCCTGATAACTTTCTTTGCTCTGAAGTCTAGTCTGTTTAAAATTAATATAGCTGTTCCCATTTTAAAAATTAGCATCAGCATAGTATATCTTTCAGTATGTGCTCCTATAGTTAATGCATGTTTCTTGTAGGCAACATACAATTGGGAAGGTTTTTTTAAATCCATTTTTACAATCTTTGCCTTTTAACTGATATATTTAGAACATTGATGTTTAAAGTAACTAATGATTTAGTTGAATTAATACCTATCATATTTGTTAGTTTTATATTTGTTACCCTTTTTCTTTGTTCTTAGTTTGTCTTCCACTATTTTACTGCCTTTCGTGGCTTTAATTGAGCATTTTGTATGATTCCATTTTCTCTCCCTTATTATTAGCATATCAGTTATGCTTCTTTTTTACATTTCTCAGTGGTTGCACTAGAGTTTCCAAGATACATTTATAACTAATTCAAATCCATGTTCAAACAACATTATACCACTTCACAGGTAGTGTGTGAGTACCTTAAAATAATAAAATAATCATAATTCTTCCCTCGTCACTTTTATCATTGCTATCATTCACTAATATATAAGCATATATAAGTGCTTATATATAAGCACTCATAAAATAACATAATAGTAGCATCAATATATTTTATTACATAATCACATGTGTAATAAAATGTATATATGTAATATATATGAAATTTATATATATATTATATATAAAAGCATATGTAATAAAATGCATTGTTGCTACTATTTTGAGCACACTTCTATTTGTAGATCAATTAAGAATAAGAAAAATATTTTTTCTTCGTGACCCCAGGTGTCATGGATAAAAGATCTATAGATATAATTTTCAAGTCAGTGCAAGGGTATTTTTTCTGACACCGAAGTGATATTAAAGTGGACTGAATTCTCTTGGGAAGTATTTAACTCCTAATTCTGGAGCTATTCCAGTGCTTGATAAACCACTCAGTGAAGATACTCTCAAATGAGTTCTTAGTATTTTTGTGTTAAACAGAAAATTTTCCAGTGTTAGGATAATTGGCAGGGATGGAAGGACTCAAAATTGCACTAATTGTATTATTCATAAAGAATAATGGAGTCACCACCAAAGAATAACACAGTGTCTGAAAGGCATCCACGGATATCACTGTCTTCATTTGTTGAGTCTTCATCATCAGGTTACTGTTTTAATAGAGCTATTTACTTCCTTGGGTACACTCTCAGTTGTTCACTCAGATATGTTATCATAAGTTCAGATAAATAAAATATTTTCAGAATCATCTTGAAATTTCACTATACCTATTATTTGCAACAAATGTTATTCCAGTTTCCCTTTGACTCTTTTAGCTTAATGTTCTGTGTAACAGCCATTGCTGTTAATATACGTATTTGGGGCAAAAAATACAATATCCTTTGTGATATCCCTTGGATTGTAATATCTGACCTTTGACCCCACATGTTTTAATTATGCAACTAATTATCATGTAATAAAGGAAATACAACTTCAAGATGGTAGCTTTGTATTTTATATTTAAAATCTTAGAAAGTTTTATTATTGATAAATAAAAGGATTCAAAATAATCCTGAAGTATAATGATGTTAAACATATAGTTTAGAACTAGATTAACAAAATAATACCATTTGCATAGGTAGGGTGTCTGATATGCTTCTAAATTAATTTGATTTGTATATTCTTGAAAACTCCCACAAGTTATTTGCATGTACTAAATAGATGTTGCTTTTTATTCTGAAAGAATGAGAATGAAGATAAAACATAGGTTCATAGATTGGTCAACATGCAGAAAAACCAATATTGATTATTTTTACAGTTCATTACATCATTAACATATTGGGATTTCCCTTTTACTACAGACAGTAATATATTTCACTATGCATGTTTATTGAAATACGTTTTAAATAGATTTGCATAACAAAGTATATATTAGTTCAAGCAGATGTTTAGGGTCATAACCGTCAAGAAATTTGAGCTGCCCAGGCGTGTGGCAAAATCAGGGTTACTAATGATTGTTTTATTGTTTCTGCATTTCAGTCATAGAGTCTGGCAGATTGCAAGTGTACTGTTACTCTGTAGGAGGTATAAAATGTTCATGATGTTATCTTGGGCGAGGCCTCCAGCCTGGAAGATCAGCATAACTCTGAGTTGCTAATCTGGCCAGTTCAGTCTTTGTTTTTATAGAGAAAATCAAAGATATATCAATTGATGCTAGTTGCAAATTATAGAAATGTTGTGATTAGTATTTTTGAAAGTCTTATATTAACAACACTTCATTAGTTGAAAATTCTTCTCCTAGGCTCCAGTTACTATCTTCCCAGCTTAAATCCAGAAAACAACAGCAATGTCTTTGCCAGCTACCTCACATTTGGAGAATTGAACACTGTAGCTCAGCTTGAGGAAAGATGATAGCATTGGAACTGATTTCACTTTCTGAGCCTTTTTTTGAGGGTATTTACTAATAATACTTCTGAACTGTAAAATCTGTGGGTTAGCATCCCCCTCTGATGCAAGAAACCTGGAGTTTACTGGCTAGCTAGCAAATGCAAAATTAGACAATTTTGCTGGGAGCTAAATATACACGGTTAAGTGTGTTTGACTATTATATGGCTGCAGAAAGTTCCACATGCCAATTTATTTGCTTATGGTGTTTTGGAAAATGGAATCCTTTAGAGAAAGAGAAAGAGAACACACCAACTTTCAACTCCATTGATTTTAATTAAGCTAACTGTAGATTGGCAAGCACTGCAAAATTCACAAACCTGATGAGACAAAAGAGATTACACAATAGGTACAGGAACTAATGGCTAGTCCTTAATTATCTGAAACTGACAAGACAATGACCTGTCAAATTAATGGAAATTATCTTCCATAAAGCCTTGGTGGAATGGCAGCATAATATTGAACTTCAGAAGGAAAAGAAGCCTGGACCAAAAAGAAGTTCCTTGCCCTTAAAAATGAGCATACCATAATAGACACAGACATGGGAAGATGCTCATGATGTATTAAGTAGAAAAAAAAAATAGAAAATAATATAGTCAGCCTGTTCCCGTTTTGGTAAAATTGAAATACACCAAACCACTTTTACCTGTTCTACCAACATAGGATGTGTACCTGGTCACTCCTGTTTCGTTTTATTGTATATATATGTATTTTTTTTCAATTAATATTGGAAAACCCCATTTTCTCTTCTGGGAAAAAAAATCTAATACTGTCTCTAGGTCCTTCTGCCAAACCCAGTGAGACAGATCCCAGATGCCAATGCCATTGCTTATCAATATCACATGGTATCACTGTCAGATGCACATCATGAAAAACTTCATGCCTGTCTGCTGCTACTGGGATACCCTTGCTAGTAGAAGCCTGTGCCAGAGTGGTGCTCATGAGGTATCAAGGATATAGCCCATTTTACATCATACTCCCATGTTCCATCCTTATTCCACTAAACAATCATGGAGCTAGTAAGGCTGTGTTTGGATGAGTTACTGCAAGCTAATTTTAGTAGGCCAAATAATGCATACAGTAAACTAGAGAATATTTGCTTGAAAATATTATGGTGACTTGTCCTTATTTTAGACTCACCTCGTAAGTAGTAACTAAAACAGTAAATGAATGAATGCAAGCTGTCTGGACCAGCTTGGTAATAAATATCCTGAAGTTCATCTTTCCATTTTTAAAAAGTCACCCAACTTATGTTTGATAAATATAAACAAACTTTTTTATGTCATCATTTTAAATGCTTTAGGAAATGGTTTCATTTCCTTTTGTTTTGTCCGATGTTCATATCTTTCATGCTTTGCTTATCTTTTGGAAGTGTCTGTCCAACTAGAGCTCTTCCAAAGAGATATTTGGCAAGGACATCTTCTGCTCCCAGGTATAAAAGGGAGTCAAACACCATTATTATTTTTATCCTTCAGGAAAAACCTTCTGTGAAAATCCTGATTGCATTTCCTTTTATAAGATTCTGTCTCATATTTATTAACTGAAAGGTTGGGTCAAATCAGCCACTTGTACTCTCTGTAGTTTATCAGCAGAAGGATTCTTTGAAAGATTAAATTGCACAGGGCTGACTTCTAAAGTGCAGTGAAAAAAATAAAAAAGCCACTTGGTAAAAATGCTAAAACTGTTATTTTCTTGGGAAATGTTGTAGAATTTTAGCAAATTAACATGTTACATTTAAACCCATTTGTACTTGAGACTGGATTGTTTATAGATGCTTGAAAGAACCATTATTTGTGTGTACAGATAAGCAAATTGAAAAACATAATTACTCATAACCGTGTTTCATGTTTTCCAGAATCTTAAAGAAGTCAAAAATATCAGTGAAATCAAGCATGGAGAAATATTGCATTATTAATATTATACTGAAAAGTAAATAAGATTTTTGAATTTCTTTATAAATCATTTTTAGTTATCATAATCCTTCAAGCATCAATTCACTGTGTTTTAAAATGCACATTTATTATCTCTGTATGTGATTTTTCACATCTTTCATTTTTTTCTCTATATTTATGTTTGGGGAAGAACGTGGAATATAGAATGCAGACATGATGTCTCTGAAATACATGTCTCCTCTCCCAAAGACATAGTCACATTTTATAGTTAAATTTTGGTTTGAAAGTTCTAATTTCTCTTCCATTAACCTTTCTGATTCCAAATGCTACCAGTCTCTGTGGCCAAGAGAATGATACACCATCTTTCTCCATCCCCAACAACAGAAAGCTCAGTTTCATCTTCCATTTTCCCCAGCTTTTCCACCTCATACCACTCAGAAAGTCCTGGATTTTATTTTCTTTTGAGTTTCTTGAATAGGTTTACCCTTTCTCCATTTCTGATTCCTGAGTCCTTTCATTAGTCTCTTATTATTATTATTATTATTATTATACTTTAAGTTCTAGGGTACATGTGCACAACGTGCAGGTTTGTTACATATGTATAAATGTACCATGTTGGTGTGCTGCACCCATTAACTCGTCATTTATATTAGATATTTCTCCTAATGCTCTCCCTCCCCCCTCCTCCGACCCCACTACAGACCCCAGTGTGTGATGTTCCCCTTCCTGTGTCCAAGTGTTCTCATTGTTCAATTCCCACCTATGAGTGAGAACATGCAGTGTTTCGTTTTTTGTTCTTGCAATAGTTTGCTGAGAATGATGGTTTCCAGCTTCATCCATGTCCCTACAAAGGACATGAACTCATCCTTTTTTATGGCTGCATAGTATTCAATGGTGTATATGTGCCACATTTTCTTAATCCAGTCTATCATTGATGGACATTTGGGTTGGTTCCAAGTCTTTGCTATTGTGAATAAACATACGTGTGCATGTGCCTTTATAGCAGTATGATTTATAATCCTTTGGGTATATACCCAGTAAAGGGATGGCTGGGTCAAATGGTATTTCTAGTTCTAGATCCTTGAGGAATCGCCACACTGTCTTCCACAATGGTTGAACTAGTTTACAGTCCCACCAACAGTGTAAAAGTGTTCCTATTTCTCCACATCCTCTCTAGCACCTCTTGTTTCCTGACTTTTTAATGATCGCCATTCTACCTGGTGTGAGATGGTATCTTATTGTGGTTTTGATTTGCATTTCTCTGATGGCCAGTGATGATGAGCATTTTTTCATATGTCTGTTGGCTGCATAAATGTCCTCTTTTGAGAAGTGCCTGTTCATATCCTTCACCCACTTTTTTATGGGGTTGTTTGTTTTTTTCTTGTAAATTTGTTTGAGTTCTTTGTAGATTCTGGATATTAGCCCTTTGTCAGATGAGTAGATTGCAAAAATGTTCTCCCATTCTGTAGGTTGCCTGTTCGCTCTGATGGTAGTTTCTTTTGCTTTGCAGAAGCTCTTTAGTTTAATTAGATCCCATTTGTCAATTTTGGCTTTTGTTGCCATTGCTTTTGGTGTTTTAGGCATGAAGTCCTTGCCCATTCCTATGTCCTGAATGGTATTGCCTAGGTTTTCTTCTAGGGTTTTTATGGTTTTAGGTCTAACATGTAAGTCTTTAATCCATCTTGAATTAATTTTTGTATAAGGTGTAAGGAAGGGATCCAGTTTCAGCTTTCTACATATGGCTAGCCAGTTTTCCCAGCACCATTTATTAAATAGGGAATCCTTTCCCCATTGCTTGTTTTTGTCAGGTTTGTCAAAGATCAAATGGTTGTAGATGTGTGGTATTATTTCTGAGGGCTCTGTTCTGTTCCATTGGTCTATATCTCTGTTTTGGTACCAGTACCATGCTGTTTTGGTTACTGTTGCCTTGTAGTATAGTTTGAAGTCAGGTAGCGTGATGCCTCCAGCTTTGTTCTTTCGGCTTAGGATTGACTTGGCAATGTGGGCTCTTTTTTTGGTTCCATATGAACTTTAAAGTAGTTTTTTCCAATTCTGTGAAGAAAGTCATTGGTAGCTTGAAGGGGATGGCATTGAACCTACAAATTACCTTGGGCAGTATGGCCATTTTCATGATACTGATTCTTCCTATCCATGAGCATGGAATGTTCTTCCATTTGTTTGTGGCTTCTTTTATTTCACTGAGCAGTGGTTTGTAGTTCTCCTTGAAGAGGTCCTTCACATCCCTTGTAAGTTGGATTCCTAGGTATTTTATTCTCTTTGAAGCAATTGTGAATGGGAGTTCACTCATGCTTTGGCTCTCAGTTTGTCTGTTATTGGTGTATAAAAATACTTGTGATTTTTGCACATTGATTTTGTATCCTGAGACTTTCCTGAAGTTGCTTATCAGCTTAAGGAGATTTTGGGCTGAGACAATGGGATTTTCTAAATATACAATCATGTCATCTGCAAACAGGGACAATTTGACTTCCTCTTTTCCTAATTGAATACACTTTATGTCTTTCTCCTGCCTGGTTGCCCTGGCCAGAACTTCCAACACTATGTAGAATAGGAGTGGTGAGAGAGGGCATCCCTGTCTTGTGCCAGTTTTCACCGGAATTGCTTCCAGTTTTTGCCCATTCAGTATGATATTGGCTGTGGGTTTGTCATAAATAGCTCTTACTATTTTGAGTTACGTCCCATCAATACCTAATTTATTGAGAGTTTTTAGCATGAAGCGTTGTTGAATTTTGTCAAAGGCCTTTTCTGCATCTATTGAGATAATCATGTGGTTTTTGTCTTTGGTTCTATTTATATGCTGGATTATGTTTATTGATTTGCATGTGTTGAACCAGCCTTGCATCCCAGGGATGAAGCACACTTGATCATGGTGGATAAGCTTTTTGATGTGCTGCTGGATTTGGTTGGCCAGTATTTTATTGAGGATTTTTGCATCGATGTTCATCAGGGATATTGGTCTAAAATTCTCTTTTTTTGTTGTGTCTCTGCCAGGCTTTGGTATCAGGATGATGCTGGCCTCATAAAATGAGTCCGGGAGGATTCCCTCTCCTTCTGTTGATTGGAATAGTTTCAGAAGGAATGGTACCAGCTCCTCCTTGTACCTCTGGTAGAATTCAGCTGTGAATCTGTCTGGTCCTGGACTTTTTTTGGTTGGTAGGCTATTAATTATTGCCCCAATTTCAGAGCCTGTTATAGGTCTATTCAGGGATTCAACTTCTTCCTGGTTTAGTCTTGGGAGGGTGTATGTTTCCAGGAATTTATCCATTTCTTCTAGATTTTCTAGTTTATTTGCATAGAGGTGTTTATAGTATTCTCTGATGGTAGTTTGTATTTCTGCAGGATCGGTGGTGATGTCCCCTTTATCATTTTTTATTGCGTCTATTTGATTCTTCTCTCTTTTCTTCTTTATTAGTCTTGCTAGTGGTCTATCAATTTTGTTGATCTTTTCAAAAAACCAGCTCCTGGATTCATTCATTTTTTTGGAGGGTTTTTTGTGTCTCTATCTCCTTCCGTTCTGCTCTTAGTTATTTCTTGCCTTCTGCTAGCTTTTGAATGTGTTTACTCTTGCTTCTCTAGTTCTTTTAACTGTGATGTTAGGGTGTCAATTTTAGATCTTTCCTGCTTTCTCTTGTGGGCATTTAGTGCTATACATTTCCCCCTACACACTGCTTTAAATATGTCCCAGAGATTCTGGTATGTTGTGTCTTTGTTCTCATTGGTTTCAAAGAACATCTTTATTTCTGCCTTCATTTTGTTAGGTACCCAGTAGTCATTCAGGAGCAGGTTGTTCAGTTTCCATGTAGTTGAGCGGTTTGGAGTGAGATTCTTAATCCTGAGTTCTAGTTTGATTGCACTGTGGTCTGAGAGACAGTTTGTTATAATTTCTGTTCTTTTACATTTGCTGAGGAGTGCTTTACTTCCAACTATGTGGTCAATTATGGAATAAGTGCGATGTGGTGCCGAGAAGAATGTATATTCTGTTGATTTGGGTGGAGAGTTCTGTAGATGTCTGTTAGGTCTGCTTGGCTCAGAGCTGAGTTCAATTCCTGGATGTCCTTGTTGACTTTCTGTCTCGTTAGTCTATTAACACTCACACCGTCTCCCTTACCCCCCCCTACTCCAAGCATAGATACTATTATCCAACTTTTAAGTATGAAAAAACTGAAGGCTGCTCAGGGCTTAAAGGTTTAAATTAAGGCTATGATTTGGATCCAGATCTGCCTCTCTCTAAAGCATGAGCTTTTCAACATTACAATAGGCTGTCTCACTTTTCACTGATATCAGAGTAACCTTTTTTAAACCATGGTGCTGAACATATTCCATTTCCCTGCATAAGTGGATTGCAACTGGTGTAGGTTTAAGTACAGATTTCTTAGCAGGACATCAAAGTTTTTAATTACCTGACTCTCACCTGCATTTCTGGCCTGTTATATTTGCAATCACTTTCTCAATGACTTCTTATATTGCAGGTTAATCAGGAATATATAATCAGCCTGCCTAGAACATGACTCCATGTCTTGCCTATGTTAGACTCTCAGCCTGGAAACCCTTCTACTTAAAACTTGTCTTCTTATCTCACACCCTTAGCTAGGAAAAGTTTTCTAACTTCTAGGTAGAGCTGGTTCCTCCGTCTTCCAGGCATCTTCACACCTTGTACTAGGCAATGAGCTCTTCAACAAGAGGGCCCACTTGTTTTCTACTTTCTTATTCTGCAGAATCTATTGTAGAGCCTTGCTCATACTGGGACTAAAAATACATTTAAAAAATAAAATTAAGCACACTTATTTTCCATAGGAATTTTTGAGTCATTGGTTCCCTGAATAGCCCTACTCCCCTTTTCCATTTTGAAGAAGTACGTATAGTTTTCCAAAACGTTCTTGTTTGACCAGTGCGATCAGTTCATTTAGTCAAAGCGTTTGCACTGTTCCTAACTTTTCTACCTTAAGAAGCATACTTTTGCTCAAGCAGAGCGTTTAGTGCACGTCTCCTTTAACAGATTCCTGCTGAGAGCTAACAGCTGGATTATTGAATCTTCTCCTTCAAAACCACTCTTTGACTTATTACAAGATTATTTTTCTCAGTTACATTTGATTCTTTATAGGTACCGTTTTCTGCCCCTGGCCTTGTTTAAAATTGAATTGTGATGGCTCTTCCCCTGACTTGTCTTTTAAAGCTATTATCATTTACTTCATTTTTTTTTTAGGCCTTTACTGGAAAATTTCTGGCTGTAACACTTTCTTATAATTTCTATTTCTATTCCAGGTTTCTGCTTAAGCACAGTGTTGCATTAATAAGGGTCAGGCAAAGTTTCAACAGCATTTAATCTTACACTTTAAATTTTTGTTCACATTTTATGGTCTTGACACATTTACTGTAATAAAGGGAAATCATTAATTCACTAAGAAACGTGTAAAAACTATAGTTTTGCTTTTGATTAATTTCCACATTCATCATTACTTTGCTACTAATTTACCATGCATTGAAGAGACTGAGGGTGCAAAATATGATTTTTTTTCTTTGTTTAAAAAGAACTGTCTTAGAAACCAAATGAGGCTAAAAATGTACCTGTGTTTTGGCTGTCAAAGGGGAGAAGATTACTTCTTCTTGAACGTGTTTTCTGTCTCATCCTCATGTTTCCTTTATTTATACCAAATACACCATACCGTTCTCTACTTTTTTTTTTTGAAGTAAAAGAAAGCTATAGCCGTAGCCACTGTCATATTAACTCTGAAAATAGGTTTTTTCCTTTATGAAGAGGAAAGAAATCTTAATTTACTTTTGGCTTATGGAAGGAAATCATCTAAAATTTTATAATGCCAGCTACATCTTGAACATTTTTGAATACTGTTGTTATGAAACAAAATCATACTTGAGCCTAGAGGTCAAATATATCACCAATATTGGCAGCAGGCAATTGAATAACGATTTTTTGTTTTTGTTTTGCACTTGGATAATTGATACTAAAGTGGTAGTGACTACTAAAATTAATGAAAAGGAAGCTATAGTTTTTACACTATAACTAGGCCAAATTGGGAAGGTATCAAAATTATAGTTATAAAATGAGACTGAAAGTTTAAAACAGATCACTACCTATGACGCACACAATTGCAAGCCCTTTTTCGTAGATCAGTCAATGAAGTCTTTGCAAAAACCCAAAGAGGGTTATTTTGGATTTTAGGGGAGGAGAAAACTGAGACTCATAAAGTTAAATAAACTCTCCTCCTTTATTGTATTGTTTTGTTAAATATAGATTTTTATTCGTATTTTTAACAACACAAATATTTGTAGAAAAATTTAGAGAATGCAGAATAAGCAAGAGAAAAATAAACACAATGTATTGCTATCCCCCCAGTTTTCTTAACTGTGTATTACGCATTTTTGTGTAGCCTGCTTTTTTGCTTTAAAATGTCATGACCTTTTCCAACCATAAGTATGTTATTTTTCATATGTCAGTTTTAATGGCTATAATATTCTCCTCAGTGTTTTTGAGGGTCTTTGAGAGCACTCAGTAAGTAGCACCTGTCTTTTCTACCCAATTCAGTTGAAAAATAGACAGCAAGTGGAGAACCAGAATATCACCCTATTCCTAATTAAGGCACAATTGGCAGGCACAGCTTACAATGAGAGAAAAAATTGGCTTGCTCACTGCATCCCTTGGAAGTTTGTTGAGCTGTGAGAAGAACCCACTTCAGGGAAAGCTTAAAGCCAGGGAGCAGGAAATCCCTGCCCTTCACTGTCCCTGGCTAGAGGAAGGAGGAAAAGAAGCAACTTCTCCAAGCAGAGAAACTTTGATCATGTCTACCCAATACCTGTAACACACCAACCACTGTAAAGCTGGTGGTCCTCTGCTCTGGGGATGAGGAAGTGGTGGAAAAGGAAGCCAGGCAGACTGCGGAGGATGCCACAAAACAAAGGTGAGGAAGGAGGCATTCCCCTGTGATATATGAAGTTCATATTACTCATTTAATCAATCCCCTATTGTTGTACACTTAGGTTGTTTCAAAACAACAATGAAATTAAATGCATTTGTAATTAATTATTGTGTACATTATAGAAATTTTCTTTAAATGAAACTCTATAAGTAAAATTCCTGGGACAATGTTTTTAACATGTTTAAAGGTTTTAATGCATTTTACCACATTTTACTCAGGAAAGTTTTGTCAATTTACATTACCACTCAGTAATGTGTAACCTCATTTATTTTTAATAAGTGTATTTGAACCCAGGAAAGTTGGCTCTGGAGCCCAAATTATTAATCTTAACAAAATCCTGCTAGTTACTAAATAAAAAAAAAACTGTAAAATTCATGAAATTTCTCTGACTCCATAAACTTTCAATGGATAATTTCTATATCTGTCCATACTGCCTGGGAGTGGAGAATTATAATGGTCATGAAAGTGGCCTTTGGCCTTGGACTCCTCCTGGCTTTGAATTCTGAATTTGCCCTTAACTAGAGCTGTGGCAAGTTATCATAGATGTTCAAGCAACTCTGCTCTTCACAGTGCTAATAAAGACATGCGCAAGACTGGGTAATTCATAAAGAAAGAGGTTTAATTAACTAACTGTTTGGCATGACTGGGGAGGCCTCAGGAAACTTACAATCATGGCACAAGGTAAAGGAAGCACATCCTTATTCACATGGCAGCAGCAAGGAGAAGTGCCGAGCAAAAGGGGAAAAAGCACCACTCACTATCAGGAGAACAGGACATGGGAAACCTCCCCCCTGATTCAATTATCTCCCACTGGGTTCCTCCCATGACATGTGTGGATTATGGGAACTACAATTCAACATGAGATTTGGGTGGGGACACAGCCAACTCATATCAGCATCCACCACATCAAACCCACTAAGTGAGCTACATTTTTGCTGCATGGAATGAAAATGTCCACACAGCACAGAGAAGAATATGTGCTTCATAGAGTAATGATAGTCAGGTTAACACAAGATGCTTCTGTGAGAGGCTGATGGTCAGCCCTGAGATCAGTAACCAGAAGCCGTGGCTTCCAGAAGGCTGCCTGGATCTGGTTAGTGAGGATTTCAGTAGTGAAGTGACCAGCAATAGGAGTAGCTCCAGTGGCAGCAGCGAACTTCAGCACAGCCCACTGGCCAGGATTCCTGGACGACCTGACATTGACATCAGCAGGGTTTTCAAGGGCAACAATGGCATAAGCTGTCAGCAGAAGCTTCTCCCAGGTCCTCTTCAGATTTAGGATGTAGATGCCATCAGTTTTCCTTTTATAGATATACTGTTCCATTTGGAAGGGTTGGTGCCACCTAGCAGGTTCCAGCTACTAGGAACTAGAGGGCATCCTCCTCCTTCATTTGCAGGACATCAAGGACTCCCGACATTGTGAAAGTTTCCATTTAAGTTACCATGGGAACCCAGAGCAACACATGTGGACTCCTGTCTGGATAGTGCAGAAACCTAAGCCTGCTTTATTATATCCACCCACATTTTCAAATTTCCAGCATTTTTATCCGACCTTTAAAGATAGTAAAGAAGTCAGAATATTTTTTAAGTATATAAAAGTAAATAATTACCTTATTAATCAGACAAGACTTTACTATAAAACCAAATACCTCTGAGTTAACAATATTGAATATTAACATGGTAAAAAGGCATCAGGATGAGTTCTTTTATGGAGAGGTCCTAAAAATATATAATATTGAAGTGTATGTGTGACACAGGTAAGTTATATTGCACTCAGAAGTGTTGGAAATTCTGTGAGAGATTGGTTTATATTTGAGAACCTGCGTGAGTCTAAGATGGCTCTCGTCTTCTTCTAGAAAAGAACAAATGTGAAATAAGACCCCTATTATTTCTTTAGGTCTTACTGAGATTTCTTCTTTTGCAAGAGGATGTGAGTTTTCTGTAGTAACACCATACTTCGCATTGGATCACTAGGTAGTTATGGACTAATCTAGGGCTGAGGGAGAGATTTTTATGACACACTTTATAATAGACTTTCAGCGTTTTTCAGAAAGAAAATCCCACTGAGGATACAAAGTTTATATTTTTCTTTGACTGTAACACATCACAATAAAGATGATACTCTGCTGATATATGAGATTCATGTTATCTGCAGGAAAACTTAAAGTGTTTTGTTCTATGTGACAGTGACACTGTGTCTAAGAATGCTAAGGCAGAGAAAAAATGGAGATTTAGGTAATATTTATATAGATAAGAAAGAAAGTTTAGGCTCATAGTCCAGAAAGTAAACTGCTAATTCTTGCCTAGTATGTTTTTTTTTAATTTTTTTAATTCCTTGAGTCTCCTCAGTTTTGCATGATTTTGACACTGTTTACCAGACAATTCTACATTATCTCTCCTTGTCTTTTGGTTTGAATTAAAAGTAATTTAGGATAATTTCAGTTTACCTAAAATTAATGAATCTAATTCTTTACCTGGTAAAAAAAAATTTGTTCTTTGTCTTCCATAATCTGTCCCTCTGTAATTATTAATTTTACATGTTAAGGTCCAGATATTTGGTCAAACACTATTTTGAATTCTGCTGTGAAGGAATTTTTAAGATGATATTAACATGTAAATTAGTAGACTTTGAGTGAAGCAGATTAACCTCCATAATCTAGGTGGGCCTCATTTCATCAGGTGAAGCCCTTAATGGTGGGGGGATGGAAAGACTGACCTCTCCTAACATCTTTCTCTCCTGAGGAAGAGGGAATCTGGCAGCAGACTGCCTTAGACTTGAGCTGCAACGTTCATTCTTTCCTGGGTCTCCAGCTTGCTGGTCTATCCTGCAGATTTTGGACTTACTAGCCTCCACAATCACATAAGCCAATTTCTTAAAATAAATCTATTTCTCTCTCTCTCTGTCTCTTTCTCCATCCATTCATCCATTCATCCGTCTACACATTTTTTATTGTTTATTTTTCTCTGGAGAATCTTGACGGATACACCATCTGTTTATCAATCATTCTTGAAACAGAAAATTCTACCTGTGTATGCACCTTGACTGGAAAGAGTTTTTGCCAAGTCTGTACTGTACCTAGTTAAGGCATATTTAGAAACATGGCCGTGGGAAAACAAAAAACAGCAAGATTAAAACATGGAGATATGGCCGGGCGCGGTGGCTCACGCCTGTAATCCCAGCACTTTGGGAGGCCGAGGCGGGCGGATCACGAGGTCAGGAGATCGAGACCATCCTGGCTAACACGGTGAAACCCCGTCTCTACTAAAAATACAAAAAATTAGCCAGGCGTGGTGGCGGCGCCTGTAGTCCCAGTTACTCGGGAGGCTGAGGCAGAAGAATGGCCTGAACCCGGGAGGCGGAACTTGCAGTGAGCCAAGATAGTGCCACTACACTCCGGCCTGGGTGAAAGAACAAGACTCGGTCTCAAAAAAAAAGAAAAAACATAGAGATATATTATATATCCTAATTCTACAAGGATGTTTCTGGCTTTACTTATGTGTGTATTAAGGTTTTTCTTCTCTTCTTCCACACTATTTTCTTATAGTTGACATATGGTAATATAGTAAGAAAAAATACACATATATTTCTTCTTGCAATATATATTCATTGGGATGTTTAACACTGAGTGTCAACCTGATTGGATTGAAGGATGCAAAGTATTGATCCTGGGGTGTGTCTGTGAGGGTGTTGCCAAAGAGATTAACATTTGAGTCAGTGGGCTGGGAAAGGCAGACCCACCCTCAATGTGGGTGGGCACAATCTAATCAGCTGCCAGTGTGGCCAGAATATAAAGCAGGCAGAAAAACGTGAAAAGGCTAGACTGGCTTAGCCTCCCATTCTACATCTGTCTGCCATGCTGAAAATCGGACTCCAAGTTCTTCAGCTTTGGGACTCGGACTGGTTTCCTTGCTCCTCAGCTTGTAGACAGCCTACTGTGGGACCCTGTGATCGTCTGAGTTAATACTACTTAATAAACTCCCTGAGAATATATATCCTATTCTTTCCCTCTGGAGAACCCTGACTAATACATTCATATATACATAGTTTTATATATATATATATATATATAATATATATAATATTTATATATAATATATATTATATATTTATATAATATATATAAATAATATATATAATAATAAAATATAATAATATATATATTATATATTATAATATATATATTTATATATAATATATATAATATATAATATTTATATATTATATGTTTATATTTATATATAAATATAATTTATATATTTATATCATATATAGTAATATATGTGTATATTGCAATACATGTATACATATGTGTGTACATTGTATATATGTATATTGCAATATGTATATTGCAATACATACATATATACATATGTATGTATAATGCAATTTATATATTGTATATACACATGTACATATTATGCATGTATACATACATATATGTGTATGTATTGTATACACATATGTTATATGTGTATGTATTGTATACATATATGTTATATGTGTATGTATTGTATACATATATGTTATATGTGTATGTATTGTCTACATACACATACGTGCATGTATTGCAATCAGATGAAAGCACACACTGTTTCAGTCTAATAAAGGCAAATGCTAGCAAGAAATTAATTTCACTGTTAAATTTCCAATTATTTTCTAGATCCTGTAGCTCAGGAGCAGCAAAGGATTACAAAGAAACAAAATGCTATGTGGGGGAGAGAGTATGAGGATATAAGAGAGCTAGCCTCACAAAAGATGTTTTTTCCTGGCCCATGAGAATAGCAACTTGAAAGGAGAATAGGAATAAACAGAATAAGCTAAATAAACCATACTGGATTTCTTTCATTCTAGAGATGAAGTTTTATTTGGAGTATTAGGATTGAACCTGAAATTAAAAAATAAAATAAAGGTTATTTCCCTGGATTCCAGTCAGTTGTGATTAACTAATAACAAAGCCATTTGGTTGTAGACAATGTCACTTATCACTTTCATGACAAGTGATGACAATTTGGAATCATGCAACTGTAAATGTATGCTTGATATACAGGATGCAGTGGTGAAGAAATCAGTCCTGGCTTTCAAGGTCCTTATCAAACTTGTGGCATCCTGCTATTTATTGCAATCATTTGCATCCCTCTTATCCCCTATTTTTGGAGTTCTAGCTCATTGCAGTCTAAGGACAGTAAATTATATATATTCATACACCACACAATGTTAAGCAGATACCAAACACACACACGCACACACACACACACACACACACACACACAGAGCTGTATAATTTTGCTATTGGCACAAAAATGCTGCAAAACCAATCCTCTCAAACCTAGTAGCTTAAAGCATGATCAAGTGAAATTTTTCATACACCTCTGGATCAGCTGTGGATGGACTGGTCTGTGGCTGGGCTGGATAGCTTTGCTGATCTATGCTGAGCTTCGCTGGGCGGTTTGATTGTGTCTCTTTTACTCCAAGCAGGATAACTTGACATTTTCTCATCACAGAGACAGAGGTACTAGGAAAACGAGCTCCATCAATCAGACATTTCAAGCTTCTGCTATGTCATACCTAACAACTTCACATTGGCCAACGCAGATCACATGACTATGTCCAAGGTCAAGGAGGAAGAAGGTGTTGCAAAGTCACAGGACAAGGTTTCGATATCTAATTTCACTACTTGGGGAGGAGAAGTAAGGGGCTGAAAGAAAATACCGCAAGCACACTTCAAGAATTTAAAGTGCACGCATGTTTCTTCAAACTCCATATATGTTTATAGGTTCTTTAGAATAACTTATAAAAGCAAGAGTTTTGGCCTTTATTATTACATTGATTAGATGATATGCAGAGATTCGAAGATATCTTCAATATAAAAACCACCAAGCATCATTTAATGAAAATTAAAAGCAGTATACTCCATGAAAAAATGAAGCAACTTTTATAGGAATGCTACAATTCACAGCTGTGTAGAGTGACAAAATTGTTCTCATGCCCCTCCTAGCATGCATTAGGATTTTCGTTATGTGAAAGTTTTCTTCAGAGTGAATGCAAATCAAAAAAGACTGTATTCACAGCCTTTAGTGGGATGTACTAGAGAAAATTCACTTTTTATACCTACTAACTCAATTTTCCACCTTACTTTGTATACTACACATCTGGCAAGAGCAGACAGTATGACTTAGTAAAGTCAAAGGACCCAAAAAAACCCCTGCTATAACAAAATGCTGTCTTTGAGTTGCAACTTTTGATTCTTAAGGGAAAAATAAAACTGTTTTTATTTGTAAAATAGAACCTTACATGCATTAAAATCTTTACTAAGGATTTTCACACACATATCTGGTCAGATATTCCTACAATATCATTAATATAGCAGAGATTTGTTCATTTCACAAGTGAGGAAATAAAAGCTCAAGTCAATGAAATAAAGGCTTGATCTTAATATATGTAATAGTAAGGATGCATTTGACAGCAAATAACAAAAAATCTGATTGATGTGGTTTTAAACAATAAAAATAATTTATTGTTGCATGTGAACTGAAGGCCACAGTTAGGTTGGGATAACCCTTGGTTTAATAAGAGCTTGACTTTTCAGTGATTGTCGTAGGTCTTTCTTTTTCCATACTTTGACCACATTCACAAAATATTGTGCAGAACTGAAACTGTGTGCATGCATCTCTGAATCGGAGCACTGGGCTTCCTGCTCTTGGAAACATTCCTGACCCAATCTCAAGGGCCATGGAATTCTAGGTGGTGATTGATTGGTGCCTGGATTACACAAACCAATCCCTGTGTCTGTGAACTCATGGAGCACGTTTTAGCCAAGGTCTAACCCTTTGCGCTAGAGAAGAGGACCCTCACCCACCATTGAATGAGCAGTACACACAAAATAAAATATGAGGGTTCAACCAAAGGAGACGGTGAAGGGAGAGTTTTAACCCTCATAAATAACAGGTATAAGACTAAAATCTGTCATTTGTACCCCTTCCTCAGTGCTCTTTCCTATCTAAGATAATGTATCCTGTGTTAATTAATACACATTTTTATAAGGGGTTGTTTTATAAATCTTACCTCTTTTCTGCATTATGTGAATAGTAAGATGGAGAATGTTGCTTATTATAATAAAGTGATAACTCAGCTAATATTCTTATTTCTTCACCCTCATTGAGATTTTCTATGAAATATCATTTGGAGAACATTTCTTATTATAATGAAAAGTGATAACTCAGCTAATTTTCTTATTTCTTTACCTGTCATTGAGATTTTCTATGAAACACCAGTTAAAGCAAAAGCCTAGCCACTTCTAAGATACTGTATTACAATATTATTATATATTCTGACACATTCAGATATAATTGTTTACTTGTCTTTTTTTGCTGACAAAATTCCTGCATCAGTGTAAGTGGCCATTTATTTTTGATTCATGTAGACAAATGCTTAGCTCTTTAATGGGAGCTTGATTTGAAAGACATATCAAATCGTACATTACAGAGCCATTTCCCCTGAAGATTGCTCCTCCACGTCAGCAAATGCACATTTGGTTAGGAATAAATCACGAAAATGTTTATGGCTACGTATATGTTATATATGAAACATTGTTAATGGCTACCATCTTTGTGCCAACATGGTTTTATGCTGGACAATTTAAGGACAATTTCCAGTCCAAAGATTTTGGTCATTTTTCAGAGGCTCCATTATATTTTCCAGGCTACTTAGAATACCATTTAGTAAATTGCTGCCTCAGAGCACTAGATGATGATTTTATCATTTAAATAGTTAATACACTTAAATTGCCTGACAACTAAAATGCCTAATTACACACACACACACACACACACACACACACACACAGAACTAGCCTACCATAACCTCAGACACTACATTTCACTGTAGGTCAGACCTAGGGTCCCTAAGCCACAGTAGAATGATAATAGTTTAGTCTTCAACACTAAAAGGCCTCCAGATACCATGTTATCAAACTTCTTCATTATAAGGAAAAGAAAAGCAAGTCAACGGACCTATGTGATTACCAGGTTTTTGAATATTTTGGAGAGATATAGCTATCAAAACTATAAAAATTTAAGCATAATTTGAGGAGTAATTGTTGTTCCTTCTTTTCATAAAATAACATGCTTCCAAATTATGTTGGAAGATGGAAGACTGATAATTCAAGGGCTAGGGGAAGCTGTGTAAAATTGATCATTGTTGTAGAAGATACCAGCATTTCATACATTTCTCTGTTTTTTTAATCTCATTTAGCTTCCCAAAACAAGGTGTAGTTATTGCACAGGTTATATAACTCTCAAGTCAGAAAAGATCCAAATGTCTTTTAAAACAATCTCTTAAGGGGTGACTACGTCAGGCTGTAATTGGCTGATTGAGTTTCGGTTTAATATTACACCTTGCCCCTAGCATCCACTCCTGCTGTCTCTAGGCACTGTCCTTTTCTTTCACAGATTTGACATTTTCTTTTGACCTTAACTTCTTAATGTTCCTTCATTTTATAAATGCTTCATTTTTCATGCTTGCAAAAATGGAGTCTCTTATATAAGGACACCTGTCATGCTGTCAGTTCATAGTAAAACCAGCACCATAACCTAGATATCACTCTTCTCCTCTGGTTACAGTCATTTTATATAATAAGATTTAAAACAATAAAGTTAGTGTCATTAATGTGTCTCAAAATTCAAGTTTTTCAGCTTCCTCTAAACATTTCTTTTCTTTGAATCTATAAGTCTTATTTCTCTTATCACTAAAAATACATACATCAAAATAAATAAAAGCTTTCTTCTCCAATTACCTACCTAGCTAATTCTCTTTCTACTTCATTTATGTCCTACATTATTTAAAAATTAATCAATGTTCTCTTCCTTTTTTGCTCATTCATTTCTGCCTGACCAGCCTCCTAAAACCAGTTCCATTGAGTCACTAATAATCTTTTATTTCTCAGACCTAATGGATGCTTTTCTATCCTTGAGTTATGTTGTCTCCTTCATGAATGTTCATGAAACATTCTCACTTTTAGAAAGAGCATGTTTTCTTCGTTTCTCTCCTACCTCTTTGACTAAACTTCTTTAGCTTCTGTCTCCCCCACCCCTGCCAAGCATACCCTGTAGTTTTGTATCCTACAATTCTTTATATGTTTAACCTTCCTTCTTGCTTCTCTGCCACCTATACACCTATGACTTTGGAGTCTATGTGCCTACACCAGTGCTTCTCAAACTGAGTAATTTAGCCCCCGAGGATCTATCTGGAGACATCTTTAGTTGTCACTGCTGGATGATGGGGTGGGAATATTACCGCCATGTGGTATGTAGAGTATGGATGCTCTAAACATCCTGGAGTGCACAGGGCAGCCTCCAATAACAAAGGAATAACCAGCTAGAATGCCAACAATGTCACGCTAGAAAAACTCTTCTGTAGACCGTACTATTCTTCAATTCCCAACTTATATTCACTTGCTTAGTTGATGTCTTTACAACAAACAGAAAGATCTTTCACTGAGGCTTTGAATGAAACATTTCTATATATAAATCAAACATAATTTGCAACTAAACAATTTATTTTCCCACATTGCCTTGTGTTAGATAATGAACTTTTCTTTAACTCCTTCTAAGTATGTGACACATCTTCTCCACTGGAAAGTTCTTATTTAATATTATAACTGTAATGTCCTTTGATTTCTTCTTTTTGTGATACCATGTATAATCAATACTGTATGACCTTTTATACACTTTGGTCACTTTTTTTGATGAGGCAAGGGATGTATTCACATGCATGATATGGTCGTCACCCACATACTTACTATATGTGTAAATAGAGGGAAAACCACCTTGGGAAAATGTTCTCTACTTCATCATGTTACTTTTAATATGTCAATTAGGCCTATCATATTTTCCAATAATCAAGCTAATTTTTGCCGCTTTTTCACAAAGGAGGACTTTGAAAAGTTGTTAATGAAGCTCAGACCACCAACTTTTGCTTTTGGGTGTTGTCTTAGTCTTTTTGGGACTGCTGACACAGAATACCCAAGGCAAGGTGGTTTATAAAAAATACATATTTCTTTATTTTTTTAAAAAATATTTCGACTTTTATTTTAGATTCAGGAGGTACATATGCAGGTCAGTTCCATGAGTATATTGCATGATGCTGCTGTTAGTATGATTGATCCTGTCACTCAGGTAGTGATCATAGTACCCAATGGGTAGTTTTTTAACCCTTGTCCCACTCTGTCCCTTCCCAATCTAGTACTCTCCAGTATATATTGTTCCCATCTTCATGTTCATGTGTACCCAATGTTTAGCTCCCACTTATAGGTGAGAACATGTGGTATTTGGTTTTTGGTTTCTACAAAGAACAGATATTTGTTTCTTATAGTTCTAGATGCTGGGGAGTCCAAAAATCAAGTGACCCACTTCTGGTGAGGAACTTTTTGCTACATCACCCCATAGTAGGAAAGCAAAGGAGTACATGCTCAAAAGATCAAGAGACTGAACTCACAGCCCCCAACTCTTTTATAATTGGCATTATTAATCCATTCATAAAGATGGAGCCCCCTTCACAATCACCTCCCATTAGGCCCCACTACCCCACACTGTTGCATTAGAGATTAAGTTTCCAATATATGCTTTTAGGGACCACATTCAAACCATAGCATTCCAACCCTGGTCCCCGAAATTCATGTCATTCTCACAAGCAAAATGCATTACTTTCATTTCAATACCCCCAAAGTTTTAGTTTGTTCCAGCACCAACTCATAAGGCCAAAGTCGAGAGTCTCCTCTAAAGAGAATGGTGGTGAGAGTCAAGGCATGATTCATTTTGAGGCAAATGCCCTCCAACTATCAGCCTGTGAAACGAAAGCAAGTTATCTACTTCCAAATTACAGTGATGGAACTGGCATAGAGTAGACATTCTCATTCCAAAATGGACAAATAGGCAAGAAAAGAGGGGTAACTAGTCCCAAGTAAGTCCAAAACCCAATAGGGGGAAAACAGTAAATCTTAAAGCTGGAGAATAACTTTTTTAACTCCGTGTCTTGCCTTCTCAGCACACTGGGACAAGGATTGGACCTCCAAAGCATCAGGCAGCCCATCCCTATGACTTTAGCAGGCTTACTCCACCTAGCAGCTCTCATGGGTTGGAGTCTTATACCCGTGGCTTTCCCAGGCTGGAGCAGCATATTGATGGTTCAGCAGTTCTGAGGTCTTGGAGGCTACTCCACTCTCATGACTCCACTAGGCATTGCCCTAGTGGGGACTTTCTGCAGTGGGTTTGCCTCTGCGGCAAGTCTTTGCCATGGTCTCCAGTCTGTCTGTAACATGCTTTGAAATCTAAGTAGACGTTGCCATGGTCCCAGAGCTCCTGCCCGCTGTGCACCTGCAGAATTAGTACCATGAGGATGCTGCCAGGATTTACAGCTTGTACCTTTGGTGGCTCAAGCCTCACTTGGGTCCACTTGAGCCAAGACTAGGATGGCCAAGAGGCACTGCATTCAGAGAGCAGAGTCCTAAAGCAAAGGGCAGTGAATCCTGAGGTCCTGTAGCCACCTCTCTGAAAACTTTGCTCTGAAAACAAGGCAAGTCCTATCTTGCCTTGAAGGTCTGTGAAATGCCTTTAAGGTCGTTCTTCTATTGTCTTAATCAATAGAACCTGGCTTGCTTCTACCCATATTAATCTCATTAGCAAAGAGTCACTTGGCCACACACTTAATATTCTCTGCTGAACACACTTTTTAATTCTTTACATGGCCAGGCTGAGATTTTTCTAAATCTTTCTATTCTGTTTCCCTTTTAATGATAAATTCCATCATTACATTATTGTCTCCTTCTCTTATTTTACTGTAAGCAGCTAATAGAAGCCATGCAGCATCTTGAGTACTTTGATGCTTAAATATTACTTCTGCCAGACCTGCTAGCTCATAGCTCTTAAATTCTACCTTCATGAAGTCCTAGGACATGGACAGGATTCTGCCAACTTCTTGGTGACTGAATAACAAGGATGGCCTCTACTTCAGTTTCCAATACTTTGTTATTTCCACCTGAGATGTCATCAAAATGATCTTTACTTTCTGTATTTCTCCCAGTATTCTGATGATGACCACTTAAATAATCTGTAAGAAGATTTAGGTTCTTTTTACAACTCTTCTTTTCTTCTGAGCCCTCAGAAGATGCACCCTTAATGCTCCCTGTATAGTAAGCTAGGCTTTTATAGCCTGCTCTTCCAAATTCTTCCAGTCTCTACTCTTTACCCTGTTTCAAAGCCCTTCTCACATCTTCTGGTATTTGTTATAGCAACAGTCCCACTTCCCAGTACCATTTATTTATCTTAATCTGTTTGGGGTTGCATAGCAGAATACCTGAGATGGAGTAATTTATAAAGAACAGATCTTAAGGTTCTGGAGGCTGGGAAGTCCAATGTCAAAGATCCTGCATGTGGTGACAGTCTTCTTGCTGCTTCCCATGGTGGAAGGACAAAAATGCACATGCATGAGAAAGCAAGTGATAGGACATGCAGGCTGAAGTCTTTCATAAACAGTATTATTCCATTTATAAGTATGGAGCTCTTCTGACCAAAACACCTCTCGTTAGGCCCCACTTCCCAATGTTGTTGCATTGGTTATTAAATTTCCAACATGCTTTTTGGGGAACACCTTCAACTCATGGCAGGTATGGATGTATGTGTGTATAAATACATAACAAACACAAATATATATATGTGTGTGTGTGTGTGTATGTACATATGCACATACACATTTATATAAATATAAAAACATCTATGGTTTCCTGGGGATATTATCTTGGAATCCTGCATTTTTTAATAAGTACAAAGTGATTAAATGTGAGCTCATATTCGAAAACCACTTCCTTTGCCAAGGCCCAGGCCAGTCACAAAAGAGGTTATTAGCATTTCATTAGTTGGATTTTCTCTGTTGCGTCTATTAAAGAGCCTCCATTTCCCCCATTAATACAGTGGGTTTGTTGTCAGAGGGTGGCAGCATTATAAATAATGTGTGCACTTTTAGGTTACCAGTTTGGAGACTAGGCCTATGTTCTGAATGTTTTCCTGAGACCATATGGATAATCTTTTGGCATCATCCAGACTCAAACCCTCTGACTGCTTCTAATAATGCTGGTGCTTTCAGTGGTCACAAAATAGATCACAGTCTCAAGGATCAATGTAAGATTTGAAGGTAAGGACATCTTTATGTGTAGAGGGACATTTTCTGATCTGGTAAATAACTTATCAAGCTGAGGTGATTTTTTTCTCAGTTGTCTCCCTTCCCTTATCAACACACATCTCTATTTCAATTTTACTGATTTATGTACTTTACTGCTGTTTAAATCCTTCATTGTAGTGCTTGGAGCATCTAGGAACATATGTGCCTCAAAGCATCAGTAAAGTGTGGTAGGTGTCTTTGAGGGTGCCTTTAACTGCAAGGATGGACATGCACTGGTTTAGCTCTGATTCTGGTATCATCTAGTGATATCTAGTTTGTGTCTACGTTCCCCCATTTTGTTTTTAAAAAAGAAAAGAGTTAAAGAATCCTGAGCTTACTAAAATTGTTTGGCTCGCACAGTGGCTCAAGCCTGTAATGCCAGTACTTTGGGAGGCCGAGGCAGATGATTGCTTGAGTCCAGGAGTTCAAAACCAGCCTGGGCAACATTACAAAAACCTGTATCTACTAAAAATACAAAAATTAGCCAGGCGTGGTGGTGTGCACCTGTGCTCCCAGCTACTCAGGAGGCTGAGGTGGGAGAATCATCTGAGCCTAGGGAGGGCCAGGATGCAGTGAGCCAAAATAGCGCCACTGCACTTTAGTCTGAGCAATCAGAGTGAGACCCTGTCTCGAAAAAAGAAAAAAGGGTTGGGGCGGGGGGTGCGGTTTGATGTTTATTAAGCTTTGAGGAAGGATTCCTACTGTGAGCATGGAAAGGCAGGTGGCGATAAGTGTGCCAATTTTTTCACCATTTCTGACCTGGAAGTTGTGAAATATTTACTTTATGCAAACTTTACTACTGTATAGAAAATGTTACATGTCCTTAAAGTTGTGTAGTTAAAATACTACTAGGTATAAAGGGGGTGAGAGAAATAACTGACATGAATACTATGAGCCTATTCTAAATACACTATTTCATTCAGTCTTCAAAACCACCCTATGAAAAATGTATTGTTATTCTTATTTAGTGATGAGGAGACAAAAGTTCAGAGACAGTGAATGGTTTTCTTAAAATAGTTCATTGTAATAGTTGGTGAAATGTTTAAATCCAGGTCTGCTTGTTTCAAAGCCTAAATGTTTTCTCTTAATATGTTACAGTCTAGAAACAATGATTAAGAGAATTTGAGAGTATGAAGGGAATACTGTGGTAACAGCAAAGCTGGAAAGATAGAAAGGACCAAGCAATAGTAGACCTTGAATATCAGAACAAGGATTTAATTTTTTTAAATATTATGCATTTATGTATATGTATGTGTTTTCATATTTGTACCCTATCAATAGTAGAAAAATATTGATGAGAAAAGGTCAACTTATTCTAATAAAAATATTTGAAATGAAATATTTCAAATAATGAAGAAATGTGTACACAAATATATGCATATATATGTACATATACATTTATGTGTGTGTATATAAAAATTTTGAGTGGGGAAATGACAGCACATGAAGTTTGTTTCAAGAAGTTTGTCCTGGCCACACAACGTGAGAGATGTTAGTAGATAGATATTTGCGAGACTAGCTAAGGGATGCTTGAGCTAGCTCGAAGAAATAATGAGAGTCTAAACCAAGGTAGTAGCCTTGGGAATGGAGAGAAGGAATGGATGGGAGAGATTATGAGCCATAATGCTAGTTGACATAATCAGTTTCTCTGGACAGTTTCCAAATGAGACTTACCTTAGTGAAACCACATTCTTACACACTCATAAATTTTCTAAGTAAGATAACAAACCAGGTTCCTATGTAGGTGCTAAAAGGCTATAATTAAAATCAACCCACTTATTTAAAAAAATAAAGGTTAAGGAGGTGACTTAATTGGGCCACAGGAGAGCTATCTATTTATGGTGAGAACTTCCTACTCAAAGGATAGCACATCCAAAGGCAGTGCTAGTAAAACATTTGAGAGTTTGGAAATACGAATCTCTGAACTAGGTTATTCTAATTCCACTAATTGGCTGCCACCACCTGCATTAATTGACATACTGACATCTTTTCCCTGCTAGTCCCAAACATATGTGGCCACATTGCCCAAAGTACACAAATTACCCACTAAAGTCAGTGAAACTTATGGCTCCTGCCGACATGGTAGCTGGATTATTATTATTATCGATCCACTTGGCTGCATCTTGTCACTATGTCACAGCTGGCTTGCAGTACTAGGAAAGAACTATTGCATATGCAGAATCTTGAAAGCCATGGGAAAAAAAAGTAAGTGGGGAAAATAACAATGTTAATGGCCTCATAACGTGCTGTGCTTCGGTTTAGGACAAATGCTGGTGAGAAAGTCCAATCCATAGTTTGGCGGAGAGAGTGTTGGCTGGCATTAATGCAAAAATTTTATTTAAATTTTAATTATCGGTGGATAAGTGTTTTAGATTTTGTGAACATCCAATTTGTAAGTTAATTTTGGAGTACCTAACCCAGAAATCACATAATCTAAAATCATTCTAATGAGTTTGGCCGTGACTCAATTCACAGTTAAAGGAGAGACGTTACTCCAAATTTAGTCTCATTTTTGGATCATGAAAATTCTTAGATTGGGTCATACACACCATGGTGCCGAGTAGTGCTTAATTAACTTAATAGGCCAAGACTTCATTCCACATGATCCTGTGGGATTTGTGAAAGCGTTGGTAGCCGAGATAGAAGCCAAATCAAGAATGTACCACCAGGTGGCGCTTAAGGACTTCCTTTCTTCACATGTCACTCAGTCAATCCAGGATTTATTGATGTGAGAAAGTGTAACACTAGATACGCATTTCCAGAAGGGTGGCATGAAACTTCTTTAAAGATTTCAGAAATAATATAGTGTTTCTAATCATAGGATTGGGTCTATCTATTTAGTGAGCGAGACCACTCTCTACACACACATAAAGGAGACAAATGTTATCAAACAACAATGATAAAATTACGTTTTGTGAGACAACTGTGTTCATTAACGCATTTTTTTAAATCTCAAAACATACAACATTATTTCATGTTCACCATCTCATTTCTTGCAAGCGGCCTATCAAGTAAGTAGTATTTATTATTGTCATTCTTTTCCTAGAAGAGGAAATAAACACCCTAAGAGATTAATCAACATCACACAATTGGTTAATAACAGAGCTTGTAGTGTAATCCAATGATCTACTCCAAAGCCTGAAATCTTAACCAATGTGTCCATCTGCCTCTGATATGGCACTGGTTAAAGTGTAGATGATTGTTCTAGTTTTCAACAACTGGTGTTTAAAATTTAGGGGAAATTTTAAAGTTTTAGTTGACATTAAAGTTGCATTGAATTTCCTTTCTGGTAAAAGAAAGAAGCAAAAGGTGGTGGTCAAGTATATTCAGTAATAGACACAGAAAGACTATAATAGCAAGTATAATACACTTGGGCCGCCTTTGTGAATTAATTTAAAAATGATTGCATGCCTGGAATTGCTTAATATGAACTTCCCAATAGAAGAAGCTTTGAGTTACCCTTTCTTGTTAATAGGATTGTCACTTTTTTTCTTTCCAACTCTGAACAGCAGATAACACTGTATAATACTTGTCCCAACAGAGGCTCCAAATCAGTAGAGGATGGAAAAACACTCTTATTCAGAGACCCATTTTCTTTGTTTTATAAAAACCTGTTGGGAAGAAGGTTAATCACAAACAGAGATGTAATTCGGCATAGGGAAGACTTCCTTCCCTATTTTGACAATAACCTTAATCTTAATTACTTGATTCACTCCAAGGAAGAGTCAGATTAATGTACCTGTTAGAACACCACCTAGTTTCTCTAATTAATGTAAATTGTAAAATGTTCAGGAGGTGTTAGAAATCAGAATGTAGTTTGTTCCTATAATTTGAAAACATCCTAATCAGGATGTGTTCTTGGAGGAAAGGGCTCTTTGTGTACCTCTAAGAAAAACAGTGAATTTTTCAAGAAAAAAACAAAAAGGCTTGAGCTGAAGTCACATTGGGGATGTTTTGTCTTTCTGAGCACAGGCATATAAAATAAAGGAACCCATAACTGCACAGGGGTTGGTCTGCAGATATGATGAACTCCTCTAAGTCATCCAGGGCTTATAAAACAAAGGAAGTGCAATTCAATTCTCTGAAAATACTAAACTCAATGTTTGATCGTTAGCACACAGCTGTCTTCATCACCACCCCCACTGCCACAACCATCATCATCATCCAAAGTCATTATAATTGTTTAAGATGCTGCAAAAGTAGAAATGAAATAAACTCTGTCCTTCTCACCTGAGAGTTGAATATGTAGATGTAGAAGATAAAGGAAAGTATTTATTTTAATGCACATTTTGAACACATAAGTTTTATTATCTTTATTATGGTATTGGGTAAAGTGATGTATGCAGAAATATTATTAGAGGCAAAATAAACCCTTTTTCTAATAATTTTATTCACTTATTGTCATAGCCCATTTATTGTTACTATAAGGAAATACCTGAGGCTTGGTAGTTTACAAAGAAAATTTGGCTTCCAATTCTGCAGGCTGAACAAGAAGCATGGCACTAGCATTCTGCTCAGCTTCTGGTGAGGGTCTCAGTTTGCTTCCACTCATGGCAGAAAGTGAAGGGGAGTTGGCAGGTGCAGAGATTACATGGCCAGAGAGGGAGCAAGAGAGAGGGGAGGGAGGTGCCAGGCTCTTTTTAACAACCAGCTCTCATGGGAACTAACAGAGTAAGAGCTCACCCACCCTATAGGAACAGCATTAATCTCTTCATGAGGAACTCATCCATGATCCAGACACCTCCCATTGGGCTCCACCTCCAACATTGGGATCAAATTTCAACATGAGATTTGATGGAGACAACCCATCTTCAAACTATAACGCTTCTTTTAGGTATATTATTTATATATAATTAATATGTTATATATAATCATATATACACATATAAACTATATAATTATACATATATAATATATATATGTATATATAAACTGTATATAATATATACATAAATACACATATGAGTATATATGTATATAGTATATATGCATATATACACATATAAAATATTTATATAATATTCATATAAATATAAACTATATATGCTCTATACGTGTGTGTATATATAGTATGTGTAATTTTTTACACACATATGCACATATACAAACTATCTGCTATTTACTAAAACACTTTGCTTGGTAGAAGGAATATCAAAGTCAACAAGACATATGAACTCCAGGAACATTGCATCTAATAAAGAAGACAAGAAATCAGAAAAAACTACCACCTGTGAAACATGTTATGCTACAGTTAAGTATAGGTAGCTGTAGGAGTATATAAGAGAGTCCTCCAACCTATTTTTTTGAAGTGTTTGTAAGACATGATCCCAGGAAAAGGTGACTTATAAGTCAAAGACAGAATAAGCATTAACTGGGCAAGGGGGGAAGTTCCAAGCATTTCAGTCTGCAAAGACCCAGAGATAAGAGAGTGATGAGCTCACCAGGAATCCTGAGTAGCTTTCTAAGGTTTGAGTTAAGACAGTGGAAAGAGACTGGGGAGAGAGGAGGCTGGAAAGGTAGGCAGGGGCTCATCATAAAGGGCCTTCTTTTGCTGTGAAAAGTTTAGGCTTTATCCTGCAAGGTGTGAAGGACACATTAAAGGATTTAAGCAAAACACCTTTGTTCTTTGTGAAGATCACTCACTCCAGATGTTGTGTGGAGGAGGAATAGGTGAGTAAGAGGGGAATAAAGGGTTCAAGGTGGTGATAGCTATTTGAGGCAGAGATATGAATATGCTGACTGAGGGAACAATAATGGAGGTGGACAAATTTGGATGGCATCAAAGTTTAGTACAGGAATCATGTTAACTGGATTAATGGCTGAACTCATTGTGACACTCAAAATATAGAATAGGGTTCTTTTGAGACCTAAGTAAGATGTGTAATTTATTCTTAAGATAAACTGGTGGTTTGGCCCTATATTTTGAAGAAAAAACAATTTGTTGCTGCAAAAAGATGGTGATAAGAAAACTGGGAGTTTTAGAAATGCTGGAGGTCACTGAAATTGTACCGACAGATTTCTAATTCTCTTATCTGGGAATCATGTCTTCAGCAACTTCCAAAATTGTGAACTCACTTGACCTCGGATAGACAAGCAAACATTGATTTTGAGTTTTCTTAATGGAGGAGCTTTGCATCATGTACTTTACTTGGGGAGATTCTCACCTCTATTTGCTTGCTACGTCTGTTGGCTTCTCTCTTAGACGTGGTCATAACATCATCACTTAGCTGGTTCTCCAGCTTGAAGGGGACTAGAAGTACTAAAAATGAAGAGGAAGGTGGGAAGCAGGCCCTCTGACAGCAGGCACCTGAAGAAATGATGGCTGATATTTATTGTTTGATGAAGTCTCCATCATGTGCTTTCTAGATGCCTGGTACCAGGTGTATCGCCCATCTGTGGCATCAACACTTGGGGATTCAGCTGGCAAAGAAAAAAAGGGCATTCTTTATAATACGGGTGCAAGATCTGAAGAGAACAGACAAATTTGAATCATGCAACATTATCATAATCTCATATTTTACTACCCACATAGTAAACTGGCAATGTGCTTAGTGACAAAAGTGTTAAGAATAGAATGAGGTGTACTAGATGCCACTTCTTAGAGAGAAAGGAGTCTCAGATATTTCTAAAGCATCACATCAGAAATGACTGATCATTAAATTGGTCAAATATGGATTAAAAAAAGCTTTGCAGTTCTTAAAGATTTTATTTAGTTGAAGAGGAGTAGCTTTACTGCTTTATGGAAAAACCGTAGTGTTCGTTTTTCTTCGTTTTCTTCTTCCCCTTTGTTTAATATCTAAAAGTTTACCTCAACCAGACAAATTCTCAGGTGTAATGAGATTCATTTTTGTGGATTCTAGAGACGTTGAGAGGTGCTTTATTAGCTCAGTTTCTTGAGGATTGCAGGGGGTGTTTGGGCACCTTTTCTTGACTGGTTTTATGAAAGATGTGGGGGCTGCTTTCCCATGGAAACTCCACCTGCCTGTAGAAGCTCTGGCATAAAATGATGGGATTTCCAGAAAAGATTCCAATTTTAACTTTTCCCACTCAATGGCCAAACTCCTAAAAAAAAAAAAAGGGAGGGGGGCATCAATTTACTGTTCCAATTTGGTCATGTTTCATTCACATTTTACCCTGCTGTAACTTGGCCTCACAGCCATGCCACCCTTGGAACAGTTCTCTTCAGATTCAAACTGATTCCTCTTAGGTTACTCCCAGCTTATGTGGCCTCTTGGCAGCATTCACCTCCCTTTACTATAACTTTTTCTTGAAACAATGGCAGTGCTCTATTTTTTCCATAATATTTATTATAGCTTTAAGGGCATGTTTGTGTGGTAATTTGGTCAGATCTCTCTCCTCCATTAGACAAGAAGCCTGCTAAGAGAAGGCTCTTGGTCTGTTTTACTTACCATTGTATGACTGGCAACTGCTGGTTGCCACATAGAAAGAGCTCAATAAAGTGTATTGATGGCATGAATAAATGAAGGGCTCACTTTAGGCTAGCTTTACAAACATGAAACTGAAGCAAAGAGAATTTTCTACCTTCTAAAAATTGAAGCCAATCTCCCTATACTAGTTTAATGATACAAGTTTGATAACTCAGTAGAAAATGTCCAGTAATAACTTTAACTTCTCGTATTCCTGTCAAGTTCTACCTTAAGACAAGAAGTAGGCACAATAATTTCAATATCTCAATTATAATGAATGATAATAGTAAAAATATTTAATGATGGATATAACATGGGCAATGAGAAGTTTAAACAACTATTGGCTGGAAACAATTTATATGGCTCTAAAGCTAGTATACGCTGAATATTAGCCTGCTGTGGACTGAATTATGTCCTTCCTAAATTCATATGTTAAAGCTCTAATGCCCAATGTCACTGTATTTGGAATTAAGGTCGTTAGGCGTGAATTAAGATTAATTAGGTCATAAAGGTGAAACCCTAATCCTATAGGATTGGTGGCCTCATAAGAAGAAATAGATCTTTCTCTATCTCTCTTTTCCCATCCCTTCCCCTATGTGATCAGAGGAAAGACCATGTGAGGACAAAGTGTCCCACCTGCAAGCTGACAAGAGAGCCCTCACCAGAAACTGAACCCTGATAGATATGATATTGGACTTTTCAGACTTTAGAATGGTGAGAAAATGAATGTCTGTTGTTTCAGCCTCCTAATGTATTATGTATTTTTATGGCATCCTCAGACCAGTTCACAGCTCTAATTAATCATATCAGGTACCTATGTAACAGACAAATTGGCATTGAGCTTATTATTTTTTTTAAAAAAGCCACAATGTTTCCAGACAGAAATCTTCTACCATTTTTATAACATTTATTTAAAACTTAAATATCCATTGACAGAAATACTCTTCTGATATTGCATACCCGGTACTCACAATAGAAAGAAATTACTTTTTCTAGTATGTGTATCCTGGAAAAGCCCATGTGGTTTTCTTTCATAAAATAAAGCATAATTTGTTACAGGAATTTGCTTTTTTTTAGAAATGCTACAGTACACCAGTTGTCACAGTGTAGTCCTTGAAGGATAGTTCTGCAGGTGCTCCAAAAAGGTAGTCTTGATTAAGTAAGTGTGGGAAATGATGCTTTATTAAAACAGTGGTAAATGGGTTTATTTTATTGCTGGACCTTTTAGACTCTTTCACAACTAGTGTGTTGGGTGAATTTATCAATAATGTTTATGGGACTCTCAAGGGTAGATAGATATATAATGCAGGATTGTCCAAAGTCATTTGACAAGGAGATCCTTGCTTCACAACACAAATTAAAAACCCATGGAACTGATGTTTTTCAAGATACGTATATTCCACAGTAAATCGTAGTGTAAAATTAAGAATCATTTTGCAAAGGAAAGAATCACTGTATCAATAGGTTTCAGAGCAGAAAAAACAATCTAGGTATTTCCAGCTACTAAGTAAATCACAATGCTCCTCAGTCCCAAATATGACACCTGTCAAAGAGATCAAAGGACATGGAGTCTGCTGTGCTCATGGTCATATCTGCAGAGACCAACACATCAGCCTCCACTGCTGGAGAAAGATGGCTCACTCTCTCTCTCTCTGTATCTTCCACATTTTGTGCAAATGCATCCCATTGGCAGATAGAAATTGAATCCAGAGCCATGGTAGTCTATGAAATATAATACCTAGACTTCCAGCCTCAGAGTTATAGAGTTGTGAATTGTACAATTCTGGATTTCTATTTATTTTGTCACTGAAACTCACTGTAAATCATATTCTGAGACTTCTTACATCCTGTTTCCACACTCCTTTTCCTTATTCCCTCAGGGAAAATAGACAACTAATCTCTTTAACACTTTCTTCCCTGCTTGAAGAAATTGTAGGCACACAGTAGGGGCTTTGTAAATATTTGTTAAGTGAATAAATAAATAAAGGACATATAAGTTGTTATGTGATTCAGCCAAGAGGAAAATACTGTGAAATCAGAAGATAGTTAATAATTGATTGGCATTGATGTATAGGCTTCAGAAAGTGTCACAGTGGTTTCATGAATTGACTTTATTGATGACCTATTTCAGTTACCGTAAGCATACCTGTACAATAAAATTGAATTAACGTGTATTTACTACCAGGTACTCAAGAAAAACAATAAGCATATTGAATATGAGACTAAAAAGGATAAGACAAAAAGAGTAACAATCAATCATGAAGCTTCTACAATTTCTTCCTTTCTTTTCTCCTAACAACAGTGGTCAATGACTCTCAGGGGACCTGACATACTTCTACTCAGCATAGATGGGTCTTACAGATGATGGAGTCTCAATGAGTCCTCCTGGAATGTGGCTTAAATATGCAGGCTTTCATCTATCCCTCTATGAGAAGCCAGAGGGCTTGAAGTATCAGATAAATTGTATAAATGTAAGGCCAACCCTATCAGCCATCAATCTATGTCAAATTTCAAAATTATCATGTCTTTCTAAACGTTTCCTATCAATGAAGAGTTACATTTCTTCTGGCTTTGTTAGCCCACATTATTACCTCAGCAGTGTGTGTGTGTGTGTGTGTGTGTGTGTGTGTGTGTGTGTGTTGGAGAGGAAGGGCTTATATCTCAATATATTATTTTATTTTAAAATACAGGCAAAGTAGGGGGGAGTCTATATGACTAACTCAAATACTGTCACTCACTGGGGTGAACATTCTAAGAAATCAAAGCATTCTCCTGAGTGTATCTTCTTAATCAGCAAAGTATTATATTTGGATTTTTTCAAGAAAAACAAACTCCCTACCTAAACTCTGAATGTTAGTATGGCCTTGGTCTCTCTGAGAGAGAGAGAGAGAGAGAGAGAGAGAGAGAGACAGACCAAGAAGGAGAGAGAGAGAGAAAGAGAAAGAGAGAGGGAGAGGGTGATTGATCTCTCATACATCAGTCACTGTGTCAGAGTATCAATGAATTTCTTAGAGTATCCCTCTAAAAAAAGGGAGAGGAGAGTTAGAAAAAGAGAATGTACAGGTAATAACCAAATATTTAATCATCTTGTAATTTTCTAGATCCTCTTATAGGTTCTTTGGGAACATCTGACTAGTTCTGGTCAATGGGTTATGAGCAAAATTCACATCAACATTCATGGCCTGGGGGTGAATGATTTTCTCTCTCATTTTGCCAACATCATTTCTTTCTCTGATTCTATGAACTTGGAGGCCACACATACCACCAGTAGAGGCTAGAAAAATGACGTCTGACCCACATCAGATTTGGTGAAGGAGAAGACAAGAATAACAACAAAACACACACACATACACATACATATACACAAACAAACACATATTGTGTTACCCCTCAAACATTTCAAGATGTATTTTAGAAAGGAGTATAGATTACCCTCACAAATGAGGGGACAGAGGGTGTCTTCTTAATAAAAATTCCACAGACAGGCTAAATTCCATTTCACCTTTTTTGAGGCAAACTCCTAGTAAGATAAACAGAAATGGGATTAAAAATATCCATGAATATATCCTGGAAATTGTATACAATACTTCATGCACATGTGCTTTTCATTTCCCTGGAGAGAGGATAGATAACTTACATTGGAGCCTCTAAAAGGTTTAGGGTCCAGAAAACATCAAGGAATACAATGTGAAAAATCGCCCTTATTTAGGGAATTTTGAGTATCTGTGGAATTTGAAAATCATGGAGGCAGTTACCAAAAGGCAAGAAGCTTATTTAAATCTAAGATAGCCTCTTTGGGCTATTGCATGTCTATGGAGCCTGTGCATTTGGAATTTGGGCTGCAAGAAGCAGGCATGTGGCAAGTGATGGACGCACCAGTGATGAGGATGAATCATTTGAAGCCAAGAGGCCTGTTCAATAATGTAACACAAAGGGATTAAAAGAAAAGAGGAAAGAAAGCACTGAGTAGTTAGTCTTTGTGCTTGCAAGTCTTTTGTTTCCTTGTAATCTCCTTAAATGTGATTGCTGTGATGGTGAAGGCTCTTATATTTAATAGACTCTTGAGTTACTTTGGAGATGAGACATATTTTCCACTTACATAAAACACACTTTGTACCAGAACACAGATGCTACAATTGATACCCCCACGTCTTAAGAGAAAATTTGAAAAAGAGTCCCCAAAGATTTCAGAACTGCCTTTACTATAAATGAAAGAATGATTGCAGTTATACTAAACTCCAGTATTAATGCAGCAGAAATAGAAGAACCAAAGATGGTGCTATTTATTATTTCCCCTCTTGGAGAGTATCAGCAAAAAATGTTTTTTTTTTTTTAAATGCAGTTAACCCTGGCAAAGGTAACTGATGCAGGTACACAGATTTGTAGTCACTCCTCAAATTGTCAATACATTGTGCTGTTTGCTCAGCAGGTGCCCTAAATTGTGAATTTTGTTAACGAAGAGTTGTCAAGAAGTATTGGCTTCATTTAGAAAGCGATATTCTTCTCAGTAGCCTTAGTCTTACTTTAGGAAATCCACAGGGGATACGTAACTTAAGGGTTCAGATTGGGAGGCGCCTATTATTATTCCCCAAATCTTTGCAGGTGTCCCCAAAAGCATAAAAGATTAAATTATACGTTTTTTTATTTGTCGACTGTTTCAAAGTACAAACCTATAAAAGGGGAACACTGGTACTCTTTTAAAGGTTATAGGGCATGAAACCACCTTTAACTTACACGAAATGCTTTGAATTTGTATAATTTGCTTCTCAGATCTCAAAACACTTGGTCGTATTTCACTGAATTTGACTCATCCCTTTGGGCAAGAAAGGTTGAAAAAAAGAAAATATCTTGCACTACTTGCTTTCTAAAGCCACTCCAGGATGAAAAGGAGATACTGAATGTCTTTGTGGCTGTATAATTTTTAGCAGGGGCCATTTTCTGTGCATTCTTATTAGAGGAATATGTAGGAATGGTCTGTTTATACAAAGACAGGATGGATTATATGATATGATTTTGAAAATGAGGAATATACCTCTTCTAAAACACCCATCCAGTCTAAAACAGTGTCTGAAATCTAAGATTCAAAAAAAGCCACTTTTTTTTTTATTTTAGGGAATTGTGAGCTTCTATAGAGTTGTCAAAACATGGAGGCAGTTACCAGTGTATTAGCAGCACATTACCCAGATGCTTTCTGAACCATTAAATAGGGATCACAAAAAGTTATTACTTCACTGAGGACTTTTAAGGATTAAATAAGATGAGACTTGTAAAGAGTTTAACATAGGGCATAGGGCAGAGTAATCTCAGTAAATGTTAACAGGCAGTACTAGCAGTGGTGGTAGATGTCAAAGTCACTAGTTGCACCCAATAACATTTTTGCACCTGTTACTGCATCTATAGATTTATAAAATCTGAACGTTAGAGACAATCACCAGGTATGCAGAGTAATTAGTTCATTTCTTCCTCACTTCCTTCCTTACTCTTTCCTTCTCATTGTCTCTTCCTTACTTCTTCTCTCCTTGTTTGTTCATGTTCTTTAATTCATCCAACCAACAACATGCAGTGAGCACCTATTTACAGGCATTTTGGATAAAGTAAAGATCGAATTAAGCACAATCACTGCTCATGTGAAATTTACACATGAGAGAATAGAGGCAAACAGCAAACCACAACATTCAGAAATAATTATTGCTGAATGTGACATGCATTATGAGGGAGTTAGCATAGGAGGCATTAACGGGCTGAAACCTAGACATCTAACCAGAAGAGGGGTTGGCTCATGTATTTGTTCATTTCACAGATTAGTATAAAGCTTTAATCTGATTATTTCCTGAGTTTCTTGCTAAGGGATGGGCAAACAATAGTAGTAAAGACAGACAGGTATTTTTCCTATTTAAGTTCTCATTTTAGTTTTCAAATTTTGCTCTAAGAAACTCTAAGGTCTCATAAATGCTCTGAAGTGCCACTGGAAGCTCTAACACCTCTCTGAGGAAGAGGATATGAGCTGAGACTATAAAACCGCAAACTCACTTGAATTGGAGTACAGCCAACCTTTACTTTGCACAGATCATGTTAACACAAATCTGTGTGTGTGTGTGTGTGTGTGTGTGTGTTGGGGGGAACCTAGTTCTTACTTTACCCAATCCCCACATGTTCTGATATGCAATAGTTTCAGTTAGTAGGGTATCATGCAATGTGTGGAATACCCATATGTCTTCTTATATATGCTTGGCAAAAAGTATGCTGCTAGAAAAATAATAGCAGCCATTGATTAACTTCCATTCTGGGGCATAATTTTCGAGTTCAAGATTGTTACAAGAATTTATAGCTTTAAAGGACTATCCTATTTCCCCTATACTTCCTGGGCTAAATATCCCATTCTCTTAAATTTTTCTTATAAGAATCAGACGAATTGCCCTCACTACCCTGGTCACTTCTTTGCACATGTTTTTTCAGTGTTTGCCAATGTTCTTCTTAATGCTTGGGACCCAAAACAAAACCATGCCCGTTTTGCCATTAGAAATTCATCTGTATCACCCTTAAGTTGGTTTATCAGAGTGGGAGACAAATCTATGTAATTTTTTATTGTAATCTTAGTACTGCAGTGTAGTACCTAGTTTCTAATTAGTACTCAATAGTTATTTCATTAATACATACTCCAAATGTGGTGTAACCAAACACAACATAGATATCTGCTTTTATAACTATGACACTATCACATTAACTTTCATCTAGCCACATGACACAGTTGATTGATTTTATGTTTCTTATCAATTTATCAAATCAGCTTCTTCTCATTTGTGAAAGTCCTGAGGGAATTGACACAAGATAGGTAAAGTTTATTGGGAAGGAATTATGAGAACTAATAGGTGTGAATTGGAAAAGTCAGATCTGAGTAAGATTTTAAAGTGGGAAGGAAGCAGTTATGAACATCATGACCTCTCTCCCATAAATACTTTGTGCTTGGAGAATGAAAAGAATAAGGAAATCAGAAATACAACTTTCACATATTTCTGAAAATGCCAAGGCATGATGCAGATGTTTAATGGGTTTATATTTTAAAGGTTTTGCATTATAGTATTGATTTGAATAATTTGAAATTTCATACAAAATTTCATTACCTGTTAACTTGATGAAATTCACTGAAGAAAGAAAGAAATGTTACAGAAATGGACTACACCATAATGACTTTCATATTCATGTGAGATTGTTAATGTAGACCAATTGGGACTTCAAATGGTGTGGTAGAAAATGCTCTTTAATGCCAAATCTGGGCAAAGCAACTTGTCACATATGGGACCAAGCTTAAAACATTCATTCTCAAATTATAAATTATACTCCTGAGAATTTATACTACAAAAATAATGCGAGGACATTTAAAGGCTTAGGTAAAGATAGTTTATCATAACATTCTTGCGATTGTTAGAAAAGAGTCGATATTCATTAATATGGGGCAAGTAAAACAAAATCATGGTTAAATCTATGTGATGGACAATCAATTAGACTTCCACAAAGAGGCAGAGCAGTATGTATAGTAAGATACCTTTAAACTTAAAAAATGCCCGGAAGGGTAAAATTAAAACTAATAATAATGGTTACCTAGAGGAGGAAGAGAGAAAGGAAGAAACTAGAAGAAACAGCCTTGATTATTTATTTTCAAATTTGGAAACAAGCAAAAGTTTTTGTCTTGTTTTGTTTTGTTTTAAGATGGAGTCTTGCTCTGTCACCCAGGCTGGAGTGCAGTGGTGTGATCTGGGCTCACTGCAACCTCTGCCTCCCCAGGTTCAACCGATTCTCCTGCTTCACCCTCCCAAGTAGCTGGGATTCCAGGCGCGTGCTACCGTACCGAGTTAATTTTTGTATTTTTAGTAGAGACAGAGTTTCACCTTGTTGGCCAGGCTGTCTCGAACTCCTAACCTCAAGTGATCCGCCCGCCTCAGCCTCCCAAAGTGCTGGGATTACAGGCATGAGTCACCACTGCACCCAGGCAAACAGGCAAAAGTTTTCTATTAATCACATAATGTGTGGGAAAAAATCCTTAAACTCCAAAGAAAAATGAAACAGAAGAATCTGTGTATAAGTTAGTAGCTTAATGGTACAAAGAATTATTTGAGGATACTTTGAATTTTAGTAATTTGTGCAGCTTTGTGAAATATATCTTCATGACAATGAGATATGCCCACAATATTAAAATTTGTATGTTTCAATATTTTTACAATATATGTTGTTTTTGAATTATCATCCACATACTTTTGCATAAAGCAACTGAATACTTTTTATGTCATTAGAGAAGACAGCTAAAAGAAATATAAAGTCAATGAAGTTAAGCAAAAATCTTATAATTCAACATTTGAATAAAAATGATCAAAATGAACTCATGACGTTTCTTATCTTAACACAGTATTTTCTACATCTGTCCACTGAAAAAGTGTAGAAATGATGACTATCCCAATATTACTGAATAGCCCCAGCATACAGATTATGGTCTCTAAATGCCATTGCCCAGTTAAAAGGAAATCAGACACCTTAGACAGATGGTTGATCCCAGGTTTTGGGGGAAATAATATCCTATAAAAATGAGCCTGGAATTTCTTTCAAAAACCAAAAGCAGCAAAGCCGCCTGGACATGGTGGCTAACACCTGTAATCCTAACACTTTGGGAGGCCCCAGCGGGTGGGTCATCCGAGGTCAGGAGTTTGAGACTAGCCTGGCCAATATAGTAAAACTCCATCTCTATTCAAAATACAAAATTTAGCCAGGTGTGATGGCCCACCTGTAATCCCAGCTACTTAAGAGGCTGATGCAGGAGAATTGCTTGAACCCTGGAGGCAGAGTTTGCAATGAAAAAAAGCAGCAGAGCCACTATTACTGTAATCAGATCAAAGGAAATTATAGTCATTTTTAAGAGCATAATCCCATCCCAGAAAATACAGAAAATGTGAACATTAGAAATAGTAATAAGATTGAAATGTATCAAAATGTAAAATATGTAAGTGCATAATGATACAAAAAAAGATGGATAAGGAAAAATAAGCAAGTTTTTCTTTATCTTTTCTATGCAAACAATACCTCAAGGTAGCTAAAGAGTTTCTTTATATAGAAGTATTTCAGATAATCAATGAAAAATAATGACAAAATTAGATTATTACAATTTTGTACTCACTAATACAAATATATAATTAATAATTGCTAAAATCCAAGTTTTGGAAAGCTAATGGAAAGCTTTAAAATGGATAGGTCAGGTTGTCAACACCTTTTAACCTTAGGAATACACATGTGTGCATGCGCATGCACACACACACACACACACACCCCACACACAGAAATCAGAAAAGACCTGCCTACTGATATGTACAATAGGAATCATTAAGCATAACTTACATCTGTAAATTACCCATGCCAAAATATTGAACCTCAGCCTGATCAAACCTTAAAATGTGCTTATCAGTTTGCAAGACACACAAAGGAGAGAGCAGCATTAAAACAAACAAACAAACAAAGAAACAAAAAATCCCCACATTCAATCAATCAACAAAATTCAGAATGTGAGAAATTCTTTAGGACAAATGACTGATTTATTTAACAAATTAATGGCAAGAAAAACAAACAAGAGTAAAAGATGAACCAAGAGATAAAGAGACTTAAGAGATGTCAAACAAATTATATGTAGTGGATATTTTTCTTTAGTAGACATTTGAAAACTCAAAATAGTAAAACACTTCTTAAAAAGAATTAGAGAAAACTGAACATTGACTACATGATATAAAAAATCATTTTCTGGCTGGGTGCGGTGGCTCACGCCTGTAATCCTAGCACTTTGGGAGGCCAAGGCAGGCGGATCATGAAGTCAAGAGATTGAGACCATTCTGGCCAACATGGTGAAACCCTGTCTCTATTAAAAGTAAAAAAATTAGCTGGACGTGGTGGCACTTACCTGTAGTCCCAGCTACTCGGGAGGCTGAGGCAGAATTGCTTGAACCCGGGAGGCGGAGGTTGCAGTGATCGGAGATTGCACTACTGCACTCCAGCCTGGTGACAGAGCGAGCTCCGTCTCAAAAAAAAAAAAAAAAAATTTCTAATGCATTAGGTGCGATTATGGTATTATAGCCAGATTATAAAATAGATCATTATTTTTAGATATGAACTGAATTGTTTATGCATGCAATTAAATCATATCTCAGATTTGACTTAAAATAGCTCAGTTTAGTGGGAAAATAATGGGTGGTGGTGTGGATGAATCAAGATTGGACATATGTTGGCAACTGTCCAAATTGAGTGGAGCGTATAAGGTGTTTTAATATAATATTCTAATTTTATATATGCCTGAAAATTTCCATAATAAAAAGTTAAAATAATATTTTTAAATGATAGAAGAGCAATTAGTTCTGGGTTATATAATTTATGGATTTTTTATTTTTATCATTATACTTTACTGTATAATTTTCTTAGTGAGGGTATATTACTTTCATCTTAATAAAGAAAAGATATATAAATTTTAAATGAACTCAAGACTGAATCTGAGCTGATATATCCAGGAGCAAATCCCTTGACATTTGCCAAGAATAACTGTGTTAGTTTTCTAGGGCTGCTGTAACAAAGTGACACAAACTAGGTGTTTCTTATAACAACAGAAATGTATTCTTAATAGTTCTAGAAGCTGTGAGATCCAGAATCAAGGTGGCTGTAGGGCCACATTTCCTTTGAAACCTGTAGAGAAGAATCACTCCTTGACTCTTGCTAATTTCTGGTGACTGCTGTCAATCATTGGTGTTCTTGATCTTGCAGTTACATCACTGCAATCTCTGCCTCTGTCATCATGCGGTGTTCTCCATGTGTTTCTTTTTGTGTCTCATTTCCTCTTATAAGGACACCAGTTATATTGGATTAGCTCACACTACTCCATTGTGACAGCATCTTAATTAATCATATCTGCAAATATCTCATTTCCAAATAATTTCACATTCTACCTTACTGGGGTTAGGACTTCAGCATATCTTTTTAAGGAAACACAGATCAACCCAAAGCAATCACTAAATCCACCCATGCATCCTGAAATAACTGTGATGTACTAGGAAAGTATCAGACATACAACTGACCAGGATTTAAATTTTAAATAAGCCCTTCATTCCTTGTATGAACTCAGGTTTAATTCTTTGAATCATACTCACCTTGGCTGATCATCATCATCATCATAATCATCATCATCATCACCTTAATTGTCTTAGATCAGATTATCTATAATAAAGCCTAAGGTAGAGTTTGTGTGCTAAATCTTTGTTGAGAGGTAAAACCAGACACCATGCTGAGGAGAAACTTGCTTCATCTGAATTCAAAAGTGGAAAAAGGAGGCAAAGTCTTTGGTGGGTAGGGTGGAGATGGATAATGGCAGATAAAATTGAAGATGTTTCCAAATCTAGCCCTTAGTATTTTAGGAGACTGTTTTAATAGATGTGGCATATGAGGGCATGTCCTGAAATTTTCACTGGGAAACAGCTGAGGTTCGGGAGCAGGTAGACTCATCAAATCTGGAGTAGCACATAAACTGGGTTCAATAAAAACTCGTTAACTTATAGATCAGTTGTGATGAATATATGAGATAATACATGAATGGATTCTACACTTCTATGCACTGCCTGGTTTAAGTCAGGCACTCTGTAAATGGTTATTGCTGTTTACTTAGACGGGCCACATCCCAACTTTCAGAGAGCTTACGAAGCAAAAAAATTTCAAATTTCTTCAAGAGTTCAGCCTAAGCTGGGAAAAGAGGGGGCACACCATGTTTAATTGAGAATATTTTATTTTAAAGCCATTATGATTTGAACTCAGTCACTGAACTACATATAACTAAAAGACAACTGATTTCACAATTTAATAGGAGCATGAAGAGAAGTGTGCCTTAGATTAAAGTTTGTGCCTTTGAAGTATCATAAACAAGGGTTCACTCATTGATGAATGACTCATTTTTATTTATTTATTTATTTTTTGCAATGAAGCAAAACTCTTTTCATTTACCATCTCTTCTCCCGCTCCTCCCCCTCATCCTCCTTAATTCTTCTTATAGTTAAAAGCCTGGGCTTTGGGGAAAAGGAGATTTAAGAATTCAAATCCCAGCTTTGAAACTCAAAAGCTAAATGCAAATTGTTTAACTTCTTAAGCTTTAGCTTCCTCAATTGTAACTAACAAGTTACAAGGATTAAGTGAAATAACATATATAAAATGCTTAGCATTTGCTATCCATTAACAGTGTCCACTGTTCATCTCCATTTTCAAAATCTTTCATGTCTTTCTCGTCTCCAGAAGTGACCACAGCAGCTGCATAACGGCCACCTTTCTCCCCTACCTTGTAATCTCTCTCTTCTCTCTCCTTGTATCGTAACAAGAGAGAGCCCTCTCGAAGGTAATTCTTTCCATTTCATTCCCTTCCTTAAATTCACTCAGTGACTTCTCATTAACAGAAGACCAACACCAAGTTTCTAAGTTCGGGCCTTACTTCTTTTACTTCATTCCTCATTATCTCCATAACAGACACATGGACACTATCTGCCATAGACACTTGGATCTTTCTCCTGGACCTCGACACCTGCAATGTCCTTGACACCTGCCCTTGATACCTAGCTAATTTCTGCTTGTTATTCAGGCCTTAGTTGATGTTGCTCTTCCAAGCCTTCAAAACGCCCTGTGCCATGGCATTTATCACATCATTTTAGTATCAGTCCTCTGTCTTTCCTCTCTACTATATTCTCTATGGTATCTTTCATCTCTAGTGTTCTAGATACAGAGATATAGGAGATAACCAATAAATACTGTAGAATGAATCAGTAAATTAATAAATGAATGAATGAATGAATAAATGAAGGAACCCACACAAGCTCTTCTTTGCAAATATGGTCAATAGAGTATTGTCTAATTTGCAAAAGCCTTGGAGTAACATTAACTGAAACTTATAGCAAATAAACATCTTGAAAAAATAAGGTAATAAAATATCTTAATAAGAATTAGGTTTGACATAACCTAGGCTCTGGGTTCACCCTGGAAGAACACTCCAGTGGAAGTACTTAGTGCCCGAAAGTTGGCAGGACCTCCTCTAACAGGGGTGGCTGCACAGATGTTCTGGGAAGCAGAACACTGAAGCTCCCTGCTTTAGGATAAATGGTGAAGGACTCAACCAAAAAATCCACTCCTTTCCTACTTACCTCTGAGGCCCTGGAGAAGGAGCATCCTTAGCAGTGACAAGGGTATATTGATGTTCTAATGTTTTCCTTAAAGGCATAAAACCCAGGATCTAAATATTTACCAGCCTATGGAAGAGAACCATGGAAAATGACCACTATTAAATTTTTTACTAATCTTGGAAACTAGTCTTTCAGTATACAATTTTAATTGATTAAGAAAAATAGAAAACTATGACTTCACTTTCATGGTCATTAAGTATCACACACCATCCATAGTGTTTACACATTTAGTTTTGCATAATTATTCATATCAGAAAGTTTGAAGAAATTCTGTCCCCTGTGTTTGCTTATGATAACTTCATACCAGCGCACAGCAAATTCCATCATGTTCCTTTAATTTGATTATCTCAGTTTATCGCCATCATATTTCTGAAATATAAGTGCTGGGATTATTGACTTAGTTTTCTTACTTGTCCCCTGCCATTTCCTTTGTCTTTTCTAAGTTCCCTTTGTTTATAATTCTCACATAATGTTAAGGAGGAATAAAATCAAAGGATGGAAAGGAGCTAAAGTTGATTTTTAGCATAGACAATTGAACCAAAGGTAGTCTGTTATTGGGGTAAACTTCTACTTTAAAGTATCCCAATCAACCCACTCCCTGAAATTAAAAAGTGTCTTAAGATATGGTAACTACTCTAGTAGATTTTTTTCATTGGTATGAATTTGTTCATATTAATTTTACCCTTTGGCTTAGGACAAGGGCAAGTTAAGGGAAAATACTCTTCCGTCTTTTCCTTTCCATTTGTTCATCCTGAAAGACTATTTTCAGAAAGGAAGTTTTTATTATTATAATTCTTCAACTACAGGGTGAATGTAAAATACACTCTGTGAGCTAGTTTGAGAAGCCATATACCCCACATAACATACTTTCTAAATGATGCTGCACTGTTCTTCCCCAAACACTGAGTTCTCCTAAGTCAGAGGCTGATTGTGAAAGAGAACTCCCCTTACCTAAAATCTACTTCTGAGGCATTAATCTAGGGTTTCCAATTTATGTCAGCTAATTTTATGTATTAGAACCATCATCCAGGTATTCTCCAGCCTTTCCTTGAAGTGTCATTTCTGAATAATAATCTTAGAATCCACTTTCTTAAGCATGTTTCTCCTCTCCTTGAATATCTCATAGCAATGGCACCTGAGTTCAGTATGTTGCATTTATTTTAATGTTTGTATTTGAAAAACTGTGAATGCACAATTCCTCTTTGAGGATACCACATTTCTTCTATGTAAATCACACCTTAGAAAATATTAAAGATTTTAGGTTTTTAACCCATTCTAAGTGTTCCTATCATTTAAGAATATTTCCACCTCACACCTTAACCCAGACTTAATTGTACAGTGTACAATTACACTGTAAGTGGCTAATTAAGAAAATGCTCAATGTACTGTAGTTGAGAGAACTTCCTATTCAGGGAATTCGTTCTACTCTTTGTTAGGAGTTGCAAATAAAACAATTCAATAACCTGAATCCGCTCCAAACAAAATACTAACCAGGTATCTTCACAGAGGCATAATTCCAGCTAGAATAAATGTGCATGAGGATTATTTCTCCTTCCTCCTACTGCCTCATCCTATTATTATCCAGTTCCACATGGCAGAGTTAAGAAGCACAGCATCTGCATTTCTCAGATTGCCAGTCTTCTTATCCTGTACTGGTAGGATGACATCTATTTTTGCCAGCGGTGTTGCTGCAACCGTTACAGCGGGTCTTCCTTTCTTTATAAAATGAATCAAATTACAGGTGCGCAGCATGGTTGAGTTCAGCTGTATATCTCCAAGTTGCACGAAAACTAAAGCTGTCTTTAACTTAACATAGTATTGGAAGTTCTAGCCAGGGCAATTAGACAAGAGGAAAAAATAAAGGGTATTCAAACAGAAAAAGAGGAAGTCAAATTGTCCCTGACATGATTGTGTATTTAGAAAACCCCATCGTCTCAGCCCAAAAACTCCTGAAACTGATAAGCAACATCAGCAAAGTCTCAGGATATGAAATCAATGTGCAAAAACCACAAGCATTCCTATACACAAATAATAGACAAGCAGAGAGCCAAATCATGAATTAACTTCCATTCACAATTGCTACAAAGAGAATAAAATACCTAGGAATACAACTCACAAGGGATGTGAAGGACCTCTTCAAGGAGAACTATAAACCACTGCTCAAGGTAATAAGAGAGGACACAAATGGAAAAACATTCCATGCTCATGGATAGGAAGAATCAATATCGTGAAAATGGCCATACTGCCCAAAGTAATTTATAGATTCCATGCTATCCCCATCAAGCTACCATTGACTTTCTTCACAGAATTAGAAAAAACTACTTTAAATTTTATATGGAGCCAAAAAAGAGCCCATATAGCCAAGAAAATCCTAAGCAAAAAGAACAAAGCTGGAGGCATCACGCTACCTGACTTCAAACTATACTATAAGGGTACAGTAACCAAAACAGCATGGTACTGGTAACAAAACAAATGTGTAGACTAATGGAACAGAACAGAGTCCTCAGAAATAATGCCACACATCTACAACCATCTGATGTTTGGCAAATCTGACAAAAACAAGCAATGGGGAAAAGATTCTCTATTTAGTAAATGGTGTTGGGAAAACTGACTAGCCATATGCAGAAAGCTGAAACTGGACCCCTTCCTTACATCTTATATAAAAATTAACTCAAGATGGATGAAATACTTACACCTAAGACCTAAACTATAAAAATCCTAGAAGAAAATGTACCTGAATGTACCATTCAGGACATAGGCATGGGCAAAGACTTCATGACTAAAACACCAAAAGCAATGGCAACAAAAGCCAAAATTGACAAATTGGATCTAATTAAATTAAAGAGCTTCTGCACAGCAAAAGAAACTATCATCAGAGTGAACAGACAACCTACAGAATGGGAGGAAATTTTTGCACTCTATCCATCTGACAAAGGGCTCGTATCCAGGATTGAAAAAGAACTTAAACAAATTGACAAGAAAAAACAAACAAACAACTTCATCAAAGAGTGGCCGAAGTAATGAACAGACATTTCTCAAAAGAACACTTTTATGTAGCCAACAAACATATGAAAAAAAGCTGATCATCACTGGTCATTAGAGAAATGCATCAAAACCACAATGAGATACCATCTCATGCCAGTTAGAATGGCGATCATTAAAAAGTTAGGAAACAGGCTGGGCTTGGTGGCTCATGCCTGTAATCCCAGCACTTTGGGAGGCCGAGGCAGGCGGATCATGAGGTCAGGAGTTTGATACCAGCTTGACCAATATGGTGAAACCCTGTCTCTACTAAAAATACAAAAATTAGCCAGGCATGGTGGCGCGCACCTCTAGTCCCAGCTACTCAGGAGGCTGAGGCAGAAGAATCGCTTGAACCTGGAAAGCACAGGTTGCAGTGAGCTGAGATCTCACCACTGCACTCCAGCCTGGGTGACAGAGCAAGACTCCATCAAAAAAAAAAAAAAAAAGAAAAAAAAAGTCAGGAAACAACAGATGTTGGAGAGGATGTGGAGAAATCGGAACACTTTTACAGTGTTGGTGGGAGTGTAAATTAATTTAACCATTGTGGAAGACAGTGTGGCAATTCCTCAAATATCTAGAACTAGAAATACCATTTGACCCAACAATCCCATTACTTATATATACCCAAAGGATTATAAATCATTCTGCTATAAAGACACATGCACACGTATGTTTATTGCAGCACTGTTCACAATGGGAAAGACTGGGATCCAGCTCAAATGCCCATCAATGATAGACTGGATAAAGAAAACGTGGCACATGTACACCATGGAATACTGTGCAGCCATAGAAAAAGGATGAGTTCATGTCCTTCTCAGGTACATGGATGAAGCTGGAAACCATCATTCTCAGCAAACTAACACAGGAACCGAAAACCAAACATCTCATATTCTCACTCATAAGTGGGAGTTGAACTATGAGAACACATGGACACAGGGAGGAGAACATCACACACCAGGGCCTGTCAGTAGGTGAGGGGCTAGGGGAGGGATAGCATTAGGAGAAATACAGATGATGGGTTGATGGATGCACCAAACCACTATGGCATGTGTATACCTATGTAACAAACCTGCATATTCTGCCCACGTATCCCAGAACTTAAAGTATAATAATTAAAAAAACTTTAATTTTTAAACTCCTTTGTCAGCTTACAATAGCAGCCATAAAGAAACTCAGACAATGTGTTCCACTTACCACTCTGCTTCCCTTCTAAATATCAAGCAGTTGGTTGTAAACTGAGCTGTTAGGGCACTTCTGTTGCAAAGCACACTTAAAAATAAAAGGAAAAATTTGGAGAAAAATTGTTTTAATATAAGAAAATTTTCAGGCACCTACAAAGTCAGGGTTGTGGTTAGTGAAGTTGAGGTAATTTACTGAAACTTGTACAATGAGTAGACTGGAGGATTGGAGGAATCTATGGATTTATTTTAAGATATAGAGAGCATTTTTTTGTTTTGCAGTTATTAGATTCATTCTGATAAAATAATTTTACCGGAAAACACCAACAACTTAGTTGCATGAAATTTTGTAATACATGGGGCTATATGATCCAAACTTGGCTATCTAAATTATTTTTCCCAGGATTTTGAGCCTTGAATGTAGTCATGTAGGATCGAAAAAATGGTTGGAGCTGATTTACTGCTGCAGTGAAGAGACTTCCTGATTTGGATTGAATTGTGCCCCACTCAAAAATATGTTAAAATCCTAACCATTTATACCTGTGAATGTGACCTGATTTGGAAATAAGTAATTGCAATCAAGTTAAAATGAGGTTATACTGAATTAGGATGAGCCCTAATCCAGTGTCACTCGTGTCCTTTTAATACGAAGAGTAGAGGCACAGACCCAGACACAGACAGAAGTCCGTCATGCGAGGTTGGAGGCAGAGATTGCATTTATGCTGCCACAAACCAACAGATGCCTGGTGCTACTAGAATCTAGAAGAGGGAGGAAAAGATCTTCTCCTAGAGGTTTTGGAGAAGTTCTGCCAACACCTTGATTTGGGACTCCTAGGCTTTATAACTATGAGAAAATAAACATTTGTGGTTTTAAGCCACTCAGAGTGTGGTAATATGTTATGTTAGCTCAAGAAAATTTATACACCTTCCTTTTGCTTCTTCTGCTTTCATCTACTGAGATGCTCTATTTCTAGTTCCTTTCCAATGCTAATTATTTTGTTTTTCCTTTTTTTTGTTTGAGTCACACTATAATACTTCCAATAAATTCCCTTTAAAATTAAGTTGACCCAAATAGATTGCTGTTGCTTGCGTCATTTTGTCCTAGCTGATAAGCAAATATTTCTTGCTATCATTCCTGTGTCATTTGGTATTGGTAGACTAGACTCAGTTTGTTAGAAAAAATGACCAAAACTTGGAAGTCTGGTGAAGGGAGGGTTGCATATACTCTTAGAGCCATATTAGATCACAAACATTTTTTAATAAGCCCACGAAAGGAGTGCTTAGTTATCTATAGTATACCATTGTTTGACTTAATATTTACTATAAAGTTCCAGCTTGTGTGAACTTACATGTTAACTTGTGGATTTTTGTCTAGCAGAGATACAAGTCATTATTTGCTTGTAGAAAAAGTATCCCAAAGGTTATGTTAGCCATCTTATGCCTACATCCTTTTTTCACTGTGTATATAACCCTTATTCTAATAATTCTCCTTTGAATCACCTTTTCATTCCTGTTGACCACTTCATTAATGAGGAGAGCCAGTGTTATAATATTTGTATAAAAATCATACTTTTAACTATTTGAATATTATTATTGTTATTATTGTTTCTTAGGGACAGGGTATCAGTCTGTCATCCAGGCCTGAAAGCAGTGTCACCATCATAGCTCACTGCAGCTTTGAACTCCTGGTCCCAAGTGATCCTCCGACCTGGGCCTCCCAAAGCTCTGGGATTACAGGCATGAGCCACCACTCTCGGCCAACTATTTGATAATTATACTTTGATATGTGGCATGCGCAGACAAGATTATTTGAGAACACTGATTGTTCCAGATTAGCTGAATAACTGTGAGCACATCCACAAGGCAGAATTTAGGATGTTGACATTAAATTGAAAATAAAAGAGGACTTCAGAATGCTGAGAGAAAAGTATGATTTTTTCTTCTTAAGATTGAAAAAAATAACATCTATTAGTTTAAATAAAACCTATCCACTCAACAAATATTGATTTAGAGACTAGTAATTGTTTCTTAAATCGTAAGACAACTTTTCACTGAAGATCTGGTCAGAGAGTTGGGTTAAATATCTTCAAATCAAAACTATTTCATCCAGTTCTTCGGGTGAAAGCAAATCAGGACACAGAAGCATAGGAATATTACATATACATTATATTGATATATAATATATTATTTATTATATAATATACATAATATACAACTGAATTCCAACTGTAAATTATAGAAATTTGATAAGAAAATTAGATAATTTCACATAGTAAGATCAGACTTTAGTTTTCATTGCATTATTGAAACATGAATGAAATATAACAAAGAATGAGTACAACCAAATCTCTTAACAAACTTAATGTAGGCTCAAGAAAACATTTTTGAAAAAAGCCCGGTATCTCCCCAGTGGAAAGATAGAGTTGTGTGTGTGTGTGTCTATGTGTGTGTGTAGTAGTAAATTTGGGACAAAATGATGGGTAGGAAAGGAAACACGAAGGATACTGCCACCTTCTGAGTGTTTTATGGCCACCTCTGCGAGGAGTTCTTAAAAAAAATCAAGTATTTAATACTTACTATATGAAAACATACATTATTGTCATTAACACAGATAAAGCTAAGAGAGGTTAATTTTCTTTATTAGGGTTATGCAACAGCTGATGCAGAGCCAGAATTCAAATTTATTTCTAACTCCAATATTTGTATTTTAGGTTTTCTATTAAAGGATATTGCCTCTCAAAATGAAATTGACATTATTGGTGGATATTCAGAATTCTGGTTGATTTCACAAGTTGTAAGTTACAACTATGACCTTTCTGGGATAGCACATGGTTTGATGGGAAAAGTATAGAACATTTATTTCTAGTACCGCATTGCCCTGAAAACACCATGTGACCTTTGGAATGTCACTTTTTGCTTTTTAGGCCTCAGTTACCAAATCTATAAAATGAGTTTATCAGACCAAATGAATAGACTCATAACTGTGGTTCATAGTATTGGTTTTGCGGTAAAGTAGTTCAACCGTATTTCATTCAAAAGACATTTATTGGAGTGTATAATGTAAATAAATCTGAGATGCCCTTATTTGGAAGATGGCAATTACTTTCTGTACCCCTAAGAAAGAATGAAAATTTATTACTTAAACTCTGACATAATGCCTTATTATTGGTGTTTTATTTCATACCTTGTAAGGAAAACTTTTAAAGCCTTATTTAGAAATAGATATTTTTACTATATATCACCTGTTCCTTTACAAATAGAAAAGTACCAGAAAAATAAATTTGGTTAAGGTTTTCTTAAAACATCTTTCCCATTTAGAGTTCAATTTTTCTGGATAACTTTTAGACTCAACTTTTACGTATTTCTCCACACATTAGCATCTTCTAATGCTTCACAACTGTTGGTAATAAAGCATTACTTAAATGAATGTTGTATTATGTCCTTGAGGTTTTCTTAGAAGCCAGTGATATATTGTACTCAAGTTTTGATGCTGGGAGATATGTAAGTATGCATACACACTTATGTGTTTATAAATGTGAGTTGTGGGTATATATGTTCTATATTTCCACATTATGAGCAACTAAGGGAGAACACTTGGATATCGTTCACGTTGATGTTTCTTCCAACACTCACTACATTATTATTCACATAAAAAGAACTAGGAAAATTTTGATGGCAGAAAATAGAGCTAAAATATCTTATTCTTATTTTACAAGTTTCTAACTATTTGGTTTCATGTGTAAAAATAAGCCACATTAACTAGGGTGAATTTTCTATATCTACTGAAAATGTATTTCTAAATGTTTACCATATATTAACAATAAAAACAATTAGGATAGTAAATGGCAAACAGTATCAGTGAAGGAAAATTTTTCCTTAGAAAAGATCATTTAAAACTACATTATTTCATGAAGTTCTGCTGTGTTATTTGTTGATATCTGACTAATTAAATGCAAATTATCAAGGAACCATCTGCCAGGCTCATTCCCAGCGATCAATTGGGTAAATAAAGGTAACAAAACGGTGTGTTTGGTTTTGCATCTAACACAGTATTTGTTTTATTACCATCATTTTAAAGCTGGATTTTTATTGCCATTTTATGTGCCTTGTAATTTGTACATTAAAAATAAGGGTTTCAAAAATAATGATCATTTTGCATTTAATTCAACAGAAATGAAGTGCATAAAAGCTTGTTTTGATTGAATACTGAATCAGATTCCAAAATTCTAAGTGTCCCAACACAGGCCAGTCTCCCCAAACACTCATGTAATAATTCTGAGTTACATTGGAAATAATTTGCTTAACCATGTCAAGCACATGAGCTTGTGTGTTCTAGAACAAGTTGTCCCAAATGGCTATACTTCAGCGTATCAAAAAAATCATTTCTCTCAACTTACTGGTTTATAACATGGAAAGCAGAGTCAGCCTTCTACCTGGTGTACCTGCTATTATTAATTACTTTGTCCAATTCTAGGAATTTCGCAATGAGTCCTCTGACGTGAATGCTATTTTTGACACACACACACACACACACACACACAGAGAGAGAGAGAGAGAGAAAGAGAGAGAGAGAAAGAGAGAGAGAGAATATTTTAAAGGGATGGTATAACATAAGAACCCAATGGAGAGCATAATGTAACATGAGGTTATAAGAGCAGACTCTGGAGCGAATTTCTGAGTTCAAATCGTGTCTCAACCATTTACTAGCTTTTTGACCTTAGGAAAGTTACTTAACTTCTCTTGTCCTCAGTTTTCTTATCTGTAAAATGGGTTAATTAATAGTACCTAACGTATAGGAGTGCTTCAAGAGAAAACTAATATTTATAAAGCACTTAGAATTCTACCTGCTACATATTAAATACCATATTATTTGTGTAATTTAAAATATATAACATATATTTATTAATTGAGTTATGTTTTCTTACTATTGATTTGTTTCTAATATGTTTTAGATATTAACCCCTTCTCAGATGTTTAGTTTGCAAATCTTTTCTTCCATTCTATTGTTTGTCTCTTCATTCTGTTGACTCTTTCTTTTGCCATGCAGAAGCTTATTAGTTTGATGTAATTTCATTTGTCTGTTTTTTTTTTTTTTGGTGAAGACCTGTAGGTCACAAATGGCCGAAAAGTATATAAAAAATGCTCAACATCACTAATTATCTGATACTTTAAAGTTAAAACCAAAGTAAAATATTCCCTCACACCTGTTAGAATGGCTATTATAAAAAGATGATATTTAATAAGTATTGGTAAAGATGTGGAGAAAATGGACGAATTGTACACTGTTTGTGGGAATGTAAATTAATACAGCTATTATGAAAAACAGTATGGAAATGCCTCAGAAAGTGAAAACTGGAACTTCCAAGTGATCTGGTAATCCTACTACTGGGTATCCAAAGAAAATGAAATCAGTATGTCAAATAAGATATCTGCTCCCCTACGTTCATTGCAGCATTATTCACAATAGACAAGATATGGAATCAATCTAAGTGGCCATCAATGTATACATGAATAAAGAAAATATGGTGTATATACATGATAAAATACTATTTAGCCTGAAAAGTTGTGAATCCTATCATGTGTGACGGCATGACATAACATGGAATACATTATGTTAACTGAAATAAGTCAGGCACTGACAAACAAATACAACATGATCCCACTTAAATGTGAAATCTAAAAAAGTTGAACTCTTAGAAACAAAATATAATGGTGGTTACCAGAAGCTTACGTGGATGGGGTTCAAGGAGATATTGGTCAGAGGACATGATATTTTAGTTAGACTGGAGAAATAAGTTCAAGAGATATGCTATACAATATCATGATTACAGTTAATAACCATGTATTATATGCTTGAAAATTGCCTTGGGTGTACATTTTCAGTGTTCTCCCCACACACACAAAAAATATGTGAAGTAATGCATATGTTAATTAGCATAATTTAGCCATTCCACAATGTATACATATTTCAAAACATTATGTTGTACACCATAGGCAATTTTTACCTGTCATTAATGATAACTCACACACACACACACACACACGTGCTCACACACATGCATTTCTATGAGAAGTCCCATCACTTGCTGGAAGATTTTGCAGATCCCTGATGAATATGTGACAGAATATCTACCTGTTTTATTCTCTATTTTCTTCTCTTACCTCCTATAAATAAACCTTTTTGCTATGACTCAAAAACTTTATTACAATGCATAAATGTGTATATAATGTCCATTAGCTGATTAATTCAATGAAACCTAAATCTAGCCATACACACATTGAAAGTCAAACTCACTGAGAACAAGTAGAATTGAGTGGATATCACCAAGTTTCAGTAGGAAGCCAGTCTTACCTAAACTGTCTCCCTCAGATATTCCTATTGAGAAGTTTCTGAGGAAGGCTACAGTAATGAAAGTATTCACAAAGTCCTAAAATGTTGCCAGTAATCAGTCAGCATAGTGACCACTGATCCAGCTCAAACTCAGTTATCTTCACTAGCTAAATCCTGTTACATGGCTTAACAAGGAGCACTGACTTTGAATCTGGGTCATAAAGGGAATTCACAGTGAACTTTTACAAATGTTGCAGACTCAGCAGGATCCAAATAAAGAAAGTCATAGATTATGTCTCTCCCTTTGAATTGGAAAATTGGTACAATTTTCCGTATTGCCTAAGTATCCTGATACTTGCTTTCTTTTACGAATAGAATTGATTTCCAATGCAATTTCATCCACCTTTGTTTCTTTTATCATACGTTAAACATGGATAAGAGTCTCTTAAGAGTGTACACATTTTTAGAATGGAAAGACAATTCAGTACTTAATAGGTGAGGCTACTGGGTGTCTTCTCATTGACCTCAGAGTGTCTCATTAGTTCCCATTAGTCTCCAGCCTCATTAAAGTAATGGATATAATGCAAATAGATTTCACGGAACAGCTCTGCAAAAGTTCAATTGTCCCATTTTACTATTGGTGTATTTACATATTAAGTTACACATTAACCTGTATAGTAGTGTGTGTTTTCCACACTGTATACCTTGGAGTATTAGTTCTGTGTAATATGAAGAAGTGTTATGAGGAAAAAATGCAGTCACATTTGTTTGAAAAACTGAGTTCAATCAAGAGATACAGGTTTTTTTTTTTCTATTGTTATTGTTGTTTTTACTGTTGGACTTCTCAAAACCATGTTAATATGCATGGTCAGTCTTCAATGAAGAGATGCAGTAAGCCGTATTCCCAATGTTTTGACCACTTTTTTTTTTTTTTTAACTTAGACGATTTCTCAGAACTGGTGTTCTCTTGTACACAGTTTGGGAATGACTGCTTGGTACACTTGTTGTTATTTCTGAAAATTGATATTAAAATAATAATTTATGTACTACCACTTGAATTCTTTTATCAGTTAATCCTTCTTCCTTCTTGCAGATAGTGGAGGGCTAAGAAAAGCAGGAAGTCATGAATGATTGAGAAACAAATAAATGCCACTTATCTCATTCCTCCCCTGGGAAAAAAGAACAGCTTTGAAATTTACTGTATCTGTCACCAATGGAGAAATTGATAGTATTGAGTATATTTAAAAGAAAAGCTATTAGCAAGATCAGTTAGGACTGCCTGAGTGAATTTCCAACTGTTTTCCCCATACTAATGCTAAGCCATTGCTAGAATTCCTTCTATGTGGCAGTGAAAACGTAAAATGATGTCTTCCCATTACAAATCAAATGAGGACAAGTGAGTAGTTATTGTAGGAAGCCAGCTTCGGGATTAATATGAGGGAAAGTTTGCAAACATAGAAGAACGGACATTGTTAAAAGATGTAACAGAGTAGATTAAATGCTATGACTGTATGATCCAAAACCAGGCAACCATATCCATGGCTATAAAATATTCCAATTGGAAGGGAACTTAGGATAATAGTGGATGGATTTCAGCTTTTATACCAAGTCCAATCAATTGTAGAAGCTTTCTGAGTGCTATGTTGAGGGAAATCCATATCTCAGTGGGAATGAATAGCATGATCAATTAGCAAAAGATCCTATTTTTAGGAATTGGAGATTTGGCAGCATAGGGATCACCTACTTGCCATTCTTGATTTAGTTCAATTGTGCATTTTGCAAGTCGGCTGTTGTGATGCACAGAAGCTGTGTAACTTACTCAAAGTTATAGCACTAGCTAAGGTTAGAGCCAAAATTTGAGCCAGGTGTTTGCATCCCGAGTCTTTTTCAAAAATAGGCTTTGCTCCCAGGCGCGGCAGCTCACGCCTGTAATCCCAGCACTTCGGGAGGCCGCGGTGGGCAGATCACAAGGTCAAGAGATCGAGACCATCCTGGCCAACATGGTGAAACCCCGTCTCTACTAACAATACAAAACTTACCTGGGCGTGGTGGCACTTGCCTGTAGTCCCAGCTACTTGGGAGGCTGAGGCAGGAGAATCGCTTGAACCTGGGAGGTGGAGGTTGCAGTGAGCCAAGATGGTGCCACTGCACTCCGGCCTGGTGACATAGGGAGCCTCCGTCTCAAAAAAAAAAAAAAAAAAAAAAGGCTTTGCTCAATATTTTTCTCAAAACAGCTATCATTGCCCTCTTTGCCATTTAAAATTTTAAAGAAGACATTCAATGATACAACACTAACATTCACTCATCACATTAGGGCTGTTGAGAATGTCTTCTTGGAACCAAAGCAGTCAGTCACACAACACATATGGAGCTGTAGGCTGAATAAAACTGCAAGAGTCATTCTGACTTGCAGAGCAAGCCAGGGTGGAAATTGGACATGTTATTATATTTGATAAAGAAGGCAATGTTGAAAGACAGAGAAATGTCCTTGTGTAGCAAAAAAAAATTTGAAATATCATATTTTTGCTTTTGCCTTAGTGCTGTCTTTAAAATTTTAGACTCTTGACTAAACAATTAAAAATGAACTTGATACCCCTTATAGCAGCTGTGCATACACAACAGGAGCTACTCAGAAATATGCCTTAGAAAGCTTTCTTTGAAGTGTTTCTTTACCACTTTCTTTTTCTTTGGGTTCAAATTAAATAGAATATCAGCCGTCCACTTATCTTAATGACAATTATTGTGAATTAGACACTGAGTAGAATACAGTGACAAAGAATTGTAGGCTTTTGCCAAATGGAGTGGAAAACAGTAGGAAAATATGATATTCTGGCCGGGCGTGGTGGCTCACACCTGTAATCCCAGCACTTTGGGAGGCCAACGTGGGCGGATCACGAGGTCAGGAGATAGAGACCATCCTGGCTAACAGGGTGAAACCCCGTCTCCACTAAAAAATACAAAAAATTAGCCAGGCACGGTGGCGGGGGCCTGTAGTCCTAGCTAATCGGGAGGCTGAGGCAGGAGAATGTCGTGAACCCGGGAGGCGGAGCTTGCAGTGAGCCAAGATCACGCCACTGCACTCCAGCCTGGGTGACAGAGCGAGACTCTGTCTCAAAAAAAAAAAAAAAAAAAGAAAAGAAAAGAAAAGAAAACATGATGTTCCAAGAGCGAGGAGACATCTTATATATACAAATATAGTGCTCAGTAAACATTAATACAATGTGAGTTTTCTAATTAATAATTATGCCTTTTCCAGATTGTCCAAGTCACTAGAAGCCTGAATTTTCACAATGACTGCTATTGTCTTTTGTCATGGAATCGAAACCTTAGTTTTAATCTCATTAACTCCCTGGCCCAGTCTTCTACTAATAGGATAAAATAAAGCATGGTTAAAAGAAAAAAAGCGGACAGAAATATCTCACATATAGAATACATAAGGCCTTATCCATAACATTAGAGAAATTTAGAGCTACAATGGACTATTTAAAGACTAATTTAAACTTTTCCAAATAAGTAAATTGACACCGCAGAAGTTATAGGGACTTGTGCTAAGCGCTTGGTTCAGTGTGCTGAAGATAAAGCTGAAACTTAGTGTTCTTTCCATTTACCCAATAGGATGACCTAAAATGATAAAATCATAAAATGGTGTAAACAAATTCCATCCTCATAGGGCATCTGCACTGGCAATAATTTGGAAGATCAAAATCACATTTTCTTCTTCATTATTCTACAAGGAATGTGAACTGACAAAATGTGAAAACTTTTTAGAATATAGGCTTTCTATTACAATTGCTGAAATAGTTGAACATTCAGGTTGTTAATTTTTGAAGACACAGCTATTTCCAAACTGTTTTTATTTTTGTTATGTTTTATCACTTAGTTTTTTACACATCATGAAGATTAAGGTCTTTGTAATTTAAAAATTATGCAACAGCTGCTGAAAACTGCCTCTTACACTGGAACATGAAATTTATATTAGGAAAATACCTATTACTTGCTATAAAATATGTATGAGGCTCTGTAGCCAACTTTGTAAAATGGAATTTCTCCTCAAAGCAAAATGGAATGGTTACTTTGCTTGGGGGATCCACTGTTAAAGGAGTATGGTATTGATATGTGTTAAGTATTGTTCTATGACATGAATAAAGAATACAACCATACATTGTGATACTCAGTATTGTGGAATTATTTCTACACCATTTTATTATTTAGATACTTATACACTGACTTTTGCAGCTGGGCTTGTTTTTACGGCATAATTGTTTAGATACAGACGACAAAATGTATATTTATAATTAATTTGGTTCTGTGTGCTTCTACAAATACCACACCCACAACTACTGTCAACAAGAAAAAAATTAGAATATTTAGGGTATTTGATTTTTATGACACATGACAAAAAGTTGGCTGTTGTCGGTGATTTACCTTAAAAAGTTGTTTCTTAGAGCATTTCACAAAGATAGAAAAAAAATTGTTTTAATTACACTTTGTCCCAGTTCTTAACTGTATAAGATGCAGAGGGTTTTTATTACTATATTTGAAACCAAGACTCAGGATGGTTAAAGAACCTGACCAGCTTCTTTCCATTTCTTCACAAAACAAGCAAATCAATCTTTCTAAAATATGTATCTTAAAATGTCATCGATACACTGTAAAATTTTCATTTCTTATTGCCAGCTGAATGGAGGTCAAGTAATTAAGCTCACTTTCATATTTAAAGTCTTCTTCCTCAGAGAGACCTCAAAAACTTTGCAGCTCTTTCTAACTCTGTTTCTGTAGATCGACCTCACACTCCACACCCCCAGCTAGACATTTATTTTTGTCTTATCTTTTCTTCTTTGTTTGCCCAGGAAAGAATAACCTTGTTCATCATCATCTTTTACAGTTATTCTCATCATTTCAAGGGCATCTCAAATGTTTTGATTCTTCAACAGTCTGGTTCATTCTCATCATATGTGACTAGATATGTTTTTGGAGTGTGGTAGTGGTGGGTAGCATGCTCCTGATAATCTCTCTTCATTCCTGAATTCCAGTACAAGGTACTGGTCAACATATCAGAGGTGGAGTCCCACTGCCTGGGTCTAAATCCCAAATCTGCGTTTGATTAGCTGTGTGATTTAGGGTAAGTTATTTTACCTCTTTGTGCCTCAGTTTCCTGAAGTTGATAAAGGGGATACTAACAGTAGCTATTTTACATATTTTAAAGATATGTAATTGTAGTGCGCTGCCCACAGTCGATGATCAGTTAATGTTAGTTATTATGGTGGAAGAATAAAATTAATACTTATTATATAATCATAATGATCTAGCATGCTTCACCTCCTGGCTGCTTTTAAGAAATAAGATACCCTTATATGTGTGTCGCTAAGCAGAATTTATACATTCTTTTCATTCCTATAGATTGAAACTACTATTTTAAATTTAAATTTAGTACTTTAAATAAGTACCATCACATGCCTTAAGTCACAATACTTAAAATCATAGCCAAATTATTGATCTCATATACAAAAGTGAGAAAGACTTTCTCACTTCTGTCTACATTTAATCTGCATCATTTTCCTTTCATTATATGCTTAGAAGACTATGTCAGTAATGCCTCCTGTTTGGAGAATTTCCAGCAATATATTAAGGAGTTCATGCAAAAATTTACAGAAATATTTACCATTTAGTGATATACTTTCAGTTTTAAAATAAAACATTGTGTTGATGGAAAGGCTTGACGACTTCTTAGAAAACAGGATGTGCTATTTATCAAATTCCATTTAAGTTTAGCTATTTGGTAATGGATTATGGATTCTGAATGATGCAAGGAGTTATATTCTTCACTGGTAGAAAGTCATTGGGTCAATATATTTACCGTAAAGCAGGTAATAGATGTCCTTTATTATCTATAACTATGCCAGTTTGTCTCTCGTTCTCATCAAGTGTAAGCAGTATCATTGGGCAGGATTCTGATATGACTTTATGATTTAGGAAATCAGTAATAACACAATTAAAATTACATCACACACAACACGAAAAAATTATGCATCACTTTGTTTATAATGTTTCTAAAAAACTTCCGAGTTTGGGTTAATTGAAAAAGGTATTTAATAAAGGGGTGTCAAATTTGCAAAATGTTCTCACCACTTAATTGGTGGAAGGTTCATATAACTACTGATTATTAGGTAAAATGTATAGTAAATCTAAAAACATAAACACAGCATTATGCATTTAATTCAACTTTTATTGTTGTCAGAATATGTGCCAGAAATATTCCAATCCATTAACAAGGTTCCAAAATATCTCCAGCTGGCTGAATAGTGGGGTCATTCAAACCCCTAAAAAGTTACTACATACTCCTGTCTGTTTTGGCCTTCTTATTATGTTTTTTCCTTTTATTATACTTTGTGCAGAGCTTAATTTCTGCTCTATTGGACTTAAATTGTTGCACTAACTTTAAATATGTGCTAATTTTATCAGAAACTAGATGTAAGGTGATTTTAGCAGAGAAACGTAGCTTGTTAATAAAATTCGTACCAATTCTGGAGTACAAGTTTGATCCTCTTAAAATAACAAGCAGTTTGTGTGGAATATTGAAGTATATTTTATCATCAGCGAAGTTAATAACTCTGCTTAGTTTGATATTTTCTGTGTATATATACATTTTTATAGCTTTACCAAAACAGAGCTTACACTAGACCGTGGTTTCTTTTTCCTCCTTCCAATTACTATGTGTTCTTAAATGTGACAAAAATACCTTTGCTTTTTGAGTTCAGTAATTAAGAGGTTTAACTACTTCAAGCTGACCTCCCTGCAACGAGTGCAAATTAGTGAGATTAAAATGAGATTGCTTCTCTGTGTTCTCTCGGTTTACATGCAAGTTTTACCACACCTCATTAGTTAGATAGTTCATTGCAGCGAAGTGCTATCTTGTACGTTTTCAGAGAAAACCTGGCTTGATCAATTAGTCTTGGTAGGTCTTTCTGATCTCTTAAAAATAATTTTGAAATAAAACTGGCATGTGTGAAAATTATCCATTGATATTTTATTAAATTTCTACTACATGTACGTACTTTAACTCAGTCATTAACTCTTTCTTTTTAAATATTATTTAAGAATAAAGAAGAAACTTGTTTAAAATATGGTGTCACAGTCAGAGTACACTGATTTATGCTACAATTTCCAAGATCTCAGTGGTTTGAAACTCTTAAAATTTTTCTTTTTCTTTCTCAAGCTTCATGTACAACAAAGGGTGGCAAGGTAGTCTGTTCTCATGGTAGTTACTCAAGGACTCAAGAGAAAACTCTTTATCTTACATAATTGCTACAGTTGGAAAAAAAGATTCATGGTTAATCAATACTGGCTTTGATAATTCCACCTAAAAATTGATACATGTAACTTCTGCTCCCATTACAGTGGCCAAAGCCATGCCTAATTTCAAAGGGGCTAGTCAAACATACTTCTACTATGTGTTTGAAAAACAAACAAACAAAAACCTACGATTTTTCTCATTGATCACCAAATAAACAATACGCCTTTCTGGCCATCATATATTTGATATACTCTCTTTTTCTCCTAAATAAATGTACACACTCACACACACACGCGCGTGCGCACACACATACACACTGACACAGGCACACACCACTGCCACCGCCACCACCACCACCACCACCATCACCCTGAATAACAACACTTCCTGGTCAATAAAGGAAATAACTCACCAATAATACCCAGCCACAATATTAAGATTAATGTCTTATTTATCTCAGAGTTTTAGCTATGATTATAGCATAAAAGTTAGAAATCATTCCAGAAAAGGGTGCAGTAAGAATATTTCCAAAGGTTTGGGTGCATTGTATAATTAATGCAACCCTGTACAAACTATGTTTACAGTAAATTAAATCTAGAAATAATATGAAGAACTATGTACAATGGCCAACTAAGATTTATTCCAGTTAAGCAAAACTGGAAAAATCAATCAATATAATCTTGAAAAATATGATCACTTGAAAAATCAACCAGTATAATCTCTCATATCTATAGGTTGAAGAATAACTTATACAGAATAAATCATTTGACAAAATATAATTCATTTATAATAAACACTTTCAGTAAAGTAGGAATAAATGGAAATTTCTTCTACTTAATAAAGTGCAGCTACAAAAAAACCTAAAACTAACGTTATAGTTAATCATGAAAGAGTAAATGCTTTCAGCTCAAGATTGGGAACAAGGAAAGGATTGCTCACTCTCCACATTCTTATTGAATATAGTAATAGAAAGTCTACCCACTGTAATAAGAAAATAAAGAAAATGTGTACAGATTGCAAAGGAAGAGATAAACCTTTCGCGATTTATAGATGACATGACTGTCCAAGTAGATCCTGAGGAAACTATATAAAATAAACTCCTAAAACTATTGTGTAAATTCAGCAAGGTTGCAAGACACAAGGTTAACACATAAAAGTTAATTACATTTCTGCATGCTAACAATAAGCATGTGGAGACTGAAATGAAAAACACATTACCATTTATAACTGATACAAAAATGAAATGCTTAAATATGAGTCTAACAGAATACCTAAAAAATTTATAAACTAAAAATTACAAAATTATAATGAAGAAATTAAAGACACAACAAATAAATGGAGAGATATACCATGTTGATGGATTGGATGACTCAACATGCAAAGATCCCCATCTTGCCAAGTTGATTGAACTATTTGGACACTTGTCTATTTTCTTCCTTTTTTTCTTTTTTTGAGACAGGATCTTGCTCTGTCACCCAGGCTGGAGTTCAGTGGCACAGTCATAGCTCACTGCAGCCTCCATCTCCTGGGATCATGCAATTCTCTCGCCTCAGCCTCCCGAGTAGCTAGAATAACAGGAGCATGCCACGATGCCCGGCTAAGTACTTTATTTTTATTTTCTTGTAAAGATGGAGTCTTACTTTGTTGTCCAGGTTGGTCTCAAAATCCTGGGCTCAAGTGATCCTCCTACCTCGGCCTCCAAAGTGCTGGCATTACAGGTATGGGCCACCACGCCCAGCCCATTTGTCTATTTTCAGTAAAGCCTGTATGTATCAGTGAGATTTGGTATAATTTCTATTAAAATCCTAGCACGGTTTTTTTTTGGAAGCAAAGACAAACTTACAATGAAATGTATGTGGAAGTTACAGGGCATAAAATATTTAAGCCAATCTCCAAAAATTTAAGTGGCATGAATTACTTTATCTGATAATAAACCTGGTATATAGCTATAAAACATCAGGTAATGTGGTAGTGGCCAAGGCATAATATAGATTAACATAGATCAATTAACTGTTAATAATTAATTAATAATATATATTAATTAATAATTAATAATATAGATTATATAATTTGATTAATATAAATTAATATATATTAATAGAACCCATAATTAGACCCACTTAATGATGTCTTTTTTTGACAAAGATGCCAAAGCAATTCAATGGCTAAAAGATAGCCTTCCCAACACATAGTGATAGAGAAATTGGATATAGGCAATAAAAATTGAACCTTAACCTCACCTCATACTTTGTGCAAAAATTAACTCAGTTGGATTACAGACTCAAATATAAAAGGTTAAATTATAAAACTTAAAAAAAACACATAAGAAAAATTTTCAGTTCTAGACGTAGGTAAAACGATCTTAGACTGACATCAAAACATAGCCCATAGAGGAATAATTCATAAATTGGACCACATAAAAATTAAAAACTTGTGCTCTGTGAAAGCACAGGTTTTCATCCTGTTAAAAGGATGAAAAAATAAGCCAATTAGAAAAAGGCAAAAGATATAAAGAGGCATTTCACAGAAGATAATGTACAGGTAAATCATAGATACAAACAATTTTCAACACCAGTAGTCATTGGATAGAAACAGACTAAAAACACAGTGAGGTATCAATACACACCTTCTAAACTGAGTAATCTTTTTAAAAGTAACAAAGCCAGATGAAGATGAGGATGGAGAAAAGTTGGATCATCTCTACATTGCTTTTTGGAGTGTAAAATATTACAGCAACTATGGGAAAATAATTCAGTAGTTTTTAAATGAAATTTATATGCAATTATAATGCAGTCTAGCAAATACACGCTTAGGCATTTATGCTAGAGAAAGGAAAATGTATATTGACACAAAAGTCTATACACAAATGTTAATATCAGCTATAGTAATAATAGACTCAAACTGGAAATAATCCAGATGACCTTCAATTGGTAAATGACTAAACAAACCATTGTTTATCCATACTATGGAAGAGTACTTAGTAATAAGAATAAGCACAGATACAAGGAACAACTTGTGTGAATCACCAAGGAATTACGCTGAGTGAGAAAAAACAGGGCAACCCCCAAAGCTTATGTACCATATAAAGCTATTTAAATTATACTTTAAGAAAGATAAAATTTTAGATCTGGAGAAGAGATTAGTAATTGCCAGGTATTAGGAGAGAAGAAATAGCCAGAGAGAGGGTGGTGGAGACGGTTACATAGGGCAGTATAAGGTGTCCTTGTGGTGATGGAACTGCTCTGTGTTCTGACTGTGATAGTAGATACAAGAACCTACATACATGACAAAATTTATGTAAAATATATACATACAGACAAATACATATACACACAAAGTAGAAATAAAACTGAAGAGATATAAATAAAATTGATGGAGTGCGTGAATGTCAAAATCCTGTTTGCAATATTGTACTATGAAGTAACATTAGGGGGAACCGAGTAACAGGTATATGGGATCTCTTTGTAATATTTCTTATGGTTGCATGTGACTCTACAATTATCTCAAAATAAAAACGCTAATTAAAATTAATTTTATTCATAGATGATATTATATATAGAAAACCACTAGAGACTTTATCAAAATACAGTTAGAACTAATTATCAAATTCAGCAAAATTGCAGGATACAAAATGAACATGCAAAAATCAGTAGCATTTTGTTGTTGTTGTTGTTGTTTGTTTTGAGATGGAGTCTCACTCTGTCACCAGGCTGGAGTGCAGTGGCGCTATCTTGGCTTACTGCAACCTTCGCCTTCCAGGTTCAAGCAATTTTCCAGGTTCAAGTGAATCTTCTGCCTCAGCCTCCCGAGTAGCTGGGATTAGAGGTGTGCACCACCACACCCAGCTAATTTTTGTATTTTTAGTAGAAACAAGATTTCACGATGTTGGCCAGGAGGGTCTTGATCTTTGACCTCATGATCCACCTGCCTCAGCCTCTGAAAGTGCTGGGATTACAGGCATGAGACACTGCACCCAGTCTCAGTAGCATTTTTATACACTATTTATGAACTGTCTGAAAAAAAAAATCAAGAAAATAGTCTTATTTACAATAGCATTAAAAATGTATATTTAGGAATAGATTTAACCAAAGAGGTGAAAGAACGTTACACTGAAAACTATGAAACATTGCTGAAAGACAATAAAAAAGACAAATTTAATGGAAATACATCCGTATTCAGGGATAGGAAGATTAATATTGTTACTATGTTCATACTACCCAATGTGACCTACAGATTCAATGCAATCTGTATCAAAATTCCAATAACTTTTTATAGACATTGAAAAGATGACCTAAAATTCATATAGAACCATAAAAGATCTGGGATAACCAAAGCAATCTGGAGCAAAGGGAGCAAAGCTGGAAGTATTACACTACCTGATCTCAAAATGTACTACAAAGCCATAGTAATCAAAACAGCATGGTACTGACACAAAAAGAGAAAGAGAGACTGGTGAAACAAAAAGGAGAGACTAGAAATAAATTTGCACATTTATAGCCAACTGATCTTTGACAAAGTCAACAGGATCACACACCAGGGAAAGGAGTCTCTTCAATGAGTGGCTTTGGAAACCTGGGTATCCACATGCAGAATAATAAAATTGGAATCTATCTCACCCCATCTACAAAAATCAACCAAAATGAATGAAAGAATTACATTCAGGACCTTAAACTACAAAACTGCAAGAAGACAACAGAGAAAAAAGCTTCTTGCCATTGGTGCTATGGTTTGTAGATGATTTGTTCCTCCGCAGCAAAACTCATGTTGAAATTTGATCCCTAATGTGGAAGTGTTGGGAGGGACCCTAGCGGAAGGTGTTTGGGTCATATGGGTGGATCCATCCCTATGGATGGCTTGGTGCCGTTCTCTCAATCCTGAGTGAGGTCTTACAAGACTGGATTGGTTTTCAGGAAATAGATCAGTTCCTATGAGAGTTGGTTGTTATAAAGCCCGGATGCCCCTAGGGTTTTTGCCTCTTCATATGTGTCCACTTCCCCTTTGAATTTCTCCCCCGCGACATGGCACAGTACAAAAGGTCTCACCAGAAGCTGAACAGATGCTGGTATCATGCTTCTTGTATTTCCAAGCCTGCTGTATTGTAAGCTAAATAAACATATTTTCTTTATAAATTTCCCAATCTCAGGTATTCTGTTATAGTAACACTAAATGAACTAAGGCAATTAGTTCAGGTAATCATTTTTTGGATATGATTCAAGAAGCACAGGCAACAAAAGCAAAAAGGGACAAATGTGATTATCTCAAACTAAGAAGATGATGCACAGATAAGGAAACAATCAACAGACTGAAGAGACAAGTTACGGAATGGGAGAAAACATTTTATAACCATGTATCTAATAAGGACTTAATATCCAAAATGTGGCAGGAATACAAACAACTCAATAGCAAGGAAACAACCCAATTAAAACATGGGCAAAGGATGTAAAAAGACATTTCTCAAAAAAAAAGTACTAATGGTCAACAGTTATATTAAACAATGCTCAACATAACTATTCATCAGATAAATGCAAATAAAACTCACAATTAGATATCACCTCCCACTTGTTGAGATGGCTGTTATCATGAAGACAACAGATAAGTAAGTGTTCGTGTGGATGTAGAGACAGGGAACCCTTGTGTGCTATTGCTGGGAATGTAAATTAGTTCAACCATTATGGAAAAGAGTATGGAGGTTCCTCAGAAAACTAGAAATAGAACTACCATATGATCCAGCAATCTCATTTCTGGGAACATATCCAGAGGAAATGAAATCAGTATGTTGAATAGATAGCTGCACCACAATATTCATTACAGCATTATTCACAAAACCTAAGATATAGAATCAAACTAAGTATTCATCAATGAAAGAATGGATAAGGAAAATGCGGTATACACAGTAGAATACAGTTCAGCCTTAAGAAAGAAGAAAATCCTGGTGATTTGTGACAACATGGATAAACTGTGAAATAAGCCAGGCACAGACAAACAAATACCTCATCATCTCATTTGTAACTAGAATCTAAAACAGCCAAACTCAGAGAAATAGAGAACAAAATGCTGGTCACCAGGGGTTTGGGGACAGTAGGGGTTGAGGAGATGTTGGTCAAAAGCATACGAAATTTTACTGAGACAGGAAGAGCAGGTTGAGGAGATCTACTGTGCAACATGGTGACTACAGTTAATAACCACATAATGTATACTTGAACATTAGTAAGATAGTCGATTTTAAGTGTTCTTATCACAAGAAAAAAGTATGTGAGTTTGAGGGAACAAATACGTTAATTAGCTTGACTTAGCCAATCCACAGTGTATCCATATAGCAAAACATTATGTCGCATACCATAAGTATGTATACCCTTTGTCAATTAAAAAATAAAATATTTAAAAATTAATTTGGCAATATATCACAGAGGTTTTTTTTTTAATAACAAACATAACTTGAATTTCCACTTTGGGAAATTGACTTAAAAACAAATTACTGAATATTGCCTAGTTGTAGGGAAGTCTTATTACACATAAACACACAAAATGCTGATGTAGATCTGTATCAGTAGACATTTGGAAGTAACTTCCAAGTAAACTAATTGATAAATAGCAAGTCTCAAACATATGCATAGTTAGACCTCATTTATATAAAACAAAAACAAGTTCTGTGGATCTAGTCTGTGTCTGTGAGTGTGTAGCTAGATGGAAACACTCCAAATTATTATTGGTTCTTTCCAGTAAGTACAATATGGGGTACTGTAAAGAAACAGGAAGTTTATTTTATATTCAATGTAATTATCATTGAGATTCTTATAATATACATGTGTAACTTTGGTAATTAAAATATTTTCCTTAAAAGAAGGATATGTGTGCTCATAAGGAATAATGTTTATTATGTAACTGAATAAGACAGTACGTGTTTGTTCATTAAGTGTGGTGTACTATATATTAACTCCTTCAATATTTAGGGAATACCTTTTATTCATTCTTGAACACTTAGTGCTTAGTACAGATGAAGGGATCAATAAATATACAGATTATGCTTATATGAAGAAAAGGAGACTAAGAAAATTCAGGAGAATATAAATTTTTTTAAATTATGTTTATGGGTGATTTTCTTATTTGTTTTAATTTTGACTGCGCAAGATGTTAAAACTTCTATGATGAAAAAAACAGTAGTCAAACTAGCTCGTGGTGATCCCAGTTACCAAAGTATGCAAGAAATATCCAGTCACTTTATCATTAGTTTTATTTTAAATAAATCATCATACATATCCTCATGTATATATCACACAGTGAGGATTATCGTATTCAAAGGACACACTGGAAATCTAGTAATATTAAACTTGGCTTTGCCTGGAGTATAGATTGGACAGCAGACAAAAATCTACATGTTAAATCATAGTCCTCTAAATGACGTTTCTGTTGTTCGACATGTCATGGCACTTCGCTTTAACAGTCTCTCATTTAACTTGCTTCTTCAACATATGTGCTCATCTTAATCATTCACTCATCCTTGAAGTAGCCAAATTTAAATGTCATGTGTTTTTATTCACAGAGCATGGAATCAATCTCATTATACCCTTGAATGCACAGCTTTCACTAGGAGACCCTCCTTCTAAGCCAAAAAATCAATTTATGTTTAACTGGAGGAATGATATCTTTTTCTGATTGTTGGCAAAATGAGAGAGGGAGGGAGAGGGGGAACTACTCCATTTATTATATGTTAAAATGTCACTTCATGGTTACCTCCCATGTGCATGGTAGATCTGGCAGCTAATTAACATTGTCAAACCACGTTAATCTCACCTACAAATTCATTTATTATTTTGGATAATGTAACTGAAGTTGTACAAGAGAAGATTCAGGATCACATTAAATGCATTGAACTATTAATGTATTAGAACGTAGTATGATCAAGCAGTAGCTCAGTACTCATTACGATCCTCAGTAAATTCTTCATCATACAATTGGGAAGAGTTGCTTTGTAATTATTAACTCAGAAGACAATACTTCTATAAGATCATGGACTAGTGTGATAGGAATTATTCAGGGAACATTTTGAACATGAAGCTTCTCTTCGTAGCTTCATAGTAAGTTTATATTCAGTTTGCTGTTCTCCATTGTTAGTATGCTAAGGTTCACAAAAGAATTATCTCTGAGATGTCTCTTGCATGATTGTACTGTAGGTCAGAGAGAATTTGAGAAAGTCCAGTGTTTCAGATAACAATTTAAGATACAAACGTGTTAGTACAGATCTTTATGGCTTAACAAATCACTTTTACATGGTTTTAGCTGATCCTAGCAAAAGTCTCATAAGTAAGCAGATATTACTAACTCTAAAAGGTTAAATAACTTGATCAAGAGTACACTGTGGGTAAAGGACAAAGTTGAGATGATAATTCTGCTTATTGATGGAATGAATACATGCATAATAAATGAATGGATGGCAAAATAGACAACTCCAGGTATTCTTACAGATAGTACATCATTGCAGCTACTCACTTATAAGGCATATACCATATGCATTAATATTGCATGTTCACCCAAAACTTTCAGTTAATCTTTATGCATTTTGGAGGTAATGTCTTAAAAAAGTGATGTGAACAAGCCCCAATAAAATTATTGTTTTTTGCTAATGAATAATAGGATGCATCAGTTTAGACAGAAAATAGATTCTAGTAATTTACACAGCTTAAAACTTTCAGATTTGTCTCTAGCTGATAAAAATCAGCGGCATCTGGTAGTACAGGAAGGGGGCAGTAGAAATTCTATGCTGTCAGGGCTACACCATCAGTGTGAGTAGTGATTTTACCAGATGATATGAAACAATATTCTTGTTATCATTGTGGAGCCTCCAATACATAAAAATACAAAGAAAAGGGGAATAACGATTCTTAAAATATTTTTTAATCAAGCAGCACAAATTTGAAATTTGCCATATTCATTCACTTCCTGAATTGAATATCATCCATATGAATTATGTATCACATTGATGTCATTTTTATGAACTGCTACATTGGTGACTAATTGAGGTATATTTTAGTTTTAAAGAATATGTTGCTGTGCTTAATTATCCTGATAAACACATTTTATAACTTCTAGCACATATGCTATTTCATTAAATTAATGGTTTTCAGAATCATTGATTTAATTGACAGTTTGCAATTCATGAAGAAATTGGATGAATAAGTGAATGTACATTTTATATTTTACAAATTGCAGAATACAAGTTCATGAGTCTTTTTCACTTATGACTTTCATTAGTTAATGGTATTTCCATCAGTTTTATTGGACACATGTCATGACAGTAGGAAACAATAGGATTGTCTGCATCAAGAAAGAACAAGTAGTAAGTCATGAATCTTTTTTTTCTCTGTTGTAAGCAAAGCTTAAGCACAGATATTGCTAATCAAGGTTTGGTCTTGTTCAAGTTCCAAGCTATCATCAACTCATCGTAACTATTGCAAAAGTCTCCTAGTTGGAATATCTGCATCCACTTTGCCTAGTCTCAAATTCCATCTTCAGTCTGTAGCCAGAAGAATATCTTTCTAAAATCAATTAAATTGGCATCTATTTTATTCCTTAAAACTGCTCAATGGCTCCAAATTTCTCTTAGGATAGTCACATTAGTTAGAAAAAAGTAGCTTCCATAACAAAAAAAACTACATTTTATTGGCATAACACAAAAGATTCTCTTTCATTCACCCAACGGTACAAAATATATTTCTGGTATGTGAGATGCAGCCTAATTATGACACAAGAACCAATGTTCTGTCGCTTAATGACACAGAGTTCTCTGCATTCTGATAAAAGAAGTTAAAAAGAATGAAGGAGTCACATAAAATCTTAAACATGTTATTCCAGATGTGCACATCATTTATTTTACTTTCAATTTTTATGGATACATAATAGTTGCACATACACGTGGAATAAATGTAATATTTTGATATAAGCATACAATGTGTAATGATCAAATCAGGGTGATTGGTGGATCCAACACTTCGGACATTTATCATTTCTTTGTGCTGTGAACATTCCAAATCCACTCTTCTGGTTATTTTGGAATATACAATAGATTATTGTTAACTATATCCCCTCTATTTTGCTACTGAACACAAGATCTTATTCGTACTATCCAACTGTGTTTTTGTACCCACTAGCCCACTCCTCTTTAAACATGTCCCACTATTCTCAGTTTCGGGTAACATTCTACTCCCCACCTCCATGAGATCAATTATTTTAGCTCTCACATATGAGAACATGTGATATTTGTCTCTGAGCCTGGATTATTTCTCTTAACAGAATGTCCTTCAGTTCTATCCATGTTGTTGCAAATTACAGCGTTTCATTCAGGTGGCTGAATAATATTGCGTTGTGCATATGTACCACATTTTCTTTATCCATTCATCTGTTGATAGACACTAAGGATGATTTCATTATCTTGGCTATTGTGAATATTGCTGTAATAAACATGGGAATGCAAATAACTTTTCAATATGCTGATTTCCCTTCTTGTGGATATATACCCAGCAGTGGGATTTCTGGATCATATGATAGTTCTGCTTGTAGTTTTGAGGAACCTCCATACTCTTTTCTATAGTGGTTTAATACTCTGGATTGGCCAGAATCAGCCTGATAGCCATATATATCTGCATTTATGTCTGGAGATATTTTCCTTCAAATGGTAGTCACTTCTCAGGAAAATTTTCCACTGTAAATGGTGGCACACGGTTTTTAGTAAACAGTTAATTGTCTCTGCTGCAAACCTACCTCTTAAGATGTCAGGTAAGACCTGCATTTCTGGCCATATCAAGCACACTGCTCTTCTTCAGCTGATACAAGTGTTCCTTCTATCTCTTGAGTGCCATATGTTTCCTTCTAAAATATAGTTTTTCACATACTTTTATGTTTTGCCTACTATTCTATTCTTCCTTCTGGTCTCAGTAAATTGTGATTTCCTTATAAAATTCTTACCCAGCTTATGTGAGTCAGTTTTCTGTGTTACGTATTCTCATAGTCACATCCTACATGCACCTGTATTCTGCAGCACTTGTTTCTGTTGCAATTTTTACATTTGTTTATTACATGAAGCCTTCAATACAGTATTAGCTTTATGATGGTGGATGTTTGCTTTTGCTCATCATTTTATTTTTAGCCTATTATGAAGTGCTTAGCCACAGTAGGCACTCAGAAGTACTGCATAAATAAATGAATCAATTGCCTGATCTTGCACTCTTCAAAGCCTTTTACATTGCTATAATTGTCTTCCAAATGCAAATGTTCATCAAAGGTGTTTTTTCTCCATTTTGAAAAAAAATGAATGCTTTAGTTTGGGCTCCCTCAGAAGCAAACTCTAATTTTAATATTCAAGTGTAAGTATTTTATTTTTGTTCCTAGGCATGGGAAACGAGAGAAATGGGAAAGTGGTACAGGAAGGAATAGGCAGCCAACAATGTGATAATAAACCACATTTGCTGACTGAATAATTCCATAGTGAAGACTGGGAAACAATGTAAAACACTACATCAGAAATATTCCACTTGATGGAAAATGGACTTGGAGTAAAAATACTCCTTGACATCATCATTAAGTTACAACTCATGTGGAGGACTGCTAATTTTCCTTAGAGATTTAGCAAGCGAAGTGACCTTCTGGGGAAATATTCTGGACCAGGAGATGCAGATTTTGGTAGCTGGAAGACTGTTGTTCATCCAAAAAGAATATGTATAAGGGATGTGGGTATTCACAGCATCCAACACAGTTCACCCGAGGCTTAGTGCCACTGTCATCACACACTGCAAGCCTTTCTCTCTCTCACGTTTGACTCTTCCTCTTTTGGCTGGTCTTCACTTTGTGCTCTTTCCCAGTCTTCCTGAAAGGACACTGACAGATGAGTATTCTTAAAGCACATCATCTCTCCTGTTATGTGCCTTCTCCACAGTCCTCAGTGAGTATTCTTTTACTCTAAGATTCAGCCTAATCCTTAGCTTACATTCAATAATGTGTAAAAGTTAGTCTATTCATGCTTTTTTTCACTCTTGACATTCACTGTCAAATTCTCTCCTTTGGTATTTACTTGTGCTTTTCTACATAACTTCCTACACCCCTTCTACCTGGGATAATCTTGTCTTGTTGAATTCCCATTTATTCATCAATGCAGAGTTTAAATCTAGGCTTTTAAAATTTTACTTTAATTGAAAAATAATAATTGTACATATTCATAGGGTACATAATGATATTTCTGTATATATACAATATATAGTGATCTGATTGGAATAATTACCATATCCATCATCTCAAAAGTTTATCATTTCTTTGTGTGGGAACATTCAATATTCTCCCTCTAGCTATTTAAAGCTATATAATATATTAATGTTAACTATTGTCATCCTACAGTGGTATAGAACACTAGAACTTATTCCTCCTATCTAGCTGCAATTTTGTATCCTCTAACACATTTAAATCTAAGCTTCTTTATTGGAATATTGAATCTCACAGCTGCTCAAATGACTTACCTTAACAGGTGAAGTATTTGCCACTCCTGTATGTTGTTATGTGTGAGTTTGGCAAAAATGTAGTAGAGTAACCCAGATGAGACTGAATGAGTAGTGTCATGTATATAGACCTGCAAATGCCTCCTTATTCTGTAATTTGATGAACTCATTTCTAATCGGTCCCACCACTATTGATAATTTTGTAAAATGCCTATGACATGCATGGTTTTAACTATGCTTTAGGACCTAATCAAAGGTATTTTTTATTCTATAACAATTGTCATACGTCAATGTCTCATATTCCCTACTAGATTATAAATTCTAAGAGGGAAGAGATGTGCTGTAATTCAATCTGTATATCAGAGTGTCTGTATTTTCCTTGTGATAAGCACTGAAATTATCTAGAATGAGTCAATAGATTTTTCAGCAACCTTCAGGAAGTTTCATGTTCCTTTCTTTATCCTAACCATCACCTATCATGTACTGATTATGTCATGACCCTAGCCCCACTGACCCTAAGCTTAGGCACTGCGGTGATTCACAGGCCTACTCTTAAAGTGAATAGCTTCTTTAGAAAATAAAGTATAAAAACCTCTTTGATTATCTTATTTCTAGAAATCATGTTAGGAGGTTTGATGTTGATGAATAAATAATGTATGCTTACTTTGGACTGATTATGCAGGTGAACCAAAAAGGTTATATTTATGTGCGAGGAATTTTGAGGGAGTTTTGCAGTCCTCAAGCCATGCTCATTATCTGATAATTGTCCCTGTTTCAACTGTGAATATCCTGTGGACATGTTTGTATTATGTGTTTCTATCCATTCCAGTGTTCACTTATTGAATAGGGGATATATATTTGCAAAACAGACAAAAATCATGTAATATTTCTGCTGTCAATATACTATGCTGCATGCAAAAATGAGTTTCAGTTATACTGAGAGACATACAATAGAAAAACCGAATATATTTTTATTGAGTGGAAACTCACTTCTTAACACTTCCTCTTTTGATCTTTGAAATATTCTTTATTTTTTAGTTCATATACAAATTTAAATTTTTCTTCTCATCCTTTTGAGTATGCACTCACCCACATACCACCTCTCCATAATTTTATCCTGCTTCTTAGTTCATTAGTTAAGATTAACTGTCTCAGTGGTAAATTACATATACCACTTTAACAATGAGAAAATATATCCCAAAATTTTCTTGTATAGAGTCCACTTATTTCTAATTTTATTCACAAAGCACGTGCTTTATTCGTGAGTTCTATTACCACCATTACTAACATCCTACACACAAGGAAAAAAAAAGGCGAACCAAAGAGCAAAAATATTACTTAATATGAACACGGGCTCCTTCCAGATCTGGTTCAATAGCAGTTCTTCTAGGTAAGGCATAGCTTAGAATCTTAAAAGTCAAAGTTTGGCCCTTGGATTATCAGTATTGACACCAATTAGAAGCTTGTTAAAAGCATAACCTCTGACACTATCTCAGACCTATTAAATGACAGCCTGCATTTGAATACAATCTTTAAGTGCCGTTTTTTGCTGTTGTTCTTGCAAATTTTGAACCTGTGGGACCCAGAAATCACAATAGCAAAGATGGCTAGATATCTACCAAAAAGTGTCCTCTTTTTGTTTAATAATAGAACTTCCTAATTTTAGCTGGTTACCAGGTTACCCATCAAAAAATGCACAACCTAGTTTTGCTTGCACTTTGGCATAGCCAAGGGACTAAATTCTGACCAGAGGCATGTGAGTGTACTGAAGTCTAGGATTTCCAGGTCACACCTAGAAAGTAAATGTATTTGAACTTTCTAGGTCCTTTTCCCACTTGATGCTGTCTCGTAGATGGTAAAAATTTGAGCAGCAAAATTGGACCCAGAAAAGGGAGGCAGATGTTAAAGATGGACAAACTATTTTGAACTGTTCTGTGAGAAAGAAGAAAACTTTCATCTTGTTTAAGCAGCTAAAACTTTTTCATGTCTTTTTTATTGCAATTACATGGCTAATATATTTATAAGTTAACTGTGTCTCCATCACTCTATTTTAACCATGTCTACAGTAACACAAAATAAGGCACAGTGAATTATATGTATAACCTCCCCTCATTGATGTTTTCAACAGCTGGATCATTGCACTACAATCCAGTGATTAATTCAAGTCAATGGCCATTTTTGTCTCTTTTGCAACTTCCAAATTCATACGGTTTAGTAGCTTTTGAATTAAAAATATGTCACTCTTTCTAATGGGTAAAATAATAAAAATAGTACCAGAAAAAGCCACAAAAATGTCCTAAAGTGTGCAACATAATTAAACAATTATTTATCTTTCTGATTTTGAATGTTAATTTTGGTCTTATATCCTAAATCCCACATAATTGCATTTTTTTCTGATTATACAGTTTTATACTTGGCAAAACAAATGCTGTTTAACTTAGGGAGTTATCTTTCTACAGCAGGATCCCCTAGAGTTTCAGAATATATTCCTTGCACACTGCTCTGTGTAGAGAAGACGTTCGTTTACAGAGCCTGTCTCAACTTCCTAACATTGGTCTGAGCACAGTTTTGTTTTGTTTTTTAACAACTTTTTTTAGAACAGTTTTAAATTTACAGAAAAATTAAGAAGATAGGATATAGAGAGTTCCTAAATAACTTTCACTAAATTGTCACTATTAACATCTTGCATTAGTGTGGTGTATTTGTTACCATTAATAAAACAGTATTAATGCACTATTAGTAACTAAATACCATAGATTTTTTCACATATCCCTATTTTTTTTACTTGTTTTTCTATGTTGGAGGATCCCATCTAGTTTCATTTAGTTGTCATGTCCCCTACACGCTTCTAGGTTGTGACAATTTCTCATACTTTTCCTCGTTTTTGATGACATTGGCAATTTTTTTTTTTTTTAAGTATTGGTTAGGTATTTTGTTGGATGTCCTTCTATTGCAATTTGTCTGATGTTTCTCTCATGATTAAACTGGGGTGAAGCTTTCTTGGGAGGGAAGATCACAGATATAAAGTGTAATGTTCATCCCATCATATTATGGGTATATACTATTAACATGATTTGTAACTTCATATTGACCTTGCTTGCCTGGCTGAGATAGTGTTTGTCAGTTTTCTCTGCTGCGGAATCGTTCTTTTTTTTTTTTTTGCTGTTTCCACACCGGACTCTTTGAAGTGTAGCCACACGTACAGCCCACACTGAAAAAGTAGGGAGTTATTACCTCTTCTTTGAGGGTGGAATATCTGCATAAGTTGAGGAGTTTTTATGCACATTTTCTTTATTTTTAATATTCGTCTTAATGTTTATCTCGTAAGACAATGCTGTTTCTGAATATTTGGCAAACACATTTTAGAGAAGCCAAATTATCCATATCTTCAGGCAATTAATATGTTTAAAATTATACTGAGAACTGATCTAAATTTCTGTGTGATTTAATTATGAAACCCAGTTTTGTGTCTAGTTTACTGGTTTTGAAAAAGTGTTTCAACAAAATAACAACTAAAATTTATTGGTTGCTCATTGTGTGATACGAACTGTTCTAAGAGGTTTGTATGTATTATTTGATACTAAACTCAGTGTATTACAAGGAAATGTGTCTTATTACTAATCTACAATTACAGCTTCAATTATTAAATAACTTTCCCCAGTTTCCACAATTATTGAGTGATGGATCAGGGAATTTAGTCCAGTTTTATTCAAGTGAGGCCGTGATGATAGTTATAAAACTGGTATTTTATGTTCAATAATTGTATTAAATCTAAGGCTAAAACAATGTATTCAGTAAAACTTAGAACACAGATCTTCTGAAAGTTTTGGTTCTGAAGTGTTCATTTCAATTTCTTATATAATTATAGTTGCATGATCAAATGAAATCATCCCCAAATAACTCAATGTTCAAATGCTAGACTACCCATATAACATAGGATCATCTGAGAATTTCAACTGTCAAAAAGGAAATATGTCTAGATTTGGACTTAGGAAGTTGCAGATAGGTGAGTCATATTCTCTCCAAAAAACCATCTTTTTGGTTTGTTGAAAAACTTAGGGAGATTTTTCAAGAATCCATAACTAAAGGTGATAGAGGGTAGGTAAGTGTTATTTTTTCCTTTTGTTGATAGAATAAGAACAGAATTTTATGCCCAATTAAAAGATTTCATGATATGAGTTGTTAGAATATACAAGTGTTTCCTATTTTCACTGCATTAATTTTACTAGGATACAATTGCATAACAAAATTCACAAGCAGCTGAGAAATGTTATACTAATATCAGGCAGGCATAGCAGCCTGGGAGCATTTTGCACGTGTGATACTTTAGTCATCAAATTTGTACTCTGAATTAAGTGTACTTATAACTGGTACTTGGACAAGACACTGGTCATTTGTACAAGTTTCCAAACATAGTGACACTGATTAGAAATGCCCTTGTTCCAGAGACAGCCAATAGAAAGATGTGTAAGATTTTGTTTTAATGCAAATAGTAATAATGCATTTGATAGGCATTGTACATAGAAAATGACTTAGGGATTATTTTGCCATCATTTCATTTCTTATAAGAATGGTGACCCCTTGGCTAAATTTCATGTTAACAATGTTTCTCATTTACTTTGGTCTTATAATTTCAGCTGCTCTAAAATAAATCTTAGATAAATTCATTGCCTACTTTGACATACATATTTTAAGGCTTCAAATTCTGGAAAGATCTAAATGCCTTTAAATATCTTGTTTTTAGCTACGCTATGATCACACTATTTTATCATTTTAAAAGGATCAGTGTTATCTAACTGAGGTCACCGGCAGAATGAAAAGTCAAGGTATTAGCATTTATATTTTCAACTGAATTGACAGAGATCTCAACAATGAGTCATTGAGGGGTTATTAAGTTCAGGAGCTAATAATATTTCTCTAATATGATTGCTAAAAAGTCAATGGGATTTGTAATTTATAACACAATCTTGATAAAATACAAAATAGAATAGCTGTTCCCTTAAGACATCAACAGTTAGTGTATGAAGCATGTCACTTTTGTGTTCCAAATTTTCACTCATATTAATTTGCTCTTATTGAAATTTTGAAACTGACTTAGCTTCAGTTTGGTTTCACAGATATATGTATTAGGCACTTTATCCTTTAGGGGGACTCAAGCCTCTGAAGATGATGATGCCATTGCAGCCAAATTTTACATTCAAATTCTAGCCCAAGACTACTGAACTTATAAAGTTGAGGACACTATTATAAAATATTAATGATTCAATTCTACTTCAAAATTTCATCTTAAGTAAAACAAATAAAAAATAAAAATTATATATAGCTATCTTAAAACAAGCATAATTCGATATCCCATGGATATCTAATCAATGAAATACCATGTGACCATGAAGAGTTTTCTATTAATCACATGGAAAGTGTTCATAATGTATTTTACTTGGAAACAGAGTTTATCACACCTTTAGATCTGAAATTCAAAAAGAAATGTTTGAAAAATATAAATAGTCATAAAGGCAGACAAGTAAATACATGGAGCAGAGGGGGAAAAGAGATGAGAAATTTTTCAACAGAACAATTTTATGGGAATAGTCATAAAGGCAGACAAGTAAATAGCTGGAGCAGAGGGGAAAAGAGATGAGAAACACAAAGGATAACAATGTTATTATCCTCAATTTATTTATTTGTGCTTTTTACAGTTTTTCAAACACTTAACATAAATTGTATTGATATATATATAAAGAACAAAACGATGCTATAATTATTAAAACAATTAGGAATTTTAAGTCATCTTATGTTTGTTCCTTTTATTTTTATTTATTTATTATTATTATTATTATACTTTACGTTTTAGGGTACATGTGCACAACGTGCAGGTTTGTTACATATGTATACATGTGCCATGTTGGTGTGCTGCACCCATTAACTCGTCATTTAGCATTAGGTATATCTCCTAATGCTATCCCTTTTGTTTTTAAAGAACCTGAAATCCAAAGGGCAATGACTTACCACAAGGAGTAAAGTGTCAGTGTGGGTGCAGAAACCAAAAGCCAGGGCTTCATCTCATGGTCTAGTGTTGACTTCACTCGACCTCAATGCCTTCCTCCTTCCTTCCCCTGCCAGTTTGGTTCCTTATTAGTAGTTCTTTTCTAGGTATCTTAAGCTTGGAACCTTCGTAAGAAAAGGGACTTGAAATGTTCTTACACAGAAGGTAAGAAGAACTTTACAAATTCTCTGAGAGTTTGAGGAGAAAGAAAAAATGTTAAGGGGCTGGCCTTATTAAAGGTGGGTTAACTTTGAGCTGTATATTTGCACAGTAATATATACTGTGAATCTTAGAATTAGGAGTTGTAAGAATGGAAACTTAACTAAAGGTTTATTTTGTGTGACACTCTAAGATTGTAGTGTCACGTTTAATTCCATTTTGTTCCTAAGTTAAAGTGAAAGGGCATTTTTAAGAGCTTTGCTGATTTATGAATAGTCAAGCACATCACATATTAATAGGATGTGTAATATGGAAGTTGCTATTCACTGTTAAATATGGTGGAGAAATTAGTGAAGGAATGGGTAGAAATTTTGATAAATAATCCATTCCCCCCCCCCACTTGCTGGCTTTCTTGAATTGATAGCCAGGAAAGGTAGAAAAAAAAGAGGTATGTAAAGTCAGACTGAACTGGTTGCAAACTGGACTTCATGACTTGCTACATGTGATCTTGATCAGATTACCTAAATTCTCTGAGTTTAACATAAGTTTGCATTTAAGGGGATGAGGGCGGGAGAGAGAGAGAGAGAGAGAGAGAGAGAGAGGGAGAAATATACCACTAGTCTTTTGTCTGTGGTAAGTGTTGCAAATATTTTCTCCCAGTTCATTGGCTGTCTTTTGATTTTTTGTATAGTGGGTTTTTTTCCTGCAAAATTTTAAAAAATGATATAGTCAAATTCATTGACATTTTTCTTTTATTGCCTCTGAATTTGAGTCATAGTTAGAAGACCTTTTCTTACACCAAGGTTAAAGATGAATTTTTCAAGTACTTGTTTGATTTTATTTTTTACACCAGAATTCCATTCCTTTTGCAGATTATTCTTGCATATGATATAAGATATGGATCTAAATTTACCTTTTCCAAATGGCTACTTTGTTGTCCCAGCAGCAGTTATTAAGTCTATTTTTAAGTGGTTTGAAATGCTGCTGTTGTCATATACTAAATTCTCATATGTATTTAGTTTTAAATTTGGACCTTCTATTCTATTCCACTGCTTTATCTGTCTATTCAATATGATGCTAGTATAACATCATTTTAAATATAAAGGCTTTGTAGTATCTTTTAATGTTTAGTAAGGTAGTCTTCCTCTTATTTCTTTTTTTACAAAAGTATTTTCCTTGCTATTCTTGTATGCATGTGATTCCATGTGAACTTTAGTCAATTTACCTAACTTCATAATTTGTTGGTATTTTTATTAGGTTTGAATGAATTATAAGTCAACTTATGGAGAATTTATGTCCTTATAGTGTTGAGTCATTTTATCCAAAATACAGGGTATTTTCCTAATTTTTAAAGTCTTCTTTAGAGTCCTTTGTGAGTGTTAAAATTTTCCTTTCACAAACTTTGTACATTTTTATTAAATTTATTTCTAAGTATTTAGTGTTCTTATTGCTTATTCTTATTATAGTGTTCTTATTCTTATTCTTATTCTTATTATACATGGACTTACTCTTAAGTTCTCTAAATGTTCGTTGTTAAAGAGTATATAAAGGCTACTAATTTGTTAATGTTAATTCAGCATTCAGCTAATTCACTAGAATATTTGATTTCTTGAGATGGTTTTATCATTGACCCTCTGGAATTTTCAAGGTTTATTATCTTAACAACTGCAAATAGAAGTAGTTTTACTTCTTCTTTACCAATTTTTATGCTTTTCAAGAATTTATCTCATCTAATTGGGTTGGCTCTCATCGAAGAACTGTAGAATAATATGGGATCGTATTAATCATAACATGTATTCTTGCTTCGTCTCAAATCTTAATGAAAATGCCTCTAGCGTTTCTTCATCAAATAGTATACCGGCTTTAAGTTTAAGGCAAATATATTTCATTATGTTAAGAAAGGATCCCTAAATTCTTTTTCTTTGAGTTTTTTTAAAACAATAAATTAGTGTTTTTTGTTGTTGTTGTCAAAGGCTTTCTTAGCATCTGTGAAGATAATATAATTATGCCTTTAAATTGTCAACATGGTATATATGAAATGAATTGGGTTTATAATAGTAAACCAATCTTGCATTCCTAAAATAAATCCTATTTAGTTATCGTGTGTTATTTTCTTAATACAGTGTTGGATTAAGTTTGCTATTTTTTATTTTAAAATTTTACATTATTTTCTTCAGTGATATTGACCTGTAGTTTTCTTTCATTATACTGTTTTATCAGATTTAGGTATCAGTGTTATAGTTTCTTCATGAAAGGAATTAAGATGTTTTCCTTCCCTTTCAATGTTCTGAATAATCATACAGCATTATGACTATCTGCCATTTAAATCTTTAGAATAATTACCTTGTGAAACTATGTGGGCTTGGTGCTATTTTGTGTAGTATTTATCTAATTGTTTCCTATATTTCTTCTATGAAATTGGTTGATTTAATCTTTCTAACACTAATAAGATTAATTTGAGTAAACTTCATTTCTCTAGAAAATAATTAATTCATCAAATTAAATCAAATTTGAAATTTGATTTCAAATTTATTTGTGTCAAAGTAAAGGAGGTTTCCTGTCATTTTAAAATTCTCTGTTGTTTTAATAGTAACTTGTTTCTTATTATTTATAACTTTATATATTTGTACTTTTTCCTTTTTTATCAAATGAACTGAGTTTTAACATCGCATTTAATTTTAATTATCTAATCTAAATCTAAAAGCTGATATTTGATTCAATTGTCAGAAATCTCTTAAGTATATTGGGATCAACTTGGAAAAGTAAATTGACTTTAAACAGTACACTTTATGAACTTTAAATTACAGATCAGATATTTTTAGTAAAATTTTATCCAAACTAAGATGCAATATGAGTATAATCACTGATTCAAAAAGCTTCCTTTAGTGAGCATGAAATATCTCACTATTTTAATTTTAATATTGATTGTGTGTTAAAATAATAATAATTGCATTATATTATTGATAATGTGTATTCTTGTCATGTTTCCATTCTTACTGGAAATGCCTCCAGTGTTTCTCCATCAAATAGTATACTGGCTCTAAGACTAATTTAAAGGACAAGATGGCCAACTAGACACAGCCAGGAAGCACTGTTCCTACCCCCAAAAGACCAAAGTTTCAAGTAAACCAACATAACTTGGACAGATCTTCAAAGAGAAAATGCCCAGTGGATGAAGATGTGATGCAGATGTGGAGGCTGAGGAGGTAGGAAGCTGGGAACCTTGTTCAGGGTAGGCCAATGCTTGAGCCAATCCTGACCTCAAGTGGCTCCTGGGAATGGGTGAATGAAGAACTGCAGGACTGCCTACCCTAGCCATGGACCGCTGGGATCCTGGCTATGGGGGCCCCACATCTGCCATGGACATTTGAGCTGGCAGAAGGATCCTTCCAGAGAGTAGACAGAGATGGAGCTCCAGCCAGCATGGAAGCATGGGCCTTTGTGCACAGTGAGGCTGTGTCCAAACATGGACATAGCCACCTATTCCCCAGGGCTCCCCACTCACCGTCTGAGAAGCTCTAGCTCCAGTTGACCACCAGGCTAGGAGGAAGCTGGGCTGATTTCTCTGTGGGACTGGTACGTGTCTGTTCTTTAGGCCCTCTTGCCCACCAGCCCCTCCAAGGGCCACTGTCCAGCTGCTCTCCAAGAGAGTATGCATGGCTCAGCTTCCACTGCCCAGCCTGGTTGCTTTGCTCCACCTGATTATGTTCCCGGTGGCCTGGGAGCACTTTGGATTCCCATTACACCTGGAACCTGAATCTAGGGGTCCAGAGGATGGAGCTGCAAGCCAATCCTGGTGCCCCAGAGCTGCAGTGTGCAGTTCAGAAGCGCAGAGCTGAAATTTGTGGCCAGCACTCAAGTGGGAGAAGAGCCCACCCTCTTAGAGGACTAAGAGGGGTGACTTGTGTCAGTTCATGAGCTGGAATAGAAGCAGAACATGTCTTCTTCCTCAGGGCCAACCAGGAAAGAGTGTTACCTATCTCCCTGCTACGTTCTTTGCCCAGGGAGCCTCACGTCCCAGAACAGCTAAAGAAAGTAATGCAGGCACAGTGCCAGTGATCAGAAGGGGCTCCACCAAGGCCCAAGTTCAGACTTGGTGAGGAATTACCTCTCTCCCCACTGCACTGCAGAGTGTGGCTGGAAACATGAGGAAATATAGAGGAGCTGGGTGGCTAAGTAAGAGACTATTTACTGTCCATTATTCTTAAGCACTATCCACTGGATCACAGCCCAAACAATAACACCAAAAATGTTTTGCTGATATACCCTGCTGTAAAACCAAGGACAAAAATTCAGCCACAAATAAAGACCTGTACAGAGCCTAGACCATCTGAAAACATTCAGAAACAAAGCCAATTGGCTATACTCAACTTATACTGTAGTTAAAGGAACAGCAACCCTCCCAGATGAGAAAGAATGTGGACAAGAACTCTGGCAATTTAGAAAGGCAGAGTGTCCCCTTACCCCAAAATGAGTCCACTAGCTCCATAGCAATGGTGCTTAACCAGTGTGAAATGACATAAGTAGAATTCTAAATCTGGATGGCAAGAAAGTTCAAGAATCAGGACAAAGTTGAACTAAATCTAAGGAATCTAGTAAAACAACCCAATAGCTGAAAGATGAAATAACATTTCAAGAAACAACCAAACTGAACTTCTAGAGCTAAAAAGTTCACTACAAGAATTCCATTATACAATCAGAAGTACTAATAGGAAAACAGACCAAGCTGAGGAAAGAAAATCGGAGCTTGAAGACCAGTTATTCAAATCAACTCAGTCAGAAAAAAATAAAGAAAAAAGAAGTTTTTAAATGAACAAATTCTCCAAGAATTATGGTATTACATAAAGAGATCAAATCTACAACTCACTGGCATTCCTGAGAGGGGAGAGAGAATAAAAAACTTGGAAAATATATTTGAGAATATAGTCCATGAAAATTTCCCTATTCTCTCTAGGGAGGTTGACATGCAAATTCAATAAATACAGACAAGCCCAGCTAGATACTATAGAAGATGACCATATCCAACGCATATAGTCATCAAATTCACCAAGGTCAACGCACTCACACAAAAAAAGGCAGCTAGAGATAAGGGACAAGCTACATACAGAGGGAACCTCATTAGGCTAGCAGCAAACCTCTCAGCAGAAACTTTATAAGCCAGAAGAGACCAGGGCCCTATTTTCAGCATCCTTGAAGAAAAGGAATTCCAACCAAGAATTTCATATCACACCAAACTAAGCTTCATAAGAGAAGGAGAAATAAAATTCATCACAGACAAGCCAATGCTGAGAGGATTCATTTCATTTAGACCAGCTTTACAAAAATACCTTAAAGGAGTGGTAAAGATAAACACAGACCAGGTACAGTAGCTCACACCTGTAATCCTAGCACTTTGGGAGGCCAAGGTAAGTGGATCACTTGAGGTCAGGAGTTCGAGACCAGCCTGGCCAACATAGCAAAACCCTGTCTGTGCTAAAAATACAAAAATTAGCCCGGTGTGCTGGAATGCACCTGTAATCCCAGCTACTTGGGAGGCTGAGGCAGGAGAATTGCTTCAACCCAGGAGGTGGAGATTGCAGTGAGCTGAGATCTTGCCGCTGCACTCCAGCCTTGGTGACAGAGCGAGTGTCTGTCTCAAAAAAAATAAAAAATAAAAAGGATGAAATAAAACAATGACACCTGCTACCACAAAAACATACTTAAACAAACAGCCCACAGGCACTATAAAGCAGCTAAACAGTCAAGTACATACGACAACTAGCTAACAACACAATGACAGGATCGAAATCTTACACCAACACTAACCCTGAATGTAAATGGTCTAAATGCCCCACTTAAAAGCTTGGAGTGGCAAGCTGGATAAAAGGACAATACCCTATCATGTGCTATCTTCAAGAGACCCATCTCACATGTAAGGACAACCACAGACTCAAAGTAAAAGGATGGAGTGAGATCTACCATAGAAATAGAAAACTAAAAGAGCAGGAGATGCTATTCATGCATCAGATAAAAGACTTTAAACCAATGAAAATTAAAAAGTACAAAGAAGAGCATTACATAATGATAAAGGGTAAGATCCAACAAGAATACTTAACTACCCTAAATATACACACCCAAACTTTGGAACACATAGATTCATAAAACAAGTTTTTCTTGGGCTAGAAAACACTTAGACAACCAAACAATAAAAGTGGGGGACTTCAACACCCCACTGAGAGTATTAGATCACTGAGGCAGAAAACTAACAAAGAAACTCTGGACTACATTTGACACTTAACTAATTGGACCTAATAGACATGTAAAGAACATCTCACCCAACAACACAGAATTTGCATTCTTCTCATCTGCATATAGAACATATTCTAAAATGCACCAAATGCCTGGTCATAAAGCAAGTCTCAATAAATTCAGAAAAATTGAAATAATACAAACCACACAGTGCAATAAAAATAGAGATCAATATCAAGACTATCTCTCAAAACTATACAAATAACATGGAAATTAAACAACTTGTTCCTGAGTAACTCCTGGGCAAACATTTAAATTGAGACCGAAATTTTAAGACATTATTTGAAATTAATGAAAATAGGGACAAAACTTACCAAAATCTCTGGGATGCTGCTAGGAAAGTTTATAGCACCAAACACCATCAAGAAATTAGAAATATCTCAAATTAACAACCTAACTTTGCTGCTAAAGGAACTCGTGGAAAAAAGAACTAATCCCAAAGCTAGCAGAAGAAAAGAAGTAACTAAAATTAGAGAAGAAATGAATGAAATTGAGATGCAAAAATTTATACAAAAATCCATAAAACCAATAACTGTTTTTTTCTTCCAATAGTTTTTGGGGAACAGGTGGTTTGTGGTTACATGGATGACTTGTTTCATGGTGATTTCTGAGATGTTCGTTCCCCCGTAACAGTAGCTGTGTACACTGTACCCAAGGTGTAATCTTTTATCCCTCACCCCTCTCATCCTTTCCCCTGAGCCCCCAAAGTCTGTTATATTATTATTATGCATTTACATCCTCATAGCTTAGCTACCACTTATAGGTGAGAACATAACGATATTTGGTTTTCCATTCCTGAGTTACTTCAACTTGAATGATGGTCTCCAACTCCATCCAGGTTCCCGCAAATGCCATTATTTTGCTCTTTTTATGGCTGAGTAGTATTTCATGGTATATATACAACACATTTTCTTTATCCACTCATCGTTGATGGGCATTTAGGCTGGTTCCATATTTTTTGCAATTGCCAATTGTACTTCTATAAACATGATGTGTGTGAAAGTGTTTTTTCATGTAATGCCTTCTTTTGTTTTGGGTGGATACTCAGTAGAGAGATTGCTCGATCAAATGGTAGTTCTACTTTTAGTTCTTTAAGGAATCTCTATACCGTTTTCCACAGTGGTTGTACTAGTTTATATTCCTACCAGAAGTGTAAAAGTGTTCCCTTTTCACCACATCTACGCTAACATCTATTATTTTTTGATTTTTAAATTGTGGCCATTCTTATAGGAATAAGGTGGTATCTAATTGTGGTTTTGATTTGCATTTCCCTGATAATTAGTGATGTTGAGCATTTTTTCATATGTTTGTTGGCATTTGTATATGCTCTTTTGAGAATTGTCTCTTCATGTTCTTTTCCCAGTTTTTGATGAGATTATTTGTGTTTATCTTGCTGATTTGTTTGAGTTCCTTGTAGATTCTGGCTATTAGTTCTTTGTCAGACACATAGTTTGTGAAGATTTTCTCCCATTCTGTGGGTTTTCTGTTTATTCTGCTGATTATTTCTTTTGCTGTGCAGAAGCTTTTTATTTTAATTAGGTCCCATCTATTTATTTTTGCTTTTGTTGCATTTGCTTTTGGGTTCATTGTCAATAAATCTTTCTTTAAGCCAATGTCTAGAAGTTTTTTCGATGCTATCTTCTGGAATTTTTATAGTTTCAGGACTTAGATTTAAGTCTTTGATCCATCTTGAGTTGAATTTTGTATAAGATGGAGGATGATGATCCAGTTTCATTATTCTACATGTGGCTTGCCAATTATCCCAGCACCATTTGCTGAATAGGGTGTCCTTTTTCCACTTCATTTTTTTTTGTTTGCTTTGTTGAAGATCAGTTGGCTCTAAGTATTTGGCTTCATCTCTGGGTTCTCTACTCCATTCCGTTGGTCTATGTGCCTATATTTTATACCAGTACCATGTTGTTTTGGTAACTATATCCTTGTAGTATAGTTTGAAATTGGGTAATGTGATGCCTCAAGATTTGTTCTTTTTGTTTAGTCTTGTTTTGGCTATGTGGGCTCTTTTTGCTTCCATATAAATTTTAGGATTTTTTTTTTCTAGTTCTGGAAGAATGATGTGAAGAATGATGATGGCATTTTGATGGGAATTGCAATCAATCTATAGAGTGCTTTTGGCAGTATGGTCATTTTCACAATATTGATTCTACCCATCAGTGAGCATGGGATGTGTTTCCATTTGTTTGTGTCATCTATGATTTCTTCAGCAGTATTTTATAGTTTTCCTTGTAGAAACAAGGAGTTTTCACCTCCTTGGTTAGGTATATTCCTAAGTATTTTATTTTATTTTTTGCAGTGGTTGTAAAAGGCATTGAGTTCTTGATTTGATCCTCAGCTTGGTCATTGTTGGTATATAGCAATGCTACTGATTTGCATACATTAATTTTGTATCCTGAAACTTTACTGAATTCATTTATCAGATCTAGGTGCTTTTAGGATGTCTTTAGGGTTTCCTAGGTATAGCATTATATAATCATCAGACAGCAACAGTTTAATTTCTTCTTTACTGATTTGGATGCCCTTTATTTCTCTTATCTGATTGCTCTGGCTAAGACTTCCAGTGCTATGCTGAATAGAAGTGGTGAAAGTGGGCATTCTTGTCTTGTTCCAGTTCTCAAGGAGAATACTTTCAACTTTTTTCCATTCAGTATAATTTTAGCTGTGGGTTTGTCATAGACGGTTTTGATTACTTTAAGGTATGTCCCTTCTGTGCCAATTTTGCTGAGGGTTTCAAACGTAAAGCGATGCTGAATTTCCTCAAATGCTTTTTCTGTGTCTAGTGGGATCACCATGATTTTGGTTTTTAATTCTGTTTATGTGGTGTATCACATTTATTGACTTGCATATGTTAAACCATCTCTGCATTGCTGGTATGACGCCCACTTGATCATGGCGTATTATCTTTTTGATATGCTGTTGGATTTGGTGAGCTAGTATTTTATTGAGAATTTTTGCATCTATGTTCATCAGGAATATTGATCCGTAGTTTTCTTTTTTTGTTATATCCTTTCCTGGTTTTGGCATTAGGGTGATACTGGCTTCATAGAATGATTTAGGGAGGATACCGTCTTTCTGTATCATTTGGAATAGTTGTAAGTTTGGTACAAATTCTTCTTTAAATGTCTGATAGAATTCAGCAGTGAATCCATTTGGTCCTGGACTTTTATGTTGGCAATTTTTGTACTACTCTTTCAATGTAACTACCTGTTATTGGCCTGTTCAGTTTCTATTTTTTTCTGATTTAATCTAGAAGGGTTGTGTATTTCCAGGTATTTATTCAACTCCTCTAGAGTTTCTAGTTTGTGTAAAGGTGTTCATAGTAGCCTTGAATGATCTTTTGTATTTCTGTGGTATTGGTTGTAATATGTACCATTTCATTTCTAATTGCGCTTATTTGGATCTTCTCTCTTGTTTTCTTCATTAATATTCCTAATGGTCTATCAATTTTATCTTCTCAAATAACCAGCTTTTTGTTTCATTTATCTTTTGTATTTTTTGTTTCAATTTCGTTTAGTTCTACTCTTATCTTTGTTATGTATTTTTTCCCCTGCTAGGTTTAGGTTTGGTTTGTTTTTGTTTCTCTCATTCCTTGAGGTGAGACCTTAGATTGTCTGTTTGTGCTCTCTCAGACTTCTTGATGTAAACATTTACTGCTATGAACTTTCCTCCTAGCATTGCTTTTGCTGTACTCCAGAGGTTTTGACAAATTGTGTCACTATTATTATTCAATTCAAAAAACTTTTTAATTACTGTAGCCTTGTAGTATAGTTTGAAGTCAGGTAGTGTGATGCCTCCAGCTTTGTTCTTTTGGCTTAGGATTGACTTGGCGATGCGGGCTCTTTTTTGGTTCCATATGAACTTTAAAGTAGTTTTTTCCAATTCTGTGAAGAAAGTCATTGGTAGCTTTATGGGGATGGCATTGAATCTGTAAATTACCTTGGGCAGAGTGGCCATTTTCATGATATTGATTCTTCCTACCCATGAGTATGGAATGTTCTTCCATTTGTTTGTATCCTCTTTTATTTCCTTGAGCAGTGGTTTGTAGTTCTCCTTGAAGAGGTCCTTCACATCCCTTGTAAGTTGGATTCCTAGGTATTTTATTCTCTTTGAAGCAATTGTGAATTGGAGTTCACTCATGATTTGGCTCTCTGTTTGTCTGTTGTTGGTGTATAAGAATGCTTGTGATGTTTGTACATTGATTTTGTATCCACTTCTCAAAAGAAGACATTTATGCAGCCAAAAAACACATGAAAAAATGCTCATCATCACTGGCCATCAGAGAAATGCAAATCAAAACCACAATGAGATACCATCTCACACCAGTTAGAATGGCAATCATTAAAAAGTCAGGAAACAACAGGTGCTGGAGAGGATGTGGAGAAATAGGAACACTTTTACACTGTTGGTGGGACTGTAAACTAGTTCAACCATTGTGGAAGTCAGTGTGGCGATTCCTCAGGGATCTAGAACTGGAAATACCATTTGACCCAGCCATCCCATTACTGGGTATATAGCCAAATGACTATAAATCATGCTGCTATAAAGACACATGCACACATATGTTTATTGCGGCATTATTCACAATAGCAAAGACTTGGAACCAACCCAAATGTCCAACAATGATAGACTGGATTAAGAAAATGTGGCACATATACACCATGGAATACTATGCAGCCATAAAAAATGATGAGTTCATGTCCTTTGTAGGGACATGGATGAAATTGGAAATCATCATTCTCAGTAAACTATCGCAAGAACAAAAAACCAAACACCACATATTCTCACTCATAGGTGGGAATTGAACAATGAGATCACATGGACACAGGAAGGGGAATATCACACTCTGGGGACTGTGGTGGGGTGGGGGGAGGGGGGAGGGATAGCATTGGGAGATATACCTAATGCTAGATGACGAGTTAGTGGGTGCAGCGCACCAGCATGGCACATGTATACATATGTAACTAACCTGCACAATGTGCACATGTACCCTAAAACTTAAAGTATAATAAAAAAAATTTTTTTTAACTTCCATCTTGATTTCGTTGTTGACCCACAGATTATTCAAAAGCAAATTATTTAATTTTCATGTATTTTATAGTTTTGAGGGTTCCTTTTGGATTTAATTTCCAATTTTATTCCACTGTGTCTGAGCAAGTACTTGATATAATTTCAATTTTCTTAAATTTATTGAGACTTGCTTTGTGGCCTATCATATGGTCTATCAGGAGAAATTTACATGTGATGATGAAAAGAATGTATATTCTGCAGTTGTTTGGTAGAATGTTGTATAAATACCTTTTAAGTCCATTTGTTGTAAGGTATAGTTTAAGTCCATTGTTTATTTGTTGAGTTCCTGTCTTGATGACTTTTCTAGTGCTCTCAGTGGAGTATTGAAGTCCCCCACTATTATTATGTTGCCATCTATCTCCTTTCTTAGATCTGGTAGTTATTGTTTTGTAGATTTGGGAGCTCCAGTGTTAGGTGCACATATATTTCAGATTATGATAATTTCCAGTTGGACTAATGCTTTTATCGTTATATTATATCCCTCTTTGTCTTTAATTGTTGTTGCCCTGAAGTCTGTTTTGTCTAATATAAAAATAACTACTCCTGCTCACTTTTGGTTTCCGTTTGCATGGAATATCTTTTTCCATCCCTTGACCTTAAGTTTATGTGAGTCCTTATGTGTTAGATGAGTCTCTTGATGACAGCAGATACTTGGTTGGTGGATTTGTGTCCATTCTGTCATTCTGTATCTTTTAAACGGAGCATTTAGGCCATTTACATTCCATGTTAGCATTGAGATGTGAGGTACTGTTCTATTCATCATGCTAGTTGTTGCCTGAATACCTTGTTTATTTTTAATTGTGTTATTGTTTTATAGGCCCTGTGAGATTTATGCTTTACAGAGGTTCTATTTTGATGTATTTTGAGGCTGTGTCAAGATTTGGAACTCCTTTTAGCATTTCTTATAGTGCTGTCTTGGTAGTGGCGAATTCTCTCAGCATTTGTTTGTCTGAAAAAGACTTTATCTCTCCTACATTTATGAAGCTGTGCTGCTGTATACAAAATTCGTGGCTGATAATTATTTTGTCTGAGAAGGCAAAAGATGGGACCCCAGTTCCTTCTGGCTTGTAGAGATTCTTCTGAGAAATCTGCTGTTAATCTGATAGGTTTTTCTTTACAGGTTATTTGATGCTCCTGTCTCACAGCTCTTAAGAGTCCTTCCTTTGCCTTGCTGTAGATGAGCTGATGACTATGTGCATAGGTGATGATCTTTTTGCAATGAATTTCCTGGGTGTTCTTTGAGTTTCTTGTATTTGGGTGTCTAGATCTCCGGCAAGACCAGGGAAGTTTTCCTCAATTACTCTCTCAAATAAGTTTTCCAAACTTTTAAATTTCTCTTCTTTCCCAGGAACACCAATTATTCTTATGTTTGGTTGTTTAACATAATCCCTAATTTCTTGGGGGCTTTATTTTTTTATTTTTTATTTCTTTATCACTGTTGGATTGGGTTTATTTGAAAGCCTTGTTTTGACCTCGGAAGATCTTCTTCTACTTGTTATATTCTATCTTTGAAACTGTCCAGTGTATTTTGCATTTCTCTAAGTGTATCTTTCATTTTAAAAAGTTGTGATTGTCTTTTCTTTAAAATATCAATTTCTATGGAAACTTTTTCATTCGTATCCTATATTGTTTTTTAAGTTTCTTTAAGTTGGTTTTCACCTTGCTCTGGTACCTTCTTGAGCAACTAAATATTCAGCCTTCTTAATTCTTTATCTGGCAATTCAGAGATTTCCTCTTGGTTTGGATCCATTGCTGGATAGCTAGTGTGATCTTTTGGGAGTGTTACAGAACCTTGTTTTGTCATGTTACCCAAATTACTTTTGTGGTTTCTTCTCATTAGGGTAGACTGTGTCAGTGAAAAGATCTGGAACTCAAGGGCTTCTGTTCAGATTTCTTTTTTCATGGGGTGACCCCTTGATGTGGTGCTCTCCTCCTTTCCCTAGGGATAGAGCTTTCTGAGAGCCACACTGCAATGGTTGTTGTTGCCTTTCTGGGTCTAGCCACCCAGCAGGGCTACTGGGCTACAGACTGGTGCTGGGGAATGTCTGCAAAGATTCCTGTGATGTGATTCATCTTCAGGTCTCCAAGCTACTACCAGCACCTATACTGGTGGAGGTGGGAAGGGAGTGAAGTGGACTTTGTGGGAGTCCTTGGTTGTAGTTTTGTTTAGCGCACTGCTTTTCTTGGTCGGTGGTTATGTGTAGTTGTCACATGGACAGACTTATGACCTCTGGTTAGCCAGGGTGTTGCAGGAGGTGGAATTGGCTGTTCTCCTTCTTTGGAGCAAGCTTGTTCTGTTATGAGTTACAATAATGGCTTGAGTTGGTTGGCCTCCATCCAGGAGGTATTAATTTCAAGAGAGCACCAGCTCTGTTAGCAGAAGGGGAGTATACAAGTGTATATTCCTGTATATTCCTGGCCCTATGTTGGCCAGGGTAAGTACTTGGGTTTCTCAGGTGATAGCAAGGGCCATAGAGCTCCAAAGAGGTTTTTTTGTTTGTTTGTTTGTTTGTTTGTTTGTCTTCAGCTACCAGGGCTGGTAAAGAGAAGATATCAGTTGGGTACAGGGTTAGGCTGCTCTGAGCTCAGACTCTCCTTGGGTGGGGCTTGCTGCAGTCACTGTGGAGGATGGGAGAATGGTTTTCTGGCCAATAGAATTGTGTTCCTTGGGGGGATTATGCCTGCCTCTGCTGCATCATACAAGTCGCCTGGAAGTGGCCTCACCCAGCTCCCACGCAGCCAGAAAGGCCAGTCTCAGTACTACCAATCACCACCAACAGCGCTGAGTTTATATCCAAGCAGCCTGAGAGCAGGGCTGAGATCTCACCCCAGGCTACAAGCATCCCCACTGAGAAAACAAGCAAGGCTCTCAGGCCTCACCTCTCCCCACCTGCCTGTACCATCAGCTGTGGCTTCTACACTCATATCTGCACTTACTGTTCACCCCACCCCCACCCAGAGTCTGCTCAGAAAAAGTTGTGCTCGGTCAAAATTATTAAGAAGTTCAGCTCGAAGTTTTCTTCAACCTGTGACACCTTCTAAATTCTTCTGGCTGCCTTCCCCAAGGACCCCTGTGAGGTAAAACCAGGAATGGCTTCCCTGGGCTCAAGGTGGGGACTGGTAGTACCTACGGGGACTGGTAGTACCTACAGGGCTCTTCCTGCTGCTTCTTCTGCTTTTATATTTCACTCTGATTCCTAAATCCATTTCAGCTCTAGGTAAGGTTAAATCCTTCTCCTGTGACCTGGACCTTTAGGTTCCCCATTTGGGATGTGTTTGGGATCAGACTTTTTCTCCTTTCACTCTGGAAACACGTTTTTTTTCAGCTGTCTTTCAAAGTTTGCAGCAGCAAGCTACTTCTTTCAAAGGGTCTGTGACTTTTTTGGGTTTTCCTGATATGTTCCTGCAGTGGTTTTGGAGCAAAAGTTCACAATGCGAGTCCTCCACATGCTGTTCTGTCCATCCAAGTGGGAGCTGCACCTTAGTCTTATCTCTTATCCACCATTTTCTGGAAGCTTGGAATACAAATTCATTAACAAGCTATTCAAAGGCCAAGACAATGTGACTCTAATCTTGTTTTCAGTAACTCCTTGCAACACTATTCTTTAGCTATATGGAGATATTTATTGAGCCTCACACAAGCTCCTACTTTATGCCTTCCACATGCTGTTTGCACTGCCTTGAATTCTCTGTTGCTTCTAATTTGAATTGTATGCATTTTAGGATTTCTCTTAGATGCCACATTTTATGCAGCCTTTTCTAACTCTACCATGTAAAATTAATTCCTGTGCATTATTTTATTTGAATCTTTCTTGTGATACTCATCATTTTTTATTTTTCGGTTTCCCTAAAAGTATGCTCTTTGAGTGAAACATTCATGTTTGTCTTTCACATTTCTTTCTATTTACATTCATAACCCATTTTAAGTGCTTTTTATACAAAAATTATTCATTAAATATTTGTTCACTGTATGTAAAAGGTTGACATCTCAGGGTGAAGAGAATTATTAAATATTTTTGAAGTTGGTTTATATAATATTAGCTTTTACACACTTTCTGTAAGTTTTTCAAAGTATTTTTTGTCTGTCATATTTGCATTTATTTGTTTAAATTATATTTGTACTATATAAATGTTTAAAAAAATCCCTTTTAATAAAAACTTAATTTTATCTTAAGTGTAAGCTAGAGTTAGCTTAGCTACTTATTAATTGTTTCTAAGTTCAAAATTACTGATTTGTAAACATGTATTAGAAGATCACAGTGTTAACAGAGTGGAATGAATTATCCACATCCCTCAAGTGGTGGCTGCAACTTAGACCCATGGATTCTGTACTAGATTTTACATAAATAGAAGTCATAAGACAGCATGTAGTGTAAAGGATGTTTGTTACTTTTTTTCATCACTTAGCATCTATACCATATATCTTTTTTTGGATAATTCACCACTTTAAGAGTAAGTAGATGGCAGAGATTGACTCTGTAGAAGTTGAAATTAGCACATACCAACGTTTTATTCATCCCTTGAAACTAGGGCAATGTCAGTCAATGGGATGCTTCCAACTGATCTTGAAATTAGGAGGTGATGGTGCAAAGAATCACCAAGCTGAAGGATTGACTGAGTATCTACTGCAGAGGTAGACAGTGGCAGCCTAAACATGTGACTTTCAGAAGCAACAGGGTAAATGGATCACTGCGGTAGCTATAGCTTTGAAGTCTGTGGCATATGCTCTTCAGAAACTAAATGTAGTTATCCTCACTGATTTAGTTTTATGAAAAGATTTTTATTGTGGTCTTCTTGGCTGCCTATTTTTTCTTAATCCTCTCCATCTTTGAGTTCAGTTCTCTGGACTTCCTGATAGTACTCTGATCAATCAAACATCCATTCAATGGATTCTCTTTGGCTAATTCTGCCATAGTCAATTACTGCAGCAACTGACAACTATGACTGTTAAAACTATACTCTTTTGGCACCATTGCTGGATGTATGGTATGCTTACTTCTTCTCTAATTTTTTCCCTTCCTTTTCTAGCTAGATAAATATTTGTTTAGCCTTTTCATATATTTTCTTTGTATCATAATTTGAACTCTCTTCTGAATTATCACCAGAATCTCCTTGTACCTCTTCAATAGTGGAGGGCCAAAACTCAGCACTTGGTGAATCTTGGTGGTTTAAAAAATGGTAAAGACATAGTCCACTCTACTATTTAGTAGTTGTGTGACTTTTAGTAAATTAATGAACCATTATTTTTCATTGTAATTCTGTAAAATGAAGACAATGTTACTGATTTTATGGGATTTTTATAAGAATTAAATAATGTTAGCAAAGACCAAAGACAATAGCACAGTTCTCACACATAGTAGGCATTCAGCACAGTGAATAGTAGTTATCATTAGTAATTCTGTAGGCTCCATATTGCCTAAGGACCTAAAGATATGATATGTATTCCCTGTGTGTGAGATAACAATCTCTATAGTCAATTTCAGTTTGACTTATATAATATCCTTGATTTTATTTTCTCAAAATTATGCCTGTTTACTTGGTACTTGCTTTTAAAATGGTATTCACCGAAGCTTTAACATCCAGTGATTAACAGTGAGAGAGAGTAAGGCTCTTTTTAAACCACCAGAGTGTGTTAGGGTAGTACTGAGTCAAAGTCTAAGAGTTTTATGGTTAAAAAAACAAATAACTTTTTACTGCTGCTCATTTAAGTAGGATTTTATGTTGTTCCCAAGATGGGAGTCTACAGGCAACTAATAAGCGGGAAGAAGTGACTGTGAAGACAAACCAGCTGCATCAAACTGCAGGCACCTCAGGAATCAGCAGATCATGCAGGGCACAAAGAGGTGAAACCAGTCAAGTGTACAGTGGAGACGATTTCTCAATTTTTTTTCCTTGGAATACTAGCATCACTCAAAAATGTCAATAGTGTTTGGTGAACAAAATAAGCTTTTTAAATTAAATGTACAGAAATCCCTGCTTATCAGAATGACACCTTGAATTTTCATAATACATATTAGTATACCCAAGTAAAGAAGCCTGTCTAATTTTTCTGAGATCTTTATTTCTCCCAATTTGCTGGAACATGTTTTATTTTTAATTTGTTTTCTTTGATTTGCTTTTACAGGAACTTTGTAATAATCTAAAGAACGCAGTTGCTATAATTTGATAATGACAAATGAAATTATGAAGGTAATTCTGAGCAATTGCGAAAACTCACAAACAACAGTCTAAATATTTGGAGCTTTATACTCTAAATACTGGGGAGCCACTAAAGATTTTTAAAGTAGAACAATGAAGAATTGGTGCATTACAAAAATTAGTTGACAATCATATTTAGACTTTATTTGAAAGATAAGGAAAAATGATAGAGGCAAGGGAATCAATTGACCAGCTATTGTGATATCTCAATTTTGAAAAATAATTAAAAATTAGAATGAAGGGATCTATGTAAAAGGAAGCCACCAAGAGAAGTAATTAATTCATAGGACATGATGATTAATGGATGTGGATGAGGAGGAAAAAGGAGGTTGAAAGAAAGTAGTAAAAACTGGCAAGAGAGTCCATGTCTGAATAAGAAGATAAAATGTCACACTGATTAATACTTTAACTGACCAAATCAAGACAGTGAGATTGTTTGTGGAAGAATATTGCAAATAATTTAGGAGCTTTAAAATTGTGGACTTATTCTGATGCCTCCACCTAAATTGTCTGGTATCAAAACTTGCTGATGGTTGCATCATGTTCCAGCTTTCCATCTTGCATTTTCTAACTCAGTAAAGAGTTAAAAGGTGATTTAAAAAAAAAAAAAAAAACTTCCTTTGGCATGGATTATGTCAGCTTTCATCTACATGCTATGCAAAATCATGTCTTGGTTAGTATTTTTCTTATCTTTTGATGGTTGACATGCAAGAGAGAATTAAACATCAAGATAATTAGTGAATCCTGGTGATATGGTTCAGCTGTGTCCCCATCCAAATCTCATCTTGAATTGTAGTTTCCATAATCCCTACATGTTATGGGAGGGACCCAGGAATCATGAGGGCAGTTTCCCCCATACTGGCCTCATGTTAGTGAGTAAATCTCATGAGATCTGATGGTTTTATAAATGGGAGTTCCCCTGTACAAGCTCTCTTGCCTGCCACCATGTTAAGATGTGCCTTTGCTCCTCCTTCGCCTTCCACCATGATTTTGAGGCCTCTCCAGCCATGTGAAACTGTGAGTCCATTAACCCTCTTTTGCTTTATAAATTACCCAGTCTCAGATATGTCTGTTAGCAGCATGAGAACAAACTAATGCACCTGAATACTTTAGTGTTTTTTAGTAGAATATGACATATTATGAGTACACAATGTGAAGAAATCCGGATATTCGAAAGACAAACATTTCTGAATGAAGGGGAAAAGTAAGCTGGGGCAAGACAACGTTTCTCATCCCTGATTGAAATGTTCCTATTTACCCCCTAACTTATACCTTGGGATGTTATGTTGCTTGTAAAGAATTGTGCAGAGACAGATGGAAATATTAAAATATTTATCCTAAATAAATGTTTGAGTTAAACGGTAATATCCTGTGCTGCTCTAGATTCAATTCTATCAATAAGCTATTTTGAGATTCTGACCTCAGTTTCTTGTCTTCTTTTAAGTTATCTCTGGGCCCTAAAGAGACACAGCTATGAAACTGGAGAATGACTGCAGAATAACCAAAAGAAGTTATCCAACAGAATTTATAAGATATAGGATTTCGTTTCAAGAGAGAAAACAGGAGTAAAAATATAAATTTTGGGATTGTCCACATTAGAGAGAAAAATCATATCTTCATATGAAGAAATATAGAATTTCTTCAAAAAAGAAAATATAAGGGAAGGAGATTGGAATATTAAAGAAAATCTCAGAGAACATCCACAACTGAATTCCAAAAACAGAGGAAGAATTATCATGAATGGCAAAAGATATATAACAATATACGAATGAAGAGAATATATCCACTAGAGAATTATAAGAGAAAGGAAATCAATTTAGGTGAAGAAAGTCTAAGAGGAAGGGGATAAAGGTGACTAAATTTGGTGATAAAAAATTGAGGTAGGCAAAATAATGGCCTCCAAAGATTCCCACATTCTAATTCTTGAAATTAGTGTTTATGTTATGCTAAATGACAAGGGAGAATTAAGGTTGCAGATGGACTTAAGGTTGATAATCAACTCACTTTAAAAATAGAGAGACTGTTCTGAATTATCCAAATGGGACAAATGTAATCGTAAGGGTCCTTTATATGTGAAAGAATGTGAAAGAGGGCAGCAGAAGAGTCATCAGACTGGTTCAAGGTGAGAAAGGCTTGGTTGGCTAGCTTTGAAGATGGAAGGTTTCAGAAGCCAAAAGATGCAGGCTGACTCTAGAGGTTGGAAAAGCAAGGGAATGAATTTACTAGAAAGGAACAGAGACCTGCTGACACTTTGATTTTAGCTCAGTGAGATCCAATTTGGACTTCTGAGAAAATAAGTTTTACAGAACTGTAAGTTACAGAACTGTAGGAAAATAAGTTGGTGTTGTTTTAATCCACTGAGTTGTACCAATTTGTTACAGTAGCAATAGGAAACAAACATAGAAGCTCATTGTTTGCGTAGATACGCAGTGTCAGTACAAAGGACAAAGACCTATTAACAGAGTTACAAATGAGCAATGGAAGTAGCAGGTGTTGCCCATATTTTCAGCAGATTAGGCAGTGGAATAAGAGAATAGGATAAAAATATCTGAGAAATTGTTAATTGGGGAAAAATTCAAATACATCTAATTAAATAGAAATAGCATTGTTCAAGACAGAAGCTCTATTATATTAGCTCCTTCTTTGCAACTAAGCAGAATATTTCTTGAGAAGATTATATGAGCATAATTGTCAAACCAAGCAAATGAAAATCTCCCAAACTAATGGATGTAATAAGTGAGATCTAGAAACTCACAGAAAGCTGTTTCATTTACCATAAAGAATAATGAAAAGTCTTTCATCTCTAAATTGTATGAAGTGAGAAATTCTGCCAATTATAAATGAGATGAAAACGAATACTTAAGAAAAATTCTGGCAACTTCATAAAAAATGCCAATTTTACATATTAGAAGAAAAAACATATTATGCTGTTGACATGTTAAGTGCATCAATAGAGATAATGAATATGAATATGCTAAATCAAGGCATATAAAAAATAGAAGACTAGGATATTCTCAAAAAATTCAGTTTATATAGAAAGCCAGCCTGGTTTTTTACAAAGGTTTGTATAAAGAAGTACAGAAATATTTAAGGGTAGAAGAAAAATAAGCAGCCATATGCTACTCTAAATAGTGCTGAGTTATATGGGCCACTTTTATGCAAAATGAATTCTATTGTAAAACACAAAAATAATGAAAAAAAATTGTCTCTATGTTGATTTGACAGAACTTACGGTTAAAGCTAATGATGCAGTTTTAGAATAAATTTTCCTAAATCTAGGTAGAGAAACTCAATTGTCAAATGAATGATCTAGACCCGATGACCTACTGGGTTCCTTCTAAAGTAATGGCCCCAGGTATCCTAGTGCTTGAGAAATACGTAAGCATTGCTTGAAAAGAGCATGCTGGGGCCCAAGGTTTGGTAAGCGCTTTATGAAGTTTTGCTGCTTGCCTTCTCAGACCCTTTAGCACATAAATTTCTAAGAAAATACTTCTAAATGAATCATTTTCCCTGATAGGTCTTTTGATAACAGAAAAGGTTTTTGCCCGTGGATCTCAAAATACTTGTGTTTAACACATTAAACTGTTAGCCATAAATCAATTTAGAGTCCTAAAACAATAATGAAAAATAAGTCAGAATCATTTTGACATACTGCTTTCTAAATATACATTTTTCACAGACCCTTTGTGTTATAATCAACTGGTAACTTCATTCTTCTACTTCCTAAGATTGTACATTCACCACTTGGATGGTGTAGTTATGAGCACTCAATTATTTTTTTATCTGAGGAAGTCTTCCTTGAGCTGTTAGTTCAGATCTCTGGGCACTGACATCTCCTGTTCATTTCATATTCTTGATTGTCACGTTACTTTTTTTTTTTTGAGGTGGAATCTGGCTCTGTTGCCTAGGCTGGAGTGCAGTGGCGCAATCTCAGCTCACTGCAAACTCCACCTCCCAGGTTCAAGCAGTTCTCCTGCCTCAGCGTCCCTAGTAGCTGGGATTCAGACGCACACCACCACGCCTGGCTAATTTTTGTATTTTTAGTAGAGATGAGGCTTCGCCATGTTGGCCAGGCTGGTCTCAAACTCCTGACATCAGGTGATCCACCCGCGTCGGCCTCCCGAAGTGCTGGGATTACAGGCATGAGCCACCATGCCTGACCTGTCAAGTTACTTTCTATACACTTGGTGACGCTTTGGTCTTTTCTGTTAAATCACTCTCAGATTCCCGAAGTGTTTTTCTTATTTAGGAATAGCAATACTGTTAATTAGCTAAGCATCCGTGATGCCATTCACTTTTTATGGCTTATCTCAACCCTTTCAACAACTTTGTGCTAGAGGTCAATTTAACCGTTTTGCCACAGAGAAAACAAAAGGCTAAGAACCCCATAGCTTATACATGGTAGAGTCAACATTCGAACCCACCTTTGCTTTTCTTCAAAGCTGGTCTTAAGGGTAATGCCCAATTTTCTTGCCCTCTCTATTCCCTATCGTAAATTCCACCCTCAAACCACCTACAATTTCAGACATATTTCCATTGTTTGACCCTAGGTGGACAAGAGAAGAGAGATATTACTTAAGAGACTAGAAGTCAAGGACTAGATTTTACTAGGTAATCACCAAACCTCACACCAGAGCTAAGAGTTTCTGAACTCACTCATGCCCCCGGGTGCTGCGTGACTCTGAAACTCAATGTCAGGCCTTATGAAGTGATCATGAGCTCCCTTTGGAAGCAGCCACCTCTACCATTTCCTCTTTCCCATCTGCTTCTCCATGAGGCTCTTCGCTTCCTTGAGAAACTTGGCTTCACACCTATGAGTAATTCTCTGTCTCCTTTTTAACCGTACACCTTCAATCAACAGCCCTTCTGTTTCTCTTGCCACAGATCTCCACAGAGGCCTGAAAAAGTGATTTATCTGAGCAAAGGAGGTCTTCTTTATTCAGTGCCATTGCTCCCAGATGTTTTCTTCTGATTCTAGAAGGCAGATTTATGTCGTTCCTGTTACCTCAGCCCATGAAGCTCAGGTAACCACAGGCACCTTCTGGCCGTACTGTATTAAAATTATATTCTCCTGATTTACATACATTAGGTTTATGAGCTATTGGAAGCACCTAATAACTTTGGGCAAGATGATCCTGACTTTATTTTTTTATTTTAGATTCAGGGGGTACATGTGCAGGTTGGTTACCTGGGCATATTGCATGATGCTGAGGTTTGGGGTATGAATGACCAGGCACTGAGTAAAGTACCAGTAGGTAGTTTTCCAACCTTTCCCTTCCTCCCTCCCTCCACTCTCTGGTAGTCCCCAGACTTTTTTTATGTGACAATATCATTTTTATTTTTCTAACAAATCTTTCTTCCTTTTTTTCTTTTGAAGATAAACATGGATTTAATAAGAATCAGATAATTCCACTTAGAATCATCTATTGGGGGGGCTATTTTAAAATGCTGGTGTCTGATTTAATTGCTTTGGAGAGGACCTGAGTATAAATATTATTTTTAAAAGCACCCCCGGTGATTCCAGTGTGCATCTGGGAATGAGAACCCTTGTTGTCGGCAGCACTTCTCAGGTTCATATTCTTAAGTGGGGCAACCACACATGCTAGTTTGCCTTAAGTGAGTCCTGGTGTAATTATTCACAGTACTTCCTGCTATTCTCAGAATCTCCACTTTGGGTGATAAATTATATGGCTACCCTATTCATGAAAATCATCTGGGAAGCTCATTAAAAATTCAGATTATCTAATCTCAGGTCAGAAGATTGAGTTTCTGTAGGTCTGGGGTAAGGTTTGAGTCTGCATTAAAAACTAGTAAAATTGTCATGAGTTGATTCTAATGCAGGTGATGTACACACTCCAACTCTTTTTAAAATAGATTATTTCTTTTGGAACAGTTTTAGTTTCACAGAAAAGTTGAGGGAAAATACAGAGATCTCCTATGGGCTCCCTGCCCCTGAATACCCACAGGCTGGCTGACTGTGAGAGTCTCACACCAGAGTGGCAGATTTATTACAATTGATGAAGCTACACTGAGGCATCATTATCACTCAAAGTCTATGGTTTACATTAGGGTTCAGTCTTGGTGTTGTGTGTTCTATGAATTTTGGCAAATGTATAATGACATGTATCCACCATCGCTGTATCGGAAAAATGTTTCAGTGCCCTAAAGATCCTCTGTTCTCTGCCTATTCATTTCTTTCTCTCCCCTAATGACTGGAAACCACTGATCTTTTTACAGTCTTCATAGTTTTGCCTTTTCCAGAATATCATATAGTTGGAATCATACAGTATGTAGCCTTTTCAGATTGGCTTCTTTCACTGAGTAATACACATTTAAGTGTCCTCCACGTCCTTTCACGGATTCTTAGCTAATTTTTTTCTGAATGTTCATGTAGTTTATCCTTTCACTGAATGAAGAACAACTTTATTTCTTCCAAGTTTTGGCAATTATGAATAAAGCTGCTATAAACATATATGTGGAGTTTATCTAGTGGACATAGTTTTTTAACAAAGTTGGGTAAATCCCAAAGCGCACAATTACTATATTCTATGGTAAGAACATATTTAGTTTTGTAAGGAGCTGCCAAACTCTCTTTCAAAGTGGCTGAACCGTTTTCCATTCCCACCATTGACAAATGAGAATTCCTATTGCTCTACCTCCTCACCAGCTTTCGATGTTGTCACTGTTTTGTACATTTGCCATTTTAATAGATCCCTAATGGTATCTCCTTTTTGTTTTAATTTGTAATTTCCTAATGACATATGATGTTAAGCATCTTCCCATACGCTTATTTGCTATCTGTATATCTTTTTTAGTGATAGTTTTAAAGTAAGGTGTTTTGTCTATTTTTTAATCAGGTTGTTCATTTTCTCATTGTTGAGTTTTAAGATATCTTTGTATACTTTGAATAACAGTCCTGTATCAGGTATGTCTTTTGCAAATATTTTCACTTAGTCTGTGGTTTGTCTTCTCACTCTCTCGACACTGTCTTTTTCAGAGTAGAAGTTTTTAATTTTATGAAGTCCAGCATATCAACTCTTTGTTTCATGGACTGTGCCTTTAGTGTTACATCTAAAAAGTCATTGCAACACCCACGGTAATTTATATTTTTCTCTTGTATTATCTTATAGGAGTTTTATGGCTTTGCATTTTACATTTGGCTCGATGGTCCATTTTAAGTTAGTTTCCGTGAAGGGTGTAAGGTCTATGTCCAGATTCATTTTTTTGTACTTGTAGGTCCGGTTGTTCCAGGGCCATTTGTTTAAAAGACTATGTTTCTCTATTGTAATGCTTTTGCTACTTTCAAAGATCAATTGAATTTATTTGTGCAGGTTGTTTCTCAGCTTTCTATTCTGTTCCATTGATCTATTTGTCTATTATCTTTAAAGTAAGGTAGTGTTAGGCCTCCAACTTTGTTCTTCTCCTTCAGTATTGTCAGCTATTCTGAGTCTTTTGCCTCTCCATGTAAACTTTAGAAATTCTCTGATATCCACAAAATATATTGCCACACTGTCCTTTTAAAACACTGTTTAGGGTCTGAACTTTAAAAACATCGGAACCTATAATAGTGTGTGTTAGATATTGTCAAGTTTTCCGTATTCTAAAGAAAGATACTCAAAGGTGAATAATGGATCTGTAATTTAAATAATAATAAATAATAGTTAATGAACTCTCACAACGTTCTATTTTCTCCTATTTGTCCTATTTGATCCTTAAACAACATAGTGAAGTGGTTATGAATTCTGTTGTATGAATTAAGAAACTGAGAATTTGAATAATTTTTTCTAAATGTGTACAGTTAGAAAGTGGTAGAATTTTGATTCAAATTTAGGTTAATGAGCCATAATGCTTTATTATGATTGTGTAATGTCATTTCCCAAACACTGTTCACTGATTTAAATCTCACAAAATCCTTCTGATACAGACTGTAAAAGGCCTGCTAATTTAGACAGGTGAAACGACTTTACCATTTATGATGTTATACTGGTAGTGTAATGAAGGCAGAATATGAATATAGATCTTTTAATTCCCTAACCAATATATGTTCTTCTCTTTTACTTAATGTAGATTAAATGACGATCTGCTTGTTTTCATTTAAATTTTAAAGACCTGTGAAAACCACTATACTTTTGTAAAGAAGGAAAAACAAACGTTCACATTTTGAGGTAGATAGAAATGTCTTATTACATGCTTTGGCAACTCTTTCTGAAGGTTAAAACATATTAGAAAGCCCCATCTCTTCCATTTCTAACAGTAAAGCCACCCTGACTAGCTCCCCACCTTCTTTGTAACTTATCTCGTATTTATCATATTCAAATCTGCAATCTTGATGCTATTTTCGTGATCGTAATTCATGCTCAACAATCTGCTTCCATTCTCAACTCAGTGAGCTGGCAATCAATTTCTTAGTGCTATTTGAGAAGAAAGCAAAATCTAAAAATGAAGCTATTACTATATTACAAGTAAGTACTAAATCTGTTAGGTAGGGGCTGACAGATCACATTAGAATGTGTGCCCTGAGGCACTGTGAGGCATGAGAAGGGACTTGTGATGCATGACACTATTATTGACCTTTGAGTTACACAATTTATCAGAAAGGAAAAAATAGTTTCCTTTGTGTCGGTAAAAACCAGTAAGTGAGCCCTTTAGTCTAGATTTCCAGGAGAAGCAAATTGGTCATTGTAAAAGTTCACTAATTCGGCTGTTTATTCTCCCAAACAGAAATGGGATTGTTACCACCTGACCAGCATGCATTTAGCAGAGCAGTCCTTAGCTAAATATTACATCAGAAACCAGGGTAAGAAGCAGGCTATATTGTGAGAACTATTAGAAGTGGTTGGCCTATCCTTTAATTGGTGTTTCACACTGCTCTGCTTCCCTACTTACCATTATACATACTCACACGATTACAAACTTAACATTACAACATAATAAACATCACGGTGCTCTGTCATTAATAGAGCACTTCCTCCAATTTATGCATGATACTTAGCTCTAAACTTGATTTATCTGATTTAATCCTTCAAATAGTCTACGACCTAAGTTTTTTTTTTTTGTTTGTTTGTTTTTGAGACAGAGACTCACTCCGTCATCTAGGCTGGAGTGCAACAATGCGATCTCGGCTCACTGCAACCTCCACTTCTTTGGGTTCAAGCAATTCTTGTGCCTCAGCCTCCTGGATAGCTGGGATTACAGGTGTGCACCACCACGCCTGGCTAATGTTTTCATATTTTTAGTAGAAATGGGGTTTCATCATGTTGGCCAGGCTGGCACAATCCTAGTAGTATTATGCTCATTGTGCTGTTATGGAACTTGAGGCTTTGATGATTAAGATGAGTTGCCCAAGTTTGCACAGCTAGTAAGTGCCAGAACTGAAACTCAAATCTAAGGGGAAATGGGCTTTATCACTGTATTCTTAAGCATTTCTCTGCATTGCAGTGTATGTAAAATGAATGGATAGTACTTGAAATTAGTCCCGGACAATTAAGTCTATATGTGATGTATTCAAAATCAGTTGAAAGTTCTAGGATCTAATCACTGCCATAGTGCACTCCAGGTCATGCAACAAAGCGTTACCCCTTTTTTGTTGTTGTTCATCATTCTTATCTAAAGAGGATTATATTCTGAGGTCTTTATTGCATTCACAGCATTCCTGAGAGCCACATGCTATGAGAACCCTCTTTTTTTCTCATTTTAAAAAAGTTAACTTTATTGGGATATATATATAATTTACATAGAATAAATTTTACCTTCTTATTTGTTCAGTTTTATGAATTCTTATAAACTCATGTAAACAACATGAGAATCAAGACAATTTCCATAACCCAAATGGTTCATCATTAACTGTAAATAAACTTTTTATTTAGAACAGATTTAGAGTTAGAAAAAAGTTAGTAGTACAGCGAGTTCTCATGTACCCTCCACCCACCCAGTATATTCCCTGTTGTTAGCATCTTGCATTAGTACGGCATTGTGATCTTTTTCTGTGCCAGCATTTCATCCAAGATACCATGTTTACGTATAGTCATCGTGTCTCCTCGGGCTCCTCTAGTCTGTGACAGTTTCATAGACTTTCCTTGGTATTGATAACCCTGATGACTTTGAGGACTATTGGTCAACTATTTTGTAGAATAACTCTCATTTAGGATTTATCTGATATTTTCTTATGATTAGACTGGGGTCATGTGTTTTTAGGAGAGAGACTACAGAGATAAAGTGCCGTTCTCATCACATCATATCGAGACCATATGCTATCAACATGACAAATCACTGTTGTTGTTGACTTTTATTACTTAACTGACTTAGTGTTTGTCAGATTTGTCCACTGTGAAGTTATTCTTTCCTGCCTTGTCTGTAAAATACTTTTTAGGAGGAAGTCACTATGTGAAGCTTAGAGTGGGGAGTTATGCCCTGCCTTGTTTAGTGGGGAACACCTACACAAATTATTTGGAGTAAACAGAGGATTTGTCTATTTCCTTCATTTGTTTATTTATGCATTAATTTAATCATTAATTTATATCACTATGGACTCAGATATTTTATACTTTGGGTTATAATCTAATAGCACATTTTAAGTTTCGTTGCTCATATTGTGCTAGCTACAGCCATTAGAAGCTCTTTCAGTTGACTACTGTGTCCTTTTGACATATCCCCATTGTTGTTTTCTGTTGGTTAGTTTATTTTTGCTTTATTTCTAGCACTTGTTCTCTGGGAATACAAACTATCCCAGGATAATCTTATGTATTCCCTGTCCAAGCTCCCAAATCAACCATTTCTCCAAGGGGTTCTAGTTCCTTTTAGTCGAGAAGCCAAGATCTGGGTGCTAGAGGTGCTCACTGCTACCAGGGTGTTGTTCCTTCTATGTCCCCTCAGATGATGGAGAAAGAGATGTATATGTGTATACTAGCTCACGTGTGTACACATATCAAAAATAATTCCCTGTGTATCATGCTAAACGTGAATTGTACTGATACCTTCTACTGTAATTCATTATAACATGGCTTATTCTAAGTTGTTCTCCCTTTCATGTTTCTAATTCCCATCCCAACAATGAGCGAAACCTATCCCTTGCTAGCTGCCATTGATTTACTTACTTGCTCAGTTCTTGTATACATGTATATGGGTTCCTGAATTGTTTACTTGTATCCCCATGGGAAACAACTTTCCCAACTAGAGTGCGTACGCGCAGTTCATTTTGCCTTTGGTTTTATAGCCTCTGTGTATTTACAAAATTAATTAGGGCCATATATGCTGACCTTTTATGAGAAAATATTCAAATCAGCATAAAAAATAAAGTTTTATTTAGTGTATAGCTACATTGTGAACAGTTTTAAAATTCTAGAGTTACTTACAATCATGGATGTGTATTCATGTAATAATAGTTTTAAGTCTATGGTGTTCATTGGATAGTCTAATATTATAGCAGTTATTTTTCAATTAATTTTTAAAGCTTTTATGTTTTTGGTTTTCTGGTCTTTCCATTTCATGCATCATTAAAAGGAGAATTCTGTAAAACAAAACATTTTATATAAAGATGAAATATGGAAAATATTTCCTATAAGCTGTCTGTATTATTATGTATTTTAATGGACTTAAAAATGTATAAAAATATGTTTAAATATTTGTAACTACACTCCATATATCAATTAAGAAATTGGCTGCAAATATGTGACTTTAAGGTACGTCTTTTAGAATAAATAATTGTCTACATTCTTGGTAATAAAATAGTATTATTCTGAAAATACTAAGCAAATGTGGCTTTTTATCACCTGAAATAGAAAACCTTGACAATTTCAATGCTTTCTCCTGCTAGATGAATCTTATGAGATCCTATAACTCACCCAAACTTTAAAAAGCAATCTCATCTCAAACTATTCTTTCCAAAGTTCTCTTTTGGAAGTTCAAGGGTATGTTTTAAAAAATAATTAAGTAACCATGTAAATTGAGAACAAAATAGATGAGCTGCTGTGTTTTCTGTATAAGTCATGCTGGATGCAAGGTTAGGATTTTAAGTTCCATAAAATCAATTATATACACAAGCTGAAATAGTATCTGAGACTAAGGTAAATAGAATGAGCAGGGCATCAAGGATACAGCAGTCAAAAACAGCAAACCTTTCACTGAATATCAGATATAAAACATTTAGGAACCTGCCTTGAAGAAATCTTCTTTTGATTAAAATTTAATGATTTATATTTATAAAATGAGTAGCTCTGAGGTTTTATATATTCATAACGTCAAGAGTTTCTCAGATACTTCAAGTACATTCAAGCTTTTGTAATGAAGATTCATTTTAAATTAATGATTTATTACTTTCAGCAACATTTTAAAGTAGTTTGTAGTATGATGTTGGGCTCCAAAGAAAAACAATTGCCTGAAGAACTGTATCAGGTAAACCTTCTCTGTAACAGACTTCAAAAGAAAATGGCTGAGACAAACTGGGATGCTGGAAAACTGCAGGTGTACTTTTCAGGATATAAGCATTAATACGTGTGTAATACTGTAATTTCTTTAAAAGTGTAATTTGGGGCATGGTTAAACCACAGAGGTGTCTATGAATTTGATTTTGACTCCCAACTGCAGTGGCAGTAGTGTGTGCCTTTCTCTTCCAGAGCAATAAGCATTTTGCTGAGGAACTTAAAATTTGCATCTAGGAAATTGAATCTCCTAGGCTAGTCTTTGATCACACAAATCTAAACTAAAGACGGACACAGTACAAAACAAAAACAAAAACAGAACAAGTGGTTCAGCCTCAATCTTCATTTTTTTCTGTGTATGATTACGAGCGAAGTAGAGGTACATCACAACACCACAATCATTTATTGAATAGTGTACATTACCCCAACATCCTTATTCATAATGACTTTAAGATTTAATAAAGGGAATTAGAGGAATATACAAACGTATATGACAGTTAGGTACTTCACCTCTAAAAAAAAACAATAAAAAGTGTGTATTCAAGGGAGGGAGAAAAGACATTTCTTTAAGGGGACTGGGAACACTTTGGGCATTTGTTGAATGCCCATAATATTACTTTAAAAATGCCCCTCCTATTCAACATAGTATTGGGAGTTCTGGCCGGGGCAATCAGACAAGAGAAAGAAATAAAGGAAGAGAGGAAGTCAAATTGTCTCTGTTTGCAGATGACATGATTGTATATTTAGAAAACTCCAACATCTCAGTCCAAAATCTCCTTAAGCTGATAAGCAACTTCAGCAAAGTCTCAGGACACAAAATCAATGTGCAAAAATCACAAGCTTTTCTATACACAAATAACAGACAAACAGAGAGCCAAACCATGAGTGAATTCCCATTCACAATTGCTACTAAGAGAATAAAATACCTAGGAATACAACTTACAAGGAATGTGAAGGACCTCTTCAAGGAAAACTGCAAACCACTGCTCTAGGAAATAGAGAGGACACAAACAAATAACAAAAAATTCCATGCTCATAGATAGGAAGAATCAATATTGTGAAAATGATCATACTGCTCAAAGTAATTTATAGATTCAATGCTATCCCCATCAAGCTACCAGTGACTTTCTTCACAGAATTAGAAAAAACCGCTTTAAATTTCATATGGAACCAAAGAGCCTGCATAGCCAAGACAATCCTAAGCAAAAAGAATAAAGCTGGAGGCATTAAGATCCCTGATTTCAAACTATACTACAAGGCTATGGTAACCAAAACAGCATGGTACTGGTACCAAAACAGATACATAGACCAATGGAACAGAACAGAGGCCACAGATACAATACCACTCATCTACAACCATCTGATCTTTGACAAACCCGACACAAACAAGCAATGGGAAAAGGATTCCCTATTTAACTTTGTTGTTGGGAAAACTGGTTAGCCATATGCAGAAAACTGAAACTGGACCCCTTCCTTACACTTTATACAAAAATTAACTCAAGATGGATTAAATACTTAAACATAACACGTAAAACCATAAAAATCCTAGAAGAAAACCTAGGCAATACCATTCAGGACATAGGTGTGGGGAAATACTTCATGTCTAAAACACCAAAAGCAATGGCAACAAAAGCCAAAATAGGCAAATGGGATCTAATTAAACTAAAGAGCTTCTGCACAGCAAAAGAAACTATCTTCAGACTAAATAGGCAACCTACAGAATGGGAGAAAATTTTTGCAATCTGTCCATCTGACAAAGCGCTAATATCCAGAATCTACAAAGAACTTAAACAAATTTACAAGAAAACAACAAACAATCCCATCAAAAAGTGGACAGAGGATATGAACAGACACGCCATAAAAAAGGATGAGTTCATGTCCTTTGAAGGGACATGGATGAAGCTGGAAGCCATCATGCTCAGCAAACTAACACAAGAACAGAAAAACCAAACACCACGTTCTCACTCGTAAGTGGGAGCTGAACAATGAGAACACATGGACACAGGGCGGGGAACATCACACGCCGGCGCCTGTCGGGGTGTTTTGGGGGCTAGGGGAGGGACAGCATTACAAGAAATACCTAATGTAGGTGATGGGTTGATGGGTGCAGCAAACCAGCATGGCATGTGCATAACTATGTAACAAACTGCACGTTCTGCACATGTACCACAGAACTTAAAGTATAATAAACAAGAAAAAAGAAAAAAATACAATTAATTTCAGGATATGATTTTAATGAATAGCAACTAGTAACAGAGGTTTTAAACATGACAAAGGGAGAATTTTCCTGGGGAAACATTTCATACCCAAACTCTATCTTCCCCTTTAAACATGTCAAAGGGGAAGATACAGAATGTATAAAAGAAAAGTGCCAGATATTTTCACAGAGCAGCACTAAATCTATAATTGTAAGAAATATAAGGAAAATAATAGGTGATAAAGCTAAAAATAAACATTAAGAACATACTACTGAAGGCCATACATGCCAGGGTGAATAATGTGTATTTAATATGGAAGGAACAAAAACATTGGATTTTTGTAGTCTAGAAAATTAATATAGAAATATTGTGTATAAAATGATAAAGGGAAAAGCAAGATGTATGGATATCAAGATTGACTATAATAAGAGAAAAAACAGGAATTAAACTAGTTTGTTAAAATTATAATGAAGGGAATGGTAAGCTAAATATTTTGTTACTGTGAGCAATATAATTTGGAAACATAAATATAGAAATACAAAATCAAAGATGATACAGAAATTCTGATTGCTAATGCATGGGAGAACGAGCACACCCTTAACATAAAAAAGAAGATAAGTTGGCTTCTAGAAATATGACTAGGGATGGGTGCAGGAGGGCATGTTCTATTTTTGAACATTAGAGGTCCTCACCCCACCCCCCAATATTTTACTATTTTTATTAATCCTATAGTGCACATATTGGACATAAATCATGTTCCTCACTTATGATGATATCTCTGGGATAGGTTCCTAGAGATAAAATCATGCTTTCAAAGACTTTCTTTCCCTACGCATTGTCATATTCTTTACCAAAATAGTTGTATCATCTTCAGCAATATATGAGGGAGTATTGCTAACTATATTCTCATTAAACTTGATAATTAACATGTCTCTTGAGTTTTACCAGTTTTAGTAAAAATGAAATTTTGTTAATTTCATTTGAATTTCTTTGTTTACAAGTGGAATCAAATGTTAAAATAGGTTATTTAGATTTTATATTTTCCTTTCTGGAAATTGTTTATCCAGGTATTTTACCATATATATTCACCTGCCATTTGTTTCTATAGGCCTTATTGAGTTTTTCTTTCTAACTAATTGAAAAGAATATATCTGTTTGTTGACTTTTAAATGAATATTTGCTGCAAGTTTTCATTAATTTTTATTTGCTTTTTTCTTTTCTTTTCTTTTTTTTTTTTTTTTTTTTTTTTGAGACAGAGTCTTGCTGTGTCGCCACCCTGGAGTGCAGTGGCGCGACCTTGGCTCACTGCAGCCTCTGCCTCCTGGGTTCAAGCGATTTTCCTGCCTCAGCCTCCCGAGTAGCTGGGACTACAGTCACGCACCACCACGTCCAGCTAATTTTTATATTTTTAGTAGAGATCCGATTTCCCCATGTTGGTCAGGCTGGTCTCGATCTCTTGACCTCATGATCCGCCCTCCTTGGCCTCCCAAATTGCTAAAAATTACAGGTGTGAGCCACCGCATCCGGCCTTTATTTGCTTTATAATTGTGTTCATAGTTTTAATGTATACATATATATATATATGTAGTTTTGAAGTGTCCAAGGGAATCTGAAGGAAAATGCATTTTTTTAAACTGGCTGACATACAGGAAGGAAGACATCCTTCAAAGAAACTGCTTCAAAGCAATTACACAGGGAGGAGGTTTTATAAAATTTGGGAGGATGAGCCACTCTGAGGAAAAGCAGAAGAAATCCTGAGAATGAAAAACAGCAAATTTTATGCATTCTGGCATGCACATTTTCAGCAAATAGGATGTTTTTGGTGTGAGGAAGACCAAAAGAATCTCATAACTTCCTTTAGGAAGGTTATGATCACTCACTTCTCAGGGATAAATGACATTTTCCAGCTGGGGTCAATCAGGAGTGGGGAAAATGTCATGGGAATAGAGGGATCTAAAATCATTCAGAAAAAAAATCTTACAGAAGTCAAGTCAAACCAAACTATCTTTTCCTTTATCGTTTCCAGTATTCTCTATCTGGGAAATCTCCCGGCTCAAGTTAATATCTGTATATACATTTTTTCTTTTTTTACGACTCACATGTGGCACATTTTTTAGAATAGGATGCATGGAGTTGGTCATAAGTGACTTTTCAAATAGGTGACCAACAGATTTGTGGTAGGTAGAATAATAAGTACACTATCTTCCCAAAATTTTCTTCTTCATCTTCAGAACCTATAAATATGTGATTTTCATATCAAAAAGAACCTGCAAAATGTTGACTCAGGATACAGACCTTGAGAGAGATCATCTGAATGGGACCAGTCTAATCATATGAGTTCTTAAAAGCAAAGAAAATGTCCCAGCTGGATCAAGAGAAGAGAAACAAGAAGAACTTGACCTACTGTTGCTGGTTTTGAAGATGGAAGAAGGAACCATGTTCCAAGCAATGTGCTAGATGTTGGGAACAGCCCTCAGCTGACAGCCAGCCAAATAATTGGGACCTCTGTCCTATTGTAAGATACTGAATTCTGCCAATAATTCAAATAAGCTAGGAAATTTATTTTCCCCTAGACTTTCCAAAAAGGAGCAGAGCCTTGCAGACACCTTGATTTTAGCCCTGTGAGAACTGTGTTAGAGGTCTAACCTACAGAACTGTGAGAGAATAAATTTGTTTTGTTTTAAGGGGTTAACTTTTTGGTAATTTATTCCAGCAGCAATGGAAATCCAATACGGCATACAACATTATTTTTTGAATAATCTTTTCATTTTTAATGGGTTTAATGTCTACCATTTATTAAAGTCTTTTATCTATTATGGCTGTCCTGGAGAATCAAGGAACCTGGGGGTTAGAAGAGATATGAGTGACCTGGAAAGTAGATAGAAAACTGAATTAGATTGTTTCAAGAAGTACAGGGAATTAATGAGCAGGGTGTTATAGTGAGCACCTGTAGTCCTGGCTACTCAGTGGGCTGAGCCAGGAGGATAACTTGAGCCCAGGATTTTGAGGCTGTAGTGAGCTATGATCATATAATTTAGTCAGTATTGAGGAAGTAGAGGTTACACTCTAAATTATACAGTGAAATGAAAGGTGATGACATGTAAGTTGAGAAGGAGTCTGAGTTCTGGAAGGAGTAAGTTTGGGGGCATGGAAAAATCAGAGCAATCACCAAAACAGGAAAGATATAAGATTCAGAAAGAAGATAAAATAATTGATAGTGAGGAAAAAATTATATAGTATTTACTTTTCTTTTGAGACTTTATCTTCTGTTTCCCTTCTGTTCTTTCTGCCTTCCTTCTCATCCTACTTTCCACTGTAGAATTTTGTCTTGAATTTTGATCCATGGCAATCTATAAAAGAAAACACTAATAACGTTCTTAAATTCAGAGAGAATTTTTCCTATCTCTGAGAGCAGTTGTAAAGCGTGAATTTGTCTCCAAAGTGGTTTGCATTCTTTCTATAAGGATGCTAAATGTAAACAAAGTACTGCTATTAGAATGATATATGTGAGGCTCCCCATGCACCTTGGCAGAAAAATGTTATATAAATGGAAAGTGTCGCATATATTTTAAAAGAATGCATGAGTTTATTCCTCAAGGGGAGTTGCTAATTTATGTACTGTGCTTGTTCTAAAGGTACGTGCATGATTCATAAGTTAGTTTATAAGTAATTTTGTACTGGAGAAAGAGAGCTAAGAGGATACTTAACTGTTTCCAAGTATCTGAAAGACTTATTTTATGATAATCAACTATTCACCATTTTATTGTAGAGAAGAAGGAAATCAATTTAAATTTCACCTGTAAAAGTTTGTGCAAAATATAAATCTTATGTAAGCATCCTGATTTGTTGTGGACTTTAAGAATACAAAATAAATACTCTTTTTATTTTGTTTTCTAATTCTTATGCCCCTAAATTCTCTGTTCTTCATATCCACACTCCTGAATTTTACCAAATAGTTTTAAAAACATTAACCATTCCCCTGCTGTAAATTTTTCCTCTTGTTAGTCTTTTTTTAAATCTAAAAAAAAAGACAATTAGTTTTATTTTATAAGCCATCTATACCTCTATCATGGCTACCTAATATCTGGGGTTAAATATGTACCATGTTCAGACAGTACGGGCATAAATACACACAGTGTCCAACGGAACAAAATAGAGAACTCAAAAATAAATTCACGCATTTACAGTCAATTCATTTTTGACAAGGGTACCAAGAACATGCACTGGAGAAAGCATAGTCTCTTTGATAAATGGTGCTGGGAAGCCTGGATATCCGCACGCAGAATAATAAAATTAGACCCTTATGTCTCACAGTATACAAAAACTAAATCAAAATGGATTAGATTTAATCTAAGACATCAAACTATAAAACTACTAGGAAAAAGACTGGGGAAACATTCCAGGACGTTGGTCTAGGCAAAGATTTCTTGAGGAAGATCTCAAAAACGGAGGGAACCAAAGCAAAAACTGACAGGTGGAATCACATCAAGTTAAAAAGCTTCTGTACAGAAAAAGAAATCATCAAGAAAGTGAGAGACAACCCACAGAATAGGAAAAAATATTTGCAAACTACCCATCTGACAAGCGATTAATAAACAGAATATATAGGGAGTTTAAACAACTCAATATGAAAAAATAATAATAATCCAATTTAAAAGGGACAAAAGATCTAAATAGACATTTAGATCAAAAGAAGACATACAAATGGCCAAGAGACATATAAGAAATGGTCAACATCACTAATCATAAGGGAAATGCAAATTGAAGCTACAGTGATATATTGTCTCACAGCAGTTACGATGGCTTTTATCCAAAAGACAGGCAATTGTGAATGCTGGCGAGGATGTGAAGAAAGGGGAACCCTCATACACTGTTGGTGAGAATGTAAATTAGTATAGCCATATGGAGAGTAGTGTGGAGGTTCCTCGAAAAACTAAAAATGAAGTTACCACATGATCCTGCAATCTCACTGCTAGGTATATATCCAAAATAATGGAAATCAATTTATGGAAGGGATTTCTGCACACTTGTGTTTATTGCAACACTATTCACAATAGCTAAGATATAGAATCCACCTAAGTATCCATCAACAGATGAATGGATAAAGAAAATGTGGTTCATATATACAATAGAGTATATTCAGCCATTATAAAAAAATGAAATCCTGTCATTTGCAACAACATGTTAAGCGAAATAAGCCAGGCACAGAAAGATAAATATCACATGTTTTCATGTGGGAGCAAAAAAAAAAACTGATCTCATGGAGGTAGGGAGTAGAATGATGGTTACCAGAAGTTTGGAAGGGTCGGGCAGAGAGGGTGATAAAGAGACAGTTAATGTGTACAAAAAGACAATTAGATATTTGGGATAAAATTTAGTATTTGGTAGCATAATAGAGGATAATTATCAAGAATTTGTTGTATATTTCAAAATAACTAAGAGTGGAATTAGGATGTCTCTAACACAAAAAAAGATAAATGCTTGAGGTGATGAATACCCCAACTACCTCGATTTGATCATCACTCATTGTATGCTTGTTCATACATGTTATACTTTGATACATAGAACTAGTATGATACGTACAACTAGTATGTATCAAACTCATGTATACATACTCATTGTATGCATCAAAATATAACATGTACCCTATAAATATTTCCAACTATTGTATATCCATAATAATTAAAAATAAAAGTTAAAGAAAATATATATGTACCATGCTCATGAAAGTTTGAATAAATCACAAAGTTACTTGAAAGTAACACCTTATATGTGTGTATATCTCTGTAATATTTTAAGTAACAGACTTTTAAAATATTATTTGTAGAGCTAATTCTAATGGGCATGAGATGAGTTGTTTTTATTTTTTGCTTTTTGTTTTGTTTTGGTTCAAAACTATCAACTTTTCCTTAAAAAGGCAAAAGGTTTAGACTTTTTAAAGAAACTTGTATAATACCTAGATTATTTTTGAGAGTCTCATTCTTGTCATACTTTCATGATTCTCATTCCTGCTTTTTTCTTCTGACACAATTAAAAAATACTAAGAAAAGTATTCTCTCCAAGAAGGAAGGCCATTATTTTTTATTCCAAAGTAATGATCTCCTTCATGCCCTCTTCACTCTGCCCTTGCAGTCATTAGTTTAATACGCAAATAGAAGTGAGCTGCCTAGGCATATTGCAAGAGTTAATGACCAACTAATTGTTACCAACACCACAATCCCCTCCCATGAAAATACAGATACTGTGAATTGATGACTAGAATCTCCATATGTTTAATGGGAAAATAACAGGAGGCTCCGTTGTACTAGTGACAAAACATGAGGGAAAAAATAATTTTCATCACGTGCCCCTGATTTAAAATTGCTTCAGGCCATCCTTGTTTCACAGCTAGGAGTATAATAAATTAAGAAAAAGTAGTATAGGGCTGAGATGAAACCCTGTGGGATATGTGAGTGAACTAACAGGTAGAGAAATTGAAGGGAAAAAGAAAAAAACGTGGATAGCCTTGGGTGGATAATACAAGAAGCAAGAAAATAGTGTCAAGATGCAGCAGTAATAAGCTAATAACTTACAGATGTAATATACGTTGCTACAGGTCTCTCAACTTCATGTGTTTCATACTTTAAGAGTTTCTGTGACCAAGTAGAGGCTTGATAAAGCTGAACTTTATCTATTAATAAAAAATACATGCCACTCATTAGGGGGCAGTTCATAGTGCAGCAGAAGGCATGGTGGGGACTAAGAATGAGAAAGGGAAGCAAGAGACAAGCAACATTTACTGAGAGCCAAGCATTAGGCATGTGATACTCATTTATAATCTACTGTTTTGCCTATAAGGTAAAATGTATGATTTTTCATTACAGGTAAGGAAACGAGTTTGGATATATATATATTTTTCCCTAAACTTTGTTGACACATTTGTTCATTCATCCATTTAACAAACGCTTATATTTAGGTAAGACTTCTTGAAAAAAAAATCAAATTCTGAAATAAGACAAAAATGTAAATGATTTTTTTCAATATCAGGTATGGATATAAGCTCATCCAAATATTAGGTAATGTATAGTAAATCATTTTTTTCATTAAATATAGGCCCATACGTAGTGAATTGACATATTAAATTGTAAATGTTGCTGGGCATGGTGGCTCATGTCTGTAATTTCAGCACTTTGGTTGGCTGAGGGAGGTGGATCACCTGAGGTCAGGAGTTTGAGACCAGCCTGGCCAACATAGTGAAACCCCATCTGTACAAAAAATAAAAAAATTAGCCAGGCATGGTGGCACATGCCTTTAATCCCAGCTACTCTGGAGGCTGAGGTAGGAGAATCTCTTGAACCCAGGAGGCAGAGGTTGCAGTGAGCCGAGACTGTGCCTCTGCACTCCAGCCTGGACAACAGAGTGAGATTCTGTCTCAAAAAAAAAAAAAAAATGTAAATGTTTGTTTGGTAAACGTATGCATAACTGACTAGTGGTAAGCATAGAAGATAACGGTTTATTCCCCTGTTGGATGTTAATCAGGTCCATATTTAACCCATCATTCTTATCCTAACATACCTTTATTAAATAGTCTAGAAAAACCCATCTCTTCAAATATTTTCAGAACCAGTTTTAACATCTTCTTTTCTTATTAGTCATGAATTGAATAATATTTTTGAGACATTTTATATTTGCAAGAGAAGTAAAAATGAGTACAAAGACAAATAAGCCACAATAAGACAAATAGCCACAATAAGACAATAAGCCACAATAAGACAAACACCTTTCCCCTGTGTTCTTGATAGGGAAAACTGATACTTATGCAACTACTAACCGCAAATAAAGAGTAGAGTTAAGAGGAAGGTAGAAGCAGTGGAGACAAAATTGTTATAATACAAATTTGACTTGAGATGAATCTTGACAGACGAAAAGGTTTTCACTAGGCAAATAGCAATTTGGAAGGGCTTTCTCAAAAGAGACAAAAAGTATTATAGGTGACAGAGGGAGCACTTAAACTAGATCTGCTTGGCTCCTAGACACATATTTTTTTCCATCATGCTTTGTTCTTTTTCATCCTTTGTGGAAGACTTTAATTTCTAGTAATCATCTTTAGCCTCTCTGGTCATGACATCCCTTATCTAATAAACAAAGTCATTATGCTGAAGATATATAACATATTTATGATAACTAAAGTTTCTTCTTATTATGATATCCATTAATTACACAGTAATAATAATTAGCTTTTGGTTATTACCTTAAGAACATTAAAAAATAATGCAAATACATTCCTAATGCACATTTTCTTGTATTTATGTATAGATACACAATAGAAAACCCATTTCTTGTGACTTGTAAGTTTGAATCAGTTTCTTCCCCCCCTCAAAAAAAATTCAGTATGTATAATAGATGATGTTCAGTTTTAAATCATTGTGCCTTTTGAATTTAGTTCAGGTCTAAAACTAGTAGAAATAGATACTTATGTTAATAAAAAAATTGTTGTTAAAGGGTGGCATATCTTCTGCGTCTCTTTACGCACCCATCAAACCTATTCTTTTTTTAATCTCTTAAATTTAAATCTGTATATTGGGAGACTGATTTATTTTTGTGAAGGAACAAAAGACAGAGGATGGCAGCACCATACTGATTTTGCCTTGTTTATGAAATGTCACCATGTTACATGTTGTTCACCATCTTATCTAGCTATGAGGTGGTTAGGAAGAATGATGTATTAGGTTCATATTAAATTAACAACATGTCAAGTTTCTTACTTCTATACTCTTGGAGCAACACTTACTTTTTCCTCTTGACACATATCAAAAATCTTAATTTTCCATTCATTATATGGCTATTTGGTTAAGAGCTGCCTCCCTCAGGAAGACTATTGAGTTTCTTCAGGATAGAAGAATGACTGAATGACCGGCATGATTATGCATACAAAGAGTGTTTGAATAAATAAACAAATTAATAAATGGATGACTAATAAATATATTAAAATATCAAGACATATGTGTATATATAATTTAAAATCAAAAAACAAAATATTTGTAAGTAATTCAGTCTCTTGTGTTATCTCTCTCACTCTATGTCCCATGGCATTACATGACATGTTTTATTTTATATTATAAGGTAAATGTTCTGGAGACTTTTAGAAGCCCATCATTTTTTTTCTATGCATTCTGTTATTTCAGACAAAATGTTAAGTGTTGACATTTCTCTTACAAGAGATAGTTATTAAAATCTAAATTCTAAACACTCCTGTTAAACTTTTAACATCAACCTAATTGCACTGTCAATGGTATATGTCTTCCTTTAATCTTACTGAGTCTGTTCTTTGCGCCTGGATACCAATTATCAATTTGTTTTGGCCTTCACGCATGCTCTTCCTTTCTGAATGAATCAAGACTCACAACTTCCTAATATTCAAAATACATTGAGGATTTTCCAAATACTTTACTTAATTGTTCACTCATTCTATCTTTCATTTGTTCAACACCATTATAAAACACCCAAAAAGTTGTTTGTGATGTTGTCCTGAACATTGTCAAGGTTCTACAGATAAATTAGATACAATCCTTGGTTTATGAAACTTATAAACTCGTAGTTACAATAAAGTAATCAAATATATAATAAAATTAAAATGGAGTTTCTAAATTATCAAATTAGTAGGATATACTTGCATGTTTTAATTATAATACCATTTTCTTCTACAAATATTGTACTATATGTACATTTCATATAGCTAATATGTAAGTGTGAATGAAATGATACACTTCTAACTTTAAATTTCCTGGGGAGATTTGAATACACAATCAAAGCTCTCCAAAAGCATCAAAATGAGATGATAATTTTTGTATTGCTTTTAATGTACCTTTTATCTTTAGTGTATTAAATATTTTTTGTGTCTGTCAATGCACATCTGTAACATCATTTTCAATGGATGGTCACATCATAGACGTTTTAAAGCAACCCTTGTCTGTTGGAAATTAATTTCCTTTTCAATTTCTCATTATTACAAAAAAAATACTGTGATTGACAATCTAGACAATGAAGATATTTTAAAACATCTAATCTAAAGTAATTTATCCAACAAATATTGGTTGTTCGCCTACTATGTGTACATTCTCCTATAAAGCTTTGAAGAGTTAAATCTCTTTATACTCTCTCTTCCTTCACCCTTTCCCTCTCTGTCTATCCTTATCCCCTGCTCTGTCTATCTCTATCTGTATTTGTCTGTCTGTCTATGTCAGTGTCTGTAATATTGTGGTGTAGGGACTTGTAACATATATGGAATAAGACAAATATTTAGGAAATGGTGGTTGAATATGTCTACATATCAGTATTTTCCCTATTTTCTTTCCTTGCTTCCTTCCCTCCTTCCTTATTCCTTCTTTCTTTTGTATTTTTCTTTGCCTTTCTTCTATATTTTTCTTAAGTATTTTCATTAGTGTTGTTGCTTTAAATGTATATTACACTTATAATAAAATTAGTTTTCAAAATTAGGAAAAGCTCAGATCTTCTGATGCTTTTTAAATAGAGGAGGAGACAGAACGTGCACATAACACATTTGTTTACTATGAATTTGTAACATCCATATTCCCTACTTTTTTAGTGGCTTACAAATTATACTATTTTTAATTAAAATTTTTAATTAAAATGATAGAATACCTCCCAAGAACAATGTTAGACTGAATTCTGACTTCATGATTATGTTTTGAGATTTTTGATCATTAGATAATTTTACAATTTAAAATCTAGTTAACTAAATTCTCAGGCTGGGCGTGGTGGCTCAGGCCTGCAATCTCAGCACTTTGGGAAGCCGAGGTGGTCAGATCACTTGAGGTCAAGAGTTCGAGAACAGCCTGGCCAACATGGTGAAACCTCGCCTCTACTGAAAATACAAAAATTAGTCGAGCGTGGTGGTGGGCGCCTGTAATCCCAGCTACTTGGGAGGCTGAGGCAGGAGAATCACTTGAACTCAGGAGGTGCAGGTTGCAATGAGCCGAGATCGTGCCACTGCACTCCATCCATCCTGGATGACAAAGTATCCTTCCTGCCTCCCTCCCTCCCTTCCTTCCTTCTTTTCTTCCTTCCTTCCTTCCGTTCTTCCTTCCTTCCGTCCCTCTTTCCTTATTCCTTCTTTCCTTATTTTCTTTGCCTTTCTTCTATATTTTTCTTTTGTATTTTCGTTTTTGTTGTTGCTTTAAATGTATATTACACTTATAATAAAATTAGTTTTCAAAATTAGGAAAAGCTCAGATCTTCTGATGCTTTTTGGACAAAATTGGAGACAGAATTGCACGTAACACATTTGTTTACTTTGAATTTGTTACATCCAAATTCTGCTAAAAGACTGGAGATATTGTGTCTATACATTTGGAAGCCAAATATGAGATAGCAGAGAGTGGTGAAATCACCCTTGAAATGAGAATTATAAAACTGGAAACAAGACCTAGTTGTATCTTTACTGGCTAGGGGATCTTGGGCTGCTTCAGTTAGTGAAAAGAACACCAGTTTGGCATCACAATGCCTGACTTAACCTGCTGGCCCCAATATATATTCGTTGTGTGACACTAGACACCATTTAAGTTTGCTTATCTTCAATTTCCTCAGTATAAAAGAAGAAAAAATGATTATTATGTTCATACCGTTAAGTTAAAGTTATATAATATGTGTCACACTGCAAATAAAGTATATTAATTATGTGCATAAACCCACTTATTACTCACTAAACAATAAAAAAACTACCAAAAAACTAACGTTTTTATTGCATAAATATAAATATAACCTTAAGATTTACTGTGATCTTGTACAAGTGTATATAAAATCAAACACTAGACATCTCTTTTAGAGAGTTTTATTTTTCAGTGTCTGTGCTTATCTTAAATGAGTACTATTTAGATTATAATTTAAGCAGTATGGATGTCAGTGGTTGAAGTTCATTTCATTTTATACATTACATAATGTGTCATTAATAGGAAGCACTTATTCTTAACTATGATTTTTCTTGTCTCTTACGAGAACTCAGAATTTGAAAACCTGTGAAAGTAATCTAAATATTCTTCCCATTGCAGGAGGCTTTTGTGCATTACTGCTGGGTGATGGTCTTTCATTGATTCTATGAACTTGCCAAGCATAGGAATTCTGTTTACTGTTTTTCTGCCCAATATGGTAGTAAATCACTCCAAGAGTTGGTAAAATGACTGCATATTGGGAAGTTCTGTACCATCAGTTTTTTCAGCAATCATCTGAGGGATCAAAACAGATCTGATTCACCAGAGACTACCTTAAAAAACCAGAATGGCAGTTGATTTAAAATTGAAGATATATGTGGCCTAAGATGCAGAACTATTTGTCTTCACAGGGCATAAACCTTCTAGTGGGAAAATCCATTCCATTTATCAAATTATAGGCCAGAAGTTTATTTTGCGAGCAAAGGGATTTGAGGGTTTTAAGGGGTATTTCTATGTTCTCTAGCAAAGAGAGCTCCTTTACTCTGAGGATATTTCTTCCTAAAGAAGTAGGACTCAGTTTCTAAGATCTGTGCAGTCTTTCCCACTATATAATCTGATACAAAAACGTTACTAATGTTTGAATGTTTCTTAATTGTTGCTACAAGTTTGCTTTTTACATGACCATATTTATTAGCCTGTTCACAGGCTGCTAATAAAGACATATCCGAGACTGGGTAATTTATAAAGGAAAGAGGTTCAATGGACTCACAGTTCCACATGGCTGGGGGAGGCCTCACAATCATGGCAGAAGAGGAAGGAAGAACAAAAGGACATCTTACAAGAGAGTGTGTGCAGGAGATCTGCCCTTTATAAAACCATCAGATCTCATGAGACTTATTCACTATCACAAGAACAGCATGGGAAAGACCTGCCCCCCATGATTCAATTACCTCCCACCGGGTACTCCCACTACACTTGGGAATTATGGGATCTACCATTCAAGATGAGATTTGGGTGGGGACACAGCCAACCATATCACTACATGAATACACTGAAACCCACCCAATCCACCCAATTTATTTCCACTACACTACATCAAAAGAGATAGTGTACAAAAGGATGCTGGTTTTTGTGGCCTGCCAAATTTGAGGCAAAATCATGACAGTGGTTCATCTGACCACCGTCTTCTTTTCTTGGTAATGTACTGAAACTTCTTAATTCTCAAAACTAAGAGTAATTTCTGTAAATGAGAAACTGAAAATATTACTTGAAAGAGTTTCAAGGAAGTTGGATTCTATTCCCAGTTTCATCGCTGAGGAGCATATCACTTTAGCTTTTTGAGTCCTAGTTTTCACTTCTGTAAAATGAGAAGACAGAGTGGGTTGAATTCTAAAATCAGTTGTAGGGCTAAGATGATGACTTACCATGCTACAGTTTGGGGTAGTTTCTTATTGATATGAATAATATTTTGTGCATTATTTACATTAAAAATTTTTATTGTTTTCAGAACCAAATGACCTTTTTCTCTAAAAAAATACATATTTTTAGATATTTCTTGCTTTATGGGTCACAAAATGTAGCCACAATAATCAGAAAAGGACCAATATTGTTGACAAAGTGAACAACTAAGAAATGTAATACTTGAGCCCCAGAGCTGGCTTTTAACTTAAATAGTAAATTTCTAAATTTTGATTACTATAAATAATATTATCACTATAATTATCTTCCACAACAGGGAAGACCACAGTGGCTCTGAAGAACTAAATAAAACCTAGATATCACACATATTTGAGAGAACAAAAATTCACAATAGGAAGCTGTACAATATTTGGGAATTCTTTTCACAGTTTAAACTTTCTCTGTCTTCAAATATCCCTATTACAGCAAAATCCCACCTACTCACAATTGTACGTATTCAAAATGGGACCTCAGAACACAAGCAGGTGGAAATCACAGGTCATGGCCACAGTTGAAATGATATGTCTTTGCTAATTTAAAAACACACTCTTGTGATGAGCAGTTTTGCATATTTAATATAAATATTACATCAAAAATAGATTGTGCTTGCTCTGCAATGTTGCCCTTATAAGCCCTGGAGGGATGTGATCATTTTCTGCTGACTCTGCTATATATGACGGTTTGTAAATTAATACTAACCTTCTCAATGGTAAATGTTGGCCCAGCCCTACAGTAATTATGTAACGCAGAAAACTTGAGCAATCAGACATGTTTCAATGGTAAATATTTTGTCTCTCCCCACCCCCGGTATTATGTATTAACGAATACATTATTACCTGCTCAAGCATTTTCTCTTTTCTGTCTCAATCAGTATTATGGTCCGTGATATAATTAAATGTTTCATTTTGAACAAAAACATTTATTTTATTGCTCACCAAGGCTGTTCAATTTTAGCCTTTGGCCATATGACTTTAATCAGAAGTATTTGTGATTTAGAGCACTATAGCATGTTTATTTTTGCAATTTATTTTAACAGCCCATGGGAAAATGACAGTAAATAGCTTGTAATTTTTGTAAGTAATAAAAAAATAGCTGTGACCTATGATTGAAGGAAAAAAAAATTCAGGGACTTTCCTGTAGAAATAGACTGTCATCGTTTGAAAACTCAACATTTTCTAAATTACTATTTATTTTTAATGATCAAAGGCTTCTTACACATTGTCTCTTCCAGTGATTCTCAAAGTGTTATACTTAGACTACTGCATGATAATAAATTGGAAAATGTCTTTAAAAAATAGATTTCTTTGCCAGACGCAGTGGCTCACACCTGTAATTCAAGCACTTTGAGAGGACGAGGCAGGAGAATCACTTGCGCTCAGGAATTCGAGACCAGCCTGGGCAACAATATGAGACCCTGTCTCTGCAAAAAATACAAAAATTAGCCAAGCGTGCTGGCACATGCCTATAGTCCTAGCTACTTGAGAGGCTGAGACAGGAGGATTGCTTGAGCCCAGGAGACAGAGGTTGCAGAGAGCTATGATTGCACCACTGCACCCCAGCCTGAGCAAAAGAGCAAGACCCTGTCTCCAATAATAGTAGTAGTAATAATAATAATGATGGATTTGTTGGCACTACCCAGAATTATTGAATAAGAAAATTTTGTGAGCAGAATCTCAGGCTCTGCATTTTGTATAAGCTTACCAGCTAATTCTTTTGAATATTTAAGTTTGCATTATCCTATTTTAAAATTCTATTTTTTCATATAAACTGCAATCATGAGAAAATATAGGACTTTTTCCCCAATCTCACAAGTTAACTGCAGAATTTGAATGAGAATTCAGATCTCTTTATTCCTAAGACAATTTCTAGAGACAATACATACTGGATTTCAATTTATTTTTCATCCTACACAGTTGGTATAAAATTAATTTTATAAATAAGAACCTTTTATATTACTAGGATAAAAGTAGCATTCTAACAATTTTTCATCTTTAGGTTGGTGTCTCACCTACTTATGTAAACTTTTTCTAGCTTAATCAGTCTAATATATCATTCTTTTTTTTTCTGAGACAAAGTTCTAAACTCATGACATCCGATCACGTGTTCCCGTCTCAAAATTACTTGTTTTGCTCTCATTTGTGTATTTCCCATTTGTATTAATCAAGATATACTAGGTTATGCTGCATTAACAAATGAACATGCCAAAGTCACAGTGGCATAGTGCAGTCAGTGAAAGTTTATTTTTCAGCCATACTACATATCCAGCATGGCTCAGCAGGGATCTCTGCTCCATTCTGATGCTATTAGTGCTATTAAGCAAATATTACTGGTCCGGCCCCCTCTGACACATGGTAAAATTACACATGCATGCTTTTTTTGCAATTACATTGGGCAATTAATTAGTTCTTCCAGATATCCTGTAAGCAGAAGTTGCAGGCATTGCACTGCAACATTTAATTGCTGGTGTGAGAACCTCCAGACATCATCTCTCTGGCATTACAATTGGTAACATTGAAAATGGTAACTATTCCTTCAGTGTGCATCTTTGAGGTACCATAAGGAGCAGAGATTTGCCTCAGATTCACAAGAGATATATTGTACAAGAGAAAAATAAAGTTGTGTTGTTTTGTCTTCTGAGATTGTTAGAATTGTTTGTTACCTTCGCATAACATTGACTATCTGGACTCAGATATCCTCAGAAATATATATACAGAGAGATCCAGCATGGAAGAGGCTGTGCTTCCTTGTATCTGCAATATTTTAAACATGTGGCGTTTTTGTCCCCATGACATAGAAAATGTCTGAAAAAGTTTACACAGCTTTTTCATTCCTCAAGCTAACAATAATAGGATATTTTTCCTCACAGCCCGTTATCCAGAACTAATCACATGACTCCAACATACTAAAAGAAGGGTAATAAATGCAATTTTTAATTTTGGGAGAGGAAAAGAAGAACTTGATATTAATAAAAACTAGTAATGGGGTAGACTTCATTGAATAAACTTTATATTTTTGTTCATAGAAAATTTTCCCTCATATATAATTTGGAAGTCAAGAACAAATTTGTTGACTTGGGATAATATCAAGAAGTCATAATGGAATATGCAGATATATGTGCCTGTAATAAAATAAAGTCCTAAAAAGAAAAAATAATAAATAGATTTTTAAAGCATGGTAAATATATTTGCATATTATGACAGAGGTCAACACCCTTACTCTATTAAAAATATTTACAAATCAATGTTTAAATAATGGAAACGTAATCATATAAAACCAGGAAAAAAAGTGAATAGTCACTCAAATCGTAATATGAATACCCAAATCTAGTAAACCTCTGAAAAAAATGTTCACTGTTATTCTTCTCAAAAAATGAAAATTTAAAAATCAAGTATATATTCTGCCTACCAATTGTCAAAAACATTTTGAAATATATTAATAGCAAGAGGCAGACTTGAAGGGAGCAAACTTCCCTAGAACATCTATAAGTAGTTAGGGGATCAATTTTAAAACGTTTATGAAAATTAAAAATAGAAAATATATCCCAGGGAAACATTCAAAAAGTATACAAAGATATATATTTGAGAATATTCACTGTAGCAGCATTTTCAAAACTAAAAATTTAGAAATGTTTGTAAATAGGAGATAGTTCAGTAAATCATGGTACAGAAAGACAGTGGAATTCTGTTACAGATAGAAAGCAAAATAAACACAGGACTTTCAGTTAGGAGCATGTTGGGTATATGTGAGAAAAAAATGTCAGTGAGGTCATGACATACTTGGCTAGAGAGAGAAAAATGAGAGGTTCGGTGATGAAGGTTAAATCATAGATGGTTTGTAGGCCAACATAAGAACTTAGAGCTTCACTCAAATTTGAGCCTTTTTGATGAATTTGACCAAAAGAGTAAAATTACTTGGATGACCACTTGTAAGGATCTCTCTACCTATTTTGTGGTGAATTGATTAAAATGAAAATAATATAAGCAGGGAGACCAGGTAGATGACTATTTCCTGAAGCAAAATAAGAGATGTTGGTAACTTGGGATAGGATAATAGTAATGAAAAATATGGAATAATTTTAAGGTTAAAAAATTAAGATTTGCTGATGGACTAGATACAGTGAGTGAGAGAAGGAAAGGTATTAAAAAGTAATCCAAGTCTACCTTGATCAAGTGAAAGGCTGCATTGAAAAGACAGAAAGAAGTAGGTTTATGAGAAAATCAAAAATTTACTTCGGAGCATATTAAAGTTGAGTTGCCTATTTTGCATCAAATGGAGATGTAAATGAAGCAGTTGGGTATACAAACGTGAGTGAAGAGATACATTTTAGAAGCATCAGTGCATAAATTTTATTAAAGGCTTTTTAAAGTAATGACCTTGAAAGATCATCTATAGTGAGTAAGTAGACAGAGACAGAAGGCATCTATGGATCAAGTCCTGGAGTAATCCAATAGGTAGAGCTTGCAAGATGAGGCAGAGCTAGCTAGTAATAGAGAAAAGAAGTAATTTTTGAGATTCAAAAAAAAAAAAAAAAATGAAAGAGTGGCATCCAGAAGCCAAGTGAAGGTATTTAAAGGGGGATTTTAATCAACTCTATCAAATACAATTTATAGTCAAATAAGATGGCTGAAAATTGACAACATGAGTTGGCAGTATGACTATTATTGGTAGCATTTGTATGAACGTCTCATGATGGAAAATGAAAGTCTAATTGAAATGACTTTGAGACAATGGAAGAAAAGGACACAAAAAGAGTGAGACGATTTTCTGTATGCAAGCAGAGGCTGAATAGTAGACAGCAGGGTATATGAGATGAAGGTAGGTTTTTATATGATAGATATTATAGCTTGCTTATATGCTGATGACAAAAATCCAGTAAAGTAGGAAAATTAAGGTTACATAAAATAGAAAAAATAGTAACCAGGAGAGGGTGAGACAAGGGCTCTTGTTTGTTTATTTCAACTGAGGAGTCAAATTTCTTTCATTTTTAAGAATAAGTACAGCATTGTACTTCAAGAGCAAAAAATAAAGAGCAAGGTACCATGGTGAAGAAAGGTGGGGCAGGAGGGGGAAAGAAGGTGAAAGATAATTTATACCATTTTTTGCTAATAATTTTTATATTATCTAATTTAGTCTTTATTTTTACTTTTTGAACAGAATTTTTTAAAAACAGTTTTAGAGTGACAGAAAAATTGGGCAGAAAGTACAGAGAATTTTTGTATGCTTCCCGCTCCCACACACATAGCATCTTCCTCTATCAATATTTTGCACCAGAGTGACACATTTTTTACAATTAAAAACCTACATTAACACGTCAATGTTACTCAAAGTCTATAGCTTACATTAGGGTACACTCTTGGTGTCATACATTCTATGGGTTTTGACAAATGTATAATGGCATGTATCTATAAATAAATTTTTATTATCAAAGTATCATAAATAATAACTATGATAAAAATATTTTATCATAAAGTATCATAAATAATAATTTTATTACCCTAAAAATCCTCTGTGCTCTAGTCATCCCTCCATCCCCACCCAATGCCTGAAAACCATTGATTGTCTTATTGTCCTGCAATTTTTTCTATAATTTTATTGTGGTATAATAAACAACATAAAATTCGCTTTCTTAACAATTTTAAGTTTACAGTTCGGTGGTATTAAATATACTCATAATGTTGTGCAACATTCACCACCGTTCATCTCTATAATTCTTTTCCTCTTTTAAAACTTAAATTCTGTTATACACACTAAACAATAATTTTCTATGCACTCATCCTGAAGCCCCTCACCAACACTATTCTAATTTCTGTCTCTATGATTTTGACTGCTATCAGTATACTTCTTATAAGCAAAACCTATAGTATCATTCTTTATATGACTGGATTATTTCACATAGCAAAATGCCCTTAAGATGTATCCAAGTTTTAGCATGTATCAGAATTTTCTCCTTTTTTAAATGCTAAATAACATTCCATTATACCCATACATCACATTTTCTTTGGGTTTAGGTATATCTCTCATAGACAGACCATGTGTTTTTAACTATTCTGTCAATCTCTGTTTTTACATTCCATTTACATTTAAAGTAATTACTGAAACGAGGAGGGGCTTCTGTGTTTTTGCTCTTTGTTTTCTATATACGTTATAGCTGTTTTGTTCCTCATTTCCAGAATTATTGTCTTACATTGTGTTTAGCTGATTTCTTACAGCGAAATATTTAAAATCCTTTCTTATTTCCTTTTATGTATATTATATCCCTATTTTCCTTGTGGTTACCATGGGAATTACATTTAACGGCCTAAAGTTATAACACTCTCATTTTGTTTATGCCGACTTAAGTAACATAGGAAACCCTTTACCACTTAATGGCCCTGTTGCCACTCCTTTTGGTTGTTGATGTGACAAAATTACATCTTTATACATCCGGTGCCCCAAAACATAAACTGATAATTCTTTTAAATACATTGGTCTCTTAAAATATGTGGAAAACAAAATGTTGTGTTACAAACCAAAGTTACAATTATTCTAGCTTTTAGATTAATAACTGTTTATTTTTAAATGTAGTAGTCTCTTAAATCATGTAGAAAACAAAAAGTAAAGTTACAACTTACTGTTGTAAGTAAAGTTACAAATTATTGTTGTTACAATAATACTAGCTTTTGTAATTGCCCATGTATTTACCTTTATAGAGGTATTTATCTCTTCACATGACTTTGAATTACTGTCTACTCTCCTTTCATTTCACCCTATGGAACCCACTTAAGCATATCTTGCAAAGTAGGTCTAGTGGAAACAAATTCCCTCAGATTTTATCTGGGAATCTCAGTTTCACCCTCACTTTTGAAGGATGGTTTTGTCAGATTTAGAATTCTTCGCTAACAATTTGAAAATATTTTTTCAGCACATTAAGTATCTTGGTCCACTAACTTCTGCCCTACAAAGTTTCTGATGAGAAATAAGTGGATAATGTTACTGAGGATTCCTTGTGTATAAGTCACTTCTCTGTTGCTACTTGAAAGATTTTCTCCTTGTTTTTGGCTTTTAAAAGTTTGATTTTAATGTGTCTATGTGTGGGTCTCTTTATTTTTATTCTCTTTGAAGTTTGAGATTCTTGGATACTTACATTCATATGAGAAGTTTTCAGCAATTATTTCTTCAAATAATTTCTCTTTCTGTCTCTCTTGCTCGCTCACTCACTCTCTCTGTCTTCTGGGACTTCTACAATGCATATGTTAATTTATTTGTTGGTTTCCCAGATATCATTTAGGTTCTGTTCATATTTATTCAATATTTTTGTTCCTGTTTTTCAGAATCAATATTTATTGTTGTATCTTCAAGTTTGCTGATTTTTTCTTTTGCTTACACAAATTTGCCTTTGAATCCCTCTGTAAATTTTCCATTTCAAATACTGTACTTTTCAGCTCCAGAACTTTAGGTTCAGAATTTCTTTTTTTCTATCTCTTTATTGATAATTACATTTTGCTGTTAGGTAGTTTTCTTGACTTTATCTATATCTTCCTTTAGTTCTATATCTTCCTTAACATCTTTAAGATGGACATTTTGAAGTTTTGTCTATGGATCTGCCATCAAGTCTTTTTGGGTATAGTGTCGGTTGATTTTTTTTTCCTTTGAAAGGCCATGCTTTCTTGTTTCTTTGTGTGTTTTGTGTTGTTGTAAAAAATGGATACTTGAATCTAATAATGTGGTAACCCTGGTAATCTGACCCTTCCCCCTTCCTCAGAGTTTGTCAGTTTTTGATATTCTTTTTATTTATCGTTTTGCTTTTTGTATTGTTGTAGGCTATCTCTCATTCTGGGATCAGCCTGAGGTAAAATAATAAATTCTTGTCAAGTCTTTTCTGAATCTATGCCTTTTCCTTAACATGCACAGTCACTTTTTAATGTTCCCCAATATATACAATTGCTTTTAAATATATCAGTGTTTAATGCCTGGCTCTCAAAAGAGAAAAAAGAAAAAAAAATTAAAAAATTAGTTGGAGAAGCACTGGAAAGTCACTTCAGCCAGAGGTAAAGGGGCTTTCAACAATGGCGAGACGTGAAAAATCAATGGCAGCTCGTGGCTTGTCTGCACCTCTCTGATAAGAAGCAGCTGTCAGAAGAACAACCCCAAATATCTGGAGGACAGAGTCCTTTGTGCTCACCCTGGCTCCTTACAGTTCTGTCCAGTCTGCTTCAGGAACATATGCATAGCTGTCTACCACAGCGATGTATGCGGAGAATGGGTAGCAGGTGCTGTACTGAGTGCTAAACTTGATGGAAGTTAACTGCAATTTTCCATCCCAGCATTCCCCTGGAAGTTGCAAACTTTCAATAGACTCCAGGGTTCCAAAGAGTTACATCAGACAGATTCTGCCAGTGCTATTGTTATCTAGGTGGGGAGACAGATTCCTGGTGCTTCCTACGCCACCACTTTTTCAGAATCCTCTGGAATGAACTCCTTTGCAGAAGCAAAGAAGTTGGTCTTTGTTGAGACTACAGACAAATAATCCATAATAGTAGTACTGGTTATAGAGTGTATGGGTTACAGTTACTGACAAATTTTGAGAAGTTGTTATTGATGCTAATGGAGTACTCTTCTACCTGATTCTATTTCCTCAGTAAAATGAGAAGCAGTTTTTTAGCTGAGGATGAGAAGAGGGTTTGAAACAGAAAGAAAAACAGAGATTGAAAAAGGAGTTGAGGATTTATGCAAATGAGAAATTATATTGTTGAACCTTGGAACAGCAAAAGTCACTAGGATCAATAGATAATAGGTCCTGTGAGGTTGAAAGATCACTGAAGCTGGATAGATAAGAAACGAAGACTGAAAAATGGAATACTTGAAATTAAGATTATGAAGCAGATGCAGTTATTGACAGTAAAACATCTAGGTTATGGTCATGAGAGTGGGTGACTAAGACAGCATGGGAGGCAAAATTATGAAAGGACAGAAGGACCAGGAAATGAGACAACAGGATTCTAAAATGGCTGCACATATTTTTAAAATCACCAAGAATTATAACAGAAGTTGGGGTTGAGAGAGTAACAGTAGGCCCATGTGCTATAACCCTCAACAATGTGGAAGAGAAAACCCAAGGGGGTGCCACTGAGTAAAACAAGGAAGGGAGGCAGTTGTAGAATGTGATGACATGAGCTACAAAAGGGCATTTGTAGGGAGCTGCAAGAAATCATGGCCTGAAAGGAGCATTGAAAAGCAAAGAGACTATATTCCACGTTCAGGACCAGGGAATGGGAGAAAAAAATTCACAACTTAGAGAGGGTCACAGGCAAAGCCACGTCTTCGGGGAAGAGCTATTATTCAATCACAGCTAAGTCGTTAGAGGGATGTTCAGAAAAACAAACAAACAAAAAACAGAAAATATGAGCTAACTTATTGGAACTATGAATTCTACAGGGCAGAGCAAGAACAGAACAGCTTTAGGAGTCAAGGAGAGTGGGAGGTGGGGTCAGACTGAGGTTGTCAGTGCCATATGGGGAAAAGGGCCCTGCAACAACTAACATAAACAGAGATGTGGGACATGATTACATGAGCTCTGATAGTCTGTGAGACAGAGTGTGGTAGACTGGCAAATGTGTGTTGGAGGGGAGGGATGGTGGTGTTACTAGGAGCACACAATGATCTGGACTGTCCTCTTTTCACTCTTCTCTAGGTTTGTGAGGAAGCTTTGGAAAGGGACAGAATCAGAACTGTGGGCATATCCATACCAGAATATTAGCAGTAAATATCCCGGCATGGTGGCATTATGCATGACACTGATTTTCTCATTTTTTATTTAGTATTTTTAAGTACAATTGTCCTGCTGTGTCAGTAGTGGGTTCTTCATCCATGGATTCAACCAACCGTGAATAGAAAACATTCGGAAAAATAATGCCACTGTACTGAACACGTACCACACTTTTAAAATTCCTGTAATTTTCTAACCAATACAGTGTAACAACTATTTACATAAAATCTACATTGTATCAGGCGTTATAAGTAATCTAGAGAAGACTTAAAGTATATGGAAGATTGTTTGTAGTTTATATGCAAATACTACGCTCTTTTATGTAAGGGACTTGAACATCCATGGACTCTGGTATCTGTGGGGGTCCTGGAATCAATCCCTCACAGATATCTGTATTTATTTTAAGTGAATGTGTATTATGGAATATAAATATAAATATATGTATATGCACACACACACATATATATACACAATATATACACACATATATATACACAATATAAGTGTATATATATGTGTGTGTGTTGTCATTTTTCAACTTAAGTTTAAAAAATTGCCTAGAAGGGATAAAACAAAAATAGAGCTCCAGATATCTAATGTTCTTTTCAGAAAGAAATCTTTATATCTCTGTTTTACTTCAGCTGTATTTTTTAAACTACTTGGCTAAAGTAAACCCACGTTCATAGAGAAAATCACTATTATTTTGCATAAAGTTGTGAAGTCTAAGGCTGAATAGAGTCTAACAATCATATTTATTGATGTGTCTGTTGTTAAACACTGAGCAGATGTCTCCATTAGAGCCTCTATAATGATGTCTAGATCATTTTAGGGAGATTTTTACTAATTTCAAGCTACATAGTGATTCCTTCCACATCAAATTTTTACTTCTTAGATATTTCTTGTATTTCTTATCCCCTAATATGGAGACTATTAGGCTCTCATTATTTCTTTCCCACTCCTCAGGGTTATCAGGAGGATTATAAGCATGAGCTCTGGAATTAGACTTCTAGTGTTTGAATCCCATTGATGTCTAAAAGATATGGCCTTTGCCCTCATAATTTGCAATGTAATCATTGAAGAGAGGCAGGTACATCAGTTTCTACAACACAATGTAGACAGAAGTAAGTATCATAAAAATAATATTGGCTGAATTGGTAGAAAATATCATGGAGGGAATGGCTTTTGAGTGGGGATTGAATAAACAGAGTGTTTTAGGAATAAAAATGGTGTTAGGAAGAAAAGTTCAAGCAAAGAATAATTTTAGTGAAGGTATAAAAATGATGAACTGCTCTCATCTTCAGGGGAGGGTCTAGAAGGATGGGAGTAAATATTGAGTAGGGGAAAATTGAGAGATGTGGTTAAAAATACCTTGTTTGGACATGAATACTAGCCTAATAATTCTGATTTGCTTTACTATCCATTTGACTTTATGGATCATTAAAAAATTTTAGTATAAATGCTGATCGCTGGTATATATCTCTCTAAGCTTGTTTCTGCACATGAGAGCAATCAGGAAAACATTTTCAATCAATCACTTATTTTACTAGCTGGTGCCAGGCAAATGGCTTTCCTGATTTTTTTTCAATCTTTAAAATTGACTTAACGACTATTTTTTTAAGTTAATTGGGTGGTTCAGGGTAAGTTTAAATGCAAACAAAACACTTAGCATAGGAGAGCGAGTGCGTAAATTCACAGTGGGAGCAAACATCAGGGCAACAAAAAAATTAGAGCCATTTTTGAGTCATTGACCACCCACATTTGAGAGTTTTTTCCTGGATGAACATTCCTTCTGCCTTTGGAAATAAATTAATGTTTTAGAGCAGGGGTTAGCACACTTTTTCCATAGAGAACCAGATAGTAAATATTTTGGGCCTTGCTGGATAAATAGTCTCTGTCACAGGACTTGTCTCTACTTTTATAGGGTGAAAACACCTGTAGACAATGTGTAAATGAGTGGGCATGGTTGTCTTCCATCTAAACATTATTTACATAGTGGGTAGTAGATCATATCTGAGCCACAGTCATAGCTGGCTGACCCTGTCTTAGAAAATTATTGGGAACAGGTGTGTAAAAAGTTGAAGTAAACAAATGCAATATTAAGATACTATCACATAATGATGAATGTTCACCAAATGTTTTCTTTGAATATCAATGCAAACCTGGCCTGACTTTGATAGTGATACTTCCAACTAAGGGCGGAATCCATAGTCAGCAAAAATTATTATTTTTTGTATGTCTTTTGCTGTTACAGAGCAGAGGAAACAATTAATTCAACTTAGATTAAAGAAAGGCATAGTTTAATAATAAATAGACCTCACAGAAACACAAGCCCAGAAACTAACATAGAGCTGGGTATCATGAGATATAAAAATGGGAGTAAAAATTTAGGACAGTACCAGGTACTTATTTCAGCCCATGGGCAATCTTATTTTTCTTTTAGAAAAAAATCTTTTAAGGCTGGGTAGTTGGCTTATGTCTATAATCCCAAGGCGGGAGGATTGCTTGAACCCAGTGGTTATCAGCCTGGGCAACATGGTGAGACCTTGTCTCCACAAAAATATAAAAAATTAGCTGCGTGTGGTGGTGCATGCCTGCAGTTCCAGCTACTGGGAAGACTGAGGTGGGAGGATTGCTTGAGCTTGGGAGTCAAGGCTGCAATGAGCCATGATCGCACCACTGCACTCCAGCCTAGGCAACAGAGTGAGACCCTGTCTCAAAACAAAACAAAACAAAAAGAAAAACCCTGTAAGATTAATGTTGATATTATCCCCATCTTACAAATAAGAAAACTGAGTCACAGACCACTGCTAAAGAAGTTTCTCTTGGCCACAGCTTAGAAAATATTAGAGCCAGATTTTTTATCCAGCCAGTTCACCTCAGGAGCCAGTAATCTTAGACGTTGACCAACTGGTTTAAGTCAATTTGCTCTTTGAAGTTTGAGCTAAACTGTGAAAACAACTAGGATTTATCTAATCATAGTAGCTAACATCTGTGAATCAATATATGCCAGGGCTTTATACAAATCAGCTCCTTTAATCTTCACAACCCTACTTAATGGACGAAAAAAAGAGACACTGTCACCGAAAGTGATATAAATGCAATTGGTAGAGCCAGGACTCTATCCTGGTGAGTCTGCCCTTAGAGAGTATAAACTTAATCTTTAGGGCAAGCAAAATAATGTTAAAAAACATAATATATGATGTGCAGAGACCAGGCTGCTGAAATCAGCAAGAGACTGATTTGCTAGGCAAGGTGGTTCCCAGATTATGGAACCAGTGAAGGAGGATAATTTTTTAATATAGGAAGCAACTGAGAACCACTGTAGAGTTGTCAGTCAGGAAGGTTTGCTTGATAGCAGTAAACACTGGAGACTGTAAGGGAGTTTGAAAAATGAGGGATCCAAAAGCAATCATGAGTTTTGTGTTATCCTGCAGAAGAGTGAGAGTAGTAAGAAACTGAGAAGAGAGAATTACTTGGAGACATATTTCAAAGGAAAATATTATTTGACACTGACAGGTCACAGAAGATAAAGCAAAAAATAGTCAAGATTAATTCACATGCTTAGCCTGGGATACCCTGACAAATGATGTTATCACAGACAAACTGAATAAGTTTAGTTAAAGAAGCCAGTTTGAATTAAAAGTAAGTTTGGTTAAATTCACTCGTAAATTTAAAGAGATATGCCATTTTGGCAATTACAAATCTAGAGATGGAGTACAGTTCATAGAGCATAAAGAGTGAGAAAAGCCATTCAGTTTAGAGGTGAGAACACCATCAGTTACGTATGTCTACAAGAGTAAATTCAACAGAGTGGTGTGAATTGAAGGTCATTTGGTGGGGATGAAATAGGTTAACAATTTGAAACCATAACATAATGAGTTTGCATGGAGTAATAATGCTCATGTTAGATTTCAAGGAATTAATAAAAACGGCAAATGGAAATACAGTTAGCAGGAACCTAGATCATGTAGCACACATTTCAGAACACTGTCCATAACAGAAGGAAACTGCAGTGGTGACTCTAGGACAAATAGGTAGTTTTCCTTTCTTTTTTAAAGTTGGTGAAGACCTAGTTTTTCCTTATTGTATATTTAGTTTTCCTCCTATAGCTCCAAGGTAAAATATATAAGTGCTATTTGTTTCCTAGCAATATTTTTCCCAGAAGCAGAATGATAAGTTGTAGAAGAGATATATTTTAATTATTTATTGAAAATGTAAACTGCTTCAAGCAATATAACACCATAAATAAAAATGGCTAATTTTGAAAGCATGAGAGTGTACACAAGTCTGATAATTTCAATTCTCCATCAACTCAAAGAGGCATCATGGGAGCATTTTATATAATCTTCACTCTCCTTGTCACAAATTCACCCTGAGGGAAACTAATCTTGATGGAGAAGTCTGACTGTCTTGGGTAGGGAAAAATGCATATGTGAGTATTCTCATGATGAAATTTAAACTATGATTTTGGTGAAATATTTGAAATGTAACTAAAAATATAGCTTTCTCCAAATTGCTACAATATAGTTTTTAATTATGTTATCTTTCTCCTTTTTTAAATCTGTGGATCTATTTTCAAGCTATTCCAATAGCTAACATTTTCATTTTTACCCCCTACTCATAAGGTACCACTGTTTGCCGATTATCATGTAAGATTTAATTTTATTGATCATTGCTTATAATGTGTGCCTAGAGACAGAGAACAAGCTTCCCTATCCAATTTCTATTTTCCCTTCAGGTTAATAGGTTTCCCTTTCCCAATCATTGAGTATTGCACATAAGAACAAGGAGAAAAATGTTTGTTGAGGTATATTTAGAAAAGAAAAAGAAGGAAAATCCTCATTTAGTAGTGATCTTGTGTTTTTCTCTAGTTCATTAGAAAATCAGCCAATGTATGAAGACTAAGCTTTAATTAATGAAGTTGTCCTATATTATAAGAGGGTTCCAGGATGTATCTTACATGCAAATGTTTTCATCTTTTTAAGGTAATTCTATTAATATACCTGCTGTGCCCTAAGGGTCCTAGTCTGAGTACATTTATCCCTTTAGCAAGATTTGGGGGTGGAGGCCATTTGTATTCTCTTCTATTCATGTTGGACTTTAGTTGGTGATTAGACACAGTAGACAATGTCATGTAGGGTTAGATATTCATGTATGGCTTAGATGCAGGTAGATTTTACCTCCACAATCATATGAACATTGAGTGTGTCTCATTGGATTTCTGTAAGAATGACATGAAGTGAAGAATTTAAACTTCTTGACAAATTACATGACACAGAAACCACTCCATAAGTGTTAGATAATCTTTTGTACGTGAATGGGAAATAATAATATATATTCATATTTTCATGTTTTGGCCTAAAGGAAATCTAGATATTAAATACTAGATCCTGGTGGGAAGATTATTTTTTTTTCAGGGTGGAAACTGAGCAGATGGAGGACAAGGATGGGGAAGATTTTTCTATACTTTTGTTATGTTTTTGGACTTTAATCCGTATGACTGTATTATATATTTGAAAAGGCAAATATAAAAGTCATCTGAGCTTTTTGTCATCATAATGGTATCCTTTCTGACAATCGTTGCTTTTAATCCTAAAATGTCTCATCAAGTGCCTTTGTCTCACAATTTATCTGTAGAACATATATGCTTGTGTGTGGAATGAGGGCTACTCAGACTGTGAACTCAGAACAGGCAAAATGTAAATGCTCATTTAATTGCTGTTTTGTAGATCTAACCAATTTCTATGACTGTGTGAAAGTGGTTAATGAGGTTTTTCTTTCTCTTTATCAGATGATAGTCCACCTTCTAAGATAAACCTTCTCTGTGTTGAAGTCAGGCTTAGATAAGGAATAAGTTATTAATAATCATGAAATCTAATAATTAATAGCTTTATTAGAAGACTAGGGAGAACTGATTTACTACTAATAGTAATTATTCTTAATTACAGCTAACCTTTGTTGGAGTGTACAGTGCAAAGCACTTTAAATGTATTATTTGATTTCCCTAGCAACCCTATGTGGTACATGGTAGACGGTAGATGCTAGATTAATAAAATGACAAATAACCACTTGGAAAATTTGTCTAAAATCATGTGGCTGGTAAATGGTCTCAGAGCCAAGCCTTTTTAATGCCAAAACTTTTTAATCCCTATGCTCTAGACCATCACACTGCTGTATGTAAGCAGCTTTCAATTATGTAGTTTAAGAAATTTTTATTTAGCAACTATTTCTGGAGTAATTAGTGATTGTTCCATTTTGTAGGGAACTGGGGTTGCCAAGTCGACAGATATTGGGCTCATAATTCATATCATGCATTGACAGCATGTATGCAATTAACCATCTCAAGTGGTAGCACTGTCACGACAAACTGCCTGTTCAGTCTCATGCATTTCTGTAGTATTGTAATCCAAAGATAGTGGGGTCTCATAGAATAAAATCAAATATATTATCCATGATCTGAACTATCAGATATTATCCATATCTGAACAATCCATGAAAACATTTATTGTTTTCCTCAATATCACTCAAAATAGATTTTAGCCCTCTTATAAAGAGTTTAAACAGCAATGATAACAGTAACAAAAATGGCTTTTTATTTTCTGGCTAAATTATACTTTACCTATATTCATGGTTGTTTACAATTAAAAATGATCATTCTCAATAGAATGCATACACATGGTCAAAAGCTGTATCCACATATTACCAAAAGAAACTGGTGATTTTATTTTTTAAAAAAGTAACATTCAAAGTCGTTTTGTTACAGGAAGAAAAAAATGTCTATGAAAGCTGGATATTTTACTTTTCATTTATTTTTGTTGTATCATGTGAAGAGAGCTGGAGATTCTCTGTTTCATAATTTTAATATATGGATTAAATTGGATTATTCAGAAAAATTCTACTTATGACACTTCTCTGTACTGTTTTATTACTTGCAGCTACGTAACTCTAATCCTAATAGAACCCCTGTTATTCATGACGCTATGTAAGCTTTGTTGCATTATTCATGTTTACTTTATTTAAATTTGTGTCTGTGAACTGTTTGATTTGTGAGGCTCTCAGGAAACTGTCATCAACAGAAATGACAAGACCAAGCTTGTAAATTACATTTTTTATATGTGCTAAAGTCTAGACTTCTATGTTTTGCTAAAGAAATCACCCTATTAAAAATAATAACATGTATCCTTAAAGCAGAGTGTCTATGATTTATAGGAGCAATAGGCTTGCTCGGAAGTGGGGTGCCTGCAGTATCTTTACCCTGTTTACTTGTTCCAGGTGCCTATTGACTTCTCACATTGTTGCCACTATAACGCGGATACAAGCTGAAACTCACAATTGTTATGTTTTGAAACTTGCTAAGGTAATGTTTTTCTCTTGCCCTAAATATTTGAAGATATATTTGAATAGATCAGTGTCTTTTCACCCATTTTTAAAGCACACATTGTCTTGTGCTTCTCTTTTTAATAGGATGGAGATGAGTGAGACTTGTTTTCCCATTTTTGACATGCTTGAGCAAGAAAACAAAGCTTTCCACCATCCCCCAAATGGAAAAACTGCACTATGCTAGATGGGTTTTGAAAAATAAAAACACAAATCAAAACCTTCTAACAGCACATCTGTTCTTCTTTACAGGAATTAGACGATATAAGCTGCAGCTCAGAATCAGAGGTAAGCATTACATTTAATCTGTCATGCCTGCAGGTTTTTATGAAGTTCAAACATTTTAAAAGGTTCAGCTTGATAAAACTCCCTCATTATGTTTCTTGAGGTTAGTCCTGTCATCTTTGTCCAGTGTCTCACTAACAACATTTCCAGTTCAGTAAGAGCAGACATTGCTCATTGCATTTTATTTGATCTCAGGCTATTTAATACTATAAGATGTTGTGTGCACACCATTCCTTTGGGATTTTAAACCATTAGGTTAAAGGTACATCCAATTATGTGATATCTTTAAGCAACTTGAAGGTGCAGTTTTATATATAGAAATTTACCACTGAACGATACTGAAATGAAGTTAAGGTTGTGAAACACACTGACAAAAGATAGGGAATCCAAAGTTAGGAATGACATTTTGTCCTTCCCTTGTGCTATACTGAAAATGAAGGAAGTTGAGTTGAGTACAAGATAAACTCAAGGACACTGAGGATTTTACTTTTTAAAATGTCCTTATAGATGCATCATACACAAGGTAACAATAATAGCTGTACTTATGGAATAGCCGGGAGTTTAAAACACCCTTTCACTGATACGATTGTACTGGAACCTTAAAACAGTCCTATTCACATAAGAAATCGGTGATTTTAGTCTGTTTTCCCCAATGAGAACACAGAGAATCTACAAGTAATTATAATTTTTTTTTTACAATTGCAAAAGCAGTAAGAAATGTAGCAGCATGTCAGAGCCTGTTCTTCAGACATCAAGGTTGGTACTGTCTGTACTACACAGTCTCACTGCTGCCTATAAGTATATATGCGTGCACCTATCAACACACTTATGTACAAACACACATACCAGTGGATAGTGAGAGGAAGAACAAAAGAACCAGAGACCAAGTAATATGTATTTGCTGGATAAATTAAGCTGTTCTCTCTTTCATGCAATTCAATTCAAACTGCTTTAAACATTAAAAGAAATGTATTGGCTGATGAAAACATAAAAGTCCAGAGTCACTGTTCTTGTGAGTTTCCTAGATTTGTCCTCAAGTGTGCCAGATTTACTGTGGGCATGCCTTGTGCTTGCAAAAGGTCAATGGCAGTTTCGGGAAATCTGTGACCCAGAGTTCACAGCATAAATCCTGAGTTTCCAATAGGTTGAAATAGCCATGAAACCATCCTGTAGCCAAGCGTAAAGCACATAGACTTGGATTAGCTTCAGTGGTCATCATGGTAAGGGGGAATGGAATATCCTGTTTGCATTGAACAGATATACTTCCCCATTATAGAGAAATTGTCTATCTCATATGACTACAAGGATGTTCTGCAATGGGGAATAGTATATTAATTCTATGCACACAACCTCAATATGTACTATAACTCTGTTTTAGTATGTAACTACTCTGTGCTAGGTATGTAGAATTCTCATTATTTGACTTTAGGTATAAAGGGATACATAAGTGTACTCCTAAATATGTGTAAGATCATACTTATGTTCTGATAAATAAATCCATCAATTCATTTTTATTTCATTCAGTTTAATTTTTATTTGTACACATTTTCATGTATGGGGTACCTGTGAATTTTTATTTGTACACATTGTCGTGTGGGGTTCATGTGAATTTTCTTACATGTGTATAGTGTGTAGTAAACAAGTCAGAATATTTAGGGCGTCCATCGTCTGAATACATTTTGTTAACTATAATCTACCCTGCTATCAAACATTGAATCAATCCCATCTAACTGCATGTTTATACCCTTTAACTCATTTCTCTTTATACTCCCCCTTCCCCCAACTCACTCCTCCCAATCTCTATTATCTTTCTTTCCACTCTCTACCTCCATGTGATCAAATATTTTCACTCCAGCATATAAGTGAGAACATACAATATTTGCCTTTTTGTGCCTGGCTTAGTTCACTAAAGATAATGACCTCCAGTTCCATCAATGTTATGTCAAATGGCATGTTTTCTTTCTTTTTATGGACAAATAGTATTCCATTGTGTATATACCACATTTTCTTTAAACATTCATTCACTGATGGACACTTATCTTTGTTATCTACCTTTGTTATTATAAATAGTGCCATAATAAACATGCAAATACAGGTATTCCTGTGGTATACTGATTTCCTTTGGGTAGATATCAGTAATAGGATTGCTGGATCAAATGATAGTTCCATTTTTAGTGTTTTGAGGTATTTCCATCCTGTTTTGTATAGTGGTTTACTAGTTTACATACCTACCAACTGTGTATGGGTGCTCCCTTTTCTCTGCATCCTTGCCAACATTCATTATTTTTTGTCTTTATAATAATGGCCACTTTGATTGGGGTAAGATGATACCTCCTTGTGGTTTTGATTTGAATTTATCTGATTAGTGACACTGAGAATTTTTCATATAACTCTTGGCCATGGGCATGTCTTCTTTTGAGAAATATGTATTCATGTCCTTTGCACACTTTTTTTCTTTTTTCTTTTTTGAGACAGAATTTCTTTCTTGTTGCCCAGGCTGGAGTGCAATGGCGCGATCTTGGCTCACTGCATCCTCTGCCTCCCAGGTTCAAGCGTTTCTCCTGTCTCAGTCTCCTGAGTAGCTGAGATTACAGGCACATGCCGCCACACCCAGCTAATTTTTGTATTTTTAGTAGAGATGGGTTTCATCTTTTTTTTTCTGTCGAGTTGCTTGATTTCCCTGTATATTCTGGATATTGGTCTGCTGTCATGTGTTTAGTTTGCAAAGATTTTCTCCCATTCAATAGGTTTCTTCACACTGTTCATTATTTCTTTTGTTGTGCAGAAGCTCTTTAGTTTAAGTCTCATTTGTCCATTTTTGTTTTTGTTGTCTCTGCTTTGGAAATCTTAGTCATAAATTCTTTGCCTAGACCAATGCCCAAGAGAGATTTCCCTAGGTTTTCTTCCAGTATTTTTATAGTTTTGGGTCTTACATTTAAGTTTTTAATCCATTTTTGTTGATTTTTGTATATGGTTAGAGATAGGGATCTAGTTTCTTTCTTCTGCATGTGGCTATCCAGTTCTCCCAGCACCATTTATTCAAGAAGGTGTCCTTCCCCCAATATAAATTCTTGTCAGCTTTGTTCAAGATCAGTTGGCTGTAAATATGTGACTGTGTTTCTGGGTTCTCTATTTTGTTCCAGTGGGATATATGTCTATTTTTAAACCAATACCATGTGTTTTGGTTAGTATAGCTTTGTAATATATTTTAAAGTCAGGTAATGTGATGCCTTCAGCATTGTTCCTTTTGTTCAGGATTACTTGGTTATGCAGGCTTTTATTTCACTCTATATGAATTTTAGAACTTTGTACAAAAATTCTGTGAAGAATGATGGTATTTTGATAGGGATTGCATAATCTGTGGTTTTTTTGGGAAATATGGTCATTTTCGTGATATTCTTCTGATCTTTGAGGATGGGATTTTTTCATTTTTGTTCTCTTCTATTTATTTAATCAATGTTTTGTAATTTTCCTTGTAGAGATCTTAAATTTAGTCCTAGGGGCTTTAATTTTTATAGCTATTATAAAAGTCATTGGCTTCCTGATTTCTTTTTCAGATAGATGACTATTGGTATATAGAAATGCTACTTTTTTTTTTTTTTTTTTTTTTTTTTTGAGAAGAACTCTCGCTCTGTCACCTAGGCTGGAGTGCAGTGGCGCGATCTCGGCTCACTGCAAGCTCCACCTCCTGGGTTCCCGCCATTCTCCTGCCTCAGCCTCCCGAGTAGCTGGGACTACAGGTGCCCGCCACCACGCCCGGCTAATTTTTTGTATTTTTAGTAGAGACAGGGTTTCACCATGTTTGCAAGGATGGTCTAGATCTCCTGACCTCAGGATCCACCCGCCTCGGCCTCCCAAAGTGCTGGGATTACAGGTGTGAGCCACCACGTCCGGCCGAAATGCTACTGATTTCTGTATATTGATTTTGTATTCTGCAAACTTACTGAATCCATTTATCAAATCTAAGAGCTTTTTGGTAGAGTTGTTAGGTTGTTCTCAATAAAAGATCATATTATTAGCAAAGAGGAACAATTTGAATTCTTCTTTTCCAATTTGGATTCCTTTTACTTATTTTTCTTGCCTGATTGGCTAGGACTTCTAATACTACGTTGAATAGGCATGGTGAAAGTGGGCACCCTTATCTTGTTCCATTTGTTAGAGGAAAGGCTTTCAACGTTTCCCATTCAGTTTGATGTTAGCTGTGGGTTTGTCATATATGGCCTTTATTATTGTGAGGTGTTTTTTTCTATGTTTAGTTTTTGAGAGTTTTTATCCTGAAGGATTGTTGAATTTTATCAAATGCTTGCTCTTTGTCTATTGAGATTATCATATTTTTTTCTTCATTCTGTTGATGTGATGTATTACATTTATTGATTTGCATATGTTGAACCATCCTTGCATCCCTGGGATAAATCTCACTCAATTGTGTTATCTTATCTTTTTAATATGTTGTTGGATTTTGTTTGCTTATATTTTGTTGAGGAATTTTTGTGCATGTTCATCAGTAATATTAGTCTATAGTTTTCTTTTGTTGTTGCTGTGTCTTTGTCTGGTTTTAATATCAGGGTGATGCTGCTCTCATAGAATGAGTTAGAGGGATTCCCTCCTCTTCAAGGGGGAATTTTTTGGAATAGTTTCAGGAAGATTGGTATTAATTCTTTGTAAATTTGGTGGAATTTGGCAGTGAAACCATCTGGTGCTGGGATTTTCTTTGTTAGAAGATTGTTTATTCCTAATTCAACCCTGCTACTTGTTATTGGTCTGTTCAGGTTTTCTGTTTCTTCTCGATTCTATCTTGGTAGGTTGTGTATTTCCAATACTTTATCTATTTCCTCTCGGTTTTCCAGTTTGCCAAAGTATAGTTGTTCATAATAGTCTCTGATGATCTCTTTATTTCTGTAGCATCAGCTGTAATGTCTCCTTTATCATTTCTGATTTTGTTTATTTGAGCCCTCTCTCAGCTTTATTAGTTTAGCTAGCAGTTTATCTATTTTGTCTATCTTTTCAAAGAATCCACTTATCATTTTGTTGATTCTTTTAAAAATATTTATTTCTTATAAATAAGTTTTATTTTCTATTCAGTGGGTACATGTACAGGTTTGTTACATAGGTATATTGCATGATGCTGAAGTTTGGGGTACGATTGATCCCATAACTCAGGTAGTGAGCATACTACTCAACAATGTGTTTTTCAGCCTTCTCTCTCCCCCTTCATCCCTCCCTCTAGTAGTCTCCAGTATCTATTTTTGTCATCTTTGTGCCCTGAGTATCCAGTGTTTAGCTCCCACTTATAGTGAGAGCATGCAGCATTTGGTTTTCTGTTTCCATGTTAACTCACTTAGGATAATGGCCTCCAGCTGCATCTGTGATACTGCAAATGACATGATTTTATTCTTTGTGATGGCTGTGTAGTGTTTCATGGTGTATATGCATACCATTTCATTTATCCAGTTCACCATTGATGGGCACCTAAGTTGAGTCCATGTCTTTGCTATTGTGATTAGTGTTGCAATAAACATGTGAATGCATGTGTCTTATTAGTAAAATGATTCATTTTCTTTTGGAAATATACCCAGTAATAGAATGGGTGGCCAAATGGTAATTCTGTTTTAAGTTCTTTGATAAATCTCCAAACTGCTTTCCATAATAGCTGACCTAATTGACATTCCCACCAAAAATGTCTAAGCATTCCCTTTTTTCTGCAGCCTTGCCAGCACCTGTTGTTTTCTGACCTTTAAATAATAGCCATTCTGACTGGTGTGAGATGTTATCTTATTGTGGTTTTAATTTGCATTTTTCTTATGATTAGTGTTACTGAACATATTTTCATATGTTTGTTTGCTTCTTATATGTCTTCTTTTGAGGAGTGTGTTTTCATGTCTTTAGTGCTATGTGCCTACTTCAAAATGTTAGATCTCAAAATAACATATCTGAATGTCTAAATTTCTTGCCAAACTTGGGCTATTTTCATCTATTATTTTGTTAAATTGATTTTATAATTCTTTTATTTTCTCTTCATTCTGAGAGGTACCAATAATTCAAATATTTGGTCACTTTATGTCATACCAAATCACAAAGGATTTCCTCATTCTTTTTTATTCTTTCTGCCTTATTTTTTTGTCTAGCTGGATTATTTCAGAAGAACTGTCTTCAAGTTCTGAAATTCTTTCTGCTCTTAATCTAGTCTACTGTTGAAGTTTTTGATTTTTTATATATATTTTTTATTTTTTTTATTTTTTATTTATTAATTTTTTTTTTTGAGATGGAGTCTCACTCTGACACCCAGGCTGGAGTTCAGTGGCCCAATCTCAGCTCACTGCAACCTCCATCTCCCGGGTTCTAGCAATTCTCCTGCCTCAGCCTCCTGAGTAGCTGGGATTACAAGCACGCGCCACCACACCCAGCTAATTTTCGTATTTTTAGTAGGGATGGGGTTTCGCCATATTGCCCAGGCTGGTCTCGAACTCCTGACCTCAAGTGATCCATCTGCCTCGGCCTCCCAAAGTGCTGGGATTACAGGTGTGAGCCCCTGCACCCAACCTATATTTTGTATTTCTTTCAATGAATTCTTCAATTCCATATTTTTATTTGGTTCTTTTCAAAAATATCTATCTCTTTAGTGAATTTCTCATTAATATTATGAACGGATTTTCTGATTTCTTCACATAATTTTTCAGATTTTTTTTTCTCACTGAGCTTATTTAAAATCAGCATTGTGATTTTTTAATTTGGAGTTTGAAAAATTTATTTTTGATTAAAGTGTATTGCTAAAGAATTATTGTTTATTTAGAATTGTCATATTTCCTTGCTTTTTCATGTTTCCTATTTGCTTATGTTGATATCTGCACATCAGATGTATCAGTCACCTTTTTCTATTTTTGAATTTACTTTGTAGAGGAGTACTTTTTTTCTGTATTCATGGTACGGTGAGTAGGACACCTTGGCTTTGATTCTGGCTATGTGCAATACTGTAGTCTCTGTATGATTTCTTTGGCAGTAAACAGTGTTACTTCTACCTGTGATTTCCTCTTAAGTTGTGATTATTAGTGGAGGCTGTGGTGAAGTTGTGCTAGGGACTGGGATGTTAGGTAGGTCAGTCTTCAGGCCTCAGTGGTAACAAAGGTGGGTTGAGCATGCCCCAATGCCATTAGCATTGTACCCCAAGGCAGTTTACACTAGCCCCCATGTTGGCGATTACTGGAGAGCCAAATTTCGAGCCTATGTGTGGCTTGCTTGAATGCTGGTAGTGGCAGGCAGTGGTGGATCAGGTAGGTGGGTGGGTTCTCAGGCCACTGGGCAGCCAGTGTGCCATGGGCAGTGGCTCATTCACAGCTCACAATCTATTCTAAGTAGTGACACTGTGAGTTTCCCTAACACCTCACTCCAAGCACTGCTAAGCCCCAGGACACTGTGCAGTCATCCAAGTGCTAGGTAAGAAAATGGTGCCTTGCTCTAGCCACTTAGATGTCAGAAAGGGTGTAGGACCCAGCATGAGCGCCCTCCCTGGGTTAGCTTCATTCTACGATCCCCTGACAGCTTCTTGTGTTAGTTTCAGGGCTTAGAGGGCTAGAGGGACTTTCCCATGGCTAAGATTGGATGATTCCACTGTGGGAATATAAGCTGCTAGAAGCCTCTCACTTACCCATTCTAGCATGGAGAACTCACTCCTGGCTCCCACCCAATTCCTGCCCCTAGACAACCCCAGCCAAGCAGGCTGCCTTTCTTCTTTCTCTTTCCTTGCTTTTCATATTTTCTCTCACTTTTTTAAGAGAAAAGAGAGAGTTTTCTCTCTTGAATAATGTGTTTTAATTGTGCTTATCCGTATACTATTTCAGTTCTTCTAAGTAGAAGTGAGCCTAAAATGCTTCTAGTCAGCCATCTTGAAGCCTTTCCTCAAGGCAGTTTTTAAAAATTCAGTTTATTTCTACTTTTCAGTTTCCATTATCCTTACTCTAACAAAGCCAAATTTTAATGCATTGGATAGATATCTTTTATTGATGTGTGTTTCATAGATTTGTTTTATTGTTTTGTGTGCAAAATAGTGGTTGCCTAAGTCGTATTGTGTTATCTAAAGAAACAAATATGTTTTCTTGGTATTCCTATATTGGCACGGAAACATCTAGTTTATTTCTTCCTATTGTTGTGTGGTTCTACAGGGTGAGAATATACTGCAATTTACTTAATCACTTTCTTATTAATGGATAACAATTTGGCTTCCAGCTTCCCACCCACCACAAATATCATTGCAATATATTTCTGCCAACATCTTCTTAAAAAGTTGTATGAGTATATATTTGGCTTATACACCTGAAACCAGAATGAGAATGAGTTTGAATGTGTTATTTACATACTTGTTTAGATACTGATGAATGGCTCTCCAAAATGTCTCTACACTCCCCTCTAGAAATACATGAGGCTTGTTTATCTTCATCATCTACCAAACTCAGCATTATTCAGTGGCTTCCAAAAACTCTAAATGCTGAAAATACTTACCAATTTGTATGTTTTATAAAGGGGTTTAATACAAGTAAGTACTTGGTTTAAAAAAATCAGTGGATGGGATGCAAAAGCAAGTCTAGACTGGGCCTCTAAGAATTATGTCAGAAAAAAATAATCAAATATCTTCTAAAGAGAGTTTCAACCTTGAGACCACCATGGAACTTTTGAGCTTAACAACATATGATGCAGCTGCTAAGTTAAGGAAACTACAACTAGAAAGGAGCTCTCACTATCACTACAGATACAAATACGTCTTGGTATCTCCTAAGTGACACTCAGAATGCTGGAGAATCAATCATCACTGCAGGAGTAGCTCAGATCTCTGGACTGATTTCTGCTAGCAGAAAATAGCAAAAAAGGCAAGAAGAAGGTCTTTGTCATTTTCTATTTACCAATTTTATGAGCATTCACCTAACATACAATTTGTTTCTAGAATCTTAGCTGCAAAGGAGTATGGGGAAAATAGGGGTTTTCTGGCCTCTATAATGCAAAAAAGCACATTAAAACCATGTATGAAAAGGATTTTGAAAGAGCCAATTCATAGCATCCACCATGCCAACTTTCTAATGGTTGGCAGTCTAATGTGTGAAAATGACTTTGTGCCTTCTGTCTATTCTTTTTAGAACTGGGATTTCCATTTCTATAAAATACATATTTTTTAAACTTTCTGGTTGTAATCTTGATTATTTTTGTTGGTTTGATTACAGATTCTAGATAATAGACACCTTGCCATTTTGTACAATAGAAATATTCCTCATAACATTTTATGCCTGTTGACATAATTTTTTAATTTACAGAAATACTTATTTAGTGTGATAAAATGTGTTATTGTTCCACAGATATCCTGTAATTTGAGTTTTGTTTAACAAGGCCTTTCTTATTCCTAGGCCGTAAGGATGAATTGTCTTTTAATAAATTTATAAATGTAATAATGTTTTAAAAAATTAATGCCCTTAATTTATCTAAAAACCATTGTGTGTATTTTGATAGGTAGAGATATCCTTATCCTTGTTTTCCCCTTTTAAGTAAGCTGGTTTTTCAGCACCATTTACCTAACAATTATTCATTCTCCGTTAAATTGTTTTACACCTTTATTGAATCTCACGTTCCTGAATGTGTGCATGTGTGTGTATACATGAGTGCACATGTGTTTGGGGTGTTTATTTTGATCCTTTAATGTATCTTTTGCATTACATCAATGTCATCCTTTTTTTTATTATTATACTTTAAGTTTTAGGGTACATGTGCACAATGTGCAGGTTAGTTACATGTGTATACATGTGCCATGATGGTGTGCTGCACCCATTAACTCGTCATTTAGCATTAGGTATATCTCCTAAAGCTATCCCTCCCCCCTCCCCCCACCCCACAACAGTCCCCAGAGTGTGGTGTTCCCCTTCCTGTGTCCTTGTGTTCTCATTGTTCAGTTCCCACCTATGAGTGAGAATATGCGGTGTTTGGTTTTTTGTTCTTAAAATAGTTTACTGAGAATGATGATTTCCAATTTCATCCATGTCCCTACAAAGGACATGAACTCTTCATTTTTTATGGCTGCATAGTATTCCATGGTGTATATGTGCCACATTTTCTTAATCCAGTCTATCGTTGTTGGACATTTGGGTTGGTTCCAAGTCTTTGCTATTGTGAATAACGCCGCAATAAACATACGTGTGCATGTGTCTTTATAGCAGCATGATTTATAGTCCTTTGGGTATATACCCAGTAATGGGATGGCTGGGTCAAATGGTATTTCCAGTTCTAGATCCCTGAGGAATCGCCACACTGACTTCCACAATGGTTGAACTAGTTTACAGTCCCACCAACAGTGTAAAAGTGTTCCTATTTCTCCACATCCTCTCCAGCACCTGTTGTTTCCTGACTTTTTAATGATTGCCATTCTAACTGGTGTGAGATGGTATCTCACTGTGGTTTTGATTTGCATTTCTCTGACGGCCAGTGATGGTGAGCATTTTTTCATGTGTTTTTTGGCTGCATAAATGTCTTCTTTTGAGAAGTGTCTGTTCATGTCCTTCGCCCACTTTTTGATGGGGTTGTTTGTTTTTTTCTTGTAAATTTGTTTGAGTTCATTGTAGATTCTGGATATTAGCCCTTTGTCAGATGAGTAGGTTGCGAAAATTTTCTCCCATTTTGTAGGTTGCCTGTTCACTCTGATGGTAGTTTCTTTTGCTGTGCAGAAGCTCTTTAGTTTAATTAGATCCCATTTGTCAATTTTGGCTTCTGTTGCCATTGCTTTTGGTGTTTTAGACATGAAGTCCTTGCCCATGCCTATGTCCTGAATTACCATGCCTAGTTTTTCTTCTAGGGTTTTTATGGTTTTAGGTCTAACGTTTAAGTCTTTAATCCAACTTGAATTAATTTTTGTATAAGGTGTAAGGAAGGGATCCAGTTTCAGCTTTCTACATGTGGCTAGCCAGTTTTCCCAGCACCATTTATTAAATAGGGAATCCTTTCCCCATTGCTTGTTTTTCTCAGGTTTGTCAAAGATCAGATAGTTGTAGATATGCGGCATTATTTCTGAGTGCTCTGTTCTGTTTCATTGGCCTATATCTCTGTTTTGGTACCAGTACCATGCTGTTTTGGTTACTGTAGCCTTGTAGTATAGTTTGAAGTCAGGTAGCATGATGCCTCCAGCTTTGTTCTTTTGGCTTAGGATTGACTTGGCTATGTGGGCTCTTTTTGGTTCCATATGAACTTTAAAGTAGTTTTTTCCAATTCTGTGAAGAAAGTCATTGGTAGCTTGATGGGGATGGCATTGAATCTATAAATTACCTTGGGCAATATGGCCATTGTCACGATATTGATTCTTCCTACCCATGAGCATGGAATGTTCTTCCATTTGTTTGTATCCTCTTTTATTTCATTGAGCAGTGGTTTGTAGTTCTCCTTGAAGAGGTCCTTCACATCCCTTGTAAGTTGGATTCCTAGGTACTTTATTCTCTTTGAAGCAATTGTGAATGGGAGTTCACTCATGATTAATGATAAAGGGGATATCACCACCAATCCCACAGAAATACGAACTACCATCAGAGAATACTACAAACACCTCTATGCAAATGAACTAGAACATCTAGAAGAAATGGATAAATTCCTTGACACATACACCATCCCAAGACTAAATCAGGAAGAAGTTGAATCTCTGAATAGACCGATAACAGGCTCTGAAATTGTGGCAATAATCAATAGCTTACCAACCAAAAAGAGTCCAGGACCAGATGGATTCACAGCCAAATTCTACCAAAGGTACAAAGAGGAGCTGGTACCATTCCTTCTGAAACATTCCAATCAATAGAAAAAGAGGGAATACTCCCTAACTCATTTTATGAGGCCAGCATCATCCTGATACCAAAGCCGGGCAGAGACACAACCAAAAAAGAGAATTTTAGACCAATATCCTTATGAACATTGATGCAAAAATCCTCAATGAAATACTGGCAAAGCGAATCCAGCAGCACATCAAAAAGCTTATCCACCATGATCAAGTGGGCTTCATCCCTGGGATGCAAGGCTGGTTCAATATACGCAAATCAATAAATGTAATCCAGCATATAAACAGAACCAAAGACAAAAACCACATGATTATCTCAATAGATGCAGAAAAGGCCTTTGACAAAATTCAACAACGCTTCATGCTAAAAACTCTCAGTAAATTAGGTATTGATGGGACCTATCTCAAAATAATAAGAGCTATCTATGACAAACCCACAGCCAATATCATACTGAATGGGCAAAAACTGGAAGCATTCCGTTTGAAAACTGGCACAAGACAGGGATGCCCTCTCTCACCACTCCTATTCAACATAGTGTTGGAAGTTCTGGCCAGGGCAATTAGGCAGGAGATGGAAATAAAGGGTATTCAATTAGGAAAAGAGGAAGCCAAATTGTCCCTGTTTGCAGATGACATGATTGTATATCTAGAAAACCCCATTGTCTCAGCCCAAAATCTCCTTAAGCTGATAAGCAAGTTCAGGAAAGTCTCAGGATACAAAATCAGTGTACAAAAATCACAAGCATTCTTGTACACCAATAACAGACAAACAGAGAGTCATCCTTTTTTTTATTCCTTTGGGTTCACAGAATACTCTAGGCTATATCTCCTCCTTTTGTATTTCTTTTTCAAATTTGAGAACAATCATTGATCTGTATTTTCCATATAATTTTTCAGTTATTTTTATTGATATCTTCATAACACTAATCAGAGATTTTGGCTGAGATTGCATTACATTTATAGGGGATTATGTAAATAATTGGCATATTTACATGTCATTTCATTAAATATCTCTATATTAAACAACAAAGTCTCTGTCCTCCATTAGTTAAAAATATTATCCGTGATATTCTTAACTATTAGATTGGTTGATTCCTAAATAGTAGGTTGAACCATATGAATATATCATTTTTATTATTTATAAAAGGGTTGGTTATTGTTAAATTCACATGGTTAAACTTAGTACTTTGTAGTTTTATTGTTATAATCAATTATATATTTCACTTTTATATTTATTTTTGGTGCTGAGAACAACTATTAATTTGTATAAATTAATGATGGTTTATGCAGCCATGTCTAATACTTTGTTGGTTGTATTGCTATCTTTTTCTGAAATAGGTATTATATCATCTGCCAATAATAACAGTATTATCACTTTCCTTCCAATACTTAACACCTCATTCCTCTTTCTTTTCCTACAGAATTGATCAGGTTATAGGGTATTTAGCATGCATGCCAATAAAGAATATTGTTATAGCCAGCATTCTTTTTTCTCATTAGTAAAGGAAATGATCACAATTGTTTTCTACTTACCATACATTTCTGTTATATAAGCTTCACTACATTCAGAAATTTTTTTTTAGATTTTATAGGTTGCTGACAGATTATTATGTTTTTGTCCCAAATGTTTAAAGAAAGATTTATTTGAATATTGAATATTGAAATTATTTTTTACAGGAATCTATTACTATAATGAATTATACTAATGGATTCTCTAATGTTTATCATCTGTGGATACAAGTCATCCAGGTACAGCTTATATTTCAAGCAAGCCTTCCTTGCAGCTAATTAGAGTTATATGACTAAATATGGGAAATAGAATGATAGTAAAGTTATTGTGAGTGACTTACAGGTTATCTCCAACTCAACACACAACAGTGGCCCTGGACATTGACCATTTCTCCCTTCTTGACTAGACATGACAATAACTGGAGTGACTTTAGAAGCCATAAATTAAGTGTTGACATGTCATACCATCCTGAACCAATCAGAATCTCCCATGAGATAAAAATAAACTTCTATCTATGTAAGTCCCTGAAATTTTGTTGTTGTTGTTACCTCAGTTAAACCTTTATCCTATCTAATGATGTCTTTGAAGTTTGGTGATAAACCCTAATTCATCAGAATGCATTATAACTTTTCTAAATGTACTATTAGATTAGTTTGAATAATGCTTTGTTGTAGATTTTAGCATTTCTATTAATAAGCAAAATGTGGCTAAAATTTTACTTTCTTATATAATTAGTATAGTCAATATTTTACATAATCTTATATAGAACATAATTTTAAAATAAAAATTATATTAGACTTTTAAATTAATCTTGACAGCTTTTTCTCTTTATTTAATTTCCAAAAAAGAAATGTGTAAAATGCATGTTCTCTAGGCTGAATTATATCTGCCAAAAAAATGTTTAATTCTTAACCACCGGGTTCTATAAATGTGACCTATTTTGAAAATAAGGTCTTTGCAGATGTAATCAAGTTAATATAACGTCCCTAGGGTATGTCCACATCCAATGTGACTAGTGTCCTTTTAAGAGGATGAGAATGGACTCAAAAACACACCGATGAAAATGCTGCATGAAGACAGATATACAAAGGAAGACAGCCATGTGATAACCAAGAAGAGATTAAATTTATGCAGCTACAAGCCAAGGAATATCGAAGGTTGCAACAACCATCAGAAGCCAAGAAAGATCATTGCCTTGCTGACATCTTGATTTTGGACTTCTAGCCTCCAGAACTATGAGAGAATACATTTCTGTTGTTTTAAGCCATTCAGTATGTGGTAGTTAATTATGTGAGCCCTGGGAAACTAATACAGATTTTGGCACTGGGAGGTAGGATACTGCTGTAACAAATATCTAAAAATGTGCAAGTGGCTTTGGAATTGTGTAGTAAATAGAGTCTGGAAGTGTTTTTGAAGCATATTCTAGAAAAGTTTAGATTGTCTTGAAGAGGCTGTTGGTAGAAATCTGGACATTAAAGGTGTTCTGGTGGGGTCTCAGATGGAAATGAAGATCATGTTTTGGACACCGGAGAAAAGGCAACCCTATTTATAAAATAATTGAGAGTTTGATGATTTGGAAAATTCTCAGCTATTCATATTTCAAAGAATGGGAAAGCATGTTCTGGAGAGAAAACACCATAGGTGTGTCTGAATAAATTTTTGCTACAGAGATTAAGCGTGTGACTCATGGATCCAATCAACTATCTCAGTAGAAACGGTCACCTTGGATGAAAGATGATAGAAATGAACAAAGGGCAGGAAGGCTGTTGGACTTTTTGGTTCCACAAACAGAAAATGGGCAGCTAGAGCTGCTTGGCTAGCAACCTCTGTTAGCCTTCAAGAAAAAAATAAGAAAATTTTTAAGGGTGGCTCAGATGCCAGTGGGATTTTCAATGTCTGGGAGGGTGGGATGGTTACCACTGTGGATCAAGAGGGCAGGGCCACTGCTATTGAATACCAGAAGGGGATAGGGAGCCATCTCAGTGGGTTCAATGGAAAGAGTCACGGAGAATTATTCTCAGAACTTAGACTTTAATGGAATTTTCTCTGATAGGTTACAGACTTGCTTGGGATATGTGACCCTTTCTTTTTTTTCTTTTTTGAATTTCTCCCTTTTGGAATGGGAATATCTATTCTATGCCTATTCCACCAGTGCATTTTGTAAAAAAGGTAATTTGTTTTCTCTATTTCAGAGGTCCACAGATAAAGAGGAATTTTGCCCCAAAATGAACATTACCCAGCATCTCATCCATATCTGATTCTGAAGTTTTAGAAGATGAGATTTGGGAGTTGTTGAGTTACTTTTATTTAGAAGACATTTTGGTGTTAGAGGTCACATTAGGATGGGTTAAGATTTTGGGGGATGTTGGGATGGGGTGAATGTATTTTGTATGTGAAAAGATGTGGGTTGGGGATCTAGCAGGCATATTAATATGGGTTGAATTGTGTGCCCCCCCACAGGGATACGTTGATATCCTAACCTCAAGTACCTATGAATATGACCTTATTTGGAAATAAAGACATTACAGATATAGTTAATATGAGGTCATCAGGGTGGACCTAATCTACCCTGATTGATGTTATTTTAAGAGGCGAACAGACAAATGCATATCGAGGAGAATGCTGTGTGAGGACATGAACGCACGAAAGGAAGATGACCATGTCACAACAGGAAGAGTTTGGAATTCAGAAGATGCAATACAAGAAATATCCAGCAACCACCAGAAGGAGAGGCAGCGTGGTCTTGCCAAGATCTTTCTTTTAGACTTCTAGCTCTAGATCTTTGAAAGACTAAATTTCTCTTGTTTTGAGCCACCCAGTAGGTGGTCATTTATTATGGTATCCCTAGTAAAAAAAAAATATTCTGGATAGTTTGGTAATTCTCATTTATAAAACTATTTATCGGTGAAACCCCATCTCTACTAAAAACACAAAAAATTAGCTGGGCGTGATGGCGGGCGCCTGTAGTCCCAGCTACTTGGGAGGCTGGGGCAGGAGAATGGCATGAACCCAGGAGGCGGAGCTTGCAGTGAGCTGAGATAGCCCCACTGCACTCCAGCCTGGGCGACAGAGTGAGACTCCGCCTCAAAAAAAAAAAAAAAAAAACTATTAATACAATGATAATTATTACTATTAATTTCTATTGGTGGGAGGCTGCTTCTGAGATGGAAAACATGTCTTTAGCTACAATTTAAATTTACTTAATTCTAATTAGTCTGTTAAAATATTCTATTTATTACATATTTGTAATGAATTTGTCATGTCATCTATTTTCTTTATATATTTATTAGCATAGTATTAGCATGATAATGGCCTTTTTTTTGTTCAACAGTCCTTCCTTTAGTTTATCCCTCTTTCTCCTCTCACAATTCCTTAGAGGCAGCAAGGAAAAACTGAGGGGACCCTTTTAATACTTTGGCTACAAAATTTTTTAGCTGGATTACCCAGGCCTTTAAGCACATTTTTCTATTAATACCTGTCTTTTATCACAGCATCCTACATTTGAGTGCCACAATCTGAATTTGGTCATCTATTGCTGCATAAATAATTAATCCCAAGCTTAGGCTCAAACAGCAAACACTTATTATGTCACGAAATTGCTAGGGCCAGACACCTTACTTTCTTGCCATATGGCCTTCTCCATAGGCTGCCTGAGTACCCTCACATAGTGGCAGCTAGCTTCACTCAGGAAGAGCAATCCAAGAAGAGTGAGAGCCCAGCCTAATCTTCAAAGAGTTATGCCATCAACTCTTCTGTATTCTATGGTGACGCAGACCTATTCTGGTACAATGTGAGAGACTTTACAAGGGTCTGAACACAAGGAGGTGGGGGTAATCGGGAGCAACTTGGAGGTTAGCTTCCACAGTTATTAAGGCATAATCTCCACCATACAACATGAGGAGTGGGCTTTGCCAAGAGTATCAACATACATTCTGCTGGATCTTCATCTAATGGTCAGTTGAAATGGACATATTGGAATTTATTATAAAATAATAATTTTAAATGATTTTTAAATGATTTGCTACACAGATCAGTTACCTGTAATGAAAAACTAACAGACAAGTGATTTTTAAAAATTGGATCAGTATGAGGTTCACCTATAATATGTTCACACTATCCTGGCCCCTGAGAGTAATATTATAATAAAACTCATTTTTATAAGTGACATCATCCTAGTCTTGGTATCAAATGAGGCATAAATGGATTGAAGTGCTCATTTGGCCTAATAATGTAGCGAGGTTATTTCAATTAGAATCACCCAGCTACTAGTAATCTGACTATGTTATTGGAGCAATTCCTTTAAACTACTGACCAAGTCTTGCCTGGCTCAGCAGGCCACATCTAATGTGATTACCTCCTAACGTGTTATGACATTTAGGAATTCTATACAACAATCTTAACAGGACATAGAAATACCACTTCTATAAAATGAACTGACATGAAGTTAATTCTTTAACGCATTTCATTAAGAGAAAAGTGTTTACTTTCATCTCTGCAAACAATTCCCTCATTAATCTGGGAAATATCACCTGAGAATGCTATTGAAGTCGATAAAATCAAATAAAATAATGACAGGTACCGACAGGAATGCAACAAATTCTACTCCAAAATATACTCCCCTATTAGAGCTGTTGTAAACCATGCTTGGATTCGGCTACCTTGGCAGAAGATTTAAAAAGAAAAGACACATTCACAGCTGTGTAATTAGAGGAGAATAAGACCAGCAATTAGTTGTAGAGTAGGTGTTACTTCTATGTTAGCATCTATTTTCAGTTTTTTATGTTTTGCTTTATTTCCTGTTTCTTGCTGTCTATAAGAATTTCCAGACAAACTTTGAGAGTCTGGGCCATGTTTAACAAAATCACAGAATACTGAGATTAGGAGGAAGTTTAACCTAATGTTGCCAATTCCTGTTTAGACTTGTTTCCCTTCGAAGCAACTAATTTTTACCTCTGGAATTTGATTTTGACCCTAAACTTAATGGAACTTTAGTGATAGAACTCATTGCCTTCTGAAGGAGTACCTTCTACAAAAAGTTCATTTGTTCAATTGCAAAGTTCTTTGTCATATCAAGCTTGTTTATCCACTTGAAGTTTTCATATGTTGACATAAACTCTACCTTTGGCAATATCTAGCACAAGTCTCATTTCTCTTCAGCAAAAAAGACCCTTAAAAATATTTATGATAAACCCTTTTGTATTTTTGTTGCTAAAAGTGGAATCACCTCATAAAGCTGAATGATAGCATTACTGAGTCTCCTGAGATGGGCTTGTCATCACATTTTTCTTTCTGTGTGCCTTTACGACATCAAGAAGGTGCATGATTGCTGTGTATTTCCAGCTCATGAGAGATTTGGTCTTGCTACTCATTGACATGGAAGGTTAGCCTCAGTCAAAAGAGTTCAATAGTCTTCCCCAGGAGTATACTTCTTGACTCACAGTGACACAACAGGATAGGTGAATGAAATAATCTTGAGAGTCTGTATGCTAGTATAAAACTAGTGAGGGCAGACATTAAAGACTCATAAAATTAAAAATCAAGAGAAAGGTCAAATCAGATGTGAAAAGTATTGTTTCTTAAGGAACTTACACATCCAGGATGATGTCAAAGCGAGAGACAGAGAATAAAGAGGGGGGACCTTTAAGTCAGGAATATAGCATGGTATGTGATTTGAAGCATTTACTGAATGCCAACGCTATGAGTGTTCGAGTAGTACTCTGGAATGTTGAGGGAGGGGATCATTTTTAATACTGGAATGAGAACCTGGGAAGTAGGGTACCAAAACATGTTGAATTGATTCAAGATTCAATTAACAGGGATTTATTGATGTTCTATATTGAGGCAGGCAATGTTTCGGGTACAGAATCCACAGTTTTAGGCAGTGAGACACTCACAAACTTACAATGCTATTAAAGTTGTGTGGCAATACACTGAACATAAATAAGACATGATATGCTGATTTTGAAGTTGTGAAAGAGTTTGTATCTGGATTATTGATTTTATAGTATATTTTGCCAATAGAAGTTATAAAAGTATTATGGTATGATTTTTATTGTGTACATTTTTTGTGGCTTAATACCAATGAGAAGTTGTATTTGCCAGATGTTATATGGTTTAAATACGACTAAAAATCTTAAGTTATAGTTTACTTGCTCTGGTTGGTTCTCTTTCAGTTTGTTTGCTCTCCCTGAAATTTTAGATATCAGTGTAAGGAAAAATGAGTGAGACTGCCATAGAAATTCAGAGCTTTTTACATAGTCCAACTCAGTATAGTCAGGGTAATGGTGTCAATGAGCTTTGTAAACAAAAATTGCTGTGGGAAAATTTCTCAGGGACTGTAATAGTGAGATGAAGCCCCTAGGTTCATACTGTGGAACCAAAGGCAAGACACTGAGATTAAAGCATTTTGTAAGCATTAAGTACTAATCATAAGTAGAAAATGATCATAAGTTTTTAAAAGAAAAAAATAGCATATACATAGAAAAGGATTTTTTAATCAACTGGGCTTTTAGATGTTACTAGTAATTGCTAAATAATATTCCAGAATCGTCTTTATAAAATCATATAGTACTAGAGTTTTAGTTTCAGAAAGGTGGGATAGACATATTTTCCCTATTTCCTCCTGCTAAGTACAGCTAAAAGCCCTGAATATTATATATAAAATAAACATAAGAAGATTGAAATGTGAAAGGAGGAAGGCAACTGGCTAAAGGCCTTAGGACCCAAACACTAACATAATAGGATGCTCTCTGGGTTTTCTTTTTTTACTCAGATCACAAACTTAAAGAAGCCAGAAACCCAGAAATACCAATAGGTGTAGACAAACAAAACACAACAAAAAACTCTAAACAAAACTCTAATCTCTCTAGCCAAAAGATGAAGAAAAAATATAGTGAGACAGATAGCTGTTAGATAATAGCTGCTTTACTCCAGCCAAACACCACTAAAAAGATCATAGTCCCATACCCATCAGCAGAAGCCAAGTGGGGAGCTAGATTTTCCTGCTTACAAGGGTATAATAAGATACTCCAATACCCTATCATGATGGTGTCAGAGAAGGCAGAGTAGGAACATAGGTCTCTCACTCCTTTCAGACAATAAGCTCCCTTCTTCCACTGCAGGATCAATAGAGACAACATATGGAGCCTGGACTTCCACTCCAATCATGCATTAATGATATTCTCCTCCCTGTTTCAACTGGGTGCTATCAGAGCAGACTCAGTAGAAAGTCAGGACTTTTACCACCAAACACACATTTTAGAACAAGAATCTAAGACATATTTTAGAACTTGAAAATATTACAACTGAGACAAACAAAACCTAAAACTCAACTCTCTGTGGGCGAGCTTAAGAGCAGAATGAAGAGGACTAGGGGAAAAAAAAATTAGAGACCTTGAAGGTCTCTGATAGGATCTTCAGAGACAAAAGAAATTACACTTCTAAACAACAGAAAGACTGCAAAAATAAAGCAAAAAATAAGAATAACAAAACCCAAATCCTCAAGAACATCCGGGAGTATAACAAGGGATCTAACATTTATGTCACTGGAGTCTCAGAAAAAGAGGAGAATGAAGCTATAAGAATATTCAAAGTAATGTTGGCTAAAAAGTTGGAAATTTGAATAAAAGGCTAAACCCTTCAGATTTAAGAAACTGGGCAAACTTCAAATAGGATAAATCCATAGAAATCTGCACCAAGATGCCTTGGAGTTAAACTTCTGAAAACTATATCATGAAAAACAATTTTAAAGGAGATAACTAACACTTTCCCTACACAGGGAAGATAATTTTAATGACAGAGGTTTTCTCATCAGATCCATAGAGACTAAAAGGAAATGACACAATAGTTTTTAAGTACTGAAAGAAAAGAACTGTCAACCCAGAATTCTACAACCAGAAAAAAATCTCTCAAGAAAGATGAATCAAGATAGTCTCTGATCAAGGAAAGCTAACAGAATTTCTCCCCAGTAGATTTATCCAAAAAGTCTTAAGAAAGTTCTCAAAAAGAAAAAGAAATGTTAAAAAAAATCTTGGGACATTAGGACAGAAGAACAACAAAGAACAAAAACAATCTGGGTAAATACAGAAAAATTCCCCACTCCTCTTGAATTTTGTAAATCATGTTTGATGTTTGAAGATAAAATTTTAACAGTGTGTGCTATAGTTCTGCAAAATAAAAACAAACAAAAAAAGCCACTACCAACCAAAACCAAAACAAACTAACCACAACGCTGCAGCTGGGTGTCAGTAAAAGTAACGTTCTGTTGCAACCAGATATTAAATGTTTGATCTCCATGGTCGCTTTCCATGGATTTGGACAAGAAAATGAAACATTCTTCAAAAAACATTCATGTTGTATACTTAAAATGTAAATTTTTCTACTTAAAGGTACCAACATCTTTGGTATGGGAGAGGACAGAAAAGCAGAAATGGAGTATTTTATTCTCTGAAGGAGGTAAATTAAATAAGAACAAACCATAAATAAGTTGAGAAGTATAAATTAAATACTAAATGATGTAATTCATACTCAAGTGTTAGAGAAGAATAGATTAAGACACAAACACGAAGGATTTGGGCTGGACTTTGAAGGATGGAAAAGACTTAGATAAAATTAAAGACAATGCACAGTGGGAGAAAGGACACAGAAATAAGCATGGGCATGGAAGCAACCAGGCTGAGATCCTTGATGTCGGAGTGTTGTATTAGTTTTCTACAGCTGCCCTAGGAATAACCACAAACTGTATAACTTGAAAGGACAGAAATTTATTTTCTCATAGTTGTAGAGACAAGATGTCTGATTCTGAAATTCGGGTGTTGACTGACAGAACCATGCTCCTCCTGAAGTTCTAGGAGATGGTCCTTCCTTGTCTCTCCCAAGCTTCTTGGCATTCCCTGGTTTATGGCAGCATAAACTCCAGTCTCTGCTTCCATCTTCACATGTCTTTTTCCCTCTGTGGGTCTCTGTGTCCAAATGTCCTCTTCTTTTTTTTTTTTTTTTTTAACAGATTTATTTTATTTTTTTTTATTTTATTATTATTATACTTTAAGTTTTAGGGTACATGTGCACAACGTGCAGGTTTTTTACATATGTATACATGTGCCATGTTGGTGTGCTGCACCCATTAACTCATCATTAACATTAGGTATATCTCCTAATGCTATCCTTCCCCCCACTCCCCCACAACAGTCCCTGGAGTGTGATGTTCCCCTTCCTGTGTCCATGTGTTCTCATTGTTCAGTTCCCACCTATGAGTGAGAACATGCGGTGTTTGGTTTTTTGTCCTTGCGATAGTTTGCTGAGAATGATGGTTTCCAGTTTCATCCATGTCCCTAAAAAGGACATAAACTCTTCATTTTTATGGCTGCATAGTATTCCATGGTGTATATGTGCCACATTTTCTTAATCCAGTCTATCGTTGTTGGACATTTGGGTTGGTTCCAGGTCTTTGATATTGTGAATAGTGCCGCAGTAAACATACGTGTGCATGTGTCTTCACAGCAGCATGATTTGTAATCCTTTGGGTATATACCCAGTAAGGGGATGGCTGGGTCAAATGGTATTTCTAGTTCTAGATCCCTGAGGAATCGCCACACTGACTTCCACAATGGTTGAACTAGTTTACAGTCCCACCAACAGTGTAAAAGTGTTCCTATTTCTCCACATCCTCTCCAGCACCTATTGTTTCCTGACTTTTTAATGATTGCCATTCTAACAGGTGTGAGATGCTATCTCATTGTGGTTTCGATTTGCATTTCTCTGATGGCCAGTGGTGATGAGCATTTTTTCATGTGTTTTTTGGCTGCATAAATGTCTTCTTTTGAGAAGTGTCTGTTCATATCCTTCGTCCACTTTTTGATGGAGTTGTTTGTTTTTTTCTTGTCAATTATTTTGAGTTCATTGTAGATTCTGGATATTAGCCCTTTGTCAGATGAGTAGGTTGCGAAAATTTTCTCCCATTTTGTAGGTTGCCTGTTCACTCTGATGGTAGTTTCTTTTGCTGTGCAGAAGCTCTTTAGTTTAATTAGATCCCATATAAAGAGAACATTAGTCATTGGATTAGGGGCCGCTCTAATCCAGTGTGACATCATCTTAATGGCTGTATTTACAGAGATGCTGTTTCCAAATTAGTCACAGTCACAGGTACCGAGTGTTAGATTTTCAACATATTTTTCAAGCACTAGTCATATTTCTCAACTTGAAGATGTGAAAAGTAGTACTTTAGGTGGGTTTGAATTTTGTGGAGCCTTAGAAACTATATAATATTTGCATTTGATAAAGAGCCATGAAACTGATTCAAAACCAACCCAATACTGTATAAACTCTTTCTCACTTTAAATATAGACACATACAAATAGAGGAGCATTTCTGGTAGATTTATAGATAGTAAATTTGTAATAGTAAATTTGTAATCAAACATTGATAATGAAATATCACATCAAACTAGGAACCAGGAGTCTTCATTTCTAATTCTGTCACCATCTCTACTATGCCCCATGACCTTAAGATACACCTTAGCATGAATATGGGATTATTTTTACCATCTATGATATAGATAAATTTCTCAGCTTCATAATAATAAACATTTTTATTGCATGCTATATGTCAAGCACTAATACATATGCTGAACTATTTACCTGAATTGTCTCATTTAATAGTTAAAATATTCCTATGAGTTAAATCATATTATCCTTACTTTTTAGGTGATAACTAAAGCCCAAACAGAGTTTTGAAAACTGCCTCAGTCAAAGGGTGGTATTAAGATTCCAACCTATATTTATCTTAGTCAACAGCTAGGTTCATAGCCAGTATTCAATCAAGGGTTCACAAATTGTGAGCCCATTGATGATATATGGCCCAAAGATATATGTTCTTAGATATACATTCTGTTTTAAAAGAATGAGCCAACATCTAAAACATCAAATGATTTTACATTAAAATAATTTTTATAATATTTTGAAAAACTTAGTAGGTCTTGAACTTCTCTGCCCAAACTTAGCTGGACCTTAAGAACATTTGCCCATGCATTTGCCCATTTAGATATTCATGCATTCTCCACTTAAATGTAATCCCCAGCTCTCCCTATCACCTCCAAACACACAGTGTGTCAATTATGATTTGTCATTGAGCTTGCACTATTGTTTTCTTCTTACATCTATAGTGGAACTTCTTTTTACCCATATTTCAAATAAAAGAAGTGGAATACTTCTTTTTACCCATATTTCAAATAAAAGTGAGAAAATTAACAATAGGCTGAAATATGTTATTTTTCTCATGCCTCTCCTAGATTCTTCTTTTATGTGAACTTGCTGGCTCCTATAGGCATGTAAGTTTGTAACTCCTGCCATATTGCCTCTGGATCAGTGATCTCAACCTTGGCTGTACACATGAATCACATAGAGAGATTTAAAAATTCCCAATGTTCAGTCTGCACTCTAGACCTATTAAATCAGAATTTCTGTGCATGGAGCCCAGGTATCAATATTTACAGCATCCCACTGTGCAGTCAATGTTGAGAACCACTGCTCTAGATATTCTTTAAGATATCTTCTGTTTTCTAAATTCTAAATTTACAATTCAAAAGCCAGTTCTAAAGATTGGAATGGTTCGATATGTTGTGTGTAAGCTGTATATTGGGGATGTGGGATTGATGTAGGGACACTGACTGTGGATCTTTGCTTGCCGAGCTAAGCAAATTAGACCAACCCTTTAGATGTGCAGCCCATTCTAGCACACAACATTGACATCCAGAGGAAAAGTGTCATAAGTTAGTCTTAGTTATGGGGCCAACAGTTTACGTGACCTAAGAAAGTCATTTACTCAGTCTCGGTTTTATTTTCTTTTTTCAACTATGACTCAACAGCGCTCATATACAATGCTGTATGCAGGTCCTATATTTGCAGTAAAGACAGTATCAGAAAATCAAAATAAAGTACATTCAAGATATATACTTACTATAAGAACATAAAATAAATTTTTTCAAACCTACTGATTTCCAACAGAAATTCAGAAACATAGGGGGACAACTGTACTGCAGAAAGACATGTATTCAGAAAGGTAATCAGAATGTGAAATGTTTACTGCAATGCTTAGGTAAGGAACTTTTGCCCCTGGCTACCCTCCAAGGTCTAGATGACACATGTCTCTGGTGAATCATGAGGTTGCTAATTGTAAGCTTTATGGATTCAACAACCAGCACTGAGAAGACCTGCAATGATCAGCAGCCAAAGCCAATGGCACAGCTTGGAGCCCGGCGCTTTCTGTTCTTTGTGTTCATACTAGTTCATTCTCTAGAGAAGGTCAGAGTATTCCATACAAAACTATGCTCAGTTTTCAAGTGTGAAGCTTCCATGACAGGAAACACATCAAGGCTTTTGACAGCTGATAACTTTGTACCTCCTCTCTGAGGGGCTCCTGTTCAGAACAAAAATGTAATATAGCTCCGGGTGTTATCAGAGCTGTTATAAAATGCACTTGGGCATTCTGAGGATTCATGCTTAATGCCTTTCTATAATTTGTGCAGAATGTGTGCAGAGTCCTTACAGCATGCTAATAACATTTTGTTATGACACAGTGCAGCACCACAGAGCCAACTTACATAAGGATAGAACAATGATGTAGAAGGCAAAGATAAAGATTAGAATTTCAAGTTAAAAAGCAAGGTTTTATAGAGGCCATTGATAGGTTGGAGGTAAAGCAACTGACAACAACTTAAAATAGTTAAAGACATTTAGGCATATCTTAGAATGAGACTCGACTGACATTTTGAAGGCAAGCTTATAGGAAAATTAATCACATGAGGAGTGTTCATTGACTTTCTATAGAAAAAGTATTGAGATAAATTTGCAGGTATTCAATAAAGTAGAGTGCCTATCAAAATAGGCAGCCTGCGTTAGGACGTCACCATTTTCCATACATGTGTGTGTTTTTCTTCCTAAAAATATTGTCTATATATGCCAGAAACAATTGTGGCTGAAATAAATTTCTTGTATCAACAGGATCTCAGCTTATAACTTTACATCTGAGAATGAAGCCAAACAGAAGTACTTGCTTTTGTTTGTGGCATTGCTCCCGATTTATTTGAATTTAGTCCTGTCACTGGAGTTCAATAAAGTCAGGCAGTGAATCCATATGGATTTGGGTAATAGATTGATGTTCTGATAATGAGAATCAATCCAGAATTAAAATTAATTTTAGGTGAAGAGTAAATACACTGCTTTTAGATACTCATGAAACTCTGCTTCCTTCTTGTAAGTAATGATGAGAATGACATGGATATGTGAAGAATAGAATGCAGAATAAAAACAGAATAAATCTTCATGTGTTTCATAAACAAAATCCAGGGCTGGTGGTAAGTATATCAAAGCATTTGTGTTTTATCTTTGAAGGAAATATGAAATGTTACAAGTTTTTCATTAATTTATGTAGACACTAAGTAGGACCTGAGAGAGAAATAATAATTATACAAAATAGTGTTTTATTGGATAAATGCTTTTTTGTTAAACTATTGTACTTGAGTGAGAAATTATGGTGTGTATTTTCTTTATATTCACTATTGTGCATTTTGAGATGCCATTATGCCAACAGATTATAGGCAAACCTGATGATTATGCTCTGAACTGCATCCATTATATTTATTAAACCACCTTTTCTACTACCTTTTATGAATGTTTAACTATAGAAACTTCAACGTTTTAAAAATGATTTATATAATCAAATCATTCATGTATAATTAATTCTACTAATTTTCATGAGTGTTTCAGGTCATTTTGGCATAATTAGCCATTGTTGAGGGTTTTCTCCCCCATCAATTAAACTAATTGCTTTCCACATAGGTATAGATTGAATATTGATCCCCATTTTTTTCAGCTCACTTGCATAAGCAAATTATGCCTAATTGCCAGCTTACTACATCATTACACACTTATCATCAATTATACAAAAATATACTCTGCTAGACAAATGATTTCTTTGTGGCATTTTGAAGGGCTTTTTAATTGTGATGCTTAGAACAGTATTGTCATTTTAAAAAATATTAAACACCATGTTTAAACCAATAACGCAATAAAGCGTGTTATTGGTTAACAAACATACCAGCTCCTGGCTAGACCATCATTTACCTTGGAATATAAAGAGTGTCTTAAAACAATTTGAAGGAAACTCATTGTTATTAAATATAGTAAATCCACCAATGCAAATATTAGAATAAGTTCTTTCTAAATTTTTTAGCTTAATCTTTATCTTTCCCATTCCACATATTTATTTCTTCTCTACCTGACGAAAAGTCTTTGAGAAGATCTGAAGAGGTGGTGAATTTCAAAGAATCACTATACAGAACACACCAACATTTTTAAAAGTCAGGAGATAAAAGCAACCCCATTCATCATGCATTCTGTGCAGAGCATTAATGTCTTTTAGTGATTTTACTGGGCATTTGTCTTCACTAGTTTCTCAGTTAGATTCTTTAAAAAGTACAGAAAGATATGAAAATAATATAATCCCAAGATTCTCCTTACAGATTTCTACACCCTATGACATAATTTTCACACATTAGCTCTCCATAGAGAATGGAGATAAACCAAAAGCCAATATTAAAATGTATTTTAAAATAAGTGGGAGGACTGTCCTGATATGACAGTCTTATTTTAATCCTTGGCTATTCCACTAATAAAATCATATAATATGAGCCACTTTTACATTGGTGCTCACCTCATGGAAGCCAGACTTTTCTCAACAGGATGCCACATTTAGCAAAGTAGGCCTCCACAGGCTGTATCTAACACCCACAAACAAAAGCTGAGGATGCGAAAAGGTTCTAAATGATTCTATCGCTTGAAACTGCCTGATAATGAGTCTTGAATTACCTGTGGGGATCTTGATGATCAATTCTTTATTTACACTTTAGGACTAACCTTACTCTTTTCTTATTCAAGAAAGTTGGGGAAGACGGAAAGAAGAAGAGTATAGTAAATATTCCCTTACTCATTGATATCTTTTTAAAACCAAAATGGGACAATTTTAGAAGACCATTTCGTTTTAATCAATTTAATGTAATTTAACCATTTTCTAAAATTGGATGATGATTTTGTGCCACAAATCCTAGGCTCAGCTTATGGAATCACAGGACATCAGAGTTAGAAAACCAATGGGAGATTTACATAGCTTTAATCACTGACATCCAGTATCTATTTGAATTCCTCTAGTGGCAGGTGACTTGTTTTTACCTAGAAAGCAGCACATAATATTTCAAGGGAGCTTCAGTCATCACAAGGTTCTTAGACCCATTCATCCCATCTCTGCACTCTTTCAAATCTTGGAAAGAACTTATATTTTTCTCCTCACAGGTTATAGTTTGTGTTGATAACTCTCATAAATGCCTACTCTTTTCCATTGTTGACCAAACATCCTTAGATCTACATTCTCCTTGTATAGTTTCAGACCTTTCAAAATCTTTGTCTACGGATATATTTCATGCATATCTCTTTTTTGATGGCATTTAAGGTCTGTGAACAGGAAGGTAGCATTTATAGAAATCATGAAAACAATACAAAATTATAAAACAAATGCCAGGCGCAGTAGCTCACGCCTGTAATCCCAGCACTTTGGGAGGCCGAGATGGATGGATCACCTGAGGTCTGGAGTCCACAACCAGCCTGACCAACATGGAGAAACCCCGTCTCTACTAATAATACAAAATTAGCCGGGCATGGTGGTGCATGCCTGTAATCCCAGCTACTTGGGAGGCTGAGGCAGGAGAATTGCTTGAACCCGGGAGGCAGAGGTTGTGGTGAGCCGAAATCGCGCCATTGCACTCCAGCCTGGGCAACAAGAGCAAAACTCCATCTCAAAAGAAAAACAAAAACAGAAACAAAAAACAGACAAAAATCTATTATTTTCCCCTTTACATAGCTTTTAAAAGATACAAATACAAAAATTCACCTTACATAAAATATACATGTATTAAGAATGCTAGTAGAGAATAATACATAAAGTTGTAAAATGTGTGCTATTTTCATTTCTTAAAACTGGAATTATACTGAGTTGTTATTATATTTGACAAAAATAAGATAGAATATTTAAAAATCTTTTACAAAAGATGGCATCACCAAACTGTTGATTCATGATAACTTTTAATATCTGAAATAAATTTTGTTCAGTCTAAACACTGCTAACAAGAAAATATCATGTAAGTTTAAATACCATTTGATATTCTTTGGGTCTTTCAGTTTATTTTATTTTTACAAAGTTTTATGAATGGATTTATTTAAGTAATATTATAATGTAAATAACAAGTCAAAATCAGGGGTTTGAAAGAATCGTTTCTCTTAAAATGGGTCTGAACCTTATTCGAGTTTGGGAAACACTGGGCTATAAAATAAAATTAAACTTTGGATTGGTATGCCAGGCCTTCCATGATCTGGCCCTCATGGTACCATTGCTTCATGTCCTGTCAGTCTCTTAGTCAAACCTGAGGTCCCACCAACACTGTAATTTCCATGTCCTTATTCTAGCTGTTCCCTCTACCCAGGACAACCTTATAAACCTACTCAGAAAAAATAACACATCACAGACCATAGATAGGTCTTGGGATTTTAATCCTCCCAGAATGACAATTAGAAATTACCTACTCAACTGAACAAAATGGTACAATCTGTCTACCATCTCATCATGAGATATGTATGAAGCAGTCTTCCACATTATTGTGAGGGATAGACTGAGCACCTGTCAGGCCACCACAAGGAAGTCAATACGTTCCCTCTAAGCCAGAGAAGCCAGGACCAATAGCCCAGACAAAACGGAAACTTCAAAAAACAGGCCCCCATCAGGCTTAAAATGGTCACTCCCAGTCATTCCCCACAACTGTCTTAAGCATTTTGCTTGATAAATACAGACTTTTGACCAGAAGAGATAAACAACTTTGATGTTAAGGTTGTTATCATTTGTGATAACATTTCGATTGATTTTAAACTTTCAATGGTACTTCAATGATGTCAATAATACAAACCTGATTTAAAGCTGGGAATCTAAAATGAAGTCAAGTATTTGCTGAAACATTTCTTTATTATGTTCAAAATGGTAACTTTCATATGAAAAAAAGATTGACAACCTGTGTCACACCTTTACTAAGACTTCACAAACTCTTTTGTGGCCAGTGTTACTTCTGCTTTCATAATGGCCGCTTAAAGACATCTTGTATTGTTTATACTGACAACACATCTGTATTTCTTATTGTTGACTCAAAATCCTCTCTCATTAACTTGAATTAAAATAGAAAATAGCACTGGTCAGGCCTAAAACTACTCAGCAAACATGCACTTTAACAGTAAATTTACAACTCTTTACAACAGAAACCGCGCACTCTTCTTTAATTGCTACAGAGAGGTCAGTCTTTCAAACCAAATAAGAGTAAGAGATGCTGCTTTTATCATAGCCTTATGCAATTGTAAAATAGAGAGCAAACTAAGGTCTGCCGTTCTTTCTCCACCTGCTTACTTTTGGTTATATCTCATGACAGATTTTGAAGCCGATTTCAAAGGGCAACATCTGTTGTTTGAACTATGCATGGAAAGTTTACATAAAGCTAAATTTATAGATAGCTAAGGCTATGAAAAGTATTAGAAGAGGATGCTGAAGATACAAAAGTAAAATAAATGGTGAATTTGGATGAATCGTAGTGAATTAATTCTCTAATTGCATTACTTATTCTGTTAATAGGAAGACATTTGAGCAACTTATATATGGAGGGGTTCAGGGCATGATGCCCCAGAATGTGGCTCCTTGGCCTTTGATAAAACAGCAGAATGAGGAAGGTCAGTCTCTGACCTTCTCCCATCCTTCTCCCCTGAAGTAGGTCACAAGACCCTCATTAGAGAGGTATTCTGGCAGAAAGAAACATCCTTATCTCTGAAAAGACAGAGAAGAATCTGAACAAATGGCCTTAACAAGTTTATTACCATTACATCCTAGACCCTTTGTTCATCACACTTTCCCACAACTGTCCACTTTGGGTCAAACCTAAGCATAAAGACGAACAGGTTTCCTGTTTCTTTAGGTCTTCATTTCTGAAGGCTCTCATGTCATGTAAAGCTTATATCAAATATATTTTTATGTTTTCCTCTTGTTAATCTGTCTTTTGTTACAGGTGCCTCAGCCATGAACCTAGTATTGGATGTGGAAAATAAATCTTCACCCATTTATAATATTCATGACTCCAAAACATGTCCTCTTTTAATATCCCAAGCTGGGTTTTATTCCAGGCCTCCCTAGGGGTGTCATGGGAGAATAAATGGCAAATTTAGAATTCTTTATACATTATATTAGCCACAGATATATATATACATATATATATATATATATATATATATACACATATATATATATATATATATACACATACATATATATATATATATATATATACACATACATATATATATATATACACATACATATATACCTTTTATTTTTTTGAGATGGAGTTTCGCTCTTGTTGCCCAGGCTAGAGTGCGATGGCGTGATCTCGGCTCACTGCAACCTCCGCCTCCTCGGTTCGAGTGATTCTCCTGCTTCAGCCTCCAGTGTAGCTGGGATTACAGGCATGTGCCACCACGCCTGGCTAATTTTTTATTTTTAGTAGAGACGGGATTTCTCCATGTTGGTCAGGCTGGTCTCGATCTCCCAACCTCAGGTGATCTGCCCGCCTCTGCCTACCAACGTGCTGGGGTTACAGGCGTGAGCCAGCGTGCCAGGCCTATATATATCTTTTGTTAAGAAATTAGAATTTACTCTTTAAGATAGAGTTAGGCCTAGTGGGGTATTTTGAAAATGTTTCTGAAAATTCGCCTATAAATAACCCTGATAATTTTACACTGTCTTTAAATTTACTGGAGTTCTACCAAATGCCTAAAGCAAATAAGTGTGGATGTTAAACATTAAAGGCAATACTTCTATTCCAACATTGCAAATAACTGACTGCTCTGAACCTTACTTATGAATGGCGATACTTATATGACATATTAAAGTTTAGAGTGCAAGATGTGTTTTCCTGCCTGGGACATTATATTTGATAATTATAAACTGATATTTTAAAATGCATGCATGTCTTTATTATTTTTAAAAAGGTGGGTTTCAATATGAAAACACCTTTGTCATGTTTTCCTTCTTGTGTGTTTCATGGATTAGAAAGCAATTTAAGATTTAAAAAAATGTTTACTGACCAACAAGTGTTTTGTTTAGAAACTGTGAAAAATAGAATTGCTGAGCTAAAGCAGGCGATAAAACAGATTGAGTTTGTAATACATTACTTACAATGTGTGCTTAAGACATCCACAAGTAAAATGTGTCTTATTATAAAATAAATATACATATATATACACACACACATAGTGTTTTCAAAGCACAGTGAATTAATACCAACCTCAAATTTCATTCTCGCTGCACAAAACTAACTTTAAATTACACAGTAGTTTTCTCAGAAACCAATGTCAGATATTAAAGGGTCTCATCCATCTATAAAATGTAATAGTTGAAAGCATCCATCTGATAGTCTGGGCAAGAAAGTGCTAGGTGAGGAGGAATGGGATAAGGAGAAGTGACAGGACAGTCAGACCTTGGTAAAAATCACTTCATTGGTTTAATTGAACAATTTCTCTACCATAGAGTAATAAAGAAAATATCACACCCAGTAACAATAGATAGTTTCCAAGTTAAAAGAAAAATCTGTTGCACCTCGTTGGCGTGTTCTCATAACAAGTAGAACATAAAGTTATTAGCATGCACCATATTCCATTTTAATTTCTGATCTATTTATCTTTCTCTTTCATTAAATTATTAGCTCCTTTAAGACATATCAGTATATCTCTAAAATCTAACAAAGAACACAGTGCCCAACACGTCGTAGAGAATCAAAGAGAATTTTTTGTTTTCTGTTAACCTTTATGTTTAATCATTATGTCTACGATTCTTATTTGCATAATTATACCTTTAAAATACCTAATTGGTGTGAAATGTTTTGGATGTACCAATCATTGTTTTTTGTTTGTTTGTTTTTTCTTGAGACAGAGTCTTGCTCTGTCACCCAGGCTGGAGTGTAGTGGCGGGATCTCAGCTCACTGCAACCTCTGCTTTCAAGGTTCAAGCGATTCTCCTGCCTCAGCCTCCCAAGTAGCTGGAACTATAGGCACCCAACACCACACCTGGCTAATTTTTGTATTTTTTTAGTAGAGATGAGGTTTCACCATGTTGGCCTGGCTAGTCTCAAACTCCTGACCTCAAGTGATCCACCTGCCTCGGCCTCCCAAAGTGCTGGAATTACAGGTGTGAGCCACCATGTCCAGCCCCAATCACTCTTTTAAAGCTTTTCTGCATTAACTCATTCATGTTACAACAACTCTGTGATGTAGGCACTTTGATGTACCTGATTTATCCACAGTTGACAGATGAATAAGCAGGGTATAGATCAGAAAGTTTAATTTTCCAATGTCTAACTGTGAATAAGTGGCACAGCCAGGATTTGAATCTAGGCCATCTAAGTCATGAGCCATAGCACATACCCATTACATAAAATATCTACATTATTAAAACTAAACAATGCTTTGGAGTCAAAGAATATTTCTATAGTTGGGGCAACAATTTTTTAAATTAGTCATCATGATTATAATATAAATATTATTATTTAACTGTAAATTTAACTAGAGGTGGCAAAAGTGGATGGCTGAGAGTCGAGGCAGGTAAAAACTTAACCTGGGTAATAGTGAAGGTGAGCAGTCTGTCTTCAGACTATAAATCATTAAGTCATAGGCAACCTGAGCTATCAGGAGAAAGCTCAGAATATGACAGGAAGAGAAGGGAGCTGAAATGGAAGATGTGAAAGGTGTTGTAGAGTTCAAACTTGCCTGAGCTGATCATATAACCTGTTTCAATGAACATCTTTATTTCTGCCCTCATTTTGTTATTTACCTAGATGGTTGTTCAGTTTCCATGTAGTTGTGTGGTTTTGAGTGAGTTTCTTAATCCTGAGTTCTAATGTGATTGCACTGTGGTCTGAGAGACTGTTTGTTATTATTTCCATTCTTTTGCATTTGCTGAGGAGTGTTTTACTTCCAATTATGTGGTCAATTTTAGAGTAAGTGTGATGTGGTGCTGAAAACAATGTATGTTGTGTTGATTTGGGGTGGAGAGTTCTGTAGATGTCTATTAGGTCCACTTGGTCCAGAGCTCAGTTCAAGTCCTGGATATCCTTGTTAATTTTCTGTCTCATTGATCTGTCTAATATTGACAGTGGGGTATTAAAGTCTCCCACTATTTTGTGTGGGAATCTAAGTCTCTTTGTAGGTCTTTAAGACCTTGCTTTATGAATCTGTGTGCTCCTGTATTGGGTGCAATCATATTTAGAATAGTTAGCTCTTCTTGTTGCATTGATCTCTTTACCATTATGTAATGCACTTCTTTTTCTCTTTTGATCTTTGTTGGTTTAAAGCCTGTTTTATCAGAGACTAGGATTGCAAGCCCTGCTTTTGTTTTTGCTTTCCATTTGCATGGTAAATATTCCTCAGTCCCTTTATTTTGAGCCTATGTGTGTCTTTGCATGTGAGATGGGTCTCCTGAATGCAGCACACTGATGGGTCTTGACTCTTTATCCAGTTTGCCAGTCTGTATCTTTTAATTGGAGTATTTAGCCCATTTACATTTAAGGTTAATATTGTCATGTGTGAATTTGCTCCTGTCATTATGATATAGCTTGTTAGTTTGCCCATTAGTTGATGCAGGTTCTTCATAGCATCTATGGTCTTTACAATTTGGTATGTTTTTGCAGTGGCTGGTACCGGTTGTTCCTTTCCATGTTTGGTGCTTCTTTCACAAGCTCTTGTAAGGCAGGCCTGGTGGTGACAAAATCTCTCAGCATATGCTTCTTTGTAAATGATTTTATTTCTCCTTTGCTTATGAAGTTTATTTTGACTGGATATGAAATTCTGGGTTGAAAATTCTCTCTCCATATATATATAGAGAGAGAGAGAGAGTGTGTGTGTGCACATATTTGTTCTCTTTCTCTGGAGAACTCTAACACATGGCTGTTACAAATCATAATATGTACATATTTCTATTGATTATCTATTAAGGAGTAAAATTTCTGGGTCATAAAGTGTGCATAGGTCTGACATTAGCAGACAATGGTAAACAATTTCTGAACTAGGTCAATTTACACTGTCTCCAATATAAGACTACCATTTGCTCTAGAGTCTCACCAAAACTTGATGGCATCAGTAGTTTTTAATGTAAACCTTGCCATTGTTTTGAAGTTATTTTAATTAACTTATCTTGGTCTCAAATATATATTTGTTGTTACCTAGAATGTAATCTGCTGATCATCAGCTAATTATGAGAATGAGACAAGGTTTCTGCTTCCATAGCTCAGTGGATAAACTGTCTTCATGGTAAAACTGATCAGCAAAAATATTTCTCACCATGCTGAAATATGCTGTGCTTGTTCATCACAATCTGCCTTTCTGGTCTTGTGGTCAAAAAGTATCATGCTAATCCTAAATGCAATCTGTTCCTTGCTCCATCAAGTTGATATTAGATAAAAACTGACCCCAACTTGATACCTTTGCTAGCTCCAAATTGGTGTGCTAATGGGTGATTTGGAGATTTACAGTCTTTTAAAACATGATTTTTGTATATCCCCCCAAATATAAAAGCTCCTCAAGCTGCTTGCTACAAACACCTCCTCTCTTCACTGTTGCCTGCATGAGAGTCTTCTCTTTTCCTTCTGCAGCTACTGATTCACTGCAAAATCAACTCAGACTAAGTGCAGATTTTAAATAGCATGGCGAATTGAATGATCCCAGTTTTAAATATGTCAGGAAGGTAATGTGGAGTTTTCTAGTACAGCCATTAGTTTTCCTCCTCCTGTGTTGCAGCTGCAAACACATTGGCATTCTCCAAGACTGCCTCAATATACTGTGTGTGCTCCACCCACGATTACAAAATAATTGGAGTGTTAAGAGAAACATGGCGTGAGGTGTTGGGAGTTGGAAGGCTGGCCTTCAGGAGCAACTCTATCTTCTCCCTTCCAGGCACTTGATTTGGTTTTTCCTTAGTTCAGATTCGATTCTGAATCTGAAAATGTTGCCTAAGCCCTAATTCAGAAATCCTTTGCAAGAGAGCTGAAAAATTTGCTCCAAAAAAGAAAAAGGGGAGAGTTCTAGACAGAAGTAATCAGCTACCTGTAATCATAACTTTAGCATGCTTTTACCAAAAGATGATTAGAAGGATATATCTGCTTCATCAGTGATTTTTAAGAAAAATTTCATTTTCTTATTGATAGAAAGACACGTGGATAAGTATACTGATAAATGGCTGAGACTATCCAGCACACTAACAAGGTAGCTTCACACATTTCTAGGTGTGAAAAAAGTGCTGGGAATGTTAAGTGGATGTGACTACAACATCCCCTAAATGAGACCAGCTTTCTTTCAGCTCTTTTACTTTCAACTAAAAGTGAAAAATGTTTATCAGCTGAGGTCAGGCACTGGAAATGAGTAGTGAATGTAAAATACAAGCTGTACAGAATTGTTCCACATCTAAACCTGTGGGTGGATATTTGTGCAATAACCCCAAGGGTCTACTTTATTTTAACTTTTCAGCATAACTGAATGGCATAGCAAGTCACTTATCTGTTCAAAATTCATGAGAGAGACAGAAAATTGATAAACTCTTGCAAAAATTTCCCAGCCTTCTTTCTAAGAAGAACCACAATGGAAATTTGCTGGCAAAACTAAAAAATTATTGTAACAATATTAGCAAGGGGCATGCTTTAGCCTTCAGTGTTTAAAAAAAAATTCCCTTCCTCATGTACACAACTTGGTATACTCTTAGCAAAGTTTGTTATACTCTTAGCCTTTTGGAAAAGGAGAAAGCTTTTGGTATGCCCAATATGAAACAAATTTTTATAATCTTTTTGTAATAATTTAAAGTAAGTCTATGTCATTTCAGAATGAGCACAGTGGAAATGAACAATTTTTACAAGTAGTGAAATAGTCAATACACAAAGTATTATTTATTGTTGTTAATATGTTTCAAATAATGTTAACAGTTCCTAGCACATAGTAGGAACATAGAAAATATTTGTTTCTTTCAATATCAGTCATTTTTTATTGGCGACCAGCTAAAATACGCTCTAGCTGATTTAAGTGGAAAAGGGATTCATTAAATAGATATTAGATGCTTCTCAGGGTGATGGGGAAGCCTGAATAATGTGGCTCAAGAAATAGGCAGTAAACAAGTGTCTCATATTTTCAGCTCCCTAGTCATTTATGTATCAGTCATTTATTGCTTGTTTCTTTCCTAAATAAATGATATATTCTCTTTTCCTGTGTTTGAGGATCACTTTGAAGATCCTCAAGATCCTCAAACATAGGAAAAGAGAATATATCGTTTATTTAGGAAAGAAACAAGCAAACAAATGATGATGAAAATGGTGTCCAATGAAAATACTAAAACGTATGATTACATGGTTTATATAATTTGGGTATCAATTAGTTTGGTTAATATAAATAGACAATGTGGAACTTTTAAACAGAAGGTTAAAGCCTTCTCTTTATCTTCACCTGTGGAACCCTCAGAACTTCAGATTAGTGTTAAATCCATTCTGTTGTAATGAGCACCTTTCTAAGAACTGGAAGCAAATCTAAAAGGAAGTCATTGAAATCAGAGGGAAAATAAAATATTCTATAACTGATAAAGGGGAAGTGTTATTAACCAGTTTAATGGATATATTTTTAATACATAGTAGAAATGTCTTTGTTTGTAGAAATGCTCTAACAAGGACTCACTTCATTTCAACTGCATCACAGCTTACCTGTAATGTTTTGGGAACTTAAAACCTACAATTCTTCATTTAACATACGGAGTCAACCTTTATTTTTAATGCCAATTCTTGATACTTAAAATAAAGTTTCAAATAAAGTGACAATAAATGTATCAAAAGGTCTTCCTAGGATAGATAGCTTGATATTTTTCATTGCCAAAATCTCATAAACACCAAGTTGCATACATGAATTATATTCACACAGCATACGGAAGTTTTTTTTTCTAAATTCTCTCATTTGAGTATTTTTTTCTCAACTACTGGGCCATGACTCATGAGCATGTGGAGCAGATGTACTTGGTTTTATTTATCTATTTATTTATTTGCATCTGGTTTGCATAGGACAGAATAAACACAAAATAAGGACCTAAAATTGCTTACTTGGGTGATTGAATGCATTTATCAGGTTGGTCTATTACTATCTTAAGAGCTACACGATACAGGCCAGGCGCAGTGGCTCATGCCTGTAATCCCAGCACTTTGGGAGGCTGAGGTGGGGTGGATCAAGAGGTCAGGAGATCAGACCATCCTGGCTAACACGGTGAAACCCCGTCTCTACTAAAAATACAAAAAATTAGCCGGGCGTGGTGGTGGGCGCCTGTAGTCCCAGCTAGTGGGGAGGCTGAGGCAGGAGAATGGCATGAACCTGGGAGATGGAGCTTGCATTGAGACGAGATTGCACCACTGCACTCCAGCCTGGGCGACAGAGCAAGACTCTGTCTCAAAAAAAAAAAAAAAAATGGAGAGAGAGAGAGCTACACAATACAAAATGCCAAGTTATATTTCATAAAAATTTCAATGAAATAGTAATTATTTTTCTATCATTAATTTTTATCACGATATTACAAGTGATAAGAAAGAAATCAGAAACATTTTCTGCCAAAGTAAAATGAGGTGTATCATTCATATAATAACATGAATATTAAGCAGTTTTCATATGCTAGCCTATTTAATCCTCACAATAATTCAGTGTGGGAAATAGAGTTCAAGGTACCCTTGAACAACAAGGGGGTTGGGTTGCTGACCCCTCATGCAGTCAAAAATTCACATGTAACATTTGACTTCCCAAAAACTTAACTTCTAATAGCCTAGTGTTGACTAGAGCCTTATGGGTGACATAAACATATTTTGTATGTTATATGTATTATACAATGTATTCTTACAATAAAGTAATCTAGAGAAAAGAAAATGTTGTTAAGAATATCATAAGGAAGAGAAAATGTATTTACTGTTCATTAAGTGGAAGTCAATCATCATAGAGGCCTTTATCCTTGTTCTCTTCAGGTTGAGTAGGAGGAGGAGGAGGAGAGTTGGTCTTATTGTCTCTGGGACGGCCAACGTGGAAGAGGCAAATAAGGTGAAAGGAGAGGCAGGAGAGGCAAGCACACTTCCTGTAACTTTTACTGAAAATAATGTATGTATAAGTGGACCCTCCCGGTTCAAGAGTCCACCGTATTATACTTAATTTGTTTTTAGAGATGAAGAAACAGAGCAATTAGAAATTTGCCCAAGGTCACATACTTGTAAGAGGTGTATATATATATATATGTATATGTATACACGTATATATATATGTATATATATACACGTATATATATATACGTGTATATATATACACACACTATATACATATAATATACATATGAAAATATATGGCATATATTATATAGAAAATATATATTAATATAGATCGCTACAGAAAAAGATTTAAGGAGTTTGAAGCAATATAATCAGTGAATTTTAATAGAAAAGACTCACGAAATGCAACACTCTACCCTACTTTGTTAAGGTCAACAGATGCTCAGATTGCCTTTATAATGCAATAATATGTTTAATATTTTTTTCTTATTTTTTTAGACAGAGTCTTGCTGTGTCACCCAGGCTGGAGTGCAGTGGCATGATCTTGACTCACTGCAACCTCTGCCTCCCAGGTTCAAGCCTTCTGAGTAGCTGGAATTACAGGCATGCACCACCACATCCAGCTAATTTTTGTATTTTTAGTAGAGATGGGGTTTCGCCATATGGGCCAGGCTGGTCTTGAACTCCTGGCCTCAAGTGATCCACCTGCCTAGGTCTCCCAAAGTGCTGAAATTACAGGCATGAGCCATCGTGCTTGGCCTTGATAATGTTTAACTCATCCCACTTTCATACCTCAAACAACCAGTAAATTAGTATACTGTTCCATTTGTCTGTATAGCACCTGGTATTCAAGCCATTTTCCTACCAGAGAAAATATTCTCCAGAGAGAATATTTTTTCTTTGCTGAAATAAAAGTTGATGGGCAGGGTCTTGCTTTTCTTTTTTTAGATCTGTATGAATTAATTTTGCTTTGGGCTGAATGTTTATGTCCCCTTAAAATTCATATGTTGAACACCTAATCACCAAGGTGATTGGGCCTTGGGAAGTAATTCAATTATGAGAAGGAAGCCCTAGTAAATGAGATTGGTGAACTTAGAAAGGGCACCCCATAGAGTGCCTTTCTTCTTCTACCATGAGAGGATACAGTGGAGAAGGCAACGTCTATGAACCAGAAAGTAGGCCCTCACCAGACACTGAACCTGCTAGTGCTTTGATCTTGGATTTCCCAACCTTCAGAACTGTGAGAAGTAAATTTCTATTATTTGTAAGCTAACCAGGCTATGGTGTTTATATTACAGTAGCCTGAACAGGCTAAGACAGATGTACTCTCAGTCCCTGGGGAAGTACAAGTTGTCCTCTTTCCCCATTTCTTTCCTGTGTATGCACTAGCCTTAGCTCTGCTCTTCTTTACATAATAATATTACAAAATAATTTCATTTACAGAATAATATCATTTTTGTTGTCAATATCAATTATTTTTTATACAAGGAATTAAAAACCTTGGGTAACATTTTTCTAGAGTCTTACTTTCTCTTGGTTATGACTTTTTCACCCATTTACACGTGTGACACATATATCACATGTGTAAATACGATGCATTTGCACACTGTTGCAAATAGCCAAAATATTCCATAATAAGATAATTTGCCTGGGCTTAGTGGCTCATGCCTGTAATCCTAGATTTTTGGGAGGCTGAAGAAGGTGGGAGGACTGCTTGAACACAGGAGTTCAAGACCAGCCTCGGCAATACGGTGAGACCCTGTCTCTACAAAAAATAAAAAATAAAATAGCCTGGTGTGGTAATACATACCTATCATCCTAGCTACTCAGGAGACTGAGGCAGAAGGATGGCTTGAGCCTGGGAGGTTGAGGCTGCAGTGAGTCACGTTCATGCCACTGCGCTCCAGCCTGGGTGACAGAGTGAGACTCTGTCTGGGGCGGAGGAGGGTGGAGGAAAGAAAGAAAGTGAGAAGAAAAGCTTTATATAGCAGAGTTGTCTCCATGTTTTCTGAACACTGTGCATCCCAGTCTAAATCAGTAATCATATTGTAAAGTTCCTCAGGACCTGACTCTGTTTCTTAAGCAGAAAATAAATGTATTGACATATAAAGGGTAGCTCAGAAAATTAAAGAAATATTTGAAGAACAGTTGTGGGGCTGGACAAATATAAGAGCACTTCAGGCATCTAGGGAATAGAACATTATTATTAAATTATGTAACACACTCTCTATGGGATAAATCAGCTAAAATGATCTTCAGTATTTAATTACTCCACTCCAGGTTAGATCCTATAGGAAGTGCAACTGGACAAACATGAATCACTTGCCCACCTACTTTCTAGGAAAGCACAGAATCTCATGATGGATAATTTTGCTAAATGGTCCATCTATCAAAGTGAAATTGGGAGCTTTTACCAGAATACAGGAAAAGTAGATTGGCAAAAGCAACAGATTTCTATTACAACTGTTAACAATTTTAAAATAGTTTCGTTACAAAGCTGTTGAATCCACAACACAGCTGCAATCTTAGATCAATATTTTCAGTGTCACTCCCCCACCTTTAAAAAATCTGAATATGACATCAATTCATACTTTAGACAGTTAATTAGATTAAGACCACTACTTTATTGTGGCAGAAAAATAAAGTTTAATCTGAGATTTTAGACGTCTTCAAAATTAGAACAGGGAGGTTTGGTTGATCTTTGAAGAATTCATTCCTAAGGTAAGTGAAAAATAACATCTCAATACAAATAAATGTATCCATGAATGAAAGGTTAGCATGTACTCAGTATCTCAACCCTTTGTTGGAATGTGAGGAAGGCTACATCCTTACAGATCTGACGTTCTGAGACTCTCAGGGCACAGGAACTGATAATACTAAGGCATATCAGGCCTTCTTGCTCAGTGCATCTGGGGAGGCTATTGTAGTTCTAAGGTTATAAACATGCAAACATATACTGTCTTCTTCAAAGCTGCCTCCCCCTTGTCTCTCTTATTGGCAGCAGAAAGTAGAGCAGAGCTACAAATCATGCACAGCAATCTGGAGATACGGCAGGGCAGCCTCGTGTCGGAGTCGTAAATCTGACACCCTGGCCAATCAGTGCCGGCCTCATTTTATTCACGGCATGTTCATCGTGCAGGCAATAGGAGCGGGAGGCTGCTTTCTGTCCTTGGCTTCTAACCACATGGTTGCATCCTGGTGTGTTTTTCTATTTGTGTATATTTGAGAGAACAATAAGTTATGTTTATGCTTTCCTTTCAAGAAGGAGAGTCTATATTTTTCATCCTTGGACTTAATCAGAGCCTAATTTTTGTAAAAAATTCATTTACTTGAAGTACAAAGCTATTGTGTGTTGCACTTGGGGTTTCTTTTTGTGTTGTTTTGATAAAGAAGGATTCCAAGGCCAAAGTTTCCCAGTGTCATTTTAAGTAAGACCTGCAAAATATTCAGGGTCTTAGGTGAAAAAAAAAATACCGAGTAGAAAAAGTACTCTTCCTTACCATATGACCACTTTCAGCCTTGCTAGGTGGAAGGAAGTGGCTCTGTCAAGTCCATATTCCAGCAGGGCTCAAAATTTACATCCCTTTGCATATTTCCATTAAAAATAATATAAGCTTCCAATTCAAATGTATAATTTTGCATAATCATTGCTTCCCATCTTCTCTTTGGGTCGGCTAAAATAAAAGGGAGGAGAAAGCATAGTTTACAGAAAGTAAGCTTTAAATGGTTGAGCCATTTAAAATCACCATTTTTGTTAGTAAAATATAGTTCAACACTGAGTATTTTGTATGTTTCAAAGTAATATAAAATTATTCTATACTAACAATGAAAATTAGAGAATAATTATGACTGAATGGGAACTAAAAACTAGATGGGAATAGGTAAATGGATAAACAAGTGTGAAGAAAGCTACACATCTCAAGGTTGGTCTTGGTGGTCATGACTGTAATCCCAGCACTTTGGGAGGCTGAGGCGGGTGGATCACTTGAGGCCAGGAGTTGGAGACCAGCCTGGCCAACATAGTTAAACCCCATGTCTACTAAAAATACAAAAAAATTAGCTGGGTTCGGGAGTGCACAACTGTATTCCCAGCTATTCAGGAGGCTGAGGCATAAGAATTGCTTGAACCTAGGAGGCAGAGGTTGCAGTGAGCTGAGATCACACCACTGCACTCCAGCCTGGATATCAGAGTGAGAACCTGTCTCCAAAAAAAGAAAGAAAGTTACATATCCCAGAATATGGGAGCTTGGAAGGATTTTGGAATGAGTTTGTTTAATGGGTCTCTGAAGGCTATGGAGTCAAAGACAGTAAGCCAATTAGAGGGCACTGGGCAAACAGGCCCCAAATAGTAATCATATAGAACTAAGCCAAGTAGCAATCCTATACCCACTCTTAGACTATAGGCATTTGTTATCCTCAAGGGAAACTCCAAATTGGGTTCTTCTGCAAAGCAATAAACAGTTTGAGGAAAGTTAAGTTCCGAGTGTGGGTGTTGGTTCTAACAGTAAGATCATGGTCTGCTACAATTTGGATGTTTTTATCCCCTCCAAATCTCATGGTGAAATTTAATCTTCAATACAGCAGTGTTGGGAGGTGAGACCTAATGGGTAATGTCTAGGTCATAGGGCTCCGTGTTAATGAATGGATTATTATTTTTATTTTTATAATGGCAATACCACTAAAAAATAACTTTCAGGAGTGGATTCTTTCTCTTCCACTTTCTGCCACATGAGGATACAATGTTAATCTCTGTTTGTTCTTGCACCTTCTTCCACGTGAGGATGCAGCAAAAAGCCCTCATTGGACACCAGATGCAGGTGCCTTGATCTTGGACTTGCCAGCCTCCAGAGCTGTGAGAAACAAATTTATGTTCTTTATAAATTACCCACTCTGTTATTTTTGTTACAGCAGTACAAAATGCACTAGGATATAGTCATTCTGCCATTTGGTGGAAAGTGTAATAGCTGGTTAGCTAACAGGTCCAGGTCAGACCTCATAAAACACCATGTACACAGCCTGGTCAAATGTCCAACTTAGTAAAGAAAATCAAATAGAAACTGTACTACTGATTAAAGCAACAAAGAAAGTACCTAACATTCTTATTTCTTACAGTTAAGCTGTGCTTATGAAAAGATCTAGCAGTATCAAGAAACTCAGATATAAGTCTACTCTAAAAGAAAACAAATAACTCTGCACACAAGTGAGAACTTAGTAAAATCCAGTCTATAATTAAAAATTTGAGAAAGTATTGCATTCCTAAAATAGAAAAAGTTTGGTATGTAAAAAAAAAATCAGATAGCAACAAAACTGTCCCAGTTTAAAATACTAAGGGATAAATTTTTAAAGAATGGGGAAAAGATAAAAATACAAATAAAAATATAAGATGTAAAGGACTGACAAAGGAGGTCCCTGAGTAATAAGAATCATATATCAAAAAAAAGCCAACTGTCAAATAAATTATGAAAGAAAATTTCCTAGAGCTGAAAACAGGTATTAAAATTTAGATTCAAAGGGCTTTAAAGGCCCAGAAACATACATTTTTTAAAAAGTCAATCATCCTTAATCATATCTTTATGAAGTTTTAGAACTGCAACTTTTTGAAGGAAAATTATTCTCAACTTAGAATTCTATAATAGTCAGACTACAAATCAAATGTAAATCTTAAAAAATGTGCAATACGTAGAATAACATTGGGCCTTTGTTTTAACAAAACCATTCTTTAAAAGTTACTTCAGAGCTTGGCTTGGTAGCACACTCCTGTAATCCCAGCTACTCAGGAGGCTGAGGCAGGAAGATTGCTTGAGCCCAGGAGTTCCAGGTGGCAGTGAGCTATGATCACATCTGTGAATGGTCACAGCACTCCAGCCTGGGAGATAAAGCAAGACTACATCTCTAAAAATAAATAAAGAAAGAAAGAAATTACATCAGGATACGCTCTGGAAAAATCAAAGAGTATTTCAAGAAAAGGGGAACACACAAGGTCAGGAAACAGTGGATCCAACCATCAGAGTTATGATGAGAAGCACTGAAATGGCAGCTGAACTTGTGACCTAAATCACAACCATGTGGATTAAAACAAGAGGAAGCGATTCTTCATGAAAGAGGTTTACAGAAAACGTGAAACTACAGAATGGCTAGTAAGATCAAACATTTAGGAAAACACAAATACATAAGGCAAATCATGACTAAAAAAAAGAGGAAAGAAAGAAAAAAACAGTTATAAATTCTTGGAAAAATGTAACATTTCACAAAAAGTCATGGTCCAATTTTGAAGCAATGTAACCTGCATGATGGTTTCAGGCAATTATGAAAGATGATTTATTTTAATGTGATGCTAAGAAAATTCTCCTGTGTGTGACACAAGAGTGCAGAAATTGGATCAGAGACAATTAAATGCAATCTACCTATAATACTTTCTTGGACAACAAAAAATACTTATATAATTTTAAAAAGTAAAACAGACTTTAGCATTAACCCAAGGACAGTGTGTGTTAAGTCTGCTTGCAGTTGGAATATAAAGTAACAGTTAATATGCAATACCTCAACAATATAAAAGTTGAAGTGTGACTGACATAAGATAGTGTATTTACATGGAAGAGAGAGGAGAAGGAAAGATCATGCCAAGAGAAAATACTGTGTTAATAGTCATAATGTAAATAATTAAAATTGCAGTTGAAGTATTTTAATGTTAAAATTTTAACCAAATTATAATTCATTACAATATATTTATATGTATTATTATATATAATATAATGTATAATGTCTATTTTTATATATATAGTAGTATTGGAGAAGAAAATTTTTAAAAGTAGTATGAGCAAATCAAATCCTTATTGTGCACACTGGGAAGAAAGTAGAAATTTTGTACAATTGACAGATCAAGAAATAGTTGTATAATTATATTACTTAAGATTTTTAGGGTTTTTCATTCTAAACAGTGGAACACAAGTTGAAGAAGAGGGAGGCAATAAACTGTAGCTTTTTAATAGTGAGTTTTTCTGTACAGTTTTGATTAGTTATCAGGGCCATCTATTACTCCAGTAAATATTGAAATAGAAAAAAAAGGATGGAATTATATGAAAAAATAATAATGGCCTTTATTGCTTTATGGTGAGATTACAGATTTTTTAATCTACTTTTTGCATTGAAAACACTTGCAATAATGTATATATATATTTTTTTGATGATAAGAAATTCAGAAGTATCCACAAATAATTTTTTTAAATAATATTTCATTGTCTACAATGTGTTGTGTAATTTGACAGAAATTTTTATGCTTTTTATCTATTCTGTGAAATGATTTATCCATTTGCGTTCCCACATGAATAAACTGAGGCTCACTGAAACTTTTTAACTAACACAGGTTCACATAAAAATATGCCATTGCTTCAAGCCTAACTTTTGGCTTCTCAAAATAGCTCACCACACTCTATCTCCAAAAGCTTATGACATGTGTAGGGATGTGACTAGTAATCTTACAAAATAGGGACCTGAAAGATTTACTGCAATTTACCTGAATGAAAACTGATTTAACACTCACTACCCACATTAAGATGATTTTTTAAAAATAGCTGTTACCATAATTAACCCAGATTTATAAATCATCTCTAAAAAAATCTGGCCCCATTGATCCAATTGGTTTCTGCACACTCAATTACTAAAGCTGAACATTCTAAATAGACTTGCCTGCCCCTTTGTGGTTCTGTTGTGTTGACCCTACCCTTGTTAAAAGTATGTATTCTTTATTAGACTGCTCATCTTTAAATGCCTCTCTTCAGCATTTGTTAGTTGTGTGACACTGATATTCCCATTTTGAGACCTTCATTCTTCAACTATAAAATAAAAATTTAAAAAGTACTGCAGTTGAAAATGTCAGTTGTCTTCCAAACATCTATTCATCCCTTTTTCATTGCCAACAGAACCCCAATTTGAGGTCTGGAAATATGATCAGCTAAATGTATACTACATCTTTCTGGCTGCCTTAAAGCTAAGGGTTGCCATGTAACAGTTCCAACCAACAAGGTGTAAGTGGAAGTTGGCTGTGGGTTTTTGAGAAAGCTTACTCTTTCTTGATATGAACAACAAAAAAAGAAGATATGGTTTAGACTGTCCTACCTATCTCTGTTTTACTTGCTTCAAATAAGGACGCAGTGCAAAAAGCCAGGTCTGCAATATTGTGAGCATGTGGAGGTAGGTGTAGTGGAAAGGACAAGAGAATTGCAAAAGTTCTAACTTTGATATAAACAAGATGTCAGCTGCTTAACCTTTAAATTTTGTGTGACATAAGAAAAAATAATGGGTCTAAGCCAGTAGAAGTGGCCTTCTGCCATTTGTGGCCTAATTAATTGCTTTCTCTCTCTCTCTTTTTTTTTTTTTTGACAGGATTTTGCTCTATTGCCTAAGCTGGAGTGCAATGACATATGATTGCTTACTGCAGCCTCCAACTCCTGAGCTTAAGCAATCCTACCACCTAACCCTCCTAAGTAGCTGGGACTACAGGTACTTTTCACCATGTCTGGCCAATTTTTAATTTTTTTTATTTTGTTTTTGTACAGACAATGTCTGGCTCTGTTGCCCAGGCTGATCTTGAACTCCTGGCCTCAAGCCATCATCCTCCTTTGGCCTCCCAGGTGCTGGGTTTACAGGGTGACTCACTCCACCCAGATGTGGCCAAATGAATTTCTAATGGATTCTAATGTCTTTTTCACAGGATTAAATCAAACAATACATATAAATAATTAAGATTAGGGCCAAGTACATAGTGCATAATAATTATTGGCTACAATGGGGTTAAAGGAGGAAATTTTAACATGGCATAGAAATTTGCACCTTGAAATTCAGCCTTTTTATCTCATTGCTCAGGAAACAAATGTTCAGAGCATGAAATCACTTGATCAAGATAATTCATGTGATCTTTATTTCTCTTCATAAGTTACTATTATGAAATGTGCTATTTATTAATCATCTGCTATGTAACAGGTGTTCCACAAAAGTCCGGGTATAGAGTAATGCCCTCACAAAACTTCCTTATAGTGTCACACATTCTGGGTCTAAAACTTGAATTAAACCCATTTAAGATTTAATTACATCAAATATTAAAAAGTGTTGATACTCAGGTTTAGCTTGAATCTTAGCAGACAGGATATGGTCTAATTAAACCACTAACTACATCTGCTATTTATATCCATTAACTTTAATTTTATAGTGTAGTTCATAGAACCAAAGAAATGGCTGAGATGCCAGGCTTGGTTAGGGTAGAAACAACGGCTAATCCAATCATCCAGGTCGTAGGAGTCAGCCTAACCTCAGCATTGACACTAGACTATATCAACTCCAACTCTTGTTTTTTCTGTTCTTGAATTCTTCCACTTGACTCAGAAACTAGAAGGGGCTGGGGAACGGGATGGATTGTTCTAATTTGAATGACATATTCACTCCTTGGCTAAGAGAGGTACATCACCTTGACTGACAGTCCACCATATTGCTCACAATGGGAGTGAAGTTACTCCCCAGGAGGAGATTAGTGTGCCACCTCCAAAAGAAAGTGGAATGCAGAACAATTACCTATGCAATTACTGAAACCAGAGCTCTAGCAAAAAGTATAAAATAAAAATGAGAGACTATGGAACTTAGATAACACCCTGGTTCTGAATGGGAGGGGGGTGGTAGAGCTCAAAAAGAAAATATTAGAACCCTAGCCAAGTCCCAGAATTACCTTAGTCAGTCCCTGTGTATCAGCCTGTGGTATTTTGTGACAGGAAAGGAAAAACAGTAACCCTGCCTTCTTACTCTTTTTGGTATACCTTACCAATTCTCTTTTATATTCCAAGAAGTTCTTGCCTGAAATATGTAACAGTTAAGTGTTGTTTTTCTCCTTGCTTATATTGACTTTGTGAAAAGAGCTTATGAAATGTAGTGTTGCTCAGTCTTAGAAAACTAGGCCAGGTATCCAATTAGCATATCTCTCTTGCTCACAGGACTATCAGGATGATTAAGGAGTGTTCCTTCTAGCAGAGAAAAAGGTCTTCTGAGCTGGGAGTCAGTTTGACAGACTAGTCTTTCATTGACCCCCTTCAGCTCTCCTTTATTTTACCCTTGATTTTTAAGGAGGGTGCTTTTACTGTTCTTTATATCACTCTTGCTGTCATTGTTACTGCAGTTGAGAATGCTTTGATTCCCCCTCTGTGTTTAAATTCTTTATCTTCTTCTATTTCACACATTCAATGTTGTAGCCAATTGCCAATTCTGTTTGGGCAATTCAATGATGCATAACACTTTTAAGCAGAGTATAACTGAAAGGGCAAACTTTTGTAAAAGATTATTATTAAAGATAAACACTTTGGATGGATGGATGGATGGTTGGATGGATGGATAGATGGATGCCACAGGTTCTGTATACTGTGCAGAACCCCTTATGCTCATTTCTCATTTCTGAGTGTCTTTTCTCCTGTTTCAGTGTGTCATTGATCTCAATCAGCTGTACCTCAAAGTCATATTTGGCACACTCTCCTAGGGCAACTGGGACACTTCCCATAGTCATGGGCAACCAGAAGTGCTTGGGAGTTTACATCAGTCTCTCACCTTGAGGACTTCAATCAGTGGCTGTATGTTGTGGAAGTATAAAGTCCCAGGATCTGATGAGATCAGAATGAAGCTACATTTAATAGGGCTTGGCCTGAAATCATACCCTTGCTTGGCTTCTTCCCCTTCAGTGTCATGTGCAAAATCCCAAGAAAAGAACTAGTTAATTTGTCTAAGAACCTCAGAAAACACTGGCACAGATAGTGAAGAAGAGGAAAAGTAGTATAAGATGAAGTTGGAAAGAGACTTAAGAGTCAGATCATGCCAAGACTTATAAGGAGTCTGAGTATTATTCAAAGCATCGCAGTTCACATCTACTAGCCTTTTCTCCTTCATAGGAAAAACTGCAATCAAGAATGGTAGCCACAATGGGTAGTTGCCATGGTAGTGAGGACAAGTAGCCAATATTTACGGTATTGTCATTGCTGGTAAAGGAAGCATAGGGTATACAACTAATTTTCTAATGCAATTGTTGCAATTGTTAGCCAGGTTGTACCAAAGGAATCTTCCTATTCTTCATCACAAAATAATTATCCTTAAAAAGAGCTTGGAATCAAGAATCCAGAGATATAGTGCTAATATTCAAGAGTTTTCACATTATGCTAAATTTAGCCAAATGTTGCAAAATCATGGTTAAGTTGACATAGGCCCCTGTCTAAGCTGCAACTCTTGGTTGAACACATCAATAATGGTGTTTAAGCATCCCAAATTCGACTGATGGCAGAGAAGCCAAATTGATCATTTTGATGTAAAATGACCTTCATTTGCTTCTGTTATGGTTCTGTTCTCTAGGGAAGAACAAATAATTTCTAACCTATGCTTAGCTAGGATGTGACACTTTATTATCAATTTATTGATAAGGATTATGGTGTACTATAGATTATTATTTATTTATCTTATGTTAGTTTATCACCACTTATAATCTGCTAACTTTTCTAAAAAGTATCAATAGAATTAGTTTTATTTTTTCATTGCATTAAGAAGCACATTTTTAAATAATCTGAAATTGTTTTTACATAAACATAATTTATCTAAGATTTAGATTTTAATAACACTACATTTTGTTAGTGCAGACTTGGCCTCCATGCTTACTAAAACATAGGTAGTTTAATTAGCTGATCACAATATGGAATATGACTATTAGACGAGAATATGTTTTAAAATTTGTTTTAATATCCTGTAAGAGAAGGCAAATCAACAAGCATGTGGAGAGAAACTCTTTTCTTGATCTACTTACTTTTAAATATATTTTGGCACATAGGACCATTATTCACAGGATCCAATTTATTTCAACTTACAACTTATTAGTAATAATAATATATGTAGCTTTATATCTTTATGTGAAAATCCCAACTATGACTTAAGTGTGAGTGTCATATCCTGCAATTTCACAGATACTTAGAAGTGATAGATGAAAATCATATATATTCTTCTTGTTTACTGAAGATATTTAACACCAGAAAAAGATTAAGGAAAAAGAAACACTCTCCATATGTATTCATACATTTTTAATGAGAAAAAAAGAAATAAGCTCTGTCAAAGTGCTATTTGTAGCTATTTCCAAATTTAATTTTATGTTTTAAAAAGTTTTTGAAGTCCCACCTAAGATAACATCTGTGAGGCCAGAAATAAATAAAATCCAAGTGTATTTAAAAGAAACTAAGGATTAAAAGGTGAGCAGAACCTGAAGTGGATAAAAATTTGTCTTTTCAATTTACTTGGTGTTCATTTTGGGAAATTAGCCTCGTGACCCCCAGCCTAAATGACATCATCCAGTGAGGTTGCTAAATCAGTGTGATAAGACCCCTGGAATTGAGGAAGTTTCAAGAAAGGATGCTGAAAATCTACCATACATTGAGTTACTGTAGATTAATGGTTCATGGCATTATCTTATTTACTCCTAAGAACAACTGTATACATTAGATATTATTATCTTCATTTTATAGAAGAGACACCAAGTGTTGGAGAGGCTAATGACTTAACATAGCTATTAATCAGCAGAGGTACATTTAAAATCTGAATCCAAATCCAGAAATCACAAAGCTAGCATATCCCCTCTAGTACCAGCCTGGTAATTGTGATTTATGTGCTTAATAAGAAATCAGATCTGTTTTCATGAACACTATGTTTAATAAATCATCTTATTGAATCAGAGGTCCTAACTGTCTAGCCTGAACTAACCAACTGGGTTCTAGTAATCAAGCAATTAAAGACAACAGTTTGGAATTGTAGGTGACATAAGGCAGGTAAATAAGAAGGAATCATTCCTGGTTTTGCATAGCCACATACAGAGCACAGTGCCTAGAGCAGAGCATTGCAGATCCATTGAATCTGCTTTTAAGATCCATCTAGTGTGCCTAGAAAAGAAACAGGAAAGAAATCACAAACTGTTAACAGATAGAATAATTTACTAAAAATGTCATACTGCCTGTCACTGGTTTATTATAAGTAGCATAATTCAAATGAAACCTACATGGGCTCCAAAATGTTACACCTAGAATACAGCAAGATTTGACCATGACTACCCTAAATGATATATGATCAGTCCATTTTCCTTTGCTATAAAGGAATGCATGAGACTAGGTAATTTATAAAGAAAAGAGGTTTATTTGGCTGACAGTTCTACAGGCAGTGCAAGCATAGCACCAGCCTCTGCTCAGCTTCTGGTGAAGCCTCAGGAAGCTTTTATTCATGACAGAAGGTAAACAGGGAGCAGACATGTCACATGGGGAGAAAGAGAGGAAGAGAGAAGGCAGGCCAGGCTCTTTAAACAACCAGCTCTCACGTGAACCCGAGCTCACTCATTACTGTAGGAAGGGCACAAGCAATTCATGAGAATCTGACCTCATGACCCAAACACCTCTCATTAGGCCCTACCTCCAACACTGGGGATCATATTTCAACATAAGATCTGTAGGGGACAAGCATCAAAACTAAATCAATATAGTTCACCAAACATATGCACAGTGATTCTTAGTCAACATCAGGTTGGCAGATCTACCCTGTGAGATTTATCTAGCTATTTAATAACTGCCAACATACTACTTTTTAATCTGACTTTAAATCAAATCATCACGTATATCATACCAGAAAGCAAATTAGAATTACATGTTATTAATTTACCAAGGAAAGCCATGTGCCAAAAACATCTTTTGGAATACAGGAAAATTGATCAGAAATTTAACTTCTAATTTAATATTGGTTCCCCATTTATTGGTAGTAAACTATAAATGCTAATATCCGATGGTAGGATTAGGATGAGACTCTTTGACCTAGAACAAGAGGATGAGGCGTTTGCGCTCAGCTTTGTAGAAAGCTTTGTAGCTTGGGAACAAACAAATGCTCATCATTAGCGGTTCAGTTTCTTCAACTTCTCTTTCTCTTTTTCTTCGCCTATCAATCTTATAAGGTTTGTTTCTCTCCTGTTCCGTTCAAAGATCTTTGCTCTAATAAAAAGCACAATTTAAGAAGTTTTCTCATTCTGGATATACTTTTTACTGCCCAAAGTACAGCACAGAGAATTAAGTTTTCAAAAACCAAGTGATATAGAAGAAAGAAAAAGAGATTAAAGAACATGAAAGTGCTACAGAGACTCAATAAAATATATGTAGTTTTTTTAACTCTGAATTTTCCTCTTTTGAAGACAACCAAAATCTTTTAAAACACATTATCTTAAACTATTTTTTATTTGTATCAGTTCTCCATTAAGTTATGAATATATATTTTTAAAACAGCTTTGGAAAAATACATTTTCTGTTTTATTTTGTTCTACAAAATATAGATAGAATACTTCTCCGAAAGATACTATTTTCCTAGTACACAGGATATGAAATCTCAGAAAAGTATAAAAAAAGAATACAAAGCTTATAGGCTTGTGATGGGACTTAGGAGAAAAGTTTGGACAAAGGGACAAGCATACAATGCATCTTCCTTCTCTTCAGACAGAAACAGTATTAATACCAAAAGAATATGTAAAAGTGAGCAATTCCCTCTGTATTCACACAATCCAAGCGAGTGTGAATGATAATGGGATCTTGAATCTCTCGTACCAGACATCAGTAAAAAAACAACTATGTCCTGTCAGCCTTATAACAAAGGAGCTTATTAAGATAAATGATACTTTTAAGATAACATCTACCATAATATGCTACACTTGGTATTCAAATGTAAAACAAGCCAAAGTCAATATATCCATTGTTCTCCCTCTTAATTCTTTGCCTTAATCTCCTTCACAACAAATAAAATTGTAAAGCAAATCAACTGCTCAAAACTAACAGTGCCACTTGTCCTATGTCAAAATTTGTCTAGGACAGTCTAAATTCAAATATTCAATTCTTCTATGGACAATGCAAATTTATTTATATCATGCTTCCTTTTAACAACCTTGATAGGAATTTCAAAACACTGGAGATTAACTGAGTAAATTATGATTCAACTCTATAATATATAGTATGCAACTAAAAAGAATATCTAATGATAAAAGAAAATATTTAATTATTTTGCTAAATGCAAAAAGCAAGTTTCATAATTTTATATTCAATATGTCTACATTTTATAGAACTATACAGATATAATGAAAGACCACAAGGTCATATGCCAAAATATTAATAGTAATTTTTTAAAATGATAGACTTCCAGGTATCTTATATGATTGACTTGCATTTCTTTTGATCTCAATCAGAGTAGTTGAATTATTTTCTTGTGAAAATGTACTATCCTTGTTTTTGTTTCTGTATGTTTTCTCTATGTAAATCCTAGCTTTTCAAATAACCATTCAAATTCTTATGCTTTGTATTTTATTTTCCTGAACATACCAGCTAATGTAAAATAATCTTTCTTTCCAATTCTTGAAACCAAATGTAAGCTCCTTAAGGGAAGAATCTATAACAATTTGTACTTCCCACAGCAACTATATTAGCAGAGAAAAATGATTTGGTAAATAAATACCTGTGAGATTAAAAAGAAAATCTTAAGGATGTAATGAGATTTGCATACACACAGACACACTCTCACACTTTCTTTAAGAGGAGGCTCTTCAGTCCTATTTATTTCACCCAACTCTCATCAAGTTGCAGACTCTGAACCAAAAGGAATCTTAGGAACCCTCCATACTGTGCTGATTTCTCCTCCGTAATAGTCTCTTTGCATCCAGCTGGGCTTGAATATCTTCAGCCACAGAAAAATCACTTAACATATGGAGCTCATTCTATTGCTACATATGTCCTAAATACTAAAACATTATTTTAATGCTTAGCCACAACACACACATGCTTAAATTTAAAAAAAAAAAAAGTCAGTACCATCCCCTAGGTAATCATGTTTGTAACACTTTAATGAGTTTAAGGCCTGAGCTCTAAATTATAATCAAATGTTAAGTTAAAAAAAATGAAGCATATAGAATTTTCTGCTTTCTTCATGTTGATTGCTTCCTTATACTTCCTTATTTTCAATATGTATCTTACTTATTTAAGGTATATTTTAAAATTTAATGTGATGGCAGAAAACAAAATATGAAAACAATGCATACTATTATATATTTATCAAGATTTGTGTAATTTAGACCATCATTTGAATCTTACTTCTTATATTTCGATATTTTAAGAATTAAGCTTATATAGGTAAAGACCAAGGTTACAGTTTTACTATAATAAGTTATATAAAAAACAAATATATTGAAGCAGAGCACAGCAAACTTTTCCTGTAAAGGACCTGATAGTAAATATTTTCAGCTTTGGGAACTATACAATCCCTGCTACAACTATTAATCTCTGTCATTATAGGGCAAAAGCAGCCACAAATAACATGTAAGTGAATGGCGTGTCTGTTTAGCTGTGTTCCAATAAAACTTTATTTATTAAAAACAAGCAAGATTTGAATTTGGCCTGATGTAAACATAGTTTGATAATCCCTATACTATTGGGATTACTCATGCCATTGTCCTAATGAACTACATAGTTTAAATCTATTCCATCAATAAGGCTATGTGCATCAGGATTTATTCAATTGAACGTGTATTTGTTAAGCTCATCATATAAGCTCAGCATTGTAATCAATCAGGCTTTATACAGTCTTATTTAAGATTGCCTAGAAAAACAGACTAAAGATTATGCAACAAATTTGAGACATCCAAGTGGCAAAACCAAGTAATTCAACATGAAATATTTATTTGAGGATATGAAAAAACAAATGTACATGCGTGTGTATGCACACAGGCACCTGTAACAATAGCCTTGTTTTCCTCTCTTAGGAAGATATAAATAAAAGCTTAAATGGCTTTCATGAGAGTAGAAGAGATATCATGTTATTTCGTTCTCTTTTTAAAGCATTCTAGAATAAATAAACAGTAGTTGCCAGAGGACCTACTATAAGCAATTCTGGACTTGACCCCCAAAAATGTTACCTCTCAAAATATTTCTGAAGGATGAGCTGAAGGGGAGTAAACAGTGACTTAAAATCTGATAGTAGACACTTTTCATGATCCTTGAACAAGGATCTATCATTATGCCTTAGTGTACCTCTGGTTCATAACTTTGACACACACAATGATTATTCCTCAGTGGTAATGAAATATTTATTAAATACAGATAATATTTGATAGGGTTTAGATATCTGTCCCTTTTAAATCAGCTCATGTTGAAATATAGTCCCCAGTGTTGGACGTGGAGCCTGATGGGAGATGTTCGGATCAGGAGGTGGATCACTCATGAATAGCCTTGTGCCATCTTTTTGGTAATGAGTGAATTCTCCTTCTATTAGTTTACCTGAGAGTTGCTGTTTAACCCATTCTCCCCAAGAATATTCGCTGGTGGTGCTTGTGGCTGCAGAGTTTACCCTGAGATAACTCGTGGGTTACAGTTCTAACCTTACCCCCAAAGTTTGCCAGGGAATATCTCAATTTTATTATTATTTTCACATTGCTCTAATATATCAACTTGGGAAACAAAATACATCATTCTATTTATAGCATTCTGTTTTTAGTAGTGGTATTTCTATTTACAAAATATAGTAATTCTCAATTGCTGAAAATGTCAAATTCTATACAACATAGAATTCGACATTTTCTGTGTTGTTCCATGCTTCAAAATTTGAAATTTACTAACAGATAAACATTATTAAATACTGATCGTCATATACATTTCTATTACATTAAGATTAGAGACAAGTTCTGTTTACAAATAACTCCAAGAACAGTTTTTAGATTTTATTTTCACATTGAAAATCAATTAGATTTGCTCCTACCTCAAAGAGCATGTTTGTGTAAAATTAAATGAGTACTGGCAGTGAGCTGCACTTTTTTTTTCTAAATGAGAAATGGGTTAAAAGAGTGTTGCACCTCTTCCTCTCACTCATTCCCTTTCTTGTCATGTGACATGCCTGCTCCCTCTTTGCCTCCTGCCATGAGTAAAAGCTGCTTGAGGTCTCACCAGAAGCTGAGCAGATGCTGGTGCCCCACTTGTATAGCCTGCAGAACTGTGAGCCAAATAACCCCCTCTTTTTAAAAAATAAATTACCCAGCCTCAAGTATTCCTTCATAGCAATGCAAAATAAACTAATACAGAAAATTGGTACTAAGAGTGGGCTCTTGTATAAAGATACCTGAAAATGTGGAAGCATCTTTGTTACTGGGTAACAGTCAGAGGTTGGAAGAGTTTGAAGGTCTCGAAAGAAGACAAGAGAGAATTTGGAACTTTTTAGAGACTTGTTAAGTAGTTGTAACCAAAATGCTGGTAGAAATATAAACAGTAAAGGCCAGGCTGATGAGGTATCAGATGAAAATGAGAATTTTTTGAAAACTGGAGCAAAATTCACCCTTGTTACATCCTAGCAAAGAGCTTGGCTGCATTGTGTCCATGCTGTAGGGATTTATGGGATGTTTAACTTAAGAGTGTTGACTTAGGATATCTGACAGAAGAAATTTCTAAGCAGAAAGCATTCAAGGGGCTGTGTGGCTGTTTCTAACAAACTACAACAAGATGTTGGAACAGATGTATTACTTAAGGTTAAAAATTATAATAAAAAGCAAAGCAGAGTGTACAAATTTGGAAAATTCATAATCTGGCCATGAGGTAGACAAAGAAAGACAGTTTTCAGGAGAAAAGCAGAAGCAGCTGAGAAATAACCAATTGCTAGAGAGACTTGCATGACTAAAATGGAACCAAGTGCTGATAGCCAAGACAATGGAAAAAAGACCTTGAAGACATTTCAGAAATCTTCAGGAGAGTCCCTGCCATCACAGGCCTAGAGGCCTAGGAAGAAAGAATGCTTCTGGGGACAATGCCTGGGAGACCACTGCTCTGCACCACCTCAGGAGAGTGTGCCCTATATCCTGGCTGCTTCAGCCCCAACCAAAGCTGAAAGGGCCTGGGTATACCTAAGCTCCCATTATGGAGAGTTCAAGCCACTGTAAGCATTGGCAGCTTCTACATGGTGTTAATCCTGTAAGTGCACAGAGCACGAGAGTGAAGGCTTAGTAACTTCCACTTATATTTCAGAGGATGTATTGGAAAGGCTGGGTACCTAGGCAGAAGCCTGCTACAGGGGTGGAGCCCTTGCAGAGAGCCTATACTAGGATAGTGCCAAGGGGAAATGTGGGGTTGCAGCCCCCACACAGAGTCACCACCCGGGCAATGCCTAGTGGATTTGTGAAAATGGGGCCACCACCTTTCAGATCCCAGAATATACCTTGAGCCTGGAAAAGTCACAGGCATTCAACTCCAACCCGTTACAGCAGCCACATGGGCTTCACCAAATAAAGCCATGGAGGCAGAGCTGCAGAGCTGCCCAAGGCCTTGGGAAGACCACCTGTCATTTTTCTCCAATGTAGTAGTTTCTCCAATAACCCATGGTACCTCCCACCAAGACCTGAGTCCTCAAAATATCTATTGAATGGTTGTACTCTTAGGGGTGTAGTTATAATAATAATGATATACTTCAGTATTAAATTTTAAATTTTATGGAGTAATGATAAGCAATAAAAATAAAACAATACTTCTTCCTTGTTTGCTAAATTACAAGTAGCAAGCCATTCAGGGGAGGAGCCAAGATGGCCGAATAGGAACAGCTCCGGTCTACAGCTCCCAGCGTGAGCGACACAGAAGACGGGTGATTTCTGCATTTCCATCTGAGGTACCGGGTTCATCTCACTAGGGAGTGCCAGACAGTGGGCGCAGGTCAGTGGGTGCGCACACCGTGCGTGAGCCGAAGCAGGGCAAGGCATTGCCTCACCTGGGAAGCGCAAGGGGTCAGGGAGTTCCCTTTCGGAGTCAAAGAAAGGGGTGACGGACAGCGCCTGGAAAATCGGGTCACTCCCACCCGAATACTGTGCTTTTCCAACGGGCTTAAAAAACGACGCACCACGAGATTATATCCCGCACCTGGCTCGGAGGGTCCTACGCCCACGGAGTCTCGCTGATTGCTAGCACAGCAGTCTGAGATCAAACTGCAAGGCGGCAGCGAGGCCGGGGGAGGGGCGCCTGCCATTGCCCAGGCTTGATTAGGTAAACAAAGCAGCCTGTAAGCTCGAACTGGGTGGAGCCCACCACAGCTCAAGGAGGCCTGCCTGCCTGCCTCTGTAGGCTCCACCTCTGGGGACAGGGCACAGACAAACAAAAAGACAGCAGTAACCTCTGCAGACTTAAATGTCCCTGTGTGACAGCTTTGAAGAGAACAGTGGCTCTCCCAGCATGCAGCTGGAGATCTGAGAACAGGCAGACGGCCTTCTCAAGTGGGTCCCTGACCCCTGACCCCCGAGCAGCCTAACTGGGAGGCACCCCCCAGCAGGGACACACTGACACCTCACACGGCAGGGTACTCCAACAGACCTGCAGCTGAGGGTCCTCTCTGTTAGAAGGAAAACTAACAAACAGAAAGGACATCCACACCAAAAACCCATCTGTACATCACCATCATCAAAGACCAAAAGTAGATAAAACCACAAAGATGGGGAAAAAACAGAACAAAAACTGGAAACTCTAAGATGCAGAGCGCCTCTCCTCCTCCAAAGGAACGCAGTTCCTCACCAGCAACGGAACAAAGCTGGATGGAGAATGACTTTGACGAGCTGAGAGAAGAAGGCTTCAGACGATCAAATTACTCTGAGCTACGGGAGGACATTCAAACCAAAGGCAAAGAAGTTGAAAACTTTGAAAAAAATTTAGAAGAATGTATAACTAGAATAACCAATACAGAGAAGTGCTTAAAGGAGCTGATGGAGCTGAAAACCAAGGCTCGAGAACTACGTGAAGAATGCAGAAGCCTCAGGAGCCAATGCGATCAACTGGAAGAAAGGGTATCAGCGATGGAAGATGAAATGAATGAAATGAAGCGAGAAGGGAAGTCTAGAGAAAAAAGAATAAAAAGAAATGAGCAAAGCCTCCAAGAAATATGGGACTATGTGAAAAGACCAAATCTACATCTGATTGATGTACCTGAAAGTGATGGGGAGAAAGGAACCAAGTTGGAAAACACTCTGCAGGATATTATCCAGGAGAACTTCCCCAGTCTAGCAAGGCAGCCCAATGTTCAGATTCAGGAAATACAGACAACACCACAAAGATACTCCTCGAGAAGAGCAACTCCAAGACACATAATTGTCAGATTCACCAAAGTTGAAATGAAGGAAAAAATGTTAAGGGCAGCCAGAGAGAAAGGTCGGGTTACCCTCAAAGGGAAGCCCATCAGACTAACAGCGGATCTCTTGGCAGAAACCCTACAAGCCAGAAGAGAGTGGGGACCAATATTCAACATTCTTAAAGAAAAGAATTTTCAACCCAGAATTTCATATCCAGCCAAACTAAGCTTCATAAGTGAAGGAGAAATAAAATACTTTACAGACAAGCAAATGCTGAGAGATTTTGTCACCACCAGGCCTGCCTTACAAGAGCTCCTGAAGGAAGCACTAAACATGGAAAGGAATAATCAGTACCAGCCGCTGCAAAATCATGCCAAAATGTAAAGACCATCGAGACTAGGAAGAAACTGCATCAACTAATGAGCAAAATCACCAGCTAACATCATAATGACAGGATCAAATTCACACATAACAATATTAACTTTAAATGTAAATGGACTAAATGCTCCAATTAAAAGACACAGACTGGCAAATTGGATAAAGAGTCAAGACGCATCAGTGTGCTGTATTCAGGAAACCCATCTCACATGCAGAGACACATATAGGCTCAAAATAAAAGGATGGAGGAAGATCTACCAAGCCAGTGGAAAACAAAAAAAGGCAGGGGTTGCAATCCACGTCTCTGATAAAACAGACTTTAAACCAACAAAGATCAAAAGAGACAAGGCCATTACATAATGGTAAAGGGATCAATTCAACAAGAAGAGCTAACTATCCTAAATATATATGCACCCAATACAGGAGCACTAAGATTCATAAAGCAAGTCCTGAGTGACCTACAAAGAGACTTAGACTCCCACACATTAATAATGGGAGACTTTAACACCCCACTGTCAACATTAGACAGATCAACGAGACAGAAAGTCAACAAGGATACCCAGGAATTGAACTCAGCTCTGCACCAAGCGGACCTAATAGACATCTGCAGAACTCTCCACCCCAAATCAACAGAATATACATTTTTTTCAGCACCACACCACACCTATTCCAAAATTGACCACATACTGGGAAGTAAAGCTCTCCTCAGCAAATGTAAAAGAACAGAAATTATAACAAACTATCTCTCAGACCACAGTGCAATCAAACTAGAACTCAGGATTAAGAATCTCACTCAAAACTGCTCAACTACATGGAAACTGAACAACCTGCTCCTGAATGACTACTGGGTACATAACGAAATGAAGGCAGAAATAAAGATGTTCTTTCAAACCAACGAGAACAAAGACACAACATACCAGAATCTCTGGGACGCATTCAAAGCAATGTGTAGAGGGAAATTTATAGCACTAAATGCCCACAAGAGAAAGCAGGAAAGATCCAAAATTGACACCCTAACATCACAATTAAAAGAACTAGAAAAGCAAGAGCAAACACATTCAAAAGCTAGCAGAAGGCAAGAAATAACTAAAATCAGAGCAGAACTGAAGGAAATAGAGACACAAAAAACCCTTCAAAAAATTAATGAATCCAGGAGCTGGTTTTTTGAAAGGATCAACAAAATTGATAGACCACTAGCAAGACTAATAAAGAAAAAAGAGAGAAGAATCAAATAGATGCAATAAAAAATGATAAAGGGGATATCACCACGGATCCCACAGAAATACAAACTACCATCAGGGAATACTACAAACACCTCTACGCAAATAAACTAGAAAATCTAGAAGAAATGGATAAATTCCTGGACACACACACTCTCCCAAGACTAAACCAGGAAGAAGTTGAATCTCTGAATAGACCAATAACAGGAGCTGAAATTGTGGCAATAATCAATAGCTTACCAACCAAAAAGACTCCAGGACCAGATGGATTCACAGCCGAATTCTACCAGAGGTACAAGGAGGAACTGGTACCATTCCTTCTGAAACTATTCCAATCAATAGAAAAAGAGGGAATCCTCCCTAACTCATTTTATGAGGCCAGCATCATTCTGATACCAAAGCCGGGCAGAGACACAACCAAAAAAGAGAATTTTAGACCAATATCCTTGATGAACATTGATGCAAAAATCCTCAATAAAATACTGGCAAAACGAATCCAGCAGCACATCAAAAAGCTTATCCACCATGAACAAGTGGGCTTCATCCCTGGGATGCAAGGCTGGTTCAATATACGCAAATCAATAAATGTAATGCAGCATATAAACAGAGCCAAAGACAAAAACCACGTGAGTATCTCAATAGATGCAGAAAAAGCCTTTGACAAAATTCAACAACCCTTCATGCTAAAAACTCTCAATAAATTAGGTATTGATGGGACGTATTTCAAAATAATAAGAGCTATCTATGACAAACCCACAGCCAATATCATACTGAATGGGCAAAAACTGGAAGCATTCCCTTTGAAAACTGGCACAAGACAGGGATGCCCTCTCTCACCACTCCTATTCAACATAGTGTTGGAAGTTCTGGCCAGGGCAATTAGGCAGGAGAAGGAAATAAAGGGTATTCAATTAGGAAAAGAGGAAGTCAAATTGTCCCTGTTTGCAGACGACATGATTGTATATCTAGAAAACCCCATTGTCTCAGCCCAAAATCTCCTTAAGCTGATAAGCAACTTCAGCGAAGTCTCAGGATACAAAATCAATGTACAAAAATCACAAGCATTCTTATACACCAACAACAGACAAACAGAGAGCCAAATCATGAGTGAACTCCCATTCACAATTGCTTCAAAGAGAATAAAATACCTAGGAATCCAACTTACAAGGGATGTGAAGGACCTCTTCAAGGAGAACTACAAACCACTTCTCGAGGAAATAAAAGAGGATACAAACAAATGGAAGAACATTCCATGCTCATGGGTAGGAAGAATCAATATCATGAAAATGGCCATACTGCCCAAGGTAATTTACAGATTCAATGCCATCCCCATCAAGCTACCGATGACTTTCTTCACAGAATTGGAAAAAACTACTTTAAAGTTCATATGGAACCAAAAAAGAGCCCGCATCGCCAAGTCAATCCTAAGCCAAAAGAACAAAGCTGGAGGCATCACACTACCTGACTTCAAACTATACTACAAGGCTACAGTAACCAAAACAGCATGGTACTGGTACCAAAACAGAGATATAGATCAATGGAACAGAACAGAGCCCTCAGAAATAACGCCGCATATCTACAACTATCTGATCTTTGACAAACCTGAGAAAAACAAGCAATGGGGAAAGAACTCCCTATTTAATAAATGGTGCTGGGAAAACTGGCTAGCCATATGTAGAAAGCTGAAACTGGATCCCTTCCTTACATCTTATACAAAAATCAATTCAACATGGATTAAAGACTTAAATGTTAGACCTAAAACCATAAAAACCCTAGAAAAAAACGTAGGCATTACCATTCAGGACATAGGCATGGGCAAGGACTTCATGTCCAGAACACCAAAAGCAATGGCAACAAAAGACAAAATTGACAAATGGGATCTAATTAAACTGAAGAGCTTCTGCACAGCAAAAGAAACTACCATCAGAGTGAACAGGCAACCTACAAAATGGGAGAAAATTTTCGCAACCTACTCATCTGACAAAGGGCTAATATCCAGAATCTACAATGAACTCAAACAAATTTACAAGAAAAAAAACAAACAACCCCATCAAAAAGTGGGCGAAGGACATGAACAGACACTTCTCAAAAGAAGACATTTATGCAGCCAAAAAACACATGAAAAAATGCTCATCATCACTGGCCATCAGAGAAATGCACATCAAAACCACAATGAGATACCATCTCACACCAGTTAGAATGGCAATCATTAAAAAGTCAGGAAACAACAGGTGCTGGAGAGGATGTGGAGAAATAGGAACACTTTTACACTGTTGGTGGGACTGTAAACTAGTTCAACCATTGTGGAAGTCAGTGTGGCGATTCCTCAGGGATCTAGAACTGGAAATACCATTTGACCCAGCCATCCCATTACTGTGTGTATACCCAAAGGACTATAAATCATGCTGCTATAAAGACACATGCACACGTATGTTTATTGCGGCATTATTCACAATAGCAAAGACTTGGAACCAACCCAAATGTCCAACAATGATAGACTGGATTAAGAAAATGTGGCACATATACACCATGGAATACTATGCAGTCATCAAAAATGATGAGTTCATGTCCTTTGTAGGGAAATGGATGAAATTGGAAATCATCATTCTCAGTAAACTATCTTAAGAACAAAAAACCAAACACCGCATATTCTCACTCATAGGTGGGAATTGAACAATGACAACACATGGACACAGGAAGGGGAATATCACACTCTGGGGACTGTTGTGGGGTGGGGGGAGTGGGGAGGGATAGCATCGGGAGATATACCTAATGCTAGATGACGAGTTAGTGGGTGCAGCGCACCAGCATGGCACATGTATACATATGTAACTAACCTGCACAATGTGCACATGTACCCTAAAACTTAAAGTATAATAAAAATAAATAAATAAATAAATTACAAGTAGCATAAACTAAGATGGATGTGTAGATAGATACATAGGCCCCTTGTTATGTTTTCTTATCTTTCAGAACAAAAAAGTAGACAAGTTTCCTAGTCAAGATATTCCTTAGCTACAGCAGTCACAGGAAAATTATAGCACATGTTACCTCTAATCATATATCTGTCTATAGAATGATTCATCCTGCATGTTTCTAACAGAGCGATCATTGCTCAGCACAACCCTGCTCATTTAATTACTCCTCAGAATCCTCAAGTGGCTCTCAATACTTCCAAAATACAAGTCAAATCAGGTTTGCCTGTCTTCCAAACTCCTCAACAATTCAACTCTCAGCCATCTTTCATTTTGAAACACAGGTTGTTTTGGTAGAATTTACATAAAATAAAATTTACTCTTTTTGATGTATAATTCTATGAGTTTTACTAACGTATATAGTCATGTGACTACAAATAAAATCAATATATAGAACATTTTCATCACCTGAAAATGTAACCTTCTGCCTCTTTGTAGGCATTCATCTCCCTCAGTCCTAGCCAGTGGCAACCACTGACTTATTTCTTGTCCTTCAACTTGACTCCTAGAAACTCATGTAAACGGAATCATAAAGGATATAGCCTTTTAAGTACGTATTGTTTCACTAACTTAATGTATTTGAGATTTATCCATATTGTTGCTTATTTAGTAGGTTGAGCCTTTCACTTTTTATTGCTATCATTCCATTATATGGATAGGCCAAAGTTTGTTTAACCATTTGTCCATTGAGAGATATTTATGTGGGGATTTGCTGACAAGATGGCCAAATAGGAAAAGTTCCAGTCTGCAGCTCCCAGCGAGATCGACGCAGAAGGTGGGTGATTCCTGCATTTCCAACTGAGGTAAGCAGTTCATCTCATTGGGACTGGTTGGAGAGTGGGTACAGCCCGTGGAGGGCAAGCCAAAGCAGGATGGGGCATCACCTCACCCAGGAAGCACAAGGGTTGGGGGAATTATCTCCCCGACCCAAGGAAAGCAGTGAGGCACTGCACCATGAGGAATGGTGTGCTCTGGCCCAGGTACTGCACTTTTCCCATGGTCTACACAACCCACAGATCAGGAGATTCCTTCTGGTGCCTAAGCCACCAGAGCCCTGGATTTCAAGCACAAAACTGGGTGGTTGTTTGGGCAGATACCAAACTAGCTTCAGGAGTTTTTTTTCAATACCCCAGTGGCGCCTGGAACACCAGTGAGACAGAATCGTTCACTCCCCTGGAAAGGGGGCTGAAGCCAGGGAGCCAAGTGGTCTGGCTCGGGGGATCCCACCCCCATGGAGGCCAGCAAGCTTGGATGCACTGGCTGGAAGTTCTCGCTGCCAGCACAGCAGTTTGAGGTTGACCTGGGATGCTCAAGCTTGGTGTGGGGAGGGGCCTCTGCCAATGCTGAGACTTGAGTAAGTGGTTTTACCCTTACAGAGTGAACAAAGCTGCAGGGAAGTTCAAGCTGGGCAGAGCCCACCGCAGCTCAGCAAGGCCATGGTGGCCAGACTGCCTCTCCAGATCCCTCCTCTCTGGGCAGGGCATGTCTGAAATAAAGGCAGCAGCCCCAGCTGCTTATAGATAAAACCTCCATATCCCAGGGACAATGCACCTAGGGGAAGGGGCAGCTGTGGGCGCAGCTTCAGCAGACTTAAACATTCCTGCCTGACAGCTCTGAAGAGAGCAGCAGATCTCCCAGCACAGAGTTTCAGCTCTGCTAAGGGTAAGACTTCCCCATCAAGTGAGTCCCTGACCCCTATGTATCCTGACTGGGAGACACCTCGCAGTAGGGGCTGACATACACCTCATACAGGAGAGCTCTGGCTAGCATCTGGCAGGTGCCCCTCTGGGACGAAGCTTCCAGAGGAAGGAACAGGCAGCAATCTTTGCTGTTCTGCAGCCTCCACTGGTGATTCTCAGGAAACAGGGTCTGGAGTGGACCTCCAGCAAACTCCAGCAGATCTGTAGCAGAGGGGCCTGTTAGAAGGAAAACTGACAAACAGGGATAGCATCAATATCAACAAAAAGGACGTCCACTCAGAGACCCCATCTGAAAGTCACCAACATCAAAGACCAAAGGTAGATAAATCCACTAAGATAGTGAGAAACCAGTGCAAAAAGGCTGAAAATTCCAAAAGCCAGAACACCTCATCTCCTCCAAAGGATCACAACTTCTGGCCAGCAAGGGAACAAAACTGGATGGAGAATGAGTTTGACAAATTGACAGAAGTAGGTTTCAGAAGGTGGGTGATAACAAACTCCTCCGAGCTAAAGGAGCATGTTTAACCCAATGCAAGGAAGCTAAGAACCTGGAAAAAAGGTTAGACAAATTGCTAACTAGAATAACCAGTTTAGAGAAGAACATAAATGACCTGATCGAGCTGAAACACAGCATTAAAACATCCTGATGCATAAACAAGTATCAATAGCTGAATCAATCAAGCAGAAGAAAGCATCTCAGACATTGAAGATCAACTTAATGAAATAAAGTGAGAAGACAATATTAAAGAAAAAAGAATAAAAAGGAATGAACAAAGCCTCCAAGAAATATGGGACTATGTGGAAAAAAACTAAATCCACATTTAATTGTTGTACCTGAAAGTGACGGGGAGAATGGAATCAAATTGGAAAACACTCTTAAGGATATTATCCAGGAGAACTTCACCAACCTAGCAAGGCAGGCCAACATTCAAATTCAGAAAATACAGAGAACACCACAAAGATACTCCTCAAGAAGAGCAACCCCAAGACACATAATTGTCAGATTCACCAAGATTGAAATGAAGGAAAAATTATTAAGGGCAGCCAGAGAGAAAGGTCGGGTTACCCACAAAGGAAAGCCCCTCAGACTAACAGGAGATCTCTCAGCAGAAAACTTACAAGCCAGAAGAGAGTGGGTGCCAATATTCAACATTGTTAAAGAAAAGATTTTCAACCCAGAATTTCATATCCAGCCAAACTAAGCTTCATAAGTGAGGGAGAAATAAAATCCTTTACAAACAAGCAAATGCTGAAAGATTTTGTCACCACCAGGCCTGCCTTACCAGAGCTCCTGGAGGAAGCACTAAACATGCAAAGGAACAACTGGTACCAGTCACTGCGAAAACATACCAAATTATAAAGACCGTCGACATTATGAAAAAACTGCATCAATTAACATGTAAAATAACCAGCTAGTGTCATAATGACAGGTTCAAATTCCCAAATAACAATATTAACCTTAAATGTAAATGGCTTAAATGTCCCAATTAAAAGACATAGACCGGCAAACTGGATAAAGAGTCAAGACCCATCAGTGTGCTGTATTAAGGAGATCCAGCTCATATGCAAAGACACACATAGGCTCAAAATACAGGGATAGAAAAAGATTTACCAAACGAATGGAAAGCAAAAAAAAAGCTACGGTTGTATTCTTAGTCTCTGGTAAAACAGACTTTAAACCAACAAAGATCAAAAGAGAAAAAGAAGGGCATTACATATTGGTAAAGGGACCAATGCAGCAAGAAGAGCTAACCATACTAAATATGTATGCACCAAATACTGGAGCACACAGATTCATAAAGCAACTTCTTAGAGACCTACAAAGAGGCTTAGAATCCCACACAATAATAATGGGAGACTTTAACACCCCATTGGCAATATTAGACAGATCAATGAGACAGAAAATTAACAAGGATATCCAGGACTTGAACTCAGCTCTGGACCAAGCAGAACTAATAGACATCTACAGAACTCTCCACCCCAAATCAACAGAATATACATTCTTCTCAGCACCTCATCACACTTATTCTAAAATTGAGCACATAATTGGAAGTAAAACATGCCTCAGCAAATGCAAAAGAATGGAAATCACAACAGTCTCTCAGACCACAGTACAATCAAAGTAGAACTCAGGATTAAGAAACTCACTCAGAACAGCAAACAACATGGAAACTGAACAATGTGCTCCTGAATGACTACTGGGTAAATAACAAAATAAAGACAGAAATAAAGATGTTCCTTGAAACCAATAAGAACAAAGACACAATGTACAAGAATCTCTAGGACACATTTAAAAGAGTGTTTAGAGGGAAATTTATAGCACTACATGCCCACAAGAGAAAGCAGAAAATATCTAAAATTGACACACTAACATCACAATTAAAAGAACTAGAGAAGGAAGAACAAACAAATTCAAAAGCAGCAGATGACAAGAAATAACTAAGATCAGAGCAGAACTGAAGAAGATAGAGCCATGAAAAATACTTCAAAAAATCAATGAATCCAAGAGTTGGTTTTTTGAAAAGATCAACAAAATAGACTGCTAGCCAGACTAATAGAGAAGAAAAGAGAGAAGAATCAAATAGGCACAATAAAAAATGATAAAGGGGATATAACCACTGATCCCACAGAAATACAAACTACCACCAGAGGATACTATAAACACGTCTATGCAAATAAACTAGAAAATCTAGAAGAAATGGATAAATTCCTGGACACCTACACCCTCCCAAGTCTAAACCAGGAAGAAGTCGAATCCCTGAATAGACCAATAAAAAGTTCTGAGATGGAGGCAGTAATTAACAGCCTACCACCAAAAAAAAATCCTGGACCAGACAGATTCACAGCTGATTTTTATGAGGGATACAAAGAGGAGCTGGTACCATTCCTTCTGAAACTATTCCAAACAATAGAGAAAGAGAGAATCCTTTCTAACTCATTTTATGAGGCCAGCATCATCCTGATACCAAAAGCTGGCAGAGACACACACAAAAAAGAAAATTTCAGGTCAATATCCCTGATGAACATCGATGCAAAAATCCTCAATAAAATACTGGCAAACCAAATCCAGCAGCACATCAAAAAGCTTACGCACCATGATCAAGTTGGCTTCATCCCTGGGATGCAAGGCTGGTTCAGCATACTCAAATCAATAAACGTAATTGATCACAGAAACAGAACCAATGACAAAAACCACATGATTATCTAAATAGATGCAGAAAAGGCCTTCGACAAAATTCAACAACGCTTCATGGTGAAAGCTCTCAATAAACTAGGTATTGATGGAACAGATCTCAAAATAATAAGACCTATTTATGACAAACCCACAGCCAATATCATACTGAATGTGCAAAAACTGGAAGCATTCCTTTTGAAAACTGGCACAAGACAAGGATGTCCTCTCTCACCACTCCTATTCAACACAGTATTGGAAGTTTTGGCTAGGGCAATCAGGCAAGAGAAAGAAATAAAATGTATTCAAATAGGAAGAGAGGAAGTCAAATTGTCTCTGTTTGCAGATGACATGATTGTATATTTAGAAAACCCCAACATCTCAGCCCAAAATCTCCTTAATCTGATAAGCAACTTCAGCAAAGTCTCAGGATACAAAATCAATGTACCAAAATTACAAGCATTCCTATACACCAATAACAGACAAATAGCCAAATCATGAGTGTACTCCCATTCAGAATTGCTACAAAGGCAATAAAATACCTAGGAATGCAACTCACAAGGGATGTGAAGGACCTCTTCAAGGAGAACTACAAACCACTGCTCAAGGAAATAAAAGAGGACGCAAATAAATGGAAAAACGTTCTATGCTTATGGATAGGAAGAATCAATAACATGAAAATGGCCATAGTGCCCAAAGTAATTTATAGATTCAATGCTTTCCCCAACAAGCTACCATTGACTTTCTTCACAGAATTAGAAAAAAAACTTTGAATTTCATATGGAACCAAAAACAAAAGTCCACATAGCCAAGAAAATCCTAACTAAAAAGAACAAAGCTGGGGGCATCATGCTACCTGACTTCAAACTATACTACACGGTGACAGTAAGCAAAACAGCATGGTACTGGTCCCGTAACAGATATACAGACCAATAGAACAGAACAGAGGCCTCAGAAATAACACCACACATATACAACCATCTGATCTTTGACAAACCTGACAAAAACAAGCAATGGGGAAAGAATTTCCTATTTAATAAATGGTGTTGAAAAAACTGGCTAGCCATATGTAAGAAACTGAATCTGGACTTTCCTTACACCCTATACAAAAATTAACTCAAGATGGATTAAAGGCTTAAATGTAAACCCTAAAACCATAAAAACCCTAGAGGAAAACCTAGGCAATACCATTCAGGACATAGGTGTAGACAGAGACTTCATGACTAAAACACCAAAAGCAAAGGCAACAAAAGCCAAAATTGACAAATGGAATCTAATTAAACTAAAGAGTTTCTGCACAGCAAAATAAACTATTTTCAGAGTTAACAGGCAACCTACGGAAAGGGAGAAAAAATTTGCAATCTATCCATCTGACAAAGGGCTAATATCCAGAATCTACAAAGAACTTAAACAAATTTACAAGAAAAAAACTCAGTGGCCAAAGGCTATGAACACACACTTTTCAAAAGAAGACATTTATGCGGCCAAGAAACATAAAAAGCCCGTCATCACTAGTAATTAGAGAAATACAAATCAAAGTCACAATGAGATACCATCTCCTGCCAGTTAGTATGGCGCACATTAAAAAGTCAGGAAACAACCCATGCTGTAAAGGATGTGAAGAAATAGAAACGCTATACACTGTTTTTGGGAGTGTAAATTAGTTCAACCATTGTGGAAGACAGTGTGGCAATTCCTCAAGGATCTAAAACTAGAAATCCCATTTGACCTAGTAATCTCATTACTGGGTATATAGCCAAAGGATTATAAATCATTCTACCATAAAGACACGTGCACATTTATGTATATTGTGGCACTGTTCACAATAGCAAAGACTTGGAACAAATCCAAATGCCCATCAATGATATACTGGATAAAGAAAATGTGGCACATGTACACCATGGAATACTATGTAGCCATAAAAAGGATAAGTTTATGTCTTTTGCAGGTACATGGATGAAGCTGGAAACCATCATTCTCAGCAAACTAACACAAGAACAGAAAATCAAACACCGCATGTTCTCACTCATAAGTGGGAGTTGAACAATGAGAACACATGGAAACAGGAAGGGGAACATGACACACTGGGGACTGTCGGGAGCTGAGGGGCTAGGGGAGGGACAGCATTAGGATAAATACCTGATTAGATGATGAGTTGATGGGTGCAGAAAACCACCATGGCACCTATATGTCTTTTGTAACAAAACTGAACGTTCTGCACATGTACCCCAGAACTTAAAATATATTAATAAAAAATATATTTATGTTTCTACATATTGACAAATATGAATAAATTGTTATTAAAAATTGTGCACAAGATTCTTCCTAAATATGTTTTCACTGTTCTTGAGAAAATGCCTAGGTATAGGATTTCTAAGATTTTATGAAGTCAAATAAAAACTCTAGGAAATCACCAAACTGTTTTCCAAATTGTTTTTACCACTTTACATTTCCACCAGCAGTGTTCCGCATCTTCCAGTTGTTCCACATCTTCACTAGAACTTAGTATTGTAGGGGTTTTTTTGTTCCCTTTAACTTTCTAAAGCTGTGTAATGGTACCACATTAATCTCATTGTGATTGTAGCTTGCATTTTTCAAATGACATTGAGTATCATTTAATGTGCTTATTATATATTGTCAAATGTCAGTTCAATATTTTGCCAGGTTTTAATTGGATTATTTTTCTCATTATTGAGTTTTAAAAGTTATTTACATATTCCTAATAGGCATCTTGTATTAAGTATGCATTTTTCAAATATTTTCTGGGTCATTTCTTTCTCAACAATATCTTTTAAAGAATGAATGTTTTAAATTTTGATAAAGATCCATTTATCAATATTTTTTATGAATTTTAATTTTGGTGTCATATTTAAGAATTATTTGCCTAACATAAGATCACACAAATATTTCTGAGTATTTTGTTTCTCGAAGTTATTTAATGACATGGTTTGGCTCTGCGTCCCCACCCAAATCTCATCTTGTGGCTCGCATAATTCCCACATGTTGTGGGAGGGACCTGGTGGGAGATGATTGAATCCTGGGGGCTCGTCTTTCCAGTACTGTTCTCCTGACCATGAATGAGCTCAAAAGATCTGATGGTTTTAAAAACAGGAGTTTCTCTGCACAAGCTCTCTCTTTTCTTGATGCCATCCATGTAAGATGTGATTTGATCCTCCTTGCCTTCTGCCATGATTGCGATGCCTCCCCAACCATTTGGAATTGTAAGTCCAATAAACTTCTTTCTTATGCAAATTGCCCAGTCTCTGACATGTCTATCAGCAGTGTGAAAATGGGCTAATACATATAATTTTCTGTTTTATATTTAGATGTACAATTTATTCTGATTTAAATTTTTGTGTGTTATAGATCAAGTCCTTTTCTTTTTGTCTTTCATTCATTACTATTTTTATTTTTGCATATAGATGAACATTTCTTTCACCACAACTTATTGGTGACTGTTCTTTAGCCACTGATTTGCCTTTGTGTCTTTTTCAAATTGATCGTACATGGGTGAGTGTATTCCTGATACATTCATATTTGTGTCTGTCCTTTTGCTAAAACAATGCTGTCTTAATTATTAATATTATTCATATTATGCCTCTTTAATAAATCACTTAATGTGAATCTTCCAACTTAGTTCTTTTAAAAAATTGTTTATTCCACTTTACTTAAATGTGTATGTATCCATCAACAGAGCTTTAAAGTACGTCGTGTAAAATCTGATACAATTGAAAGAAGAAACCAACAAATGCACAATTATTCTTAGGAACCTCAGCACTCTCTTTTCAGTAATTTATAGAACAAACAAATGAAATCAGCAAAGATATAGAAGACTTAAAAAATACTGTCAAGTAACTTGACCTAATTGACATTTAGAGAACATTCCATCAAACAAAAGCAATATCTATCTATCTATCTATCTATCATCTATCTATCTATCTATCGTCTATCTATCTATCTATACACTTTTCAATTGCATATGGAACGTTCACCAAATAGACCACAGTCTGGGACAAGGGTGTTCAACTATAAAAAAAAATCATTCAATGTGATCCACATAAAAGCAGACTAAGCAAGGAAAACAACACATAATCATATCAATATACAAAGAAATGCATTTGACAAACTCAAAATTCATGTATGATTAAAAAAAATTCTCCACAAACCTAGAAGGTGATTTCCTTAATATGAAGAAGAATATCTATTTAAAAATTTACAGCTAACATTATACCTAATGGAGAACTGCTGAATGACTACCTCTATTGGAAAGACTAAGCAATGAAAATACACTTTTAGTACTCCTATTCAATATTACAGTGCTTCCAGTCCTAGCAAGTGCAAGTAAGTGCAATAAGGAAAGAAAAAAGATTTTAAAATGCATGCAAATTGAAAAGGAAGAAGTAAAAAAAAAATCCCCAGTGATAGACTAGATGATCATCTATGAAGAAAATCTCAAAAAAATCTACAAAAAAGCTCTCAGAGTTAGTAAGTGAGTTTAGTACGTTTGTGGCATAAAAGTTTGACATAGGAAATCAATCATTATTTTATATATTAATAATTAACAATTGAAAACCAAAATACTAATACTAATTATCATATTTCTTTAAAAATGATATATGTAAGTATGAATATAACAAAACATATTTAAGATATATATATGGTGATATGGTTTGGCTCTGTGTCCCCACCCAAATCTTATGTGGAATTGTAATCCCAAAGTGTGGAGGGAGGGACCAGGTGAGAGGTGATTTGATCATGGGGGCAATTACTTCAGCTGTTCTCATGATAATAAGTGAGATCTTACTAGAGCTGATGGTTTTAAGTGTGGCACTTCCTTGCTCTTTTCCTCTCTCTCCTGCTGCCTTGTAAAGAAGGTGTTTGCTTCTCCTTCACATTCTGCCATGGTTGTAAGTTTCCAGAGGTTTTTCCAGTCATGCAGAACTGAGAGTCAATTAAACTTCTTTTATTTATAAATTACCCAGTCTCAGATAGTCTCTTCATAGCAGTGTGAAAATGAACTAATACATATGGTAAACATTACAAAATGTTAACAAAAAATTAAGGAAGACCTAAATAAATGGAGAGACATACCACAGGTATGAACTGGAAGGCTCATTATAGTTAAAAAGCAATTTTCTATAAATTGATTTCTAGATTTAAGGCAGTTTAAATTAAAATATTCTCAGGATTCTTTTTAGATATCGACAATTTTATTATGAAATGTGTACGGAAAGTTAAAAGCAGTAGAATAGGCAAACCAATTTGGATAAAGAACAAGGTTGAACGCCTTACACTACTTGACATTACAAAATACAAAATTTAGCCCAGGAAAAGTTGGACATGTAGACCAATGGAACAAAGTACAGTTTTACAAAATAGCCTGTACAAATATGGCCAACAGATTTTTGAAAAAGGTGTAAAGGTAATTAAATAAAAATCTTTTTGAGAAATGATTGTAGAACAATTGAATATTCATGTGCAAAACTGTAAATGTTGATCTACAGCTCCTTCTTCTCCAAAAACATGTTTTAAATGGATCATAGATCTAAATGCAAAACATAAAACTGAAAAAAAAATCTTAGAAGAAAACATAGAAGGAACTCCTTGATGAGAGGAGGCAGAATAAGATAGCAGAATAAGAGGCTCCATCAATCATCCTCCCTTCAAGGACATCAAGTTAACAACTATTTACACAGAAAAAAAAAAAACACCTTTATGAGAGCCAAAAGTCAGATATGCACCCATAGTACCTGGTTTTAACTTCATATTGCTGAAAGAGGCACTGAAGAGATAGAAAAAACTGTCCTGAATGCCAGCATTACTCACCCAATGCCCTTCCTCTGGAAGTGGTGGCATGGTGTGTAGAGCACCCCTGGACACCAGGGAAGGGAGAAAACAACAATTGTGAGGCATTAAAAATGCTATTCTGTTAGAGCTGAAAGAAAAACTGGACTAAACTCAGCTGACACCTGCACATGGAGGGACCATTTAAACCACTCCTAGCCAGAGGGGAATCACAAATTCCAGTGGTCCAAACTTGAGTTCCCACAAACCTCACCACAGAGGGCTACAGTGCTCTGTTTCTCCATGTAAACCTGAAAGGCAGTCTAGGCCATAGGACTGCAACTATTAGGTGAGTCCTAGTGCTGAACGGGGCCCAGGGACAATGGACTGAAGGAGCATGTGCCATACTGATACATCAAGTGGGGTAGTCAAGAGAGTTCTGGCATCACCCTTCCCCTAATCCCAGGCTGCACAGCTCATGGCTTCAAGACAGACCCTTTCCTTTTGCTTGATGAGAGGAAAGAGTGGGGAGGTCTTTGTCTTGCATCTTGGATACAGTCTCAGCCACAGCAGAAGGGATGAAGCACCTGTTTCAGGCCATAGCATCCAGGTGACATTTTTAGACACACTCGGGACAAAAAGGGAACCCACTGCCATGAAAGGAAGGATGCAGTCCTGGCAGCATTAATTACCTGCTAACTTAAGAGCCCTTGGGCCCTGAATAACCAGCAGTATACCCAAGTACTATGTTGAGGGACCTGTGTGACTCAGCACATTACCAGCTATGGTGGCCGTGGGGCAAAACTCCTGCTTAACAAAAGCAGAGGGAAAAGTAAAGGGGACTTTGTCTTGCACCTTAGGTACCAGCATGGCCACGGGGGAGACAAGCCCCGAGTAGGCTTTTGAAGTCCCTGATGACAGAACTTGACTTCTGCATGGCATTTCTGGACCTGCCCTAAGCCAGCGAGGAGACCACTGCTATCAAGGGTGAGTCCCATACCAGGCAGAATTCACCATTCACCACAAGCTAACTTAAGAGGAAATATCAATGGTAGTCTGTCAGTACTCCTTGTGGCTTGCGGTGGAGGTAGCTACAGGGTGAGGCAACTCTGCCTTTGGAATGGAGAGGAAAAAGTGGGAAGGATTACTTCTTACGGTTTTAGTGCCAGCTCAGCCATAGTACAACAGAACACCAGGTAGACTTATTAGGTTTTTGACTCGTCCCTGACTCCTGGATGACACCTCTGGACCCACCTCAGGCCTGGGAAGGCACTGCCCTGAAGGAAAGAACACAGGCCTGGCTGGCTTTGCCAGTAGCTGACTGTAGAGCCCCAGGCCCTTGAGCAAATATAGGCAGTAGCAAAGGAGAGGTTACAGCAGGCCTTAGGTGAGACCCAGTGCTGTGTTGGCTTCAGGTCTGACCCAGAAGAGTCATAGTGGTGGTGGCCACATGGGTGCTTGTGTCACTCCACCCCCAGTTTTAGGTGACTTAGAACAGAGAGAGAAACCCTGTTTGTTTGTGAGAAAGTAAGGAAGAGAACAAGAGTCTTTTCCTGATAATCCAGAGAATTCTCCCGGTTCTTGTCCAGGACCATCAGGTAGTACCTCTACAAGTCTGCAAGAACCACAGTGTTGCTATGTTTAAGGTGTCCCTTAAAGCAGATACAGCTTACATCACAACACCCAAGTCCTTTCAAATATCTGAAAAGCCTTCCCATGAAGGATGGCTACAAATAAGCCCAGACAATGAAGACAACAATAAATACCTAACTATTCAATGCCCAGACACCAAAGAGCATCTACTAGCATCAACACCGTCCAAGAAAACATGACTTAATCAAATGAACAAAATAAGGCACCAGGGACCAATCCTAGAGAAACAGAGATATATGACCTTTCAGACAGATAATTCAAAATAGTTCTGTTGAGTAAACTCAAAGAAATTCAAGATAGCACAGATAAAGTATTCAGAATTCTCTCAGAAAAATCTAACAAAGAGATTGAAATAATTTAGAATAACCACGCAGAAATTCTGAAACTGAAAATTGCAAATGGCATAGTGATAAATGCATCAGAGTCTGTTAATAGCAAAATTGATGAAGCAGAAGAAAGAATTAGTAAGCTGAAAGACAGGCTATCTGAAAATACACAGTCAAAGGAGACAAAAGAAAAAGAATAAAAAACAATGAAGCACACCGACGGGATCTAGATAATGGCCTCAAAAGGGCAAATCTAAGAGTTATTGGCCTCAAAGCAGGCATAGAGAAAGAAATAAGGGTAGAAAGCTTATTCAAAAGGATAATAGCACAGAACATCTCAACCCTAGAGAAAGATATCAATATCCAAGTACAAGAAGGCTCTACAATACCAAGCAGATTTAGCCCAAAGAAGACTAACTCAAGGCATTTAATAATCAAACTCCCAAAAGTCAAGGATAAAAATAAGAATTATAAAAGCAACAAGACAAAGGAAACAAATAACCTACAATAGTGCTCCAATAAATCTGGAAGCAGACATTTCAGTGGCAACCTTACAGGCCAGCATAGAGTGGTATAACACATTTAAGTATGAAAGGAAAAATGCTTTTACTCTAGAACAGCAGATTGAGCGAAAATATCCTTCAAACATGAAGGAGAAATAAAAACTTTCCCAGACACACAAAAGCTGAGGAATTTCATTAACATCAGACCTGTCCTACAAAAAATGCTAAAAGGAGTACTGAGTACTTCAATCAGAAAGACAAAGACATTAATGAGCCATAAGTTATCACCTGAAGGCACAAAACTCACTGGTAATCATAAGTACATAGAAAAACACATAATATTATAACCCAGTAGCAGTGGGGTGTAAACCACTCTTATCCTAAAGTATAAAAACTAAATGGTGAACCAATAAAAAGAAAATAACTACAATGACTTTTTAAGACAGCACAATATAGTATAAATAGAAACAACAAATATTAAAAAGGAGGGAGATGAAGCTAAGGTGTAGAGATTTTGGAGGTTATTTTTGCTTGTTTTTTTGCTTGTTTATGCAAACAGTGTTAAGTTTTTATCAGGTTTAAATGATGTGTTATAAGATAGTATTTGCAAGCCTTATGGTGACCTCAAAACAAAAAAGCATACAATGCATACACAAAAAATAAAAAGAAAGAAACTAAATCATATCACCAGAGAAAAATCATCTTTACTAAAGGAAGACAAGAAGGAAAGAAGGAAGTGATAGCAATAAGAGGTAGAAAAATCCTAGGCAGACAGAGGCAGGTCCTGGGTGAAACCCCACCTTCTAGCCAAAGACAGTTTAAAGCCTGAAAGCCAGGGACCTTCTTCACAAGGTGGCAGGAAGGAGAAGGGCAGACTGAAGGGGGAAGAGCCCCTTATAAAACTATCAGATCTCATGAGAATTCACTCTCTATCATGAGAAGAGCCTGGGGAAAACCACCCCTATGATTTAATTACCTCCACCTGGCCTCTCTCAACATGTGAGGATTATGGAGATTATAATTCAAGATGAGATTTGGATGGGAATGTACGAAGCCTAACCTTATCATTCTGCCCCTGTCACACCCAAACTTCATGTCTTTTTCACATTTCAAAACCAACTATGCCTTTCTAACAGTCCCCCAAAGTCTTAATTCATCCCAGCATTAACCAAAAAGTCCAAGTCCAAGTCTCTTCTGAGACAAGGCAAGTCCCTTCTACCCATGAGCCTGTAAAATAAAAAACAAGTTAGTTACTTCCTAGATACAATGGGGGTACAGGCATTGGGTAAATACACCCATTACAAGTGGAAGAAATTGGCCAAAATGCAGGGACTATAGGCTCCATGCAAGTCCCAAATCAAGCAGGACAGTCAAACCTTAAAGTTTCAAAATGATCTCATTTGAATCCATGTCTCACATTCAGGTCACACTGATGCAAGATGTGTGCTCCCACAGCCTTTGTCAGTGCCACACCTGTGGCTTTGCAGGGTACAGCACCCCTTCTGGCTGCTTTCAATTGTTGGCATTTATTGTCTGCGGCTTTTCCAGCCACACAGTGCAAGCTGCCAGTGGATCTACCATTCTGGCCTCTGGAGGACAGTGACCTCTTCTCATACCTTCACTAGGCAGTGCCCTACAAGGGACTGTGTAGTGGCTCAGACCCCACATTTCCCTTCCACAATGCACTAGCAGAAGTTCTTCATGAGGGCTCCACCCCTGCTGCAAGCTTCTGCTTGGACATACAGGCATTTCCATACATCCTCTGAAATCTAGGTGGAGGTTCCTAACCCTCAGTTCCTGACTTCTGTGTACCCACAGGCTCAACACTATGTGTAAACCACCAAGACTTAGAGCTTGCACCCTATGAAGCAATGGCCTGAGCTCTACACTGGCCCCTTTTAGCCACGGCTGGGATGCAAGCCACCAAATCCGAAGACTGCACAAAGCAGCAAGGCCCTGGGCCAGGACCATGAAACCATTATTTTCTCCTAGGCCTCCGGGCCTGTGATAGGAGGGGCTGCAGTGAAGACCTCTGATATGCCCTAAAGATATCTTCCCCATTGTCTTGGTGATTCACATTTGGCTCCTCTTTGCTTATGCAAATTTCTACAGCTGACTTGAATTTCTCTTCAGAAAATAGGTTTTTCTTTTCTGTTGCATCATCAGGCTGCAAATTTTCTAAACTTTTATGCTCTGCTTCCCTTTTAAACATTAGTTTCAATTCCAAACCATCTCTTTGTTAATGCATAAAACTGAATGCTTTCAAGAGCACCCAAGCTCTTGAATGCTTTGCTGCTTAGAAATTTCTTCTGCCAGATTCCCTAAATTATCTTTCATGTTCAAAACTCCACAGATCACTAGGGCTGTGGAAAAATGCTAAAGCATAACAAGAGTCACCTTTATTCCAGTCCCCAAAAAGCTCTTCATCTCCTCTGAAACTACCTTAGCCTGGACTTCATTGTCCATATCACTATCAGCATTTTGGTCAAAGCCATGCCCCACTACCTTGGTATCAATTTACTGTATTAGTTTCTTCTCACATTGCTATAAAGAACTGCCTGGAACTGGGTAATTTATAAAGAAAGAGGTTTAATTGACTCACAGTTCAGCATGGTTGGCAAGGCCTCAGGAAACTTAGAATTATGGCAGGAAGGAAGGAGAAGCAAAATACCTTCTTCACAAGGTGGCAGGAAGGAGAATGAATACAGGAGGAACTACCAAACCCTTATAAAACCATCAGATCTTGTGAGAAGTAACTCAATATCATGAGAACAGCATGGGGAAAACCACCCACATGGTACAATTACCCCCACCTGGTCTCTCCCTTGAAACACAGGGATTATGGGGATTACAATTCAAGATGAGATTTGGGTGAGGACTCAAAGCCTAACCACATCAACTCATATCTCTTGGAATGCACAGAAGTCTAATCAAAGTTAACTAAAGACTTAAATCTAAGACCTCAAACTATGAAACTATTACTAGAAAACACTGGGACAAATCTCTAGGACACTGGTTTGGGCAAAGATTTCTTGAGCAATACCCTACAAGCACAGGCAACCAAAGCAAACATGGACAAATGGAATCATGCCAAGTTAAAAACCTTTTGCACAGCAAAGGATACAATCAAGAAAGTGAAAGGACAACCCACAGAATGCAAGAAAATATTTGCAAACTACCCATCTGATAAGAGGTTAATAATCAGAATATACAAGGAGCTCAAACAACTCTATAGAAAAAAATATATAATGAACTGATCAAAACATGAGCAAAAGATTTGAATAGACCTTTATCAAAAGAAGACATACAAATGGTAAACTGGCATATTAAATGGTGCTCAATATTGTTGATCATCAGAGAAATGCAAATCAAAACTACAATGAGATACCATATCACCTCAGTTAAAATGGCTTATATTCAAAACACAGGCAATAACAAATGCTGGCCAGGATGTGGAGGAAAGGGCACTCTTGTATATTGTTGGTAGAAATGTAAATTATTGTGGAGATGAGTTTGGGGGTTCCTAAATAAAACTAAAAATGGAGCTACTTTATGACCCAGCAATCCCCACTGCTGAGTATATACCCAAGAGAAAGGAAATCAGTATATCAAATATATATCTGCATTCCTATGTTTGTTGCAGCACTGTTCACAACAGCTAAGATTTGGAAGCAACAACAGATGAATACATAAAGAAAATGTGGTGCTTATACACAATGGATTACTATTCAGTCATTAAAAAGAATGAGAATCTGTCATTTGGAACAACATGGATGGAACTGCAGATTATTATGTTAGATTAAATAAGCAAGGCATAGAAGAACAAACATTACTTGTTCTCACTCATTTGTGAAACCTAAAAATCAAAACAAGTGAACTCATGGACATAGAAATTAGGAGAATTGTTACCAGAGGCTGGAAACAGTAGTAGGGGACTGGGGGAGAGGTGGAGATTGTTAATGGATACTAAAAAACAGAGTTAGAAAGAATGAATAAGACCTGCTGTTTGATAGCATAACAGGGTGACTGTAGTCAATAATAACTTAATTGTACATTTTTAAATAACTTAAAGAGTGTGACTGGATTGTTTATAACTCAAAGGATAAAAGTTTGAGGGGATGGATACCCCATTCTCCATGATGTACATATTTCACACTACATGCCTGTATCAAACCTTTCCATGTACCCCATAAATGTATATACCTACTAAGTACCCACAAACTGTTTTTCAAAAATTTTAAAAAGAAACTCCTTGGATAATCCATGAAAGAAAAAGATGATAAACTGGATTTGAACCAATTAAAATAATTTGCTCTGTTGTCAAAAAGAGGATGAGAAAACAGCCCACATGCCATAAGAAAACATTTTAAAATCATATATCTTGTACCCAAATGTAAGAAATCTCAAATTTTAACAATAAGTAAATAAACACAGTAAAAATATGTTCAAGAGATTTGAACTGACATGATAGCAAAGGTGCTATATGAATGACAGTAAGGCACATGAAAAGGTGATCAACCTCATTATTCATTATAAAAACGCTAATTACAACATCTAATAAAAACATACTAGAATGGCTAAAATCCAAAAACAAAATGACAGTAGCAAAGGCTAGTGGGAATATGAAACAACTGGAACTGTCATATGTCACTGGTAGAAATATAAATGGTACAGCTACTCTGGGACAGTTTGGTGTTTTTGTACAGTTAAACATAGACTTACTGTATAACCCAGCAATCCCACTTATGTTCACACAAAACCTGCTGCTTACAATCACCCCAAACTGGAAACCACCCAAATGTTTCTCTAAGAATTACTGGATTAACAAATTGCATTATATCCCCATACAATGAAACATTACTGAGCAAGAAAAAGGAACACTCTATTTTTACACAAAACAATTTGGATGAGTCCCAAATGCTAAGTGAAAGAAGGCCATTTCTAAAGTAACATACTGTATGTTTCTACTTACATGACATTCTGAAAAGGTAAAGCTATTAGGAAGAGAAAACAGATTGGTTGTTGCCAGTGGTTAGGTTTGGTGGGACTGTCTACCTGCAAATGGTAGTATCCAAGGCTCCATAGGGTGTTGGGATTGTTCTCTATCTTGTTAGGAAGGCTGGTTACAAGAATATATGCTTGCGTTAAAACTCGTAACTCTGGATGCTATCAGAAAATAAATTTTACTTTATGTAAGTTCAAATATAATAAATGATAGCAATTTGTGATATTAAGGTCATTTAATTTAAAAAATAATATCTAATCAACCCAATATTAAGAAAGTTTAACATTATGATCGCAAAATTCTAAGTAATTTAATTGTACTCAATGTGAATTACTTTCTCAAAGGAGCATGTGATTGTAAAACCTACCTGTAAGTTTGCTTGTAAGATATCTTATCCATCTCTAATCAGATGTCATGGAAGTGGATGAATGTCCCTATCCTTTAAATGTTCTGCTTTAGGAACAGAAAACCAAATACCACGTGCTCTCACTTATCAGTGGGAACTGAATGATGTGAACACATGGACACGTGGTGAGGAGAAACACACACTGGGACCTCTCAGAGGGTGGGGCTGCGGGAGGAAGAGCGTCAGGAAGAATAGCTAATGAGTGCTGGGCTTAACACCTGGATGATGGGGTGATCTGTGCGGCAAACCACCATGGCACTTGTTTACCTATGTGACAAACCTGCACATCCTGTACATGTACCCCTGAACTTAAAATAAGAATTGGAAATTTAAAAAAACAAAAAGCCAAAAATTTCTGCTTTAATTAAATATCATTATCTTTTTATAATGCAAAGAAAAATGTGTCTTAAATTGTATTTAAGATTACATTGATTTTATTCGACACCATCATTCAGTTTACCTGAAATTCTTATCCTGAAAATATCTGACATAGGTGACTCTACATATAACAAAAGAAAACAAATATCAGTAACTTTACAGATTGTGCCAAACTTCTTCCTCAACGTAATGGACTGTGTTATCAGCCATTCAAAGCATCTACATCTAAACGAAGACATCTAGATGAGTAACTTCTATGCATAGCTTCAGTTATTCAATTTTGCTCAAATTACAGTGGACTACTAGTGAATTGTCACTATAGATATTCATAGGCTTCATATAAAATATTGGCCATGTTCCTATATGATTCTGGTTGCTCCAGAGGTCTTGGATTCATAATTACCTGAGCGTTTCTAACATGTATTAACATGAAGCATCAATTGTTTCTGGTAAATGAGGAATAAGTGGTTTTTGTTCAGAATTGCTCTCTGTAGATTCTCTGCTAGTATTATAATCCTCTTTGATTGAGGTAAAAATAACCTGGATGACTAAAGGTAAATTTTTCCACAAAGGAGAATTAATGCACTGTCTGTTTTCTGTAGAATTATGACAGATTTTATGCCTTTGTTAAATCCTAAGATTAGTTGGTATAACTACTTTCAATGCTCTGGCCTATTTTCTTTGTTGCTAAAATGAAAATAGATCAGAAACACCTTTTGAGGCCTCTGGATTTATAATTTAAGAATTAACTCTGAGAAAGTAGTAGGTGAATAAATAGAGTTATAATCTAAGACAACGTTACATTCCTTGTGTGAGTCTCACATCTAAGACCCGGCAGTACTTTCTTCCTCTGTGCATTCTCACGAATACCCACACACTGTAAGCATAGTTTCTAAGATTCCATAATTATGAATCCTAACAATAAGAATGACTCAGAATGCAGAATATTACAATGCAGACTCTGTCCTGTCAGGTAAAGTAAGGAAAGGTAAATACTGCTTACCGATACACATTATTAAATGGTCTGTTCTAATTTCTAATTGTAACTTCTTGGTTTCAATATTAGACATACATAGAAAGTTCTGCCTAAGTAACTTGAGGCTGATTCCCTGTGGCACAGGTCCTTACTAATAGATGGTGGTTTTAGAATTTGCATTAAGTCTTTCTATCTAGTTCATTTCAACAAATATTTACCGAATATCCACTCTAGTCGAGGCACTGTGCTACCATATGGGAACATAAAGATGACTAGGACAATCCCTATCCTGCAGGAGTGTACAATTACAAAGCAGAGATGTGTTGATTGTTATGATTAATATAAAGTATAGCAGGGTTCCAAATGCATGAAGCTAGACTGAAGCATGGAGAATATTTAAAGGAGAAAAACCCTGAGTCTACTTGGGGAGATTAATCAAGATTTCAAGGAAGAGGTAACATTGGAAAGGGTCCACTGAGAGGGAGTCAGACTTTGGTGGGCACAAACCCAAAATGAAGGAGATGGGAACAGTAAGTGCTTTTGTTTACTGCATGCGGATTGATGGTGAGAAGTTAACCAGTAAATCGGAGAGCCCAGACCTTAAATATCTAGTCAAGTTTGTGTTCCATTAAGACAATAAGTTTGCTGACTAAAGATTTTTGAAAGAATTAGATGACATTTTCATGAAAAAATACACTCATATGGACATCAGCATGCACATACATATGTATACATATTTATACAGAGCATACATATATATTTATATACATATAGAGTACATTTCATTTAAATGAAACGAAACTACTTGGACTGTGGAGGATAAATTTAGAGAAATCTACACTTGGAATCACCTGTTACAATATAAATATAAAACTTTATGGCATAGATAGTCATCAGTGTTATACTCAGAACATTCAAGTAAATATATGATAATTGTATAATATCAGGGTTATATGCTTTTATAGTATAATGCATATAAATTTATAGTATGTAGTATACTAGTAGGCTCAAAATATGACTAGTACTGGTGCCATTATTTTTGAAAATTAGCTAAGGCACTAAAAAAGATAATTCATGTGAACTAGACTGATAAGCTGAAAACATTGCTACTTGTTATTTTTATGTCAAATGTAATTTGTTTTAGAATAAACATTATAATTGGCTATTCAATGCCCACACACTTAGTATAACTTTTTAGGTAGAATCAGTGATTTTATGGTAACGTCTAACCTTGTGGGGAAAAATATTTCTCTAAACTTCAGTTTACTGAAACTTAAATTTCACACAGAGTCATTGACTAAAAAAGAAAGTCACCAGGACCTTCTCATCCATCTCATAAATTGCTAATGCCCACTTCTAATGGTGCATTTGCAATTGGTTTGGTCTATGAATGACACACCCATAATCATATAACTTCCTAATAACATTTTGTGGTTTATACTCCTCTAATAATTCTCTGTTTAACAATGGTCATAATGATTTTCATACAATACAGATACTTAAATAATATTTTGCATTTTTCCAGATTATATTTTGGCATAAGTTAAACATTATGTTCATTGTTTATCTTCAATTAAAATAACAGACAAATCTACTAAAGTGAAAGACATGGCAGGAAGGTAAAGACTCTAAAAGCACATGTTTTTAATTGTGAGAAATAATTTTGTCCATTTCTAGAAAAAAGATAGGAAAGGTGATTCTTAAGTATTTAATGTACAGATAAATGATTCATTAATAATTTTTACACAATTATTTAATTTGAATGGATAAATATTATTAAGAATTGTCATAAGTATATATATAAGACATAGTCTTACATGCTGTATTAGTCCATTTGTACACTGCCTAAAGAACTACCTGAGACTGGGTAATTTATGAAGAAAAGAGATTTAATTGACTCATAGTTCCACAGCCTTAACAGGAAGCATGACTGGAAGGCCTTAAGAAACTTACAATCATGGTGGAAGGTGAGAGGGAAGGAAGGACCTTCTTCACATGGTGCCAGGAGAGAGAGGCAGTGAAGGGGGGAATTATCACACACTTTTAAACCGTCATATCTCATGAGAGCTCACTCACTATTATGAGAACAGCAAGGGGGAAATTTCCCCCCATGATCCAATCTCCTCCCACCAGTCTCCTCCTCCAATTCAACATGAGATTTGGGTGGGGGCACAAATCCAAATAGATTATTGTAAGTATAATGAAATATAAGTGCCATTTATTTATTTAAAAACCATTTTTTGAGAACATACTATGTACTAGACATGGTACTGTAACTCTTGTTCTGAGGATTGTATGAAAATTATCATGTTAAAATTCATATGACAAAAGAATGGGTCTACCTCAAGAAGGGTATGGGAAGCTATAAAAAGAATGGATATTTGATCTGGAATTTAAAGATCAGGTAGAAGAAGCTTGTCTTAATGGAAATAGAGATAAGACATGAGAGAGTGAAAAAAGAAAATAAGCAAAAATAGAAGGGAGCTTAAATGCTATCCCATTTGTTGTGGGTTGAATTGTGTTCTCCCCCAAAATATGTCGAAGTCTTAACCCCAGTACCTGTGAATGGGACCTTATTGGGCAATAGGATCTTTGAAGATATAATTCTGATGTAACTTAGTAGATGGAGTCATGCTGGAGGCCCTTAATTCAATACACCTCATGTGCTAAAAAAAAGAGAAGGGACGAGAAGAGACATATACAGAAAGAAAATAACACCATGGCAGAATACAGACACACACAGAGAAGGAAGACAGCCGTGTGACTTTGGTGGAAGAGATGTGAGTGATGGCAACTGCAAGCCAAGGAACACACAAGATTGTTCAAAACCCTCAGAAGCTGGGAGAGAGGCATGAAACACATTTTCCTTCAGAATCCCCAAGTTGCAACCAAACCTGCCGAAACCTGGATTTCAGACTTTTAGCTTCTAAACTGTGAGAGAATAAATTTCTACTGTTTAAACCACCCAGTTTGTGGGAACTTACTACAGCAGTCCCAAGAAACTTGCATACTATGCTGAATAAATGAGGTAGAGTTGTCAAAAGGTGGAACAATTAGTTATAAAAACATATGGAGAGAAATGAGAAGGAAAGAAAAAGTCTAATAAAACTAGGCATTTTGTGAATAAGCTAAGGAGTCAAACTCTTAGCATATAATAATATAGAGTTTGTCTTTTAATTCAAGGCAGTTACATTCTTCTATTTTTTTTTTTATTAAAGAGAGCATGAGTTTCAGAGAAGATGATAATTTTGAAAGGCTAAAAGCTACAGCTATATAGGCCAGAGAAAAGACAATTTCAATTTTCTAATGAGGGATAATGATAGTTTATGCTATGTATTGTTACACATGTAATGCCCTCTAGAGATGAACATGCTACATTGGACCCAGCCTAATAAACGACCTTTGATGTCGTTTTCCTATCAATGGTGAAGGGTTTCGCCAATCTATCCAGAGTTTCCCTTCTTGTTTCTCTGGGGGTTAAGGCCCTCATTAGAAAGTTAGACAGAGAGGGTAATACCTTGGTAATGGCATGGGCAATGTCTTTGATGAATACACTCTTAAGAGCAAGATAATTTAAGTGCACATTACAGAATATTATGGCAAACAATAAAGCTTGCATAGATTGAAAAACAGACCTTTCCCTCACTGTTATTAACTGGGAAAACTAGCTTTGAATTGTAATTAATTTTGGGGTTGGATCAGTTATAAAATGCATATCTTATAAACTAAAGGTTTATTTTTTCGGACAAGATACAACTTCCAGTAACAGGTGAATTTGAATAAGTATTAACTAATTTTAAATAGTTATCCAAAATAACATTATCTAGTTAGAATCAGAGGGACACACACAGGTTGGGAAATATTTTGCATTTCTTGGTGCAATTCTATATTTAATGATTTTTTTCTATGATCTATAATAATAAGAACAATTATTGACATTGTATTTGGTAAAAAATGCTTGATTTGGATTCGAAGTTTCATTCTTACAAAACTGTATGTTTTGGTGTCAAAATGATAACTCAATATACATCATATTCTTATATCACTGGACCACTGTAAATGTATAAAAAGTCTAGGATATAGTTTTCTTTAATTTTACAGTTTAAAAAATAAATTTCTGAGAAAGTCATCACAATTATTGCAAATAATTGTATGATTATGAAAAAAATGGCAGTAGTCACAATGCTACTTGTAAACAGAAAGATACTTGGTCATGTGAAAGATACTTGTAGTCCACTAGGCACATATAGGCCATACTTCTTCAATCTAAAAGACAGAAGAGGCATCTGAGTAACAGACATGTTTCCTTTACTCACCTAGCTTCCTTTTTCTATCCTTTATTGAATTATAATAATAGAATAGGTCTTATTATCAATTAAGTGATCTTTCTTGTTCTCACAATGAGAGCAGCTGCATCAAGTAAGTTTTCGCCTTACTAAAAACTTTCAGATGTCTTTTGGTTTTATTATTCAATTTTTGAGATGTATAATTAAATCCCTGGGAATGAGTGGATATAATTTAGAAGGCAATTCAGCTCTGTGAACTTATACAGATGTCACTAAAATCATGTTTGATGGATAATTTCAGAAACAATGAAAGCATCATTAACTAGAGTAACTTGGAAAAGCACAAGTAAAAGACACTGTTATTTTGACAATATTGAGTTAAATAGAGGCCACAGGAAAAAAAAAAAAAAAAAACCTGCACATCAAAGTTAAATGATCAGCATTCAATGTAAGACATTCTTGGAGAACTGGAATGTTTGCTTTGGTTTTGTTGAAGTGATTAACATGAATATGTCAGCTGCGTAATTCAGTGAACAAAATTCATTTCACTGTAGGAAGTCCATGTGGGTTAAAGGAAAACAAAATCTCTTTGTATGTCCAAATGGTTTTAAAAAGGATCTAGGGAACAGTTAGTATGGTTCTTACTAATTGTTTTCTTTCTTTAGGTGGAATAAATAATTCTAATAAATAAAGGGAATAATCATAAGAATATTCTGAAAGGAACTAACAGAAAGCTCAGTGCAAAATGAAAAACTATAAGCTTACAATAAACTATGTTTTGTATATAGATTTATAGGTATATAAAAGGTTAGATAAATAGAACAGCAATAGAGAACAGAGATAGAAATAAAGATTGATTCTAGGTCTATACCATGTCTTTATTTAATTTAATATAAAAGAAAATCATCGATCAAAGATGCAAGAAATTTTTTTTAAGAATCCAAATGTTGTTAGAATTGACTGTAATAAAAATAGTTTGCCATAGGGCTTTTCATGGTACATTAAAATTAAGAAAAATATTTTCCCATTTACTAGCAGGTCAAGTTGCTTCTTTTCAGTGATCATAATCAATTATCCAGGAAAAGGGACAGAAGAAATCAGGAAAAAGGAGAATAGACTCTTTATGCATAGGTAGGTTCAGAATTAACAAAGTTTTGTGGTGGTGGTTCTTTGCTTTGACACAGATTCAATGTAATAAAATTTGTACCACCTTTAGGCAAAATTGAGACCAATAGAAGAAAAATGTAACATAGAGTCTTGAAGTTGTGTCAATAGAAGAATTTAAAAACATATTTGCTTTTAAAAATTGTTTTATGGCCATATAATTTGCATTCAATAAAGTGCACACATCCTAAATGTTCATTTTGATGAGTTATGATAATTTTATACACTCCTGTAACAAACACCCTAAGTAAGATATAGAACATTTGTATCACCCTAGAATTACATTATATGCCTTTCTATTCAATTTCCACCTAGAAGTGGGAGCTACTTTCTGATTTCCACCAACACATATCAGTTTGTTTTGCATAGTCCTGGATTCTTATAAATTGAATCATGTAGTGTGTAATCTTTTGTGTGTCTGACTTTTTTCACTCAACATAATATCGTTAAGATCCATGCATATGGTTGCATGTATCATTAATTTGTTAGTTTATTGCTAAATAGTACACCATTATAGGAAAATATCAAAATGTATTAATCCATTCTCTTGTTGATAGATATTCGAGTTGTTTCTATTTTATCTACTGTAATTAAGGCTGTTATAAGCATTTTTATATAACATGTTTATGGACGTATGTTTTATTTTTATTTGGATAAAGACTCTAGAACACAATTGAGTGATCATAACATTAGATTGTATATATTTAAGTTTAACTGTATAAGAAATTGCCAAAGTGTTTTCCAATAGTGTTGTAGTATTTTTTGTCACCACCAGCAATTTTTGAGAATGCAAGTTGTTCTGTATGTTAGGCAACATAATGGCCCCCAGAGAAGTCCTAATCCCAAAAACCTATGAATTTGTTACTTTCTATGGCAAAAGGAGCTTTGAAGATGGGATTAGTTTGAGGATCTTGAGATGGGAAAGTTATTCTGGATTATCTGCTGAATCGAGTATAATCACAGGGTATTTGTAAGATGAAGACAAGAGAGTCAGCGTCAAAGAGATATAATAATGGTGGCAGACACAGAGGGGAAGGAGAGAAAGAGAAAGCAGAAGATGCTCTGCTGCTGGCTTTGAAAATGGTGGAAGAGGCCATGAACTAAGGAGTGAATGTGGCCTCCAGAAGGTAGAAAAGGCATGGGAATAGGTTATCCCTTTAGAGCCTTCAGAAGAAGCCCAGACCTCCCAACATCTTGATTTTTAGGACTTTTGACCACATAACATAATATTTAAAAGTTGTGTTGTTTTAAGCCACTAAGTTTGTGGAAATGTGTATTAGCAGTAACAGAAAACTAATATGCATCCTTGCCAACATTTGCTGTCGCCAATCTTTTTAGTTTTAGTCATTCTAGTGGGTGTGAAATGGTTTAGCATTATCATTTTAATTTGCATTTCCTTGATGACCCATGATGTTGAGCAAATTTTCATACTCTATCAGGCCATTTGTGTATCTTTTCCTGTGAAGAATTTCTTTTCAAGGCTTTGACCATCATTCTACTGAATTATTGTTTCTTCTGTTGTTGATTATCAGGAGCTTTAATATATAGTTGACACTTGAACAACATGGATCTGAACTACACAAGTCCACTTATTGGTGGATTTTCTTCAGCCTCTGCCACCCTTGAGACAACAAGACCAATACCTCCTCTTTTTCCTTCTCCTCAGCCTACTCAACTTGAAGATGGTGAGAATGAAGACCTTTATGATCATCCACTTCTACTTGTTGAATAGTAAATATATTTTTTCCTTATGGTTTTCTTAATAACACTTTCTTTTCTCTTGATTACTTTATTGCCAGAATACAGTACATAGTACATATAATAAGCAAAGTATGTATTAGTTTACTGTTTAAGTGATAGGTAAGGCTTCCACTCAACAGCAGGCAACAGCCAGGTGTTGTGACACATGCCTGTAATCCTAGCATTTTGGGAGGCCGAGGTGGAGGATCGCTTGAGCCCAGGAGTTCAAGACCAGCCTAAGTAACATAGTGAGACCCCCATCTCCACAAAAAATTAAAATACCTAATCATGGTGGTGCATGCCTGCAATCCCAGCTACTCAGGAACCTACAATAGGAGCCAAAAAGGTGGAGGTTACAATGAGCCATTATTGCACTACTGCACTGCACTCCTGCCTGGGAGACAGAGTGAGACCTTGTCTCAAAACACTACAACAAACAACAACAACAGCAACAAAAATCAGTAGGTATTAATAGTTAGGTTTTTTGGGAGTCAGAAGTTATACACAGATTTTGACTGTGCAGGGGATCAGCGCTCCTAACGCCTGCATTCTTCAAGGGTTACCTGTATTCTTGATACAAGTTCTCCTTCAGATTTAAGTATTATAGATATTTTTCCAGTCTATAGCTTACCTATTCATTTTCTTAATAATGTCTTTTGATTGATTTTTAATTTTTAACTTTGGTGAATTCCAGTTGTATACTTTTTTTATGATTAGCATTTTTGTGTCCTATGAAACTGTTGCCTTCCTCAATGTCACTAAATTCTCTTAGGTTTTCTTCTAGCAAGTTTATGTTTCAAATTTTCACCCTTAGGTCTATAATTCGTCCCAAATTTATTTTTGTCTGTAAAGCAATGTCACGATTCATTTTTTTTCTCAATATAATTACCCAGTTGTTTCAAAACTGGTTATTAAAGTTTTTCTCTTAATCATTGAATTTTCTTGGCACCAAATTATTAACTCTTGACAAAAATAATTGACCCTTAAGTAAGCAGACAGACAAGCAGTGCTTCTATTTTATAGCAATGTAAATAATACACAACTTACACAAAGACTTTTTAGAAGCTAACTAACAGTGGTCCTATCTAAGTACGTACACCAGATTTTTTATAACCACTTTTAAAATAAAAGTATTTAGATTTTAACACATAGATTAGGACAGAGAAAGCATATGGTGGAATAAACTGTATCTTTTTGGCCAGATGGTGCTATTTCTAGGTCATCTTGATAAAGAGAGGAGGCAAACATGAAAACTTAATGAAAAACTATTTATGATGCTGGAGAGAACATCTTGGCTTTGAGTCACTTTTAAATCATAGAAGAGGATTATTCCATAAAATTATTTATAATGCCTAAAATTATTCTTTGCCCAAATCATAAATTTTCAGCATTACCAAGAAGCCATTTAGTATGTATAGGGTGTTTCAGCAAGTGCAGAGATGCCCAGGTGGTTGGGATTCAATACAACGAGCTGTCACGCTGCACATTCTTGGAGTACAACCTTAATGGGCATTTTCCCACCTGTGCAATTCCTCTGTTTTCACCCCACTCCATTCATATTTCACAAACTACTCTAATTATAGTATTTATTATTGACCTCAGGAAAAAGAAGTTTGAAAGGGTGGAAAAAACATGCATTTTGTCTCCATGGATAGTAAATCACTGAGCTATTGTTCCTTGGGAATCCCAATTCATGAGAAATTACATAGACTTTTGCCCTAACACTAATCAGCTGCCTGATCTGTAAATATTTCAGATCCTTGCCTGTATCTATTTCTCCTTGCAGAAAACTGTAATTTATCTAGATTTTTCTAATAATTCACTGACATTTTACTGCTATCCAATGAGTAAATCATTGTTGCTTTTGGTATCTTATGATTTTGTTCTTTTGTGTCAAAGTTTAGCTAGTTTCATCTATCAGGTTGGAATAAAAAATGCAAATTATGACTATACCACTTATATAGTTACATGATCTACTGACCAAAGTTAATCATCACTTTAATCTTGGTAACTCATTCAGAGCCCTAATTGTAATAGCCTTTGCCTGAGTTACCTAGAGAGTGGTCTCAATAATCCCCTTTTATTTTTCATGTAGAGAAAAGGGCACACAAAATGATATTATCTCGATCACCCAGCACATGTATTAAACTATAACAGACTTTTTAAATCATGTGTGATCTTTTATTTTTTGACTGAAAGGGACTAAGTTTGCTGCCCAGAGAAGTCTTTAGGGAGCAAGGAAAGGTAAGCAAATAAACTTATCTGGAGTCAAAGGTCTCAAGGAAAATCTTGCTTTCTATAAAAGGCAGACAACGTCAAGACTCATAGATTTTCCCAGGGCTAAAAATCAGAGCCAATTGCCTCCCATCTTGAAAAGACTCATTCATCATGCTGGTTGAAGTATCACAGATCTTGTCAAAATATTCATGACTCACATACGACCCATCCAAAAGACAAAAGCCAACAAAATATTTTACCAAATTCTAAAATAGTGTTTGTTTTATTATTCTTTGTTATTCTTCAACAATTATTGTTACCTTTACTATATGAAATATAATAGCAATTCCTTGTCTTCATGGTCTTTCTGTTACAGACATGTTTTACACTGATTATACCACTTTAGTGAAATTCATCATACATATTCCTGATCCAAATTCCTTTTTTATTAACCATATATGAGAGAAAGTGGATATTAAAATAATTTTGATGGTAAAATAAGCGAAAAAATAAAGCAAGCATGGTTAAAATGATTAAATTATGGAAAAGTGACCCATGTGTTTCAGATAAACTGACGCTTGAGGGTTTTTGTTGTTATTGTGGTTTAAATTTTATTTTATTTTAATTTTAAGTTCCAGGATACAAGTGCAGGATGTGCAGGTTTCTTACATAGGTAAAGATGTGCCGAAATGGTGGTTTGCTGCACCTCTCAACCTATCACCTAGGTATTAAGCCCTACATGCGTTAGCTCCCTCCCACTGCCCCTGCAGCAGATCCCAGTGTTTGTTGTTCCCTCCCTGTGTCCATGTGTTCTCATTGTCCAGCTCCCACTTGTAAATAAGAACCTACGGTGTTTGGTTTTCTGTTCCTGTTTTAGTTTGTTGAGGATAATGACTTCCATGAAGCTTGAGTTTTCATTCTACAATTTACTGAATGACATTTGAGCAGCTAGCTGACTTTTTAATGCCTTGATTTTAATAATTCAATGAGTTATTGGGTGAGATAATTTAGAACAGCATACATGATATCGTTATTATTAGTCAATAAAATGCTATTTATCTTATTTATTACTCATAACAAAAATATGTATATGACCCTTCGCTATGTTTGAATATGTGATATATTGAATTGAATTCACTGTGAGGCTTCAGTAGGTACCTATAATATTCAAATATGTTACCTGAAAGCTGTGAAAAATATATTTTTAAAAATTAGATTTACATGCAGTCAAGTTTTCTTTTGATGACACACTCTCTTGATATATACTAAGTTTTATACTTGGAATCTTTCACTTTTATCCTTACTCAGAAACGTGAATATTAAGAATCAGTAGAGCCAGCTCTTCTACATGTTCCCTGCCAATTGCTATCTTGCCTACTTTTAAAACACCTCTAACTTGAGAAAATGAAAACCCACAAACTAACAATTGTTCCAGGGAAGTCCATGGCATCACTTGGAACTTTTCATCATTAGTCCCAGTTACACTCTTTTGTGTTGTATACAACATTGGCATATACTCTAGTCATCTGTATGCCAAGTTAAATGAGACTTCATTCAGCAACCAGTAATATGTCATGCATCAGAAGTCTCTCTCATCATATTGCTTATCACCATCAAATAGTTTCCATTTTGTCTTTATTCCTTAAAAATTGTCATGCTTAAAATTGGTGCAAATAATGTAGATACTTGTGATTCTATTATATCTACATATATTTTTCTATTTTGCAAGAGAAGTGAATTTTAATAAATTAGTTCTCTTAGATTATAATGCTACAGAAAAACTGAATGACCTGACTCGTTGGTGATTTGATTGGGACTGGATTTGTGTTCCTGCCCAAATCTCGTGTTGAAATGTAATCCCCAATGCTGGAGATGGGAACTGATGTGAGGTGATTGGATCATGGGAGTGGTTTCTAATAGTTTAACACCATCCCCGAAGTGCTGTTTCGTGATAGAGTTCTCTGAAGATCTGGTTGTTTAAAAATATGTGTACCTCCCATCTGTCTCTTCCTCCTGCTCTGGCCAGGTAAGATTTGCCTGCTTTCTCTTCACCTTCACCTTCCACTGAAGAGAGAGGTTAAAGATTAACCCCCCCACTCTAATCACATGTACTGTCTATAAATCTCAATCTATCAAGACCCTTTCACGTGGACCCCTTGGAGTTGTAAGCCCTTAAAAGGGTCTGGAGCTCTTTCTTTGGAGAGCGTCATTCTTGAGATGCAAGTCTGCTGACGCTCCCAGCCAAATAAAGCCTCTTCCTTCTTTAACATGGCATCTGAGGGGTTTTGTCTGTGGCTCATCCTGCTGCATTTCTTGGTTCCCTGACCAGGAAGTGAGGTGATTAACGGACAGTTGAGGCAGCCCCTTAGGTGACTTACACCTGCCCTGCAGAGCATCCCTGCAGTGAACTCCAGCCAGCTTGAGCGATGGGGATCCTGAGACCGCTCCTGGGTAGGTGTTTGTCCTGGTAGAACTCCTCGTCAGAGTGGTGCATGGCAGGCCCCCGCAGATGATCAATGCAATGTCTGAACACTGGGAAGGAACCATTGCTTGGAGTCCAGACATCTGGAATACAGAAGGACCGGTCCTGGGAACTTGCCCACTGCATTTGAGTGGAAGCGTGGCCTGATCACCCACTGTGTGCCCTTATGGGCACTTTGGTCTCAGTATTGATTTTGATTTGGCTTGACCTGTTTGCAAAAAGGAAAGTGAAAGTGAGTGAGTGCTTGAGTTTTAGATGTGCGAGGTGAGCGAGTGACCTCTTTACCCTTTCCTTCTTGTGGTGTGAGTGTTGTTTTGTCTCGGGAGGAAAATGGGTGTTATGCAAAGTAAGCCCACTCTGCTAGGAACTATGTTGAAAAATTTCAAGGAAGGATTTAATGGAGACTATGGAGTTACTATACACCAGGAAAACTTAGGACTTTGTGTGAAATAGACTGGCCAGCATTGGAAGTGGGTTGGGCATCAGAAGGAAACCTAGATGGGTCCCTTGTTTTTAAATGTATGGCACAAAGTAACTGGTAAGCCAAGACACCCAGACCAGTTTCCGTAAATAGACACTTGGTTACAGCTGGTTTTAGAGCCACCACAGTGGTTAAGAGGACAGGCAGCAGTAGTACTAGTGGCAAAGGGACAGACAGCCAAGGAAGAATCCTGCTCCACCAACCTAAGGGAGTCAGCTCCTAAAGTCCTGTCTGATCCAACACCAGAGGATTCATGGCAAGAAACAGCACCAGTGGCCCCCTTTCCACCAAGAAGAAAGGTCTCCCACTCCGATACCCCATCCTATACCAAAAAGCCACAAGCTCTGATGGATTTGCTCCAAACTGTTATCCAGACCCACAAACCCCACCTGGGCTGATTGCCACTAGTTGCTCATATGCCTCTTTAACACAGATGAAAGGAGGAGAGTGCTCCAAGCAGCAACGAAGTGGCTTTAGAACATGTTCCAGCTGATTACCAAAACCCCCAAGAGTATATGAGGATCCAATTACCAGGAACAGATGCCGAGTGGGACCCAAATGAAAGACAGGGTATGCAAAGGCTAAACCGGTACAGGAAAGCCCTTCTGGAAGGGTTAAAGAAGGGAGCTCAGAAGGTCACAAATGTTAACAAAGTCTCTGAGGCCATTCAAGGAAAAGATGAGAGCCCGGCACAATTCTACAAGAGACTACGTGAGGCCTATCGTATGTATACCCCCTTTGATCCCAGTAGCCTTGAAAATCAGCACATGATTAACATGGCTTTAGTTAGTCAAAGTGCAGAAGACATTAAAGAAAATTTCAAAAACAGGCTGGGTTCACGGTCATGAATACTTCACAGTTACTGGAGATAGCCAAGCAGGTGTTTGTGAATAGAGACACGGTAAGCTACAGAGAGAACTGCAGAGAGAGTGAACGCCAAGCCCGGCGAAACGCCGACCTGCTAGCCACAGCTATAAGAGGGGCCCCCCCAAAGAGACCAGAGAAGGGGGGCCCCAGGAAAAATACCCAGTCTGTCCATCCACGCTTGCAGCGTAATCAGTGTGCTTACTGTAAGGAAATAGGACGTTGGAAGGACAAGTGCCCACAGTTGAAAGGGAAACAAGGTGACTCTGAGCAGAAGGCCTCAGACAAGGATGAAGGGGCCTTGTTCAATCGGGCAGAAGGGTTACTGGACTGAGGGGGACCAGGCTCATGTGCCCCCAAAGAGCCCATTGTCAGGATGACAGTCGGGTACGAGGACATTTAGTTTCTTGTCAATATTGGTGCTGAACATTCAGTAGTAACCACCCCAGTCGCCCCCTTATCCAAAAAGACTATTGACATAATCGGAGCCACAGGGGTTTCGGCAAAGCAAACGTTCTGTTTCCCCCAGACCTGCACTGTGTGGGGCATGAAGTGATTCATCAGTTCCTGTACATGGCTGACTGCCCCTTGCCTTTGCTAGGAACGGACCTACTTAGCAAGCTGAGAGCCACCATCACTTTTACAAAGCACGGCTCTTTACCGCTAAAGCTACCTGGAACGGGAGTCATAATGGCCCTTATGGTTCCCTGGGAGGAGGAATGGAGACTCTTCTTAACTGAGCCAGGCCAAGAGATAGGAGCAACTCTGGCTAAGTGTTGGCCAAAGGTGTGGGTGGAAGACAACGCTCTAGGGTTGGCAATCAACCAGGCCCCCGTACTCATAGAAGTTAAGCCTGGGGCCCAGCCAGTCAGACAAAAACAGTACCTGGTCCCCAGAGAAGCTCTTGAAGGTATCTGGATCCATCTCGAGTGCCTGAGGGCCTTTGGAATTGTAGTCCCTTGTCAGTCTCCATGGAACAATCCCCTCCTGCCTGTTCCCAAGCCAGGGGCCATGGACTGCAGGCTGGCACAGGATTTGCGCTTGGTCAACCAAGCTACAGTGACTTTGCACCCAGTGGTACCTAACCTGTACACATTGTTGGGGTTGCTGCCAGCTGAGGACAGCTGGTTCACTTGCCTGGACCTAAAGGACATTTTCTTTAGCATCAGGCTAGCTCCTGAGAGCCAGAAACTGTTTGCCTTTCAGTGGGAGGATCCGGAGTCAGGTGTCACCACTCAGTACCTTGGACCCAGCTTCCCCAAGGGTTCAAGAACTCCCCCACCATCTTTGGGGGGGTGCTGGCTTGAGACCTCCAGAAGTTTCCCACCAGAGACCTAGGCTGCTTGCTGCTCGAGTACATCGATGACCTCCTGTTGGGACACCCCACGGCAGTCGGGTGTGCCAAGGGAACGGATACCCTACTCCAGCACCTGGAGGACTGTGGGTATAAGGTGCCCAAGAAGAAAGCTCAGATCTGCAGACAGCAGGTAAGTTACCTGGGATTTACTATCTGATAGGGGGAGCACAGCCTGGGATCAGAAAGAAAGCAGGTCATTTGCAACCTACCGGAGCCCGAGACCAGAAGGCAGGTGAGAGAATTCTTAGGAGCCATGGGGTTCTGCAGGTTATGGATCCCAAACTTTGCAGTACTGGCCAAGCCCCTGTACAGAGTCACAAAGGGGAGCGACAAGGAACCTTTCAAATGGGGGTCCCAAAAGCAATGAGCTTTTCATGAGTTAAAAGAGAAACTCATGTCAGCCCCCGCCCTGGGGCTGCCTGACCTGACAAAGCCATTTACACTATATGTGTCAGAGAGAGAGAAGACGGTGGTTGGAGTTTTGACCCAGATCATGTGGCTCTGGCCAATGCTGGTGGCCTACATCTCTAAACAACTAGATGGGGTTTCTAAAGGTTGGCCCCCATGTTTGAGGGCCTTGGCTGCAACTGCCAATGGACGGATCCAGTTATCAGATAAAAAAATAGCCATGCCACAACTGCTAGGAGCCACAGTCGTACTGGCTGTTCTTGAGGCCCCACATGCTGTGGTGACTTTAATGAATACCAAAGGACATCATTGGCTAACAAATGCTAGACTAACTAGGTACCAAAGCTTACTCTATGAAAATCCCCACATAACCATTGACGTTTGCAACACCTTGAACCCCACCACCTTACTCCTGGTATCAGAGAGCCCAGTTGAACCTAACTGTGTAGAGTTGTTGGACTCAGTTTATTCTAGCAGGCCCGACCTCCAAGACCATTCTTGGAAATCAGTAGACTGGGAGCTGTATATGAACGGGAGCAGCTTCGTCAACCCACAGGGAGAGAGATGTGCAGGATATGCAGTGGTAATGCTGGGCACTGTCATTGAAGCCAAATCATTGCCCAGGGTACTTCAGCCCAGAAGGCCAAACTCATTGCTTTAATTTGGGCCATAGAGCTAAGTGAAGATAAGACTGTAAATATTTATACTGACTCTTGGTATGCCTTCTTAACCCTGCAAGTGCATGGGGCATTGTATAAAGAAAAAGGCCTGTTGAACTCTGGGGGAAAAGACACAAAGTATCAGCAAGAGATTCTGCAATTATTAGAGGCAGTGTGAAAGCCCCAAAAGGTGGCAGTCATGTACTGCAGAGGACACCAACAATCTTTCACCTTGATTGCCTTGGGGAACTCCCGAGCTGACTCAGAGGCTTGAAAAGCAGCATCCACCCCCTACCGGGCATCAGTCACAGCACCCCCTGCTCCTTCAGGCACCTGACCTTGTACCTACTTATTCTAAAGAAGAGAAGGACTTTCTCCAGGCAGAGGGAGGGCAGGTGATAGAAGAGGGATGGATCCAGTTATCAGATAGAAGAATAGCCATGCCACAACTGCTAGGAGCTGCAGTCGTACTGGCTGTTCATGAGACCACCCACCTAGGCCAAGAGTCACTTGAAAAGTTGTTAGGCTGGTAGTTCTACAACTCACATCCGGCAGCCCTTGCCAAAACAGTGGTGTATCAGTGTGTCACCTGCTGGCAGCAGAAAGGTAGGCAAAATGCAAATGTCCCGCCCAGCATACAAGCCTGTGGAGCAGACCCCTTTGAAGATCTCCAAGTAGACTTCACCAAGATGCCCAAATGTGGAGGTAACAAGTATTTGCTAGTTCTAGTGTGTACATACTCTGGGGGTGGTGGTGGTGGTGGTGTGGAGGTCTGTCCAACACGAACTGAGAAAACTCTTGAAGTAACCTGTGTGATTCTCCGAGATCTCATCCCTAGGTTTGGACTGCCCTTACAAATAGACTCGGACAACAGGCTGGCATTTGTGGCTGACTTGGTACAGAAGACAGCAAAGGTATTGGGGATCACATGGAAACTACATACCACTTACCGACCACAGAGTTCTGGAAAAGTGGAGCAGATGAATCAGACTATCAAAAGTAATTTAGGGAAAGTGTGTCAAGAAACAGGATTAAAGTGGGTACAAGCTTTCCCTATGGTATTGTTTAAGATTAGATGTACCCCTTCTAAAAGAACAGGATATTCCCCTTATGAACTATTATATCATAGGCTCCCTCCCATACTACGGGGATTCCCAGGCACTCCTCAAGAGCTAGGTGAAATTGAGTTACAGTGACAGCTACAGGCTTTAAGGAAAATTACACAAACAATTTCAGCCTGGGTAAATGAGAGGTGCCCCATCAGCTTATTCTCCCCAGTTCACCCTTTCTCCTTAGGTGATCGGGTGTGGATCAAGGATTGGAACGTAACCCCCTTGCAGCCATTGTGGAAAGGACCCCAGACCGTCATCTTGACCACAGCCACAAAGGTAGAGGGAATCCCAGCCTGGATCCACCACAGCCATATAAAACCTACAGCACCTGAGACCTGGGAGGTAAGACCAAGCCAGGACAACCCCTGCAAAGTGATGCTGAAGAAGACAATAAGCCCTGCTCCTGTTACACCCAGAAGCTGGCTGGTCCATGCCTGGCTGAAGCATAAGGAAACTCATTGTGGGTCTCATTTTCCTTAAATTTTAGACTTGTACAGTAAGTACTTCAACTGATCTTCCTCAGACTGAGGACTGTTCCCAGTGACATCAAGTTACTGAGGTAGGGCGAAAAGTTAAAACAGTCTTTCTGTTTTATAATTATTATGAAGGTACTGGAACTCTAAAAGGGACTTGTTTGTATAATGCCACCCAGTACAAGGTATGCATGCCAGGAAGTGACCAGCCTGATGTGTGCTATAACCCATCTGAGCCCCCTATGACTACAGTTTTCCAAATAAGATTGAGGACTGGCAACTGGGGAAAAGCTGATAAGAGTAAAGTAATATCTAAAACAGAAGAGAAAGGAGTTCCCAAACAAATTATCTTAAAATTTGATGCCTGTGTGGCAATCAACAGTGACCCGTATGGAAATAGAATAAGATGCGGCTGTCTAGATTGGGAAAGTGGCTATATAGTAGAAAATAAGTATGTTTGCAATGAATTAGGACTGTATAGTGATGAACATAGTTACTGGTCCTGTGTCATTTAGGCTACCTGGAAAAAAGATAAGAAGGACCCTGTCCTCCTTCAAAAAGGAAAGAGTAACTGTTCCTGCACTAGTGGTCACTGTAACTCATTAGAACTACCTGATCACCATTGGAAAACAGGAGAGTATGTAACCCTAGGAATCAATGGAACTGGACTGGATCCCCAAGTAAATATTTAAGTGCAAAGGAAGGTCCACAGGCTCTTTCCCAAACCAGTGTTTCAGACCTTTTAATAATAATAGTGTTAGGAGCCTGCATGTTACTCCCCTGTATGTTACCCATATTTCTACCACCTTAGTTCATCAAAAGACCTCAGCACAAGTGTATTACATGAATCCCTATTGATCTGTCTCACAGGAAGACCTGGGTGGTGACTATGAAAGTGAGAACTCCCACTAGTGAGTGAGGTTCTCAAAGTGGGGGAATGAGGAGAGAGGCCATTTATCTTACTGTCTCCTGTCTCTGAAGAGAAAGAGGAAGTAAAAGCTGAAAAACAACAGGAATGAAATCAGTGGCAAGACCAGCCAGTGCACCGATGACCAGGCCTGAGGTTAAAAGATTAACCCCCAACTCTAACCACATGTGCTACCTATAGATCTCAATCTATCATGACCCTTTCACGTGGAACCCCTTAGAGTTGTAAGCCCTTAAAAGGGCCAGGAACCCTTTCTTCGGGGAGCTCCATTCTTGAAATGCAAGTCGGCCAATAGTCCAGTCCGAATAAGGCCTCTTCCTTCTTTAATCTGGTATCTGAGGGGTTTTGTCTGCAGTTCATCCTGCTACAGTCCCAGTGCTGGTGGCCACAGGAGTGCTTATGTCGCCCCTCCCCTAAATGCAGACAGCACAGCATGGAGAGAGAGAGAGACTCCATTTGTTTGGGGGAGAGTGAAGGAAAAGAACAAGAGCCTCTGCCTCATAATCCAGGGAATTCTGCCAGATCTTACTGCAGACCACCAAGGTGGTACATCTGTGAGTTTGCAAGAGTCATAGTGTTACTGGGCTTGAGATGCCTCTAAAGCAGATATGGCTGCAGTGACCAAATACTTAGATCACAACCCTCAATTCCCTTTGAATACTGGGAAAGCCTTCTCAAGGAGGATGGGAGGCTGGGCATGGTGGCTCATGCCTGCAATCCCAGCACTTTAGGAGGCCAAGGTGGGCAGATCACCTGAGGTGGGGAGTTCAAGACCAGCCTGACCAACATGGAGAAACCCCGTCTCTACTAAAAATACAAAATTGGCCAGGCGTGGTGGCACATGCCTGTAATCCCAGCTACTTAGGAGGCTGAGGCAGGAGAATCACCTGAACCTGGGAGGTGGAGGTTGCAGTGAGCCGAGATTGTGTCATTGCACTCCAACCTGGGCAACAAGAGTGAAATTCCATGAGGAAGAAGAAGGAGAAGGAGACCAGATGTGGTGGCTCATGGCTATAATTCCAACAATTTGGGAAGCTGAGGAGGGAGGATCACTTGAATCCATGAGATCAAAACCAGCCTGGGCAACATACTGAGATCCTGTGTCTACAAAAAATACAAAAATCAGCTGGGCATGGTGGCATGTGCCTGTAGTCCCAGCTACTTGGGAGGCTGAGGTGAGAGGATCGCTTGAGCCCAGGAGGCTGAGGCCTGCAGTGAGCCATGATCATGCCATTGCACTCCAGCCTGAGTGGCAGAGTGAGATTCTGTATTAGAAGAAAGAAACAAACAAAGAAAGATGGGTACACACAAGCACAGACTGTGGAGATTATAATAAATAACTAATTCTTTAATGGCCAGACATTGACCAATAGCCACAAGCATCAAGAGCATCCAGGAAAACATGACCTCACAAAATTAAATAAGGCATGAGTGTCCAATCTCAGAGTGACAGAAATATGTGATCTTTCAGAGAAAAAATTCAAAATAGCTGCTTTGAGGAAGCTCAATGAAACTCAAGACAACACAGAGAAGGAATTCAGAATCCTATCAAATATATTTAACAAAGAGATTGAAATAATTTTTTAAAATCAAGCAGAAATTCTCGACCTGAAAAATGTAATTGACATACTGAAGAATGCATCAGATCTCTTACCAGCAGAACTGATCAAGCAGAAGAAAGAATTAGTGAGGTTAAAGACAGGCTATTTGAAAATACACAGTCAGAAAAGACAAAATAAAAAAGAATTAAAAACTATAAATCAAGAAATAAAGTAAAATAAAAACAATGAAGCACACTTACTAGATCTAGAAAATAGCCTCAAAAGAACAAATCTAAGCATTACAGGAGGTAGAGAGAGAGATCAGCATAGAAAATCTATTCAAAGGGATAGTAAGAGAGAACTTTCCAAACCTAGAGAATGATATCAATGTTCAACTGCAAGAAGGTTATAGAACACCAAGTAGATTTAACCCAAAGGAGACTACCTCAAAGGCACTTAATAATCAAACTCCCAAGAGTCAAGGATGAAGAAAGAATTCTGAAGGAAGAAAGAGAAAAGAAACCAATAACATGTAAGGAGATCCAGTATATCTTGCAGCAGACTTTTCAGTGGAAACATTATAGGCCAAGAGAGAGTGGCATGACATATTTAAAGAATTGAAGGAAAAAAAACTTTCATTCTAGAACATTATATCCAGTGAAAATATTCTGAGATCAGGAGTTTGAGAACAGCCTGACCATCATGGTGAAATGCTGTGTCTAGTAAAAATACAAAAATTAACTAGTTATTGTGGTGTATGCTGTTAATCCCAGCTACTCGGGAGGCTGAGGCAAGAGAATCACTTGAACCCAGAAGGTGGAGGTTGCAGTGAGCTGAGATCACGCCACTGCACTCCAGCCTGGGTGACAGAGTGAGACTGCCACAAAAACATAATAATAGTAATAATAAAAGAAAAAGGCAAAAATTCAAACAACAGAAACTGGGCAAAGCCCTCCACAAAAGAGGAAATGTGAAGGAATAGCTAATAAAAACACGAAGAGGGTCTCAGCCTAACAGGGGGAGATGTCACGTGACACCCACCAGACTGGCAAAAATCCCACAACCCAATCCATGCAAGAGTTAGGGAGAATGGAGAGTAGCAGGAACACCAGGCACTGCTAAGAACGGTTGTGAAATATATTTTTGTTATGCTTCTATATGAAAGGGTGTGTGTTGTGGGTTATGAGAAAAATTACATTTCTTACCTGGGATGAAATTTTAAACATTGGAAGCTATTGACCAGAAGAAACTTGCACTTTTGTACAAAAGAAATACCCAAGAACATTCCTAACAAAACAGAGTCCTAAAGGCCCCAACCTGGCCAAACACTCATCAACAGGGAAATGAAGACATTTCCCATGCTCCTCTCATATGACCGGAGATCATGCAGCAATAAAAATGAATCATGTCAATGTGGGTGGGTCTCAGGAAGAGAATGGAGGACAAAAATAGACATCGAGCAGATGCTCAGAGCCATGCAGTGTAGGAGCAGCCACACAGGAGAATTTCTCACATCAAAGTTCAAAACTACAGCCAAGGCAACAGAGCAAGACCCTGTCTCAAAAAGACAATGGAAAGTTCCAAAACTAAATGGCATATTTTTTAGGGATGTACACATAAGTGGTGGAAGAAATGTACTATGAAGAAAAATATGGGAATAATAAAGACTAAAAGAGGAATTGATTCCCTCTGTAGGAGAAGGGAAGGGGCTAGGGCTCAGGCAGGGCCTCCGGGGAGCATCCAAAGTTATGTCTCTTCAGATTCTATTCCCTAAACTTGGTGGAGGTCCTCTGTGTCCAATGTGTCTGTATTCTTTATACCTTACCCATATTGTACAAATGCTTTATTTCTATTCAACATTTAGAAGACAATCATAAACAAAATGCATTAAATAGCAAGATGGCAAATGAACCTCAGGAAGGAACATCAGGAACATCCATGAGGTTCCATCCACGGAACCTCACCATGGATACGCTTGTGATCAAGGGCCTTGTCTCCCCTCAAGACAGTCAGAGATCAGAGGCTGCCCTCATCATAGCAGTGGAACAGGACCAGCTGGGACAGGGTCCTTCTGTGACACCTGCTGTGTCACCAGGCTGTGCGAATGGACTCAGCTGCCCGAACTCACAGAATATCAGTAACAGCACCGAAACTTCACAGGAAAAATGGTAAGTTGTAAGTTTCTCCATTAATAGTAACTCTCAGATTAGTCTATGTCATCCATCGCTTCTCCATTAAATAACTTTTTATAGCTTTACATGGGTCGATTTTTCAATTTATATTTTATTTTACTAACTGAATGAAAAGATATATATTGTGTGTGGTGTGTGATTTTGTCTCAGTCAGGATAATCATAGTTTAATTTCTATTATTATTATACCAATATCATTTAGTTTTTTTAAGCTGTTCAATTCCTGAGGGTATTAATCAGGGTCTTTCTGTCTCATGAGACAAAAAACAAATCCAAACTGTGTAAGAGAAAGAAGAATGCATTGATCACGAGGACTGAGAAGCTCCCAGGCTTAACTTGCTTGGGATTCAGCTACATGTACAGTTTCAAGTGGTGTCCTGTAAACTCTCTCTCTCTCTCTCTCTCTCTCTCTCTCTCTCTACTTCCCCAACATCTGCTCCATGTTTAGCTCCACGAACTTCAGACTTAAAAAGCATCACTGGCTCCTGACCAGGATTCCAGCTCCATGAACCTCAAACTAGAACACCAGCCCGGCTTCTCTGCAGGTCTCCAGCTCCAAAACCTAAGACATCAGTGGCAGTACAAACTCATCCCAGGGGCTCCAGCTCCAGGACCCTCAGACTTGAACCGCAGCACCAACTCTTCCCTGGATCTCCATCTCCATGACCCTCAGACTTAAACAGCAGCAGCACCAGTTCATCTGTGAATCTCCAGCTCCACAACCCTCCAACTAGAAACACACCAGCTCCTCCCTGGGTCTCCAGCTGCACGACCCTCAAACTACAACATCAGCTCCTCCCCGGGTCTCTAACTCCATGACCCTCAAACTAAAACAACACTGCTCACCCCTGGGACTCCAGATCCACAAACCTTACACTAGAACAGAAACACCAGCTCCTCCACAGATCTCCAGCTTTACAATCTAAGACATTAGTGGCAGCACCATCTCCTCCTGGGGTCTCAAGCTCCAGGACCCTCAGACTTGAATCGCAGCACCAGCTCTTCCCCGGATCTCCAGCTTGACGACCTTCAGACTTAAACAACAAAAGAATCAGCTCCTCCCTGGGTCTCCAGCACCACAACCCACAAACTAGAAGAACACCACTCCCCCATGGATCTCCAGATCCATGACCCTCACACTAGAACACCAACACCTGCTCCTCCGTGGGTCTCCAGATCCACGAACCTCACACTGGAACACCAACACTGGCTCCTCTGCGGGTCTTCAGCTCCACAACCTAAGACATCAGTGGCAGCATTGGCTCCTCCCATGGATTCCAGCTCCAAGACCCTCACATTTAAACTGCAAGACCACCTTCTCCCTGTATCTCCAGCTGCACAACCCTCAAACTAGAACATCAGCTCCTCCAATGGTCTTCAGCTGCACGAAACTCAAACTAGAAAAACAACAGCTCCTCCCTGGGTCTCCAGCTCTGCAACCATCAAACTAGAACACCATCAGCTCCTCTCCAGGTCTCCAGCTCCACAGCTCTCAAATAAGAGCAACATCAGCTTCTCCCTGGGTCTCCAGCTGCACAACCCTCAAACTAGAAAAACACCAGCTCCTGCCTGGGTCTCCAAGCTCCATGACCCTCAAACTCGAACAACATCAGCTCCTCCCCACGTCTCCAGCTGCATGACCCTCAATCTAGAAAAACAGCAGCAAACTAATAAAACCTCCCCGGGTGTTTCTAGTTTGAGGGTCATGCAGCTGGACACCTGGGAAGGAGCTGATTTTAATCTAGTTTGAGCATCGTGGAGCTGGACACTCAGGGAGGAGCAGATGTTTTTCTATTGTGAGGATTTTGGAGCTGGAGATCCAGGGTGGAGCAGTGTTGTTATAGTTTGAGGTCATCTGAGGGTCAGCTGCATGACCCTTAAGCCAGAAAAACACCATTTTCCCCCTGGGACTCCAGCTCCACAAACCTCACACTAAAACAGCAACACCGGCTCCTTCGCAGGTCTCCAGCTTTACAACCTAAGACATTCGTGGCAGCACCATCTCCTCCTGGGGTCTCAAGCTCCAGGACCCTCAGACTTGAACCGCAGCACCAGCTCTTCCCCGGATCTCCAGCTCGATGACCTTCAGACTTAAACAACAGAAGGATCGACTCCTCCCTGGGTCTCCAGCACCACGACCCTCAACTAGAACACCATGAGCTCCTCCCTGGGTCTCCAGCACCACAACCCAAAAACTAGAAGAACGTCACTCCCCCATGGATCTCCAGATCCACACCCTCACACTAGAACACCAACACCGGCTCCTCTGTGGGTCTTCTGCTGCACAATCTAAGACATCAGTGGCAGCATTGACTCCTCCCATAGATTCCAGCTCCAGGACCCTCAGATTTGAACCACAAGACCACCTCCTTCTTGGATCTCCAGCTGCACAACACTCAAACTAGAACAACATCAGCTCCACCCCGGGTCTCCAGCTCCATTACACTCAAATTAGAACAACATCAGCTCCTCTTTGAGTCTCCAGCTGAAAGATCGTAAAACAAGGACAACATCAGCTCCTTCCCGAGTCTTCAGCTGCAGGGCACTCAAACTAGAACCCTCCCCCGTCTTCAGCTGCACGACCTTCAGACTAGAACATCAGCAACTCTCCTGGTCTCCAGCTGCAGGATACTCATATTAGAAAAACGCCAGCTCCTCCCGGGTTCTACAGCTGCATGACCCTCAAACTAAAAAACACCCGCTGCTCCCCAGGTCTCCAGCTGCATGAACCTCAAACTAGAACAACATCAGCTCCTCCCCGGGTCTTCAGTTGCCTGACCCTCAAACTAGAACAACATCAGCTCCTCTCCAAGTCCCCAGATCACGGCCCTCAAACTAGAACATTAGCTCCTTCCCGAGTCTTCAGCTGCACCACCCTCAACCTAGAACATCGGCTCCTCTCTGGGTCTCTAGCTGCTGGACACTCATACTAGAAAAACACAAGCTCCTCCCAGGTTCTACTGTTGCACGACCCTCAAACTAAAAAACAACCGCTCCTCCTCAGGTCTCCAGGTGCATGAACCTCAAACCAGAACAACATCAGCTCATCCCCGGGTCTTAAGCTCATGGCCCTCAAACTAGAACATCAGCTCCTCCCTGAGTCTTAAGCTGCACAACCCTCAATTGAAAGCATCAGCTCTTCTCCAGGTCTTCAGCTGCAGGACACTCACACTAGAAAAATGCAAGCTCCTCATGGGTTCTACAGCTGTATGACCCTCAAACTAAAGAAACACCAGCTCCTCTCTGGGTCTCCAGCTCCATGACCCTCAAACTAGAACCAAATCAGCTCCTCTTTGCATCTCCAGTCGCATGGCTCTCAAACTAGAACATCAGCTCCTCTCCTGGTCTCCAGCTGTAGGACACTCATACTAGAAAAACGCCAGCTCTTCCCCGGTTCTACAGCTGCATGAATCTCAAACTAAAGAAACACCCGCTCCTCTCCATGTCTCCAGCTGCATGAACCTCAAATCAGAACAACACCAGCTCCTCTCTGGGTCTCCAGCTCCATGACCCTTAAACTAGAACCACATCAGCTCCTCTCTGGGTCTCCAGCTGAAAGACCCTCAACAAGAACAACATCAGCTCCCCTCCAAGTCTTCAGCTGCACAACCCTCAAACTAGAACAACATCAGCTCCTCTCCAGGTCTCCAGCTGCAGGACACTCATACTAGAAAAACACCAGCTCCTCCCGGGTTCTACAGCTGCATGACCCTCAAACTAAAAAACACCCGCTGCTCCCCAGGTCTTCAGCTACATGAACCTCAATCTAGAACAATACCTGCTCCTCTGTGGATCTCAAGCTCCATGATCCTCAAACTAGAATAACATCAGCTCCTCTCCAGGTCTCCAGCTGCAGTATCCTCAAACGAGAACATCAGCTTCTCCCTGAGTCTTCAGCGGCACGACCCTCAAACTAGAACATCAGCTCTTCTCCAGGTCTCCAGCTGCAGGACACTCATACTAGAAAAATACCAGCTCCCCCTGGGTTCTACAGCTGCACGGCCATCAAACTAAAGAAACACCAGCTGCTCTCTGGGTCTCCAGCTGCAGGACCCTCAAACCAGAACATCAGATTCTCCCGGGTTCTGCAGCTGCCCAACCCTCAAACTAAAGAAACTCCTGCTCCTCCCAGGGTCTATAGCTGCATGACCCTCAAACTAAAAAACACCAGCTCCTCCCCAGATCTCCAGCTGCAACCCTCCTATTGCTCCTTTGTTTGTTACCCATATTTCTCCAACTTCTAAGAAGTTTTGTTACTACCTTGGTTCATCAGAAAACTTCAGCACAAATGTATTACATGAATGTCTTGTAATACACAAGTGTATTACATGAATCACTGTCGATCTGTCTTGCAGAAAGACCTGGGTAGTGAAGATGAGAGTGAGACCTCCCACTAGTGAGTAAGGTTCTCAAATGGGGGAATGAAGAGAGAGGTTAAAGATTAGCCCCCCTCTAATCACATATGCTATCTCTGAATGTCAATCTATCACAACCCTTTCACGTGAACCCCTTAGAGTTGTAAGTTCTTAAAAGGGCCAGGAACTCTTTCTTCAGAGAGCTCAGTTCTTGACATGCAAGTCTGCTGATGCTCCTGGCCAAATAAAGCCACTTCCTTCTTAACCCGGTGTCTGAGTGGTTTTGTCTGTGGCTAGTCCTCCTACACCACCATGATTCTAACTTTCCTGAGGTTTTCTCAGAAGCCACTATGCTTCTCATACAGTCTGCAGAACCTTCAGCCAATTAATCTTCTTTTCCCTATAAACTACCCAGTCTCAGGTATTTAATAGCAGTGAAAGAATGGACTAATACTTGATTATTCCAGCTAAACAAAATCAAAGTAGACACCATGCCATTGTTAGCAAATTCAGGCTAAATCACCAACCAAAAATATGTGTGAATGTCTCTTGCAATATGTGTAATGCATCTTTGTGTAATATGCATATTTGAATACAATTTATATTTATGTTTTCTGAAGAGATAAAATCATTGGGATTCTTTTACATTCAGAATCCATGAAGGTCCTTGAACTAGAAGGTATGATTAATTTCAAAATAAATTTGAAAATTAGTTCATAAGTCAATGGCAAAATTAACATAGGTGGGAATTAATGTTATAATTTCATATACTGCTTTCATAATTTAGCAGTTTTTCATACTGGGAAAATTATAAATAATAATAGGAAATATATTAATATAACAAATTGTATACTTCTGGCCCAATTTCTTCTTCTTTTCTGAGAATATATAATTACTATTTGATATAGATTTTTTATGTTAGCCATAGACAATCCTTAATTGAAAAATCATTTAGACAATCTCTCAAACTTTAAGTTAATTTTCTATGCCACATTTTCTTAACTCATCAAAATATGCATTATATTGATTTTCAATTAATTTATTTTGAAATGAATGAAATAAAAATGTGAAAAAAGTTATCCAAAATGAAACAACAGTATAGGATGATTAACAAGATTAACATATTAGTCAATATAAAATTCCACTGCTATATTGCCATAGCTATGGAACTGTTGTGATATGTTCATTCTACTAAATCCTAATATTTAAAAAAAAAAAAAAGAAAAATGACCTCCAGTACATATAGAAAATTGGTTGCTTTAGTATGCATTAACTAATTTTGAAGAAATAGCAAAGAAATGTTCAAACTTTCTTTGTTTTATTAAAACAATGCTGTATTGTGTTAGACTATTGAAAAACAAAACGAATAGGGACCTGTATTCTTTGAACTGATGAGCTTCTTGAAAATAGAATAAATAACCCTGGCATTGGACTTTTAATATGGTATTGTTTAAAGGAGCACTTTTGGCTAGCAAAATTAGAAAGGATTTTTTATTTTTTCATCCTCTATATATGCTGTTCCTTTCTCCAGAAGACAAGCCAATGGTATGTGAAAGAGCTTTAAATTTTTCACTCAAAATAATCACGTAGAGATAAAAAAGAACCGACCTTCTATTATATCACCGGTCTAAGAGAAACGTGCGTTTTAACTTCACCCTCAACAGAGTAAGCTCTTGTGGCCTTAGTGCTTATCATGCATTTTCAGTAGGGAAAGAAAATCACAATGAAGAACAAAACATTTTCAACTTTTAAAAACTAAAAGAGGGAAAATTTAAGGCAGAACTAAATTAAGTAGCAATAAATTAGGGCTGGTTTAGTTGGTGGTTTCCAATAAGCTCTACAGCCACTTCCTTCACCAAGTACATGAGTGTTGCTTCAGCAATCATTCCTTTAATTCATGTCCTTTCTCTCTCTAGAAAAACTCATATATTCATTATCCTAGGAGTATCAGGTTTGCAAAGCTGGACCAAACTAAAGACTCTTCGAGGTGCACTTTGGCTTCTTAAAAGAGCTACCAAGATTTTGGCTGAGGCATGTGACTTAAAACTCAGCAGGTATGATTGGCAAGCTATCCTGTGAAACTTGTAATCAATCACCATCGGTTTTAGTGAATTGTATTATCTTTGTTCTTGTAAACACTTTCTTTCAAGTTATCATTGCTTGTGATTGAATCATGAGCTCTTAGATTTCTAAGGGAACAGAAAACCTATGAAACATTTGAAGCACTTTTGAAAAGAAACTTCGTGGCCAGAAACTCACCAAAACCTGAGGAAATCTTTTTTATTTTGAAATAAAAGAATGCTTCCTTTGTGTTTCTGTCCTTGAATCCAGTTGTTTTACTTGAGATTATAGCAAAGTCTTCTCTGTCTTTTATATAATGATTCTTTAATATTTGACCTATTCCTCTTCCCCCACCTCATTTATGAGTTATGTCTATTCCATCTTAAACATTCTCAGGTTCTTAACTGTATCTGCTACTGTAAATGGTAGTTTAGTTTTTGTTATTTTGATTTTTTTTGTTTATTTTGGTTTTTTTCTAGCTTTATTGCTGTATAATTGACAAATAGAAATTGTGTGCTACGAGTTGATGTGTAGCTATTCATATATGTTCTGAAATGGTTATCACAATCAAGTTAATTAACATATCTATTACTTTATGTAGTTAACTCTGTGTGTGTGTGAGTGTGTGTGTGTGTAATGAGAATATTTAACACCTACCCTATTGGCAATTATCTCCCTATTTTCCTTTCCCCCAACCCCACCCTTCTACTCTGTGCTGCTATAAATTTGACTATTTTAGATTTCACATGTAAGTGAGATTATGCAGTGTTTTTTTCCTCTGTTGGATTATTTAGCTTAGTATCATTTCCTTCTGGTTCATACTTGTTATTACAAATGGCAGGATTTCCTTCTTTTTCAAGGCTGAAAAATACTCCAATATATTTGTGTGTGTGTGTGCATGCACGTAGAATCCTTCATGGAGTCATTTATCCATTCCTCCATTAACATTTAGGTTTCCCTGAATTGGCTATTGTGACTAATGCTGCAATACACATCGGGGTGGAGGTATCTCTTTGAGGTAGTGATTTTATTTCATTTGGATATACATCCAGAAATGAAACTGCTACATTTTATGAGTTCTAATTTTATTTTTTGAGGAATTTCCATACTGCTTTCCACGTTGACTGTATTAACTTACATTCCCACCAATAGTTTACTTGGGTTTTCTTTTCTCCACATCTTTGCTAACACTTGTTATCTTTTATCTTTTTGTTAATAGCCATTCTAAGAAATGTGAGGTGATAACTCCTTGTGGATTTGATTTACATTTCCCTAATGCTTAGTGATATGAAACATTTGTTTCCTATACCTGTTGGCCATTTGTATGTCTTCTTTGGAGATATGTTTAGTCAGGTCCTTTGCCCATATTTTAATAGGGTTTTTCATTTTTTTCACTATGGAGTTGTATGTGTTCCTTATATATTTTAGATATGAACCCCTTATTTGATGTTTTGAAAATATTTTCTCCCATTTTTCAGGTGTGTTTTTATCCTATTCATTGTTTTGTTTGATGTTCAGAAGCTTCTTAGTTTGATGTAGCCCCACTAGTCTATTTTTGCTTTTGTAGCCTGTGTATTTGGTGTCATATAAAAAAAATTGCCAAGACCAATGTCAAGGACATTTTTTTCTATGATTTATTTTACTAGTTTTACAGTTTCATGTTTTATATTTGCATATTTAATCTGTTTTGAGGTAGTTTTTGTTCAGTATATGGTATAAAATAAGGTTTCAGTTTCACTCTTTTGCATGCGGATATTCAGATTTCCCAACATATTTTATTGAAAACAATATTCCTTCCCCACTGTGTATTCTTGGCACCCATGTCAAAGATTAGTTGAGCATATAGGTGTGAATTTATTTATGGGTTCTCTATTCTGTTCCATTGGTCTGTGTGTCTGCTTTTATGCCAGTACAATACTGTTTTGATTACTATAGTTATGTAATACAGTTTGAAACCATGAAGTAGGATGCCTCCAGCATTTTTTTCCTTGCTCAAGATTGGTTTGACTATTCAGGATTTCTTATGTTTCAGTATAAATTTTGGTTTCCAAATCCAAATACTGTTTAATATAGTGAACAAATCTTTGTTTTCTTTCTGAAACCATCTTTCCAATATATCTCAGAAGTCAGTGGTCTTAATGAATTGGTGCCACCATCTTTCCTTGCTACTCAAATATGTGTTACATAAATTTGAAAATTATTTGAAAGAAAATGGCCAAATATATCTCCTTCATATTTCTCCTTCATGTGTTTTTTTATCCTGAAAATAAAACTGCAAGAGGGAAAAAACAAGGAACAAGCAACAATAAAGAAAAAAAAAGAAGTAGAGACTAGGTAACTAAGAGCAAGATAAAAAGGTGAGTTTTTTCACTGGAGGATTGGATGAAAGAACTAATTAATTTGTCTCTCAGTTTGAGCTTTTCAAGAGTTCTTTATAAGTCCTTCATACTGTGACATGATCTGTTAGCCATTTTCACTGTGGTCCCCATTCTAGAAGCATTTTACTCTCTCTCTCTCTCTCTCTTTTTTTTCTTTTTTGGCGGGAATGGGGGATGGGAGTAGGGGAATGGAGCCTCACTCTGTAGCCAGGCTGGAGTGCAGTTGCTGATCTCAGCTTACTGCAAGCTCCACCTCCTGGGTTCAAGCGATTCTCCTGCCTCAGCCTACCGAGTAGCTGGGACTACAGGCACGTGCCACCACTCCCAGCTAGTTTTTGTATTTTTAGTAGAGATGGGGTTTTACCATGTTGGCAGGATGGTCTCCATCTCTTGACCTCATGATCCGCCCTCATTGGCCTCCCAAAGTGCTGGGATTACAGGCGTGAGCCACCGCGCCTGGCAGCATTTTACTCTCTTTCACATACTTTCTTATATTTATCCTTAGTTTTTTGAAAATATAAGAGTGACATTATAAGGAAAACTTAAATTGTGAGTAGCTCCTAGTAGAAATGGCCTCCTACTTGACTTTTCTCTCCTGTTTTGCCTCAAATCATTCTTCCTGGTTAATTGAGTATGATTTCTAACATGAAGAAACTTGACTTCTGGCTATTAGCAAAAAACGGAAATTTTTTCTCTATTGTTATATTATCATATGGCTTCAGCTCATGGCAACACATTTTCACTTTAGTCAATTCTAACAGCATTTGGATTTAGCAGTGAAATTGTTTGCATCTTTCATTGATAATTTTTTCCAAAGCAGTGTAAAATAAAATGTGGTTTTGATCTGGAATCACTTTTTCCTACATGCACATGCACACCCACCCACACACACATTATTAGGTGCTCACATCCTTACAATGGCACAAACAACTTTGCACTGAACCCTTTACTAGTCACTTACACTTCTCTTGACTTGAATATTCTGCTTATTTATCAGTGTAATGGTTTTTATCCAAATAAAGTAAAACAATAGAATTCAGGCCAATTAGCCTTTATATCCTTGTTGAAAATATTTAATATTACAAATAATTTTGTTTTTATTTAGTCCTCTTTAAATTTGTCTTTCACTGTATAAGACAGGCAATATATTCATGTTTATCATGTCAAAAAACTGAATCAAATGTTAAAGTGCTTTAAGAAAGCAACAGTATGAAAGCTGATCAAGCCCACTGTGGTCTGCATCTTCTTTATATGATATACTGCCTTTCAGAATTTTGGAGATGTTATTAAAAAATCAAATTTTTGAGGTCATTGATGGCATAGCATGTATTACATTCTTTATCTCTTCAGTTACTAGAACTAAAACACTAGATCGATTTTATATGTATGTATGAATTGATAATCTCAAATTTTTACATTTTTAATTTAAATATTTACATGTTTAAATTTTCATCTCTTTTCTGCTTTTTTTCCCAAAATATATTGTGTTCCTTAGTTCTATGTTTATATTTAGGAATGAATAATTGAACAAACTAATTTAGGCAGCTTGAGTGGATGTCCTCTTCACATACTTGCCTCTACCCCAGAACATGAGAAGTAACTGTCAGTAATTATTGGCAAGTATTAGTTTTCAGAGATGTGAGCAAGGAATGGACATGCCCTATCTCCAGCCTACGTGTATCCTCAATTAAAAATGATTTGGATTCTGTTCCATGTCTCCATGCCCACTCTTGGATCCCCAATTTTGGGCAGACAGATCGATCAATTTCTTTAGAATATATTAATCTGGACTCAGCATGAAAGAAAATACCCCATTGCAAATATGGCTTGGAAGGCAGAATAGTTTATCTAATTTATATACCCATCTTCTCAAATCTGAGATCTCTGTAAATACCAACTTCCAAGGACTCTTTTGTGAAGAGCAGCTTTCTCCTTCACTGACTCCTTTTTCTGCTAAGTCTATGAGCATTTCAGTTCATTCCTAAATGTGATATCATTTGCCTTCCTACTGCAAGGAATGTCTTTGTCTCCTGGTATCTTCCTTTTCTCCTATTCTTAATAGATTTATGAATTATTCTCTATTTTAATGTCTTGTGGTTACGGGAATCTCATGGAAGTTGACACATTTCTCAATATGTGTTATATGTTGGATCCCATCACATTGCTCAATTTGCATTTCATAATTGTGTCTTTGGTACTTGTTCATCTTCATTGTGTTCCTAGCAAGCAAAACCATCCCCTTAGCCTAACATCACTGTAACATAAATAAGCACTCCCCTAGTTTCTATGCATCCCCAAAATAAATTCAGCTTCATGTAAATATGACTATTGATAAAGATGTCCACTTATTGAATACACTTATCAAAAGATTTTTCTGGTGTAACATGGATATAATTTCTGTCTTAAGAACTCTAATTCTAAAGAAACCTGTGTATGGATTTCACCTTTAGGCCTTAGTTTAAACTTATTTAAATTTGTCTTCATAGATCTTACCCTCTCAAGCTATTCTGTTTTATGACAAAGACCAACACTAAGGTTTTTTATATTTATATATGTGAACTGAAATAACGTTCTAAAATATTTTAAATCCTACAAATTAGTTTCTTTCATTAAACAGAATCCTTTCTTTGTGTTGGACATTAATTCAGTGTTAATGTGAATATAATTGTCATGGATTAATATTAAATATTTGCCAATATCTCCCTTTACAACAGGATTTTTTATTAAAGTGTGTGGATGTCTTTTTTTCTTTATAATGTCTTAAAAAGAAGAAAACTTTGGTCATACTATAAAAGTTGAGTCTGATAATGTTTTATTATCTGGGAAACCATTTAAAAATAGTTTCATTGTTATTAAAATGACATCTGGGTTACATGTGAATAATTATTAAAATAATTATAGAACAACATGCATTTGTGAGGAATAATACAAAGAGATTCTGTATACACTTTGCCCAGCTTCCCCCAATGACAATATTTTGTTAAACTATAGTGTAATATCATGACAATAATATTGACATTTTACAGTCCGTCCAACTTACTCAGGTTACCCCAGTTTGGCTTGGACTCATTTGTGTGTGTATGTGCACATGTACATGTATAAATTCTATAGATTTTTATTAATGTGTAGGTTTATGTATCTACCATCACAGTCAAGACACTGAGAAGTTCCATCACCACAGGAATTCCCTATGCTACCGTTTGACAACCATGAGAAAGCATTTTTAATATATCTATTTTTACATTTGGGAAGGGTCAAAAGTCCTTTCATTAGCCCAGCTCCTGTCCAGATAATTTAAATTAATGATGTCTGTGTTCTTGTATGGATGGCATCACTGCTTGAAATATAGATCTCCAGGGTGCTCCTGCTCTCACTCTTTCTGAGCCATGATCTATTGCATGTCTGTACATCATCAAAGCAAATTGCTTCTTCAATGATGTGTAAGTATAATACATCATCACAATGGGACATGGTGATAATGCATTACCCAGAAAAAGATGACTGTCATATTTGACAGACAAGGTCAAGGAGCAAATTCAGGCAGCCCCAGCACATTTCATCAGCAGCATTCTTGGTATAGAAGAAAGTTTGTTTGCTTAGAATGATCCACTTGAAATGTGGACAAGGCTAAATACATACGTATGCCCTGGGTTGATTCCTTTGGTAAATTAAAAACGAGGTGGTTGAGCTTCCATTAAAATGACATCTGGATGACATGTGAATAGTTTTTCTGTCCACAGGGTGTTTTGAATCATGTGTGTTTCTTACTCATTCAGCATCAAATTGTTTTCCAGAGAAAGCTCTTCAACAAGATTGCAAAGTCCTTCAGGGTAGTAACTGTCTTATACATCCTTTGTTTCTTTCACAGTGTCTAAAGCATTGCTGAGCACATGGAAGACACTCAATAAATACTCGTTTAATGGAATTGAATTTGTAAGCACCAGAGACTCATGCTTCCTTTTCACATAGCTTGACACTTGGCTGCCCAGGATCCTTGCATGCAAGGTGGTAAGGTTACTGTGGGAAAATTCTGTTGGCTTACTATCCCATTTGCTGTCTGCTCTTTCTTTGTTTCTTCCTCCTTTTTTTTTTTTTTTTTTTTTTTTTTTGTAGAGTCTTTCAGCCAGGAGCTATTTTTATAAAGAATTTCATTTTTTGCTCATGAGGATTAAACTTTTAAGTTTGGCTTCAGGGTGTGAGAGAAGTACAACTTATGAAGGTTGCTCTGCACTGCAAAAAGGATAGGATTTGAGGAAGGGATGTTTCTGACATTGGCACAGCAGTATTCCGTTCTCCCCCATCCCCCAGTTGCTGCCAAATTGGCCTTTCTTTAAAGCATACAGTATTTATTTCTCTAGTCCTTGGATCATAGCAATTTTATTTCAATGTCACCAGTGAAGGAGAGAAAGGCAATATTTTGTCCAAGAGTGGGATTTGAAAATGAGTCCTCTGAGGATATGTTAGAGCAACCTAAGTATTAGATGCTGGAAAAATGGATCATTTCTTGATATTTCGGTAGGACACATCTCCATTTCAAATATATGCATGCTACAATGCAGTGAATACATAGTGCATTTTAGTCAGCTCTAAAAGTAACCAAGCCAAATTTTATACAATTGATACAGACAATGGGTGTTCAAGTGGGAATACATGTTACTGGCTCTCTGCCGGCATGATGAAATAGAGGAGGCAAATAGATACAGCTCACGTGCCAATTCTGGTTGCTCAGTCACAGTTATATCAATATCATGTTGATAAAAGTTATAAATCAGGGATCAATTTGCAACATCTACCAGGGGCCCAAGTAGAAACATGTGGTATGCATGACAGTTATGAATCAACCCTGGTGGAGGAAAAAGATGGAGAGTCATGGACCATACGCCTAACAAAGTAATTGTACCTGGTCCAATTTTGGACCATGAGTAAACCATTTAATAAAAATATATCATAGAATTGTTTTGAGATTACATTTTAAGTTGCATAAGCTATAATGTTTGTTATGATTATGCTAATTGTATATATCATTAGAGAAAATAATCACTAAATATTTTGAAACAAAAGAAACAATGAATTTAAGTAATAAATATAATCCCACTCAGCCAGAGACGACAAGTTATTGATACTCTTGTAGATACATTTATTATATAAAAACAAATATATTATGTGATTTATATTTTATCTTACATATTATTTTAATATCGATATTTTTCTCTCATAATACACCTTTAATATATTTCAATTTCAAAAGATAATTTCTGAAAAACTGTTTTTATATTTGCATGGTAGTTAATTATATGGCTATACATAATTTTTTTAAACAAACACCTATATTTTTACATTGAAGAAGGATCTAAATTTTGTATATGAATCATACTCATATTAAATATTTTTGCAATAAAAATGTTTCTACTTCTTTAGTAAAATCCCAAAGGCTGATATATTGGATCAAATGTTCTACAGATTTAATGGGATTTATTCAGTACTTAAAAGGAATTGTATTAAATTAAACTGCACAAAGTCTGTGCCAAATTATGCACCTGCAAACAAATGTATCTGATTAGAAGGCAGTGCAGTAAGTTCTTTTAAAAGGCTTGTTTTTTAAAAAATGAATTAGCTCCAAAACTATTTATATATTAAGGAACAATTTGAGCATGACACAAATTTCTTGTTTGCCTATGTGTTACCTCATCTTTGAGAAACACTAGGCGGATGCACAAAATGGCACCTGGCAGAACAAAGCCATGTAGCAATACATAAAATGTAAGCATAAACAAACCTCAAACATCCAACAGCTACTTCAGCTCAGCACAGGTGTGATGAGACCACCCATCTATATCTGGTGTTACAGCTTTCTGTCTGATTTCAGATAATTCTTATTTCACCACTTTGCAATTCCTCCCAAGCTGAAACCCTTTCAATACTCACTTCCACAAGCAAACCTTAGTTTTTCTTCAAAAAGGAAGTGTCATATTTCTTTTATGAAACTATATATTTCTTTACCACTTAATATGGATAAAAGTATGCTACTATTTTTATTAGGTTCCTATGATTTTCTTCTGTGTATGTCACTGAAAAAGTTTTTGACTATTGTTTCCCAACACCAGTCTCCCCATAAGCCATGTAATTTTTTTTTCATAAATTTGCATCGCAAGGTGAATTTTAGGAATACATCATATAACGGAGCTGATTCTTTATGTGTGTATACTTTCTGAAAGATTCCCTATGTGAGATAAGAAAAATAAAAAGCGTTTTCCTTGCTCTCATATTCAATTCAAATTTATGAACCAGATGTATTGGTTCCCCGTGACACACAACAAGCAGCTAATTCTCTAACAGATACCAACTGGGTATACTATAACTTAGCTCAATTTTGACACTATCTACCTAGAATTATTATCAGATGCTACAGGTTAAGCACTCAGTCTCATAGGACTAACCTCAATTTAAAATGCCAATTGCAAGCCTGGGGTTTTGACCTGTGCTTCTGAGTGATTGGCTATAAATCTGAGTTCCCATCACCCCTTCCTCAGATTCAGCTAATTTGCTAGAGAAGCTCAAAGAACTTAGGGAAACACTTTACTTAGTTTACCCATTCACTATAAAATACATTACAAAGAATATAGATGAACAAGACAGATGAACAGGTGCATTTTTAAAAGAGCCAGGGCAACGTATGAAAGCTATTTACCCACCCTCCCAGGCACCTCCAGGGAACCCCGACTTTTGGATTTTTTATAGAGGCAACATTACATAGACGCCATTGATTATATCATTTGTCCTTGGTGATCAACTCAAACATCACTCCCTCTCTCTTCCCTGGAGGGTTGGGGTGGGGCTGACAACTCCAACTCTAATTATGCCTTGGTCCTTCTGGTGACCAGCCCAGTCCTGAAGCTATCTAAGGGTCCCAAACCACCAATCATCTCATTAATATGCAAAGACACATCACTCTAGAAATTCCAAGGGTTTTCAGAGCTGTGTGACAGGAACCAGGGTCAGAGAGCAAATGGATAGTTCTTATTATATCATAATATCACACTCCAATAAGTCAACACTTGCCTCATTCAAGACTGATTCTAATAAAGAATGATAACTATTATTTTTCACTACTTAAAGAGTCAGACCTATGTGGAAGTTGCACTAAATCCAGTTACAATTTATTCCACCACGAAGCTTGGAAGCTCTATGACCCTTAATACAATGTTAATGTGAAAGTTTTATATTGTCTGCAAACCAAAAACTATCTGAGACTGGTCTCAATTAATTTAGACATTTATTTTGCCAAAGTTAAGGACAGTGCTTGGGAGACAAGACTGTGTCTTTCTCCAAAGATGATTTTGAGGGCTTCAATATTTAAAGGGGAAAGGGCAAATGCTGGAGAGAGAGAAAGACATTTTTAAAAGCTGTGGGTAGTTAAGAGGCAAGCAGTTGCATTCTTCTGAGTCTTTGATCAGCCATTCACATGTGACAGTAGGGTAGAAAAATCGTCACTTATGCATTCATCTAGCTCAGTGAATCTACATTTTTTACATAAAATAAAATAAACTTAAGGCTGAAGAAGCAATCAGATAAGCATTTACCTCAGATGAGCGAAGTGAAGACTTTGAGTTCTGTCCTTTGTCCTGTATTTGTGAAGACAAGCTATCAATGTACATGGTCAGGGTAAAATTCAACATAACTGTCTCAGGATAAAGATCTTGGGGCCCACAAGGAATTTGCTCTTGGGAAAATTATGAGGGAGCTATGTAGCTTTTTCATGTTTTTAGCCATCTTAGAAACAAAATGGGAGGCAGGTTGCATGACGCAGTTCCCAGTTTAAATTTTCCTTTTGACTGAGGGAGTTTGGAATCCTGAGATTTATTTTCCTTTCACATATTTTGCTCAATTTATTCATGAACTGTGATTTTATTCAAAATTATTTTATTTTCAAATTCATTGCATTCAAATAATCATAAAATGTGTACCTGCATTAAATGAGGCAGTGTTGTTCTTTTTCTTCCTTCATTTACAAAAGCTTTTTTCCACTTTTTTCATTGAATAAAAAAGAAACTTAGTTATGGCTAGGATAAATAATGTAATATGTGACTATTTTGCCAGTTATGTTTCTTCTACTGTGAATAGCCTATGCCATAAATAACCCATTTTTCAAATGAGCAGGCATTTCTTCTATTATTAGTTTGCATGAGCTCTTTAAATATATCTTATGTAGCAATTTTCAGTTGGTTAGATACATGAGTTTATCCCTAGCTTTTCTAATAGCACTATTTCCAATGTTACACACACACACACACACACACACACACACACATACAGCACTCACTTATAAGTTGAGTGAACTCCAGGTAAGATAAACCAAAGAATTCCATGCCAAGAGACATTTACAAATCTTGAAGAGCCAGAGAAAACCCACACCGTACCTTTAGAGATAAATAATACAAATGGCAGTAGATTTCTTATCAGAAACCATGGAGTCCTGAAACAAGTGGCACAATGCAATGCTGAAAGAAAAGGCCTTTTAATTGAGCATCCTAGACCCAGTGAAAATGTCCTCCCAGATTGAAGGGGAAATCAAGCCATTCTCAGATGAGAAAACATTAATTTGTTATTATCAAACCTACCATAAATAATGGCTAAAGAAATTTGTTCTCTAAACAAAGGAAATGACGTTCCAAAAATCTTGGAACATCTGAAAGAAAGAAACAATACAGTAAGCAAAACTTTTGTAAATACAGTAGGATTTGTTGAGTTTTCTAAAATATGTTTGATGGTAGAAGAAAAAATTATAACTTTGATGTGGTTCTAAATGCATGCAGAGGAAATTTTTTTTTTTTTTTTGAGATGGAGTCTCACTCTGTCACACAGGCTGGAGTGCAGTGGCAGGATCTCGGCTCACTGCAAGCTCCGCCTCCCGGGTTTACACCATTCTCCTGCCTCAGCCTCCCGAGTAGCTGACACTACAGGTGCCCACCACCACGCCCAGCTAATGTTTTGTATTTTTAGTAGAGATGGGGTTTCACCATGTTAGTCAGGATGGTCTCGACCTCCTGACCTTGTGATCCACCTGCCTTGGCCTCACAAAGTGCTGGGATTACAGGCAGGAGCCACTGTTACTCAGTAATGCGATGGCTGGGTCAAATGGTATTATTTCTAGTTCTAGATCCCTGAGGAATCGCCACACTGACTTCCACAATGGTTGAACTAGCTTACCGTCCCACCAACAGTGTAAAAGTGTTCCTATTGTTGTTTCCTGACCTACCGTCTGGCACTCCCCAGTGAGATGAACTCGGTACCTCAGTTGGAAATGCAGAAATCACCTGTCTTCTGTGTCACTCACACTGGGAGCTGTAGACCAGAGCTCTTCCTCTTCGGCCATCTTGGCTCCTCCTCAATATTAGAATTTTCTATCCTTTTTTGTGACTCATTTTTCTCTCTGTGTTAACTACATTCTCTTCAACTACAAGCAATTTCCTCCACGTGGCTGAAAAAGGTGACTGCAGTCAGGTCTATATCGTAGTGGTCATTTATTCTAAGAACACTTATGGTTTGTAAGGTCAAGTTAGTGACTTGATTGTATATGAAGTAGAGTCAACCCCACACAAATTACATGAAATGAGAGCGAGGGGATTTTTCCAAAGATGAGAACAATGGACATGCTTCATGTCTATTTGTGTCTTCAGTCAGTCAGTTTTCAGCATGTAATGTACATTCCCTTCAGAGAAAACAAATGAACTAACATTTTAAAGACTGGACTATGGAGAAAATAAAAGCTAATACCCAACCTATTTGTTTTTACATTTGGATTTCTCCCCATTCATATGTTGAATAGGAAATTTCACGTTTCTTAAATAGATTTTTAAAAAGTATTTAAAATACGATTTCCTCAAATCTTTGCACGTATTTTTTCTGGTTCATTTTGTTTCACATGCTAGAGAAAAATAAATACCAGCTACAAATATGAAGCAGAAATTGTCTATTGAGCATTGGTATCAAATTTTCTACTGAGAACACTGAAAACATTATCTCATTTAAATATATATATTAGAGTCTTAGGATGGTCATAACAAAGTACCATAGACCGAGTGGCTTAAAACAACAGAAATGCTGTTGGATCACTGTTCTGGAAGCCTGAAGTCCAAGTTCGAGTTGCTGACAGGGCAATGGTCCCTCTGGTGTATATAGAGGAACCCTTCCTTGACTCGAGTTGCTGACAGGGCAATGGTCCCTCTGGTGTATATAGAGGAACCCTTCCTTGACTCGAGTTGCTGACAGGGCAATGGTCCCTCTGGTGTATATAGAGGAACCCTTCCTTGACTCGAGTTGCTGACAGGGCAATGGTCCCTCTGGTGTATATAGAGGAACCCTTCCTTGACTCGAGTTGCTGACAGGGCAATGGTCCCTCTGGTGTATATAGAGGAACCCTTCCTTGCCTCGAGTTGCTGACAGGGCAATGGTCCCTCTGGTGTATATAGAGGAACCCTTCCTTGCCTCGAGTTGCTGACAGGGCAATGGTCCCTCTGGTGTATATAGAGGAACCCTTCCTTGCCTCGAGTTGCTGACAGGGCAATGGTCCCTCTGGTGTATATAGAGGAACCCTTCCTTGACTCGAGTTGCTGACAGGGCAATGGTCCCTCTGGTGTATATAGAGGAACCTTCCTTGCCTCTTCATAGCTTTTGGCAGTTTTCTGCACACCTTTGCTGTCCCTTGAAGCTGCAAAATCCAGCCTCTTCGTTGCCACATTGTTCCTTCCTTGTGTGTATATTGGTCTTCTCATGGCCACTTCTTACAAAGACACCAGTCGCATTGGATTAGGAACCGTCCTTACTCTGGTATGACCTCATATTTACCACTTACATCCACAACAACCTTTTCTACAAATAAGGTCACACTTTGTAATACTGAAGGTTAGGAAACACTGGGTGTTTGGACTTCAGTATATCTTTTTGTTGTTGTTGGGGGGATACAATTCAACTGATAATACTGTGGGGCTAATATAACTCACATTTTACAGATGAAGAAATTTGTGCATATTGAGTCATTTACATAGTATCACAAGTAACAGAGCCAGGATTTAAACAGATTCCATCTACCACTGAAAAACCACACACAGACCAGTTATTCACCTCACTACTTCCTGCAGCCGATAACTGTTTTCCATTGCCTGAATAGGGTATAACTGCCAAAAATAAGAACAAGAAAAATGTATGAAACAAGAGGACTTTCATAGCAAAAGAGACAGCCACTGTATAGAACCCAGCACACTGCATTTTTCAGAACAAAATAATAGATATTTTAAAATGAATTTGTTAGCCAAATAGAAAGTAAAGTCTGGGGCAAATATCTCTACCACATAGATAATCCACTGATGACTTACAGTTCAGTTGGACATATAAAATATGATAGAACTTTTCAATAATTATCCTTAAACTCTAGAAGAACTTTGAGGAGTCCTTGTTCATATTGCTTTTCTGAATATAATTAATAAGATTATTAAGATCAGTCTGCAGCAGTTTCCTTGTAGATGGAAAAGTTAATTCTCAGTTCAGGGTATAAACGAGAAAGAACATAATTACTATTATTGGACTAATTTTCCTAATAAAGTTAGGCTTGCTAGCCCTTAGTACACCATTGTTAATTTATACACATGTTGATGAAAGGCAAGATAAGTAAAGTCTAGTGAGTTTGGAATAGTTTAGAGGTCCCCCTCAACTTTTAGGTATGTGAAGGGGATTTTTAATGAATGCTTTTAAGTTAACAAGGAAAAGAAGGGACTGAATGATCAGTTTTTTGTATTAGGTGGTCTGTTTCCCACTGGAAAAGTTGTTATGTGGCTAAAGAGCCTGGTTTAAATAAAAACAAACAGACAAATTTATGCAGAAAGTTAACGAAGACTAAAAACCCCAGTGCCCATTGTGCTGGGACAGCAGATGCCATCAGCAGATGCACTGGAGTTTACTCCAGTTCTTTACTGAGCCCAACTATATAATGGCTATGCACATTTAAATACTTTAAACACAAAACAGGTAATAAACACGAGTGGATTGAAACAATGGGCAACATGTGTGGATATGAGAAAGTGGAGCGTGTGAGAAAAAGTCTTTTAGAGCTAAAGTGCAAGCCTCTTCTAAAGCCATTAAAATCCTTTTTGTTTTTTCTTTTTGAGATGGAGTCTTGGCTGTCACTCAGGCTGGAGTGCAGTAGTGTGATCTTGGCTCACTGCAAGCTCCGCCTCCCAGGTACAAGTGATTCTCCTGCCTCAGCCTCCCGAGTAGCTGGAACTACAGGTGTGTGCCACTACGCCCAGCTAATTTTTTGTATTTTTAGTAGAGATGGGGTTTCACCGTGTTAGCCAGGATGGTCTCGATCTCTTGACCTCGTGATCTGCCTGCCTAGGCCTCCCAAAGTGCTCGGATTACAGGCATGAGCCACCGTGCCCGGCTAAAATCCATTTCTTACCCCTAACATGCTGTGCTAGAAATAAAAAAGCAACTCTGAGGCCCTAATCAGATTCCGTAGTCTACCAATTCGATCTGTCATCTTCAGAACTCTACACTAAACTTCTCCAACATATAATCACAGAAACAACACAATAGTTACAACAGCATGAATGTTTTCTATATCATTTCAAGTCTTCCACACCATAAAGTCACTAAGAATAGGAAATTCATATTTACTTATACTTGCCCATTCTCATTTCTAATAGAAAAATAATATAGCAAAATGATTTGAATGCCTACACTTTCACAATACTCACTGACTTATTTGTAATATGAAACAAAACAAATAAAAACTAACCTAGTGACCCATTCATATATGCATGCTTTCTAAAAGGTTTTGTTTTTGTTTTTAATGATTCTCATTTGCTTACCACATCAGTGTTGCAATGTTAGTCATCTGGAATTCTAGAAATTGGGGGAAGGAAAAATTAGAACACCTACCAAGTTAAGCTAATAGAATAGTATTTTGTAATAGAAACCTAAAGGTACATAGAAGATAGATACGGTTTTATCAAAATAAACTACCAAAACTATACTAAGGATAGGGATGGAGAAAGGAACGAAATCAAGCTTTCAAATGACTCTGGAGAGGGTGGTTGGAAAAGGCTGAAAATCATTCAGTAACATTTCTGAACATATATATTCATACAGAGGAAATAAAGAAAGTAACCCTCTAAGATAAAAGAAGCTAGGAGTGTTAACTGCTATAAATATGTGAAGAGAAAGAAACATCAAGAAAAGAAGAATTTTTAAAAATTTCGTGGACTGGGAGGAGAAAGGGAGTTGATATTTAAAAAGACATTAGGTCCATGGAGGGTGCCCTCCAGATGTTCCCAAGTCTTGGGCATTCAGACTCTAATCCTTTGTATGATGCATAGGAATAAATTAGCCAGCCTCTTGTTACCCACAGTGTGATTTGTAAAGCATCAGCTTCAAGGTTATCCTGGAGCTTGATAGAAATAGAGACCTGGCGGTGTCACTCCCTGCTTAACAAATGAGAATCCACATTTTCAGAAGACCCCAGGTGATTCCTATGCACATCAAACTGTGAAGAGCACTGAGCCAGACTACAGAGTGCAAAGCCCTGTTCTAAGCCACAGTGATGCTGACTCTCCTCACCATTTTCTCTCTCAAGGTCCTGACTGTGGGCAAAATATAGAATCTTAGAGCCTGGATTATAGCAGTTTTACACAAGCAGCACACTGATGGAAGCAGCTACAGAGGAAAAGAGAACTGGCAGCTCTTGAACTTTCACCCTCTTTCAGAATTCTTAAAAATTCAGAGAGCTGTTCTTTAAAGAGACATTTTTCTCTCAGCAGTTGAATCTTTGTAGTCTGACTTGTGAGAGGACGTCAAAGACTTCCTCTCAGGAGTCAGTTCCCTGCCATTGCACCCAGCTCCTTGCCTAGCCTTCTTCCACATCTCCTTTATCACAGGGGCCTCAAAACTATAGATGGCAGTGACTTGGCACGGACCATACAATTCTAAAAGGAAGTCAACTTAGTGTTATACTTCCACATGGAATCTGCGTTTCTAAAGTAGAGGATAGCATTGAATATACCAAGAAGTTTCTTCCCAGAAACAAAACCCCGTTCTGGATATAGTGTTAAGAGGAAGCTGTTCCTGTTTCATGAGGTCGTAATACTCAGATCGGTGTGCTGTCATCAGCCCTGTTGAATACATTTCCAAATCCTTTAGGCTTTTGTCTTTTGCCATACTCTAGAAAGTAAAAACTATAATCAAACTCATTTTCTTCGCCCCTTTACGTGAATTAATGTTATAATCAATTGAACTGCATGGACATGCCAGTATCTATTTTCAATCTGTGTAGGCAGAATGAAGAAAGCATAATTGAGCGGTGCTCATCTTTTAAAGGCAAAATGAAGTTTTCAGTTTGGAATTGATTAGTTGTTAGGGGATTAAGACCTTTGAGGTAATTCCCTGCAGCTGGGGCAGTTAGACGGCAGGGGATTTGAGTTTCCGCCTTGTAAACAAATCTTTAAAGTGGATTTGCTATTTCTGTGGGGAGGGGAGCCTCTGTGGAATTTGGTAGTTGGCAAGATTTGGCAATTTTCTGCTTGGGAAGAAAACAAGATGGGTCTCAAATCTAAGTCCTCTTTTTCTCAGATCAACATCACCTTTTGAAAAATAAATTGATTCTTTGGCCTTAATGACTACTAAAGGAAATTAAAAACAAACAAACAAAACAGAAGAAAAATGATTAAAGAAGCCGGGCGCAGTGGCTCACGCCTGTAATCCCAGCACTTTGGGAGGCCGAGGCGGGCAGATCACCTGAGGTCAGGAGTTTGAGATCAGCCTGACCAACATGGTGAAACCTCGTCTCTACTAAAAGTACAAAAATTAGTTGGGCATGGTGGCGCATGCCTGTAATCCCAGCTACTCGGGAGGCTGAGGCAGGAGAATTGCTTGAACCCGGGGGGTGGAAGTTGTGGTGAGCCAAGATCTTGCCATTGCACTCCAGCCTGGGCAACAAGAGTGAAACTCTGTCTCAAAAACAAAAAAAAACAAAAAAAAAAAGGAAAAATGATTAAAGTAAGAATGAAAATTTAGTTAATGTTATTTAGGACAGTAAAAGCAGATGTAGTCACAGAAAGACAATGTGCAGATGATTATATGGAAAGAAGAATGTGAAACCTTCAGATCTCTTTAAAATTTTATAATAGCTTTGTATTTTCAAATAAATTGCAAAGAGTTTCTATACTTGTATCTAGTTTCCCCTATTAACATTGTACATTAGTGTTGTGTAGTGTTTTAATTAATGAAACAATAGTGATACCATTGATTACGATTTCATGAAGTCTGTAGTTCATTTAGAGTCCTTTAGTTTTTAAGAAGTGTCCTTTCTCTGTTCCAGGATCTCATCCAGGATACCACATTACATTTAGCAGTCATGTCTCTTTAGTCGTCTCTTTACTGTGAGTATTTCTCACACTTCTCTTGTTTTTGATGATTTTGACAGTTTGGATGAGAATTGGTTAGGTATTTTGTAATCTACACATCAACTGAGGCTTGATTGATGTTTTTCTTTAAAATATTTTTCCCATTTGTATACATGTGTGGTATACAAGTGCAATTTTGTTACATGCATATATTGCACAGTGGTTAACTCAGGGCTTTAGGGTATCCATCACTTAAATGATGTACAGTGTACATTGAAGTAATTTCTCATTTACCCCCCCAACCCCCTCACCCTTGTGGGTCTCCATTGTCTATTATCCACTCTACATCCATGTCTACACGTTTTATAACACCCACTTATGAGCAAGAACATGCAATATTTGACTTTTTGTGCCTGGTGATGTTTTCCTTTTGATTAAACTGGGACACACATTTATGGGAGGAAGACCAGACAGATAAAGTGGCATTCTTATCACATCATCTCAAGGGCATACGCCATTGACATGACTTATTGCTGTTGATGTTGACCATGGACACTGGGCTGAAGTAGTGTTTTTCAGGTATGCCACTGTGAAATTATATTCCCCTGTTTACAATACTGTATACTTTAGACATAGGTTATTATGTACAACCCACACTTAAAAAGTGGGGAGTTATCTTCCACCTCCTTGAGGGAGTGAAGTAGTATCTACATAAATTATTTCATATTCTTATACAAAGGGTATTTGTTTATTTCATTTATTTATATACTTGTCTTGATACAATGTAAATGAATCACTACTTATTTATATTATTATAAACATATAAATATCTATAGTATAGTTTGGGTTACAATCCAATACTTATTTTGTTACTCACATTGTTCTTGCTTTGACCACTGGGAGATCTTTCAGTTGGTTCTTGTAATACACCATTTTTAAAAGCAAAATGGAGCTAAGTGTGGTGGCGCATGCCTGTAGTCCTAGATACTAGGGAGGCTAAGGTGAGAGGATCGCCTGAGCCCAGAAATTTGAGACTGCTTTGAGAGCTATGATCACATCACTGCACTCCAATCTGGGTGATAGAGCAAGACCCTGCCCCAGCTAAAATGAAAACAAAAAACAATAACAATGCTACATGGGAAGTGAGCATGACAATGTGGTATTTTATAATTATATCCAAAGATTAGTAAGCATGATTCATGGAGAAGTGGCTAAATCTAAGCATTGTTTTCCCATGAGATTGCTGTTGGAAAAGCAATAGAAAAAAAAAAACAAAAAACAAAGAATTGAGTGAGTCAAGAGATAGGAAGTCTTTCAGTTACCTTAGAGTCACGTTAGGTATGTAGAGAAGCAGTTCAGATTAACAAAGTTCAAAAGATCCCACCGTCAGATCTGTATAACAAGCTTTGCACACGAAAGAGCTAGAGTATCTGTGACTCTGATGTAAGAAGGTATTAACCCAGTGGAAAATAAAAACAAAATTAAAAATGCCTAGGTAGACTCATTTATGGTTTTATAGTATCCCTACTGGGGCACAGATGGGAAGGGAGAAACTGTTTTTAAATAAAATGATCAGAAACTTAGACTGTGACATTAATTTGTTGGTTCAGTGTTTTAATTTGGAGGTAAATTATACTAAACAGTATTATGACATTTTCTGTAGAAAGTCTTCTACGTGTATTGAGTCACTGCCTGTTATATTGGTTTAATCAGCAAGTCATTTTTGCTGAATCTCTTAGTCTCCACTAATATTGTCTTGAAGGTGTAAATGGCATGCAGGTTGCCTAAATAAAGCTACAACATTCTGTAAGGCATTTTGTGAATGAACTACTTTTGCAGATGGTACAGGTGTTCACCCCTGTAAACTCACAATTATTTTAGAAGTGATGTACAGGTTGTCAGTTGTCCCCATCTGCCTCATTCCCCACATGCATTGTCACCTTTGTGTCAATCCAGATCTCATTAGCTCTTTGTAGACAAAGATAGAATGGTAGATAATATATAAGTAAATGTGGCTGTGTTTTTGCTCTTCAAGAGAATGCACAAGAGACTCACTCTTAATTCTTACTATTTCATGTATGTGCAGCCTCTTAATGCTTACTATTTCATGTGTGTGCAGCTTCTTAATGCTTACTATTTCATGTGTGTGCAGCCTCTACAACTACAGTGCATCTCTATTGTTTGTACAGTGACAATAATGGTAAGAATAATAACTTAGTACATACCATACTGCAGAAACTGTTTAAATTACATCCAATGTGCCCATTTAATCATCACTTTAAAATAGTAACTCCTACTCAGTAGCAATGTGCAGTTTATAGATATCTTTCACATTTGAAGATATGAATCTCAGTGTACATATATTGGTATGCAAAAAAATCAGTTATATACATGTTTAGACCACTTATATTTTAATCCCACCAAGCATATGGAAAGCTTAACCTTATGGGTGTGTGTGTGTGTGGGTGTGTGTGTGCAGGGGTTCTCTAAACTTAAAACCTGTTGTGGATGCACATGAAATTATATACAGTGCCAAGAAGGGGCACAGGCCCTGCTCAGTGAGTCATCTGACTGCACGAGTTAATAGATATAACGTGAAGGGTCACAGTTCTCTATTTGGGTTTTTTTGTACAGCCTCTGTTTCTCTGTCTCTACAAAGCACGTAGCCTTTTTTTCAAGTCTCGATGCCTCTTTCACAGCTCAGCCCTGGGCCTGCTATCCTGTTTTCACTGCTTCCCTTCTTTTTTCTACATGACTTTTTATTTTACTTTAAGTTCTGGGATACATGTGCAGAACATGCAGGTTTGTTACATAGGTATACATGTGCAATGGTGATTTCCTGCATCCATCAACCCATCATCTATGTTTTAAGGCCCGCATGCCTTAGGTATTTGTCCTAATGCTCTCTCTCCCCTTGTTCCCCAACCCTCCAGCGGGCCCCAGTGTATGATGTTCCCCTCCCTATATCCATGTGCTCTCATTGTTCAACCACCACTTATGAGTGAGAAGATGCGGTGTTTGGTTTTCTATTCTTGTGTTAGTTTGCTGAGAATGATGGCTTCCAGCTTCATCCATGTCCCTGAAAAGGGTATGAACTCATTCTTTTTATGGCTGCTTAGTATTCCACCTACATGCCTATTTCTGAGTCAAGCACGTTGTTTATGCCCAGTGCATTTTCTTTATACACAGAGGCTGAGAAAGAACCAGGAAGCCTCTGACTGTTTCAAGTGTGTTCTCTGCTATATCTATCTACTGATTCAATAAGCACAAGCTCATTGAATGGAAAAGGGCAATATGCAAAGGGAGCAAAATGAGACATATATGTCAAAGGAAAGTTCCACTGCAAATGTCTTTATTTGATGTACACAGAGGGATTTGAATTAGGTCTAGGTTTTATGCCCACTTTACAGAAAAATTGAAACTTGATCAAACCTATAGAACCAGTAAATGTCAGGACCAGACCTGGAGACACACTCCCCTCGGTGCATATTTTATATCTTCTTCATTTTATCACCCCAAATCATTTACTCCTGAAGTAAATTCATTTAATATTTAACAAATGTTTACAAAAGTTGACTATAGTAAAAGTATTATGTTAGCTGCTATGAAGTAGAAATATAATCACACGATTATCTTAATGAAGCATCTCTACTTTATAGAAGGGAAATTGAGATTCTGAATCATTAAGGTTTTAAGTGTCATCACAGGGATTGTTAGTGATAGAATACAGAGTTGAGTCTAGGGCTTATTAAACTGTATCTGTCACTCTATTCGTGTATTAGTCTGTTCTCATGCTGCTAATAAAGACCTACCCAAGAATGAGTAATTTATAAAGGAAAGAGGTTTAATGGACTCATGGTTCCACATGGCTGGGGAGGCCTCATAATCATGGCAGAAGGCAAGGGAGAAGCAAAGTCACATCTTACATGGCAGCAGGCAAGAGAGCACATGCAGGGGAACTACCTTTTATAAAACCATCAGATCTTGTGAGGCTTATCCACTATCACAAGAAAAGCATAGGAAAAACCCAACCCCATGATTCAATTACCTCTCACTGGGTCCCTCCCACGACATGAAGGAATTATGGGAGCTACAATTCAAGATGAGATTTGGGTGAGGACACAGCCAAACCATATCAATTGGCCTATTTCAGTTTGAGAACATACATCTGAATTTCAAGGAAATTTGACTACAATTGAAGAAATTGAGTATCATTACTGATTTCTAATGGATGTTGCTGTATGTAATATTTTCTATATGAGAGACAAGATGTAAGGATGAAGATGAGGGACAAGTTCTTCATCTAGAAAGATCAAGGGTGCTGTCAAGGAAGAGTTGAATTTGATTCAGAACTGAAGAATATTTGGGCTTTCAACTAGCTCAGAGAAATTCTGTAGTCACTAGAAGATCCTTGCATTTGAGAGGGCAAATTTGAATATGTTCCACAAGTAAAATCAGAAATTGGGCTTTTTATTTTACTAACCAGATTAATGCTCTATTCCAGAAATGCAAATAGGTTGTACTTTTATTTTAACATGGGGCTACTTTTGCCTACTGTTTTGCTGGTTTTTGTTGTTTTATTGCAAAACCACAATTACTGTTACACAATGGAAGCTCCATCAGTGAAGATACTTTATCTACTTTCTTCACTGTTATATTATGGGGTAAAAAAGTGCTTTGCGTATGAGAACAAGTAATAATGAAACTGGTTACTTTTGGCAGAGTCTGCGTTATACATAGGCTCTTTTGTGAAGATCTAAATATGGTTATGTAATCAGTTGTTCAGACAAGAGAAACGTAGATTAATTGAATTAGATAATCCCAGTGGTCTCTCAAAGATCAAACAATAAAACAAACTATTATCGTACCCCATTTGAAGTACTTTTGTATAACAACAGCGTTTTAACATGTTTATTTGGATTAAGATTATCAGCGACTTTGGAAGTCAATTAAGTGTGAAAGCGAAACATGGTATTTGACGACAGTACCAGCCCTGTATTGCTGCAAATACATTCTATAATAGCACTGGACGCATCATTCAGATTTTATGACAAGATGCAATAACCAGCTACCTGTGATGATAAAATAGACTTTTTTCAAATAAGATTTCTAGCAACCTTTACTATGCATGTTTTCTTTGTTGTCTTGTAACATTAACCATGGACATCACATGGCAAGCATGATGAAGAGAATTTCTTTAGAATCGAGTTTTATAACAAAGAATGTATTCCAAAGTAAGGATTTATGTTGGTGGATAATTATGAGCCAGGCCGACTACTATGAATAACTTACATCAGGGCTAGGGTTGGAGAAAATGAGGAGAGAGTAGTACAATTAAATGATCAATCATAACTAGTCTATTTGTTTATACAATAATGAAAAATAGTAGTTTCTATTGGACTGAAATGTTTCAGGTAAAATTGATGTTATATCAAATTAATTAAATAATAAATGTAATTGCCTTAAATCAATGCATGCTTAGGATTAATACTGATTAAAAATCTAAGGATGCAAAAAGATTTATAACAAAATGACAGTAACAGTGGTCTTTCCTCAATCTCTTTTTCTCCCAAAAGCAAAATCTGTTTATAATTTTAATTTTTATGAGAGCTACTTATATAAAAATGTAGACAAGAAGAAATTATTTTTTCTACTTGTGCATCTGAAAGTATCTTTTCTTTTCTTTCCTTCCTTCCTTTCTTCCTTCCTTCCTTCTTCTTTCCCTCCCTCCCTCATTCCTTTCTTCCTTCCCGCCTTTCTTCCTTCCTTCTTTCCCTCTTTTCTCTTTCACTTCCTTCTTCTCTTATCACTCCTCCCAAATTTAAAATCATCTGTCCATTGTCTTTGTCATCCAGTATAGATAATAAGGAATCTGATGGTCTTCTCATTAATAGTGAACTTGCTGTTTTTCTCTCAAAAATGAGAAAGCTTTTGGGAGCTTCTTTTTATCTTAAGTGTTCTGAAATTTCAAGACAGTATGCCTGGGTTCTTTTTAAATTCCTTTTGCTGGATACTCAGGTTTCAAATCAGAAGGTTTATGTCCTTCTTCATTTCTGCAAAATTATCTTCAATTATTTCTTGTACTATCTATTCTTCATCTGTGTTCTTACTGAGATACCGAATCATCTGAATTTGTTCCTTTTTTGTATTTTTTTCTTTCTTCATATTTTATAAGAATTATTCAGCTTTATTTTAAAGTCCTATTTTTATTCTCTAAGTGACTATTCTTGTATTTAACTTTTTATAGCATGGTCTACATTTTAATGGTTGTCATATATTTTTGAATGTTTATTTACAGAGCATCACTTTTAAAATTGTTTTCTTTCCATAAATTGGGTCTGTTTGTTTTGGAACAAGCTTTTCCATGTATTTTTCTTTTTCACTCTCTTTAGTGATCTCCAGCTGTCAATTCATGTTGTAGAAGGACAGTGATGTTGGTCACAGATTCCCCAAATGCTAAGGTTAGGTGAGAACCAGCATACTCATCAAAGATCTTCATTTTCCCCAAAGACAAAATGCAGTGCTTTTAGAAAAAAATTAATTACTTTTGGGATGTTATTTCCCTCATGATAAACATGGTTGCCATTTACACTCTCTACTGCTTTGAGAGAGAAATTTCTGTCAAGCTGTGAAATTGGTCCACACACAGCACTTCAATTAATTTCAGTTTTTGACCCTCATTGTCTTCTCAAAACGATCAGCACCTTCTCAATCTGAAGTCACAGGATGGCAGAGGTTCTGCTTAGCAGACTCTCCCACTTTGAATTGCAGTGTTTTGTTTTACCTCTTTCATCTATTTTCCAATTTTTAGAAATTTGTTGACTTTTTTTGTAAACTTTTTTTGCATTTGCACTTCTACATTTATTTATATTATTACTTTTACTTCTGTGGGATCTCAGTAATGAAGGAAACATATATGCCTAGGTTACCATATTGAATTCAACATAGAGAGTATGATTTTTTAAGTAAATCCTGAAAGAAAACTTTCTATAAATCTACAAATCCTCTTGAAATTTTCTTTTTATATTTATTTGCAAATTTTTAATTTCTTGTATTTCGTAAACTGAGAATTTTAGATACTTTTACATTTGTAGCATCAAAAATAATTTTTTAAAATGATGACATACTTAGAGTCAATCTATTGGGATTGAGTGTATTTTTAAAATTAGAATTGTTAAAATAGTATTTGACATTTGCTTTGCTTCTGGTACTGGTAGGCTAGTTTGCTGCAGACCAACTTTCACACCAAAAATCTCTAGAAAAAAAGACACAAACTTCTTATCTCAAAATATCCATGTTTCAGCAGAGGTTAGCTGAGTTTTGCTGTATTCAGGGTGTCATTGGGACTGCGATCTCGTCTGAAGCTTGAGGTCCTCTCCTACACATGTTCAGGTTATCGTTCCTTGTGGCTACAGGACTGACCAAAGTTGTTTCCTTTCTGGCTCTTGGCCGGAGGATATGTCAAGCTTCTAAATTATGCTCACAATCCCATGCCAAGTGTCCTCCATCATAGGACTTCTCACAACATAGAAGACTGCTTTGTCTTCAAGACGAGCAGAAGAGCATCTTTCTCACATTAAATCTGACTTATCTTGTCCCTAACCTCTTGACAGCATTTAATAAAAGCTAAATTCGTTAGATCAGACTCACACTGACCTAAACATAAGATTAATAAGGATCAGCTTTCTATTGGTTAATTTAAAGTCAAGTGAGTAAGATGCTAATTACATCTGTAAACCGCTTTGCTATATAAAATAACAATCTTGGCAGTAATATCCCCTCATATTCACAGTTTCCTCTTACACTCAAGGGGAGATGATTATGCAGGGTTTATGCACATGGAACCAGACATCTTGGGAGTCATCTTAGAATTCTGCCTACCATGAAGTCTACATAACCAAAACCAGGAGAAAGAAAAAGAAAAAAATATATAGTTCATGGGAAATCCAGATATTGGGGTTATCTTAAGTAATTTCGAAATAAATATTTAATATGTTAAGTATTTTAAATGTTTTAAATATTCAAAAAATTAGATGGCCATGGAAATGTTCATTAGAGAACAGAAATTAGGATTGCTAGACTTACCAAATAAACATATAGAGTTCCAAGTTAATTTTAAATATCAAGTAAATAGCAAATACTTTATACAATATATCGCATGAAATATTTGGGATATATTTATACTAAAAGTTTATTGTTACTGAAATTCAGGTTCAACTGGGTGCCCTTTATTTGACAACACTAACTGTAAACTATCAAAATAAATAAAATTTTTGAACCTTAAAATATAACAAATACAATTAAAGACTCAAGAGGTTCAAAGCACAACAGACTAGATATGACTAGATATAATTGACAAGAGGATGAGTAAAGTGCTAAGTAGGTCAGAGACAACATATACTGAAAAACAGAGAGAAAAAAATGGAAGATTCAGAAAAGCATAAGAAACACATACGACATAGTGAATAAATGTCAAAAATATTTATTGTGGTTCAGAACAGAAAAAGAATGGAGAAAAAGTATTATTTAAAGAAATAATGGCTAGGGATATTCTAAAACTGACAATAGAAAACAAGTAATAGATTCATGCAACACTGCATTTATTAAGAAGGATAAATTCAAATAAGCCATACCTACCACATCATGGAAAATAGTAAAATGAAAAAAAAAATCCTAAATAAGCTAGATAAGAAAGTGTCATACTACCTTTAAAGTTGCAACAATATTATAACACGTTTAATTGATTTACTATAAGAAACATTGGAAACTAGAAGTCAAAAACTGTGATCCTTGAATTTTTCTTAGGGGGCAGGTACCATATTGCCAAACTAGAATTTTATTCCTGGCAAAAACATTCTTTAAAATGAAAAGACAAATAATGGAGAATGAACTTGAAATTGAACGGTTTAGAATTACAAAGATTTTTTCCCCTATTTCCAGGTGAGCTCAACAGCCAATTAAGTTTTATTATAAAAAATAAAGCAGCTTATATCTACTTGAAAAAGTGAAGGCAAAATTAAAATGTTTTCATTTAAACTAAAAGTCATAGGATTTATCACTAGCAGAACTACACTAAAGAGCTCTTCAGCCATCATGAGAATGTTTTGAAATATAAGCAGAAAGGAATGAAAACCAGTGAAAAGGATATTATGTGGGAACATCTAAAAGAATACTTCCCATACAAAGCAACATTATTAATTACATAGTTTCATGCACGTCCGTGTGAAGAGACCACCAAGCAGGCTTTGTGTGAGCAATAAAGCTGTTTATTTCACCTGGGTGCAGGTGGGCTGAGTCCGAAAAGAGAGTCAGCGAAGAGAGATAGGGGTGGGGCCATTTTATAAGATTTGGGTAGGCAAAGGAAAATTACAGTCAAAGAGGGGTTGTTCTCTGGCAGGCAGGAGTGGGGGTCATAAGGTGCTCAGTAGGGGAGCTTTTGAGCCAGGATGAGCCAGGAGAAGGAGTTTCACAAGACAGTGTCATCAGTTAAGGCAGGAACAGGCCATTTTCACTTCTTTTGTGGTGGAATGTCATCAGTTAAGGCAGGAACCGGCCATCTGGATGTGTACGTGCAGGTCACAGGGGATATGATGGCTTAGCTTGGGCTCAGAGGCCTGACATTCCTGTCTTCTTATATTAGTAAGAAAAATAAAATGAAATAGTGGTAAAGTGTTGGGACAGCGAAAATTTTGGGGGATGGTATGGAGAGATAATGGGCGATGCTTCTCAGGGCCGCTTCCAGCGGGATTGGGGGTGGCGTGGGAACCTAGAGTGGGAGACATTAAGCTGAAGGAAGATTTTGTGGTAAGGGGTGATATTGTGGGGTTGTTAGAAGAAACATTTGTCATTTAGAATTATTGGTGTTGGCCTGGATACAGTTTTGTATGAATTGAAAAACTAAATGGAATAAGAGAAGGAGAAAAACAGGTATAAAAGGTCTAAGAATTGGGACGACTCAGGACATCTGATTAGAGAGTCCCTAAGGAGATTCAGCATAGTCCTGCCAGCAAAGATTATTTACTTCAAGAGTTAAGAGTGGCAGTTTGGGGATAGCACCAGGAGATATCAGCTGTGATGGCTTGGAGAAACAGTGTAAACCGGCAGTGTAAACAAGAGCAGGGCATGTATGAGTAGTTGAGAATGGTGAATAGGAGTATGACTAGACAGAAGATAGTAGGGATGACTAGTTTTTTGGGGCACAGTCTAAGTTGGTCTGGTGTCTGGAATGAGACTGGGGCCTAATAAAAAGGAGCGTCTATACAGGAGCTCAAATGGGCTGTACTTTGTAGCATTCTGAGGACAGGTCTGACTTCTGAGAAGGGAAAGTGGTAAAAGTATTGTCCAGTCCTTTTTAAGTTGGTGGCTGAGCTTGGTGAGGTGTGTTTTAAAAAGATCTTTAGTCTGTTTTACTTTTCCTGAAGACTGAGGACTGTAAGGGATATAAAGGTTTCACTGAATACTAAGAGCCTGAAAAACTTCTTGGCTGATTTGACTAATAAAGGCTGGTCTGTTATCAGACTGTATAGAGGTGGGAAGGCTAAACTGAAGAATTATGTCTGACAGAAGGGAAGAAATGACTGCGGTGGCCTTCTCAGACCCTGTAGGAAAGGCCTTTACCTATCCAGCGAAAGTGTCTACCTAGAATAAGAGGTATTTTAGTTATCTGACTCGGGGCATGTTGAGTAAAGCTAATTTGCCAGTCCTGGGTGGGGGCAAATCCTTGAGCTTGATGTGTAGGGAATGGAGGGGGCCTGAATAATCCCTGAGGAGTAGTAGAATAGCAGATGGAACACTGAGAAGTTATTTCTTTGAGGATAGATTTCCACGATGGAAAGGAAATGAGAGGTTCTAAGAGGCGGGCTAGTGGCTTGCACTATAGCATAGCCTGCCTTTGCTGATGTGTGGCGATTAGGCCTGGTGGAACTGCCATCAATAAATCAAGCATGATCAGGGTGAGGAACAGGAAAGAAGAAAATATGGGGAAATGGGATAAATGTCAGGTGGATCAGAGAGATACAGTCATGGGGGTCAGGTGTGGTATCAGGAATAATGTGGGAGGCCGGACTGAAGTCCGTGCCGGGAACAATGGTAATTGTGGGACTTAACAAAGAGTGAGTACAGCTGAAGGAGCCGGGGGAGCAGAAAGTACATGCATCAGGTATGAGGAAGGAAATAGATTTTGGAAGTTATGAGAAATGTAGAGAGTAAGTTGAGCATAGTTTGTGATTTTGAGGGCCTCTAAAAGTATTAGGGCAGCAGGAGCCGCTGCACGGAGACATGAGGCCTAGGCTAAAACAGTAAGGTCAAGTTGTTTGGACAGAAAGGCTACAGGGTGAGGTCCTGGCTCTTGTGTAAGAATTCTGACCGCACTAACCATGCCTAGGAAGGAAAGGAGTTGTTGTTTTGTAAGGGATTGAGGTTTGGGAGATTAATCGGACATGATCAGCAGGGAGAGCACGTGTGTTTTTATGAGAATTATGCTGAGATAGGTAACAGATAAGGAAGAAATTTGGGCTTGACTGAAGTAATGGGGGCTGTCTGTGAAGCTTTGCGGCAGTACAGCCCAGGTAATTTGCTGAGCCTGATGCGTGTCAGGGTCAGTCCAAGTGAAAGTGAAGAGAGGCTGGGATGACGGGTGCATAGGAATAGTAAAGAAAGCACGTTTGAGATCCAGAACGGAATAATGGATTGTGGAGGGAAGTATTGAGGATAGGAGAGTATATGGGTTTGGCACCACGGGGTGGATAGGCAACACAATTTGGTTGATAAGGCATAAATCCTGAACTAACTTGTAAGGCTTGTCTGGTTTCAGGACAGGTAAAATGGGGGAATTGTAAGGAGAGTTTATAGGCTTTAAAAGGCCATGCTGTAGCAGGTGAGTGATAGCAGGCTTTAATCCTTTCAAAGCATGCTGTGGGATGGGATATTGGCGTTGAGTGGGGTAAGGGTGATTAGGTTTTAATGAGATGGTAAGGGGTGCATGATCCGTCGCCAAGGAGGGAGTAGAGGTATCTTATACTTGTGGGTTAAGGTGGGGGGATACAAGAGGAGGACGCAAAGGAGGCTTTGGGTTGGGGAGAAGGGCGGCAATGAGATACAGATGTAGTCCAGGAACAGTCATGGAAGCAGATAATTTAGTTAAAGTGTCTCGGCCTAATAAGGGAACTGGGCAGGTGGGGATAACTAAAAAGGAGTGCTTAAAAGAGTATTGTCTAAGTTGCCACTAGAGTTGGGGAGTTTTAAGAGGTTTAGAAGCCTGGCCGTCAATACCCACAACAGTTATGGAGGCAAGGGAAACAGGCCCTTGAAAAGAAGGTAATGTGGAGTGGGCAGCCTCCGTATTGACTAAGAAGGGGACGGACTTATCCTCCACTGTGAGAGTTACCCGAAGCTCGGCGTCCGTGATGGTCTATGGGGCTTCCGAGGTGATCAGGCAGCATCAGTCTTCAGCCGCTAAGCCGAGAAGATCTGGGAAGGAGTCAGAGAGCCTTGGGCCAGAGTTCCAGGGGCTCTGGGAGTGGCTGCCAGGTGAGTTGGACAGTCTGATTTCCAGTGGGTTCCTGCACAGATGGGACGCGGCTTATGAGGAATCCTGGGCTGCAGGCATTCCTTGGCCTGGTGGCCAGATTTCCGGCACTTGTAGCAAGCTCCTGTGGGAGGAGGTTCTGGGGGAACGCCTGGCTGCTGTGATTCAGGCGTTTGGAAGTTCTTGTGTGCTGGAGATGTGGCTGGGGTTTGTCTCACAGTGGAGGCAAGGAATTGCAACTTTTTTCTATTATTGTACACCTTGAAGGCGAGGTTAATTAAATCCCGTTGTGGGGTTTGGGGGCCGGAATTTAATTTTTGGAGTTTTATTTAATGTCGGGAGCAGATTGGGTAATAAAATGTACTTTGAGAATAAGATGGCCTTTTGACCTTTTAGGGTCTAGGGCTGTAAAGTGTCTCAGGGTTGCTGCCGAACGAGCCATGAACTGGGCTGGGTTTTTCATATTTGATGAAAGAGACTAAACGCTCACTGATTTGGGAAAGGTCTGATAAAGAAAAAGGAGCATTAACCTTGACTATGCCTTTAGCTTCACCACCTTTTTAAGAGTAAATTGCTGGGCAGGTGCGGGAGGGCTAGACGTGCAATGAAACTGTAAGCAGGACCCGGTGTGAGGAGGGGAGGTGATAAAAGGATTATAGGGTGGAGGAGCCGAGGCTGAGGAAGAATTGGGACCTAGCTCAGCCTGGTGAGGAGCAGCCTGGGGAGGAGGGGAGAGGTCAGATGGGTCTGTAGAAAAGGAAGATTAGAAAGACTCAGTGACACTTGGGGTTGGGACTGAGGGGACAGGCGGGAGGGAAAGAAGGAAGATTGGGGGCGAGTTGCACTGGGTACAGAGACTAGGGAGGGACTGATGTGTAAAAGAATGCCTGGACATCAGGCACCTCAGACCGTTTGCCCATTTTACAACAAGAATTATTTAGATCTTGCGGGATGGAAAAATTGAAAGTGCCGTTTTCTGGCTATTTGGAACTACTGTCAAGTTTGTATTGGGGTCAACTGGCATTGCAGAGGAAAATAAGATGCTTAGATTTTAGGTCAGGTGAGAGTTGAAGAGGTTTTAAGTTCATGAGAACACAGGCTAAGGGAGAAGAAGGAGGAATGGAAGGTGGAAGCTTGCCCATAGTGAAAGAGGCAAGCCCAGAGAAAAGAGTAGAGACACGGAGAAGGGGTCGGGGGTTCTTGCCCTCCAGAAAAGCAGAGAAGGGGTTGGGGCACAGAGATATTAGGTCAGGGTGCAGAAATAAGGGATCAGGGTGCAGAGATATAAGAGGTCGGGGTGCAGAAATAAGGGATCAGGGTGCAGAGATATAAGAGGTTGGGGTGTGGAAATAAGGGATTGGGGCACAGAGATATAAGAGGTTGGGGTTCCTGCCCCTCCTCTAGAAAAGCGGGACTTGCCGCTAAGAGTGAAGGAGAAGGGGTTGGAGGTTTCTTGCCCCCCAGAAAGGCGGTGAAGGGGTAGAGACATGGAGAGAAGGGGTTGAGGTACTTGCCCCTCCCCTAGAAAAGCGGGACTTGCCGCTAAGGGTGAAGGACCAAGGCAGGTGTCCCTGTGTGGTCTGACACCTCTGAAATGTGGGTGAATAATCAGGCATCCCTGCAATGATTAAACACCAAGGGAAGGCTGCCTTCCCAGTCTGTGACAGGCACCGGAGTTTTGGGTCCATGGATAAAACGTGTCTCCTTTGTCTCTACCAGAAAATGAAAGGAATTGAAATTAAGAGAAGGGAGAGATTGAAGTGTGGCGCCAAGATTGAAAGGAGAAAGAGGCTGAGGGATAGTGAGGGAGATTGGAGAAGAGAGTAAAAAGAGGCTGCTTACTAGATTTGAAATTGGTGAGATGTTTCTTGGGCTGATTGGTCTGAGGACCTGAGGTCGTAGGTGGATCTTTCTCACAGAGCAAAGAACAGGAGGACAGGGGATTGATCTCCCAAGGGAGGTCTCCTGATCTGAGTCATGGCACCAAATTTCATGTGCATCCATGTGAAAAGACCACCAAGCAGGCTTTGTGTGAGCAATAAAGCTGTTTATTTCACCTGGGTGCAGGTGGGCTGAGTCCAAAAAGAGAGTCAGTGAAGAGAGATAGGGGTGGGGCCATTTTATAAGATTTGGGTAGGTAAAGGAAAATTACAGTCAAAGAGGGGTTGTTCTCTGGCAGACAGGAGTGGGGGTCACAAGGTGCTCAGTAGGGAAACTTTTGAGCCAGGATGAGCCAGGAGAAGGAATTTCACAAGACAATGTCATCAGTTAAGGTAGGAACAGGCCATTTTCACTTCTTTTGTGGTGGAATGTCATCAGTTAAGGCAGGATCTGGCCATCTGGATGTGTACATGCAGGTCACAGGGGATATGATGGCTTAGCTTGGGCTCAGAGGCCTGACACATAGGATTTAAAATATGGAGAGAATAAGAATACATGGCAACAATAGCATAATAGATGGAGTGAAATTGAGTTAACATCTAAATGCCTTGCATTTTTGCGGAAGCTTTAAACTACTATCTTATATTAGAAATGAATAAGGATATATATCGTATGTTTAAGGAAATTCACCATAGAAAACAAAAAGGATGTACTATATAATAGTAAACTAATGAAGAATGTAATAATGAACTACTCTCAATATAAAAGAAATAAGTAGGACAATATAAAACAGATAGGACAATTTATTTTATTTTATTTTACTCTAAGTTCTGGGATATATGTGCAGAATGTGCAGGTTTGTTACATAGGTATACATGTGCCATGGTGGTTTGCTGCACCTATAAACGTGTCATCTACGTTTTAAGCCCTGCATGCATTAGGTGTTTGTCCTAATGCTCTCCCTCCAATTGCCCCCCACCCCCTAAAAGGCCCTGGTGTGTGATGTTCCCCTCCCTGTGTCCATGTGTTCTAATTGTTCAACTCCCACTTATGAGTGAGAACATGCAGTGTTTTGTTTTCTGTGCCTGTGTTAGTTTGCTGAGAATGACGGCATCCAGCTTCATCCATGTCCTGGCAAAGGACATGAACTCATTCTTTTTTATGGCTACATAGTATTCCATGGTGTATATGTGCCACATTGTTCTTTATTCAGTCTATCATTGATGGGCATTTGGGTTGGTTCAAGTGTTTGCTATTGTAAATAGTGTTGCAATAAACATACATGTGCATATGTCTTTATAGTAGAATGATTTATAATCCTTTGGCTATATACCCAGTAATGGGATTGCTGGGTCAAATGGTATTTCTGGTTCTGGATCCTTGAGGAATCACCACACTGTCTTCCACAATGGTTGAACTAATTTACACTCCCACCAACAGTGAAAAAACATTCCTATTTCTCCACATCCTCTCCAGCATCTGTTGTTTCCTGACTTTTTAATCACCATTTAAACTGGTGTGAGATGGTATCCCATTGAGGTTTTGATTTGCATTTCTCTAATGACCAGTGATGATGAGCTTTTATTCATATGTTTGTTGGCTGCATAAATGTCTTCTTTTGAGAAATGTCTGTTCATATCCTTGGCCCACTTTTGGATGAGGTTGCTTGATTTTTCTTGTAAACTTGTTTAAGTTCCTTGTAGATTCTGGATATTAGACTTTTGTCAGATTGGTGGCTTGCAGAAATTTTCTCCCATTCTGTTAGTTGCCTGTTCACTCTGATGATAGTTTCTTTTGCTGTGCAGAAGCTCTTTAGTTTGATTAGATCCCATTTGTCAATTTTGGCTTTTGTTGCAATTGCTTTTGGTGTTTTAGTCATGAAGTCTTTGCTCATGCCTATGCAGATAGGACAAATTTTTAAAAAATTCATAGAATAGTCCATTTAAACTCAAATAGTTCAGCTATTACATTAAGTTAATATGGACAAAATCCTGCAATTCGTAGGCAAACAATTTAAAATTGAATACTGAAACAAAATGTAACTGTGTTCTGCTGATAAGAGATGTGTCTTTAATACAAAAATAAGAAAGACTGAAAGTAGAATTACGGAACATGATAAACCTAATCAAAACAAAGCTTGTAATTCTAAAGAAACTATACTGAAAAGCAAGAAATATTTATACATAAAGTTTGAAATTTTATAATGATAAAAAGATAAAACAACAGAAAAAGATGACAAAAATAACTTTGTAAGCATTTAATAACCTAATCTCAAAATGAATAAAACAAAAAAGTACAAAATAAATAAACAATAGAAGAAAAATAATGAATAGCTACATTTACAGTCATAGTTGAATAATGCAGTTTTTCTCAGTAACTAAAGAATAAGCAAAAGATGATTGGATAAATTAAATATGTTATATACATATAATGAAATATAATTTTGCAATAAAAATAAATGAAGTATTGATACATATTACATTAAACATAAATTCAACTTGAAAACTAAGTGAAAATCCAGTCACACCCTAGACAAAAACTTACAAAAAGATATTGTAAAATTCCATTTTTATATAATGTATGTAATAAGTAAGTTCATGGAGTTAGAAAGTATTTTGGTGCTTGCCTGGGACTGATAGATGAAGGTGGGGGAATAATGAGAATGACTGCTGATGAGGACAAGTGTTTCCTTTTAAAGTGATACAAATGTTCCAGAGTTTGATGATGGTTGCACAAATGTGTGAATGCAATAAAAACCACTGAATTATACACTTTATTTGATAAATTATAAATTATTTATCCATAAAACTGCAAAAATGATTTTTTAACTAAAACTTGCATTCAATCTCATCCACCTGTAAATGGCATTAAAATTATTTTCAGTTCAGTATATTCTAGACCAGTGGTTTTCAACCAAGCCTAACTTTGTCTCACAAGGAACATTCGTAATGTCCGAAGACATATTTGATTGTAACAGTAGAGGTGGAGTGGGTATTTGCATTAACTAGGTAGAAGCCAGAAATACTAGTAAAAATCTTACAGTAGGTAAGACAGCTTTCAACCAAAACAATACAAAACAAAACATGTAACTGCCCCAAAATATCAATAGTGCAAAGGTTAACAAGCCCTCTTTTAGAGACATTGATCTCTATTCCTATATAATTTTTAAGCCTCATGGTAATAGAGTCTATCTTGGAATGTGAATGAAGCATAATGTAAACATTACAAGCAACAACATGTCACATTTTTAGAATTTACATCATTCAGAATACCCCTTAGTATCACCTGACCCCAAAGCTTAGAATGATTTTGCCAATTTTGCAAATATGAAAACTTAGATTATGTTATTCTTTTTCTAATGGGCCAAGAAAGGTATAACACTACACTGTCACTTTTTTTTTACTTCTATACTAATTACTTTCTGAATATATATAGATATCTAATCTATCTATCTATCTATTCTTTTACCACTTAAAAATATTATTTTAATCTGTTTAAAACTAAGGCCTAGCATTAAGAGATATACCTAATGCTAAATGACAAGTTAATGGGTGCAGCACACCAACATGGCACATGTATACATATGTAACAAACCTGCACGTTGTGCACATGTACCCTAAAACTTAAAGTATCATAATAATAAAATTAAAAAAAAAACTAAGGCCTAAAAATAAGAAGTGCTATTTTGTCTGACAGCAAAATAAATAAGTAGTTTTTAAAATAGTAAGCTGAAGTTTAATAATTATGTTAAAATTATAGTAACTTTTTTCTGCAGTAATTATTTTTGATAAAAATTAATGCAATTACATGACATAAAATTAAGATATAGTTTAGTAAGAAAAACACAAAACAATAACCATTGTAGAATGAAAATAAGTTTTAATATATGAAAGACTTAAGAATCCTTTAATACATTAAACTGACTGATACTAGTGTTCTTTGCTGAATCATAGGTAACATATTTATTGATTTTTAAAATAGGGTTAGCGTAGAATAAATGAAATTTATAATTTAATAGTCATCAACTTCACATTCATTTTGCATACCACAGGAGAAAAAAAGAGGCTCAGAAAGATTAAGTTCTAAGGATAATTGATTTTAAAATTGGGGCCAGAATTAGGACTCAAACGCATATTTTCTGAGGTCTAGCCCTTTGTATATTACACCCTTGCTGAAGACTAAATTCGAGTGTGTGTCTTATTGGCAGTGAGAAGGCAGATTTGCCAATATGTAGTTTCTAAATCTTGCATTTATTTCTATACATTTTAAATTTAATTTAGAAATAGAACAGGGAGAGTAATGTTAGCAAGATGGTCAATCAGAGTTGTTTGGCACTCATCCCCACAAAAAGGGTTGTGGGGTTCCCCTCCAACATAACAAATGAACAACTATATTTCAGTGGAAGTTACTGAGGAAGTATGCTGGGGAACATAAGGGGAGTGAAAAAATCCCTGTGAAGCACAGAAACTCAGGATAGAACCATAAAAGAAGAGGGAGACACACAAACTCTACCAAATTGTTCCCTCACTGGGATTGGCTCATAGCCAGGAGGGGCTACTGCTTATCGAGAAAAGGTAAGCTGGAGACACCAGTTGTCCCCATTACTACTGCAGATGCCTGCAGGCTGCTACGGGAGGGTCCTGCAAGCCTCACAGTCAACAAATTCTATCTGGGGAGCTTTCTGGAGTTCACATAGCTGTGTTGCCCTATACTAGGAGCCCATTTCGTATACCCACCAACTCCCGTGACCTAAGTTGGAACTGCATAGTACCATCCTGAAACCAGACTGACTGCTAGAGTATGTCCTACTCTGGGGGCCAGTAGCCACTGTGTCTCTCCATCCCTGAGGCCCCAGCATCATTCCACCATGCTCACAAGGAAGGCCACAGAACTACAACCCCAGCTACTTTAAGCTTAGGCCCAGTGGAATGGCCCAAATCCATGCAACATCCCCTCCTCCCTGGGAAACAGGCATATCTGCACAGCAAGAAAGCCAACAAGCAGCTGATTGGCCTGTGGTGCCTGTGTGCCTGACCCAACAGGAAGGATGGCAGCAGCCCCACCCATTGAAGAACCCACCTCAGAGTTGGCCAGCCCACTATACCTATGTAAGCCATGCCTGACAGCCAGACTAGGGGTGGCCCTGCAGCCCTGGAAAGTCCACTACATAGCCAGCTGGCCCACCATGCAAGTCTGTCTAAACAGTGAGGCTGGTAGCGTTGCCCCTAACAAAACTGAGCCATTACAATCACAAACTCCTGTAGCCTAGGCCACTGATGAAATTGCAGACATCATTGATGAGAATTATAGCTAATGAAACTGCAGAGAACCACACAGAACCAAAGATAATGGATCATACTCAACTGACATCCTAGACACACCTATAGGAAAAAGTCTCTCCTTACAAAAGTTAGCCCGTAAAGTTGGAAAAGATAACTGTTCCACCAGATATGCAGATATCAATGCAGAGATATAAGAAACATGAAAAAGTAAGGAAACATGACATTTCCAAAGGAAAATAATAATTCTACATTAACAGCCCCCCATAAAAAAATTTATGCAATTCCTGGAATTTAAAATAATGATTCTTTTTAAACTATGAGATATAAGAGAATATGGACAAACAATTCAATGAAATAAGAAAAATAATTTATTATCTGAATGAGAAATTCAACAGAGGGACAGATATAAAAAAAGAACAAAACAGATATCTTGGAGCTGAAGAATTCAATGAATAAAAGAAGTACAACTGAGAGGTTTAACAACATACTAGCCATTTTGGCAGCATATGTATTTATGATTTGTATAGAAGAAACAGTTTCTAAATTTGAAGACAGTTCTTTTAAAGTAACCTAATTAGAGGGGAGAAAAAGTAAACAAAAATAAAAAGCAATAAAGAAAGTCTACTTATGGGACACCATTAAGTGAATGAATATTTGCATTATAAGAATGCCAGAGGGAGAAGATATAAAGAAAGGCAGAAATATTGAAATAGTATGTGGAAACTTCCCAGTCTTAGCAAACATATGAACAACCAGATTTAGAAACTCTAAGACTCCCAATTAGATTACAACAAAAATGATCTACTCCAAGGTACATTATAATCCATCTATCAAAAGTCAAAGACAAGGCAAGAATTCTGAAAACTGAAATGGAATAGTGTCAAGTCACATATAAGAGAATTCTATTATACTGTCAGCAGATCAATCATTAGAAACCTTGCAGCCCAGTAGAGAATGGTATGACATATTCAAAGTGCTGAAAGAAAAAAAAAATACTGGCAACCAAGAATACTATATCAGCGAAGCTGTCCTTCAGCAATGAAGGAGAAATAAAAACCTTCCCAAATAAGCAAAATCTGAGGGAATTCATCACCACTACACTAGTCTTTACAGAAATGCTTAAGATGATAGTGCTACAACTGAAAGTGAAGATAATTACTATTATGGAAACACATGAAAATATAAAACTCACCAGTAGAGGGCAGCTCATAACCAAAATCAGAATATCCCAGTGCTATAATAGTGCTATGTCAATCTTTTAATCTTCTGATATAAAGTTTAAAAACCAAAGGGGTCAAAAAACAACTTCTACAATTAGTCATTAAGAAAAACAATAGATAAAGACACACATTAAGGCAACAAATATATAAATTACAGGGAGGGGTCAGGAAAAAATGTCTAGAGTATTTTTATGTGACCAAAATTAAGTTGCTCTCATCTTAGAATAGTCGATTATAACTACAAGAACCTTTATGTTAGCTTCATGGTATCCACAAAGAAAGAAATTACAACAGGTACACAAATGAGAAAGGGAAAGGAAGCAAAGCTTAGCACAGCAGAAAACCACCCAGCCATAGTAGTAAATAATAAAAGAGAAAAAAAGAACAAAGAGTCTATACAACAATCAGAAAACAATTAACAAAATGTCAAGGGCAATTCATTGCCTCTCAATAATAACCTTAAATGTAAATGGATTAAATTCTTCAATTTAAAGATTGCATTGTTGAAAGGATTTTGAAAAACTAAGAACCAACTGTATATTGCGTACAAGACACTCACTATTAAAGATAAACCCAGACTGAAAATGAGAGGATAAACAAAGATACTCCATGGAAAAGAAAACCAAAAGCAAAAGGAGTGGCCATATTTATGTTAGATAAAGTACACTTTAAGTCAAAAACTGTAAAAAGAGACAAAGAAGGTCATTATATTTAATAAAGGGAGAAATTCAACAAAAGGATATACCAATGATAAATATATATGCACACAACACCAGAGTGTCTAAATACATAAAGCAAATATCAGATCTAAAGGGAGAGATAGACTACAATGCAATAATCACAGGAAATTTCAACTTCCCACTTTTAACAATAGATAGGTTGTCTAGATATAAAATCAGCAAAGAAACATCAAACTTAAGCTCCACCATAGTCAAAATGAATCTAACATATACTTACAGAACATTCCCTCCAATAATTGCAGAATATACCTTCTTCTCAGTTGCACATGAAACATTCTCAAGGACACAAAACATGTTTCAACATATTTAAGGTAGAGAGTATATCAAGTATCTTTTTTGAACACAATGGTATAAAGCTAGAAATGAACAACAAGAAAATTTTAGAAACTTTACAAATATGTGGAAATTAAACAAATTGCTTTTATATCACCAATGGATCAAGGAATAAATTAAAAAGAAATTTAACAAATTCCTTGAGACAAATGAGAATGAAAGCACGTCGTTTCAAATCCTATGATATACAATGAAAGCAGTTCAAACAAGGTAAGCTTATAGTAATAAACACCTATCACATAAAAAGAAAAAGCTTTCAAATAAACAACCTAACGATGAACCTCAAAGAAATAGGAAAGCAAGAAAAAAATATATAAATTGGTAGAAGGGAAAAATTAATAAAGCCTAAAACATAAATAAATGGACACAAGAAAAACAGTTCAAAAGATCATTGAAGAGAATTGTTGATTATTTTGGAAAAAATAAACAAAATTTACAAACCTTCAGCCAGACTAAGAAAAAAGAGAAAACTCAAATTAGTAAAATCAGAGATAAAAAAAGAGACAATACAACTGATACTACAGACATACAAGAGATCATAAAAGACTATTGTGAAGAATTTTACACCAACAAATTTGGTAACCTAAAAAAGAAAAGATAAATTACTGGACACATACAACCTACCAAAATTAAGTTGAAAATCATAACAGACCAATAATGAGCAAGAAAATTGAATTAGTAAAAAGTCTTCCATCAAAGAAAAGCCCAGGATCTGGTGGCTTCACTGATGAATTCTACCAAACATTTTAAGAAGACTAATAACAGGTTTTTTTGAACTATTTTAGAAAATTAAAGAGGGGAGAATATTTTCAAATTCATTTTACAAAGCCAGCATTACATTGATGTAAAAACAAGACAAAGACACAAGAAAAAAAATAAATAAACTGCAGGTCAATACACCTAACAAACATAGATGCAAAAATTCTTAACAAAATGATAGCAAACTAAATTCAACAGCACATCAAAAAGATCATTCACTATGATCAAGCGGGATTCATCCTAGGGATGGAAGGATGTTTTAACATAACATACACAAATCAATAAATGTGGCACAACACATTAACAGAAAGAAAGACAAAAACAATGTGATCATTTCAATAGACACAGAAAATGGATTTGACAAAATTTAACATCCTTTTATAATAAAACTCTCAACAAATTAGGTTCAGAAGCAGTGTACCTCGACCCAATAAAGGCCATACAAATGACAGACTCACAGCTAAGATCACATTTAATGGGGAAAACCCAAAAGATTTTCCCTTAAGATTAGAAATAAGACAAGGATGTTCATTTTCACTACTTCTATTCAATATAGTACTGGAAGTTCTAACTAGAGCAATTAGACAACAGAAATAAAATAAATAAATAAATAAATATAGATTAGAAAGGAGAAAGGCAAAATATCTCTCTTTTTACAAGTGACATGATGTTACAGAAGGAAAACACTAAAGATTATACCAGAAAACTGTTAGAACTAATAAACAAATTTAGTAATATTGCAGGACAGAAAATCAACATACAAAAATTAGTTGTGATTTTATAGACAAAGGTTAACTATTTGAAAAAGAAATCAAGAAAATAATTTCATTTACAATAGCAACAGAACAGAAAGATACCTTGGAATAAACCAGAGGCTTGATAGGTATTTACACTAAAAACTATGAAACATCAATGAAAGAAATTGAAGAGGACATAAAGAAATGAAAAGATAAACTCTGTGTTCATGGGTTGAAAGAATTAATATTGTTTAATTGGCCATATTACCCAAAACTGTCTACAGATTTAATGCAATCTATATCAAAATACCAATGACATGCGTCACAGAAATAATTTTTTAAAAATCTCTAAAACTTATGTGGAACCACAAAAGACCCAAAATGTCCACAGCAATCTTAAACAAAAAGAACAAAGCTAGAGGCATCACATTACTTGACTTCAAAAGACATCACCTAACTCCCATTACAATGGCTATGATTAAAAAGACAAAAGAAAACAAGGTTGGTGAGGATGTGGAGAAAAGAGAACTCTTGGTGGTAATATAAAGTAGTAAAGCAATTACAAAAAACAGGATGCAGGTTCCTAAAAAAGTTAAATGTGGGACCATATGATCCACAAATTCTACTGAATATATACATACGAAGGAAATAAAATCAATATGTCAGAGACATCTGCACTTCCATGTTTATTGCAACACTATTTATAATAGCCAAGACTTGGAATCAACCTAAATGTTCAACAAATAGTAAATGTATACATATTTACACAATTGAATATTATTCAGCAATAAAGAAATGAAACTGTGTCATTTCAGACCAAATGGTTGAATACGGAGGACTTTAAATGTATTCGTCTGTTCTTAGGCTGTTAATAAAGATATACCCAAGACTGGGTAATTTATAAAGGAAAGGGGTTTTATTGACTCACCATTCAGCATGGCTGGGGAGGCCTCAAGAAACTTACAATCATGGCAGAAGGGGAAGCAAACACGTCCTTCTTCGCATGGCAACAGCAAGGAGAAGAATGAGTGCCCAGTGAAGGGAGAAGCCCTTCACAAAACTATCAGATCTTGTAAGAACTAACTCACTATCACCAGAAAGGATGGGGGAAACCGCCTCCCATGATTCAGTTATCTCCATTGGTTCCTCTTACAACACAGGGTATTATGGGAACTACAATTCAAGAAGAGATTTGGGTGAGGACACAGCCTAACCATATGATATCATGTTAAGTGAAATAAATAAGACACAGAACGACAAACACCAAATGATCTCATTCAGATGTAGAATCTAAATAAATACGTTGCTCTTACGGAAGTAGATAGTAGAACACTGTTTTACCAGAGATGATTTGGAAGGGGAAAATGGAGAGAGGTTTGTCAATGGGCACAGAGTTACAATTAAATAGAAGAAATAAGTTCTGTTGTTCGATTGCATGGTAGGGTTACTAAGGTTAACAGTAAGTTGTTGTTAAATGAATTTTTGTTGTTGTTTTTTTTTTTTTTTTGAGATGGAGCTTTACTCTGTCACCCAGGCTGAAGTGCAGAGGTGCAATCTCAGCTCACTGCAACCTCCGCCTCCCCAGTGCAAGGGATTCTCCTGCCTCAGCCTCCTGAGTAGCTGGGACTACAGGTGCATGCCACGACACCCAGCTAATTTTTCATATATTTAGTAGAGATGGGTTTCACCATGTTGGCCAGGCTGGTTTCGAACTCCTGACCTCAGGTTGATCCACCCACCTAGGCCTCCCAAAGTGCTGGGATTACAGGCGTAAGCCACCATGCCTGGACATTAAATGAAATTTAACCTAAAGCTGCATTCTTACATATTTTAAGTTGAGCCTAAGAGTCTCTTCCTACATAGTGAACTGTAACCTAAGTGGATGTGTAACCAGATTATAATTTAACCTTGTGCCAATCACTGGGTTTCAGCTAATCAAAGCAGCCAGTTATCCAAATCGTGTTCAAATAAGGCAAACACCAAGCTGTAACCAATCTCGCTGTTTCTGTGTCTCACTTCTGTTTTCAGTACTTCATTTTTCTTTTTCTGTCCATAAATCTTCTACGTGGCTGCACTGGAGTCCCCTGAGCCTACTCTGGCTCAGAAGGCTCCCTGCTTTGCAAATGGTTCTTTGCTCAATTAAACTTTATTAAATTGAATTTGTCTAAGATTTTTCTTTTAACATTACAAAACAGCTAGGACTGATGTCTTTGAACATTCTCATCACAAAGAAATGATAAATGCATGAGGTAATGAATATGCTAACTACCCTGATTTGATATTTATGCAATGTATACATGTATTGAAAATCAAATGGTACCCCATAAATATGTACAAATATAATGTGTCAATTTAGAAAAAGGAAAAAATAGAACTTGGGAAGAAATATATCTTCTAAGAAGATGGCATTTTAGGAAAACAATCTCTACTAAACTTATTTTCAAATGTTTATAAATTGCATAATTTACTTTGAAAGAGGTATGAATGACTTAAAATTCAGAGTATCAAGACTTCTAAGTTATTAATTGATATGTAAATACATATGCTACATTATGAAATATAACATGTTAATAAATATATACCTATTGAAAAAGTGTATACGTTTATTTCTAAGAAATATAAACTCTAGTACAATTCTATTCCTATTTGACCAGATGTCTCCTCACAACCTAGGTGTTTGTTTTAATCATCTCTCTTCCTGCTAGACTAACTTGACATGTATAAATTCTCTACTAATGCAATTAAACTGACCTGCGTAAGAGACAAAATAGCCAATGACAAATCTATTACTAAGATCTTGCATTAGTGTGGTACATTTGTTACAATTAAAGAACCAATAGTCACATATTATTTTAACTATAGTCCATGGCTTACATTAATTTTCATTCCTTTTATCATACAGTTCTATGGGTGTTGATATACAAACTGCATATACCTACAGTTTCATGAAAAATAGCTTCACCTGTGATTCACCTATTTATCCTTTCTCTTCCTCCTCACAAGCCTCTGGCAATGACTGATTTTCTTTTTTTTTTTTTTTTACAGTCTCTATAGTTTTTCTCTTTCTAAAATCCCATATGGTTAAACTCATACAGTATATAGACTTTTCAGATGGGCTTCTTTCACTTAGCAAAATGCATTTGATGTTTCCCTGTGTCTTTTCATGGCTTGATAGTTCATTTTGTCTTCTTGATATGCCATTACACTAATATATCATAGTTTGTTTATCCATTTGCTTACTGAAGGGCATCTTGGTTGTTTCTAGGTTTTGGTGATTATAAACAAAGCCACTGTAAACAGGTTTTTGTGTGGATGTTAGATTTTCACCTCACTCAAGTAAATACCTAAAAGCATAATTGCTAGGTCATATGGTAAGAATACGTTATGATTTATAAAAACCTGCCAAACCATTTTCCACAATGGTTGTATCATTTTGTAATCTTGTCAGAAGAAATAAGTGTTCCTGTTGCTGTGCCTCCTTGTCGATATTTGGTGTTGGCAATGTGTTGGGATGTGATACATCCATTCTAACAGGTGCATATTTCATTGTTGTTTTAATGGGCAGTTCACATGTGTATTTTTTTTCCTTTTCTACAGCCGTATTATTCCAACACTTCCACTTGTTGAATCGATGGCCTATGTTGCTTCATTGGGACGGCAGAACCAGGTCTTGACCATAAAGTAAGTCTTTAATTCCAGGCTTTTATATATGGGAGAAGAGTAATTTTTTAAATCCACAAGAAATCCTTCACATATTATGAATATATATGGGGCATTATGTCAAACCACAGTGTGAAGGGAGAACATGCCATCTGGAGTGGGGGTTTGGAGGCACCGGGAAATGCCTCTGCTTTGAGGAGTCGTCGTCCAGGATTTGAGAGAGATTTAAAGTTTATTGTTCTAGAGAAGGCTTTCATTACCCAAGATTTCCCCTTCCCCAGGCTCTTAGCCACAGAAGAAGGGGCGAGGAGGCAGCAAGGTGAGTGAGTTGATAGGAAAGGGCTGAAGGAAAATGCTTGAAAATACTGTCAGGGCTCTGGTTGCTTGAGCCTTGCCTCCCACTACTCCACCAGCAGAGAGCAGCAGAAGAGAAGCAATGGAATGGGAAGAGCTCCTCTATAACTTGTGGAGGGGTTCATTTCTCATAGGTGCCATGGGTTCTGCAACCAGCAACACCTGGGAAAGCAGCATCTTATTCTAAGTCAGAGAGAGGCTGAGTCCACTTGCCATGTCCAAGTGGGGCACCTTTGTTCTCACTCGCAGAAATATATAGTATGAGCCTGTAGTGCCATAGATGGTAGATGAAGATGGTCTCTACAGACATTGGTCAGTGTTAGCTCTCCTCAGCAGGTATATGGCAGAAACAGTCAGCAGACGTATGGTGGAAACTCAGAAAGGACAGGATCAATACACAGAAGGTAGTGGGGAATGAAGAATAGGGCTGACTGGGGACAGTGGTTCATGCCTGTAATCCCAGCACTTTGGGACGCCAAGGCGGGAGGAATGCTTGAGCCCAAAAGTTTGAGACCAACTTGGGCGACATAGTGAGACCCCTTCTCTATAAAAAACAAAAACAAACAAACAAAATAGCTGAGGGTGGTGGTGTGTGACTGTGGTTCCAGCTACTCAGTAGGCTGAGGTGGGAGTATCACTTAAGCCCAGGAGGCCGAGGCTGCAGTGAGCCGTGATCATGCCTCTATACTCCAAACTGGATGGCAGAATTAGTAAGACCATGTCTCAGTAAAAAAAAAAAAAAAGTAAGAAAAGAATAAGGCTCAGGGCAAAAGTACCATGGCAGAGGCTGGTGGTGGACATTACCAATGTGGGAGATTAAAGAGTCCCAGAAAGCCAGCAGAGTCAGCAAGATTCAAGATGGAGGCCTAGTCATTGGGCCATCTGGCTAAGCTCCATGAACACTATTATTGTCTATCCACACCCTTGCGGATCTCAGGAACAATCAACACACGACAGTAGCTACAGACACATCAGTCCAGACCCAGAGAGAACAGAACTTATGTCCATAACTCAAGTGACATATGGTGTTCTCCAATCAGAGGTCACAGAAGCAAGCCAAAATGAACATGGAGGTTGATAGAGTTTGGATATTTGTCCCCATCCAAATCTCATATTGAAATATCATCTTCAATATTGGAGATAAGGCCTGGTGGTAGGTATTTGAGTTATGGAGGTGAATCCCTCGTGGCTTGGTGCTGTCCTCTTAATAATGAGTTCTTGAGAGCTCTAGGTGTTGTAAAGTGTGGCACCTCCCCTCCGATCTCACTCTGTTCTTACTCTCACCATGTGAGAGGCCTGTCCCCCCGACCTTCTGCCATGATTGGAAGCTTCCTGAGGCCTCTGCAGAAGCTGAGTAGATGCCAGTGCCATGCTTCCTGTACAGCATACAGAACTGTGAACCAATTAAACGTCTTTTCTTTATAAATTACCCCGTCTCAGGTATGTTTTATAGCAATGCAAGAGCAGCCTAACACAGAGATCCTTGCTTCTTCTATGAGAATGAGTAAACTTACCTTGAATACGGTAACACCCAGGAAAAGGGCAAAGAGGAGGTAGAAGGGGGAGAAACCTGAAATACCAAGCAGTTATCCAAATGATGCTGAGGTTACCTGAAATAAACTGTTTTATACTGGAAGCAACAGAAATATCTTGAAGAGATCCATTCAGGATTTTTGTCTTTCTCCCCAATACTGAGCAAGAAAAAATAATAGCAAATACTTAGGCAACATTTACTATCTAATAGGAACTATTCTGCGTGTTTCAAATATATTAACCTATTTAATCCTTACAAGAACCCTGTGAAATTATTATACCCATTTCACAAATGAGACCCACAGAGATTGAGCAAATTACACAAAGTTATCCAGCTAGTAAGTTTCAGAGCCAGAATTTAATTCAGGCTCTTAGCCACAATGCTATTTTTAAGCTTTGTTTCTTTTTATTTTATTTAGAAACATGGTCTCACTCTGTTGCCCAGGCTGAAGTGCATTGGTATAATCATGGCTCACTGCAGCCTCAAACTCCTGGGCTCAAACAATCCTCCTGCCTCAGTCTCCTGAGTGGCTGAAACTAGAGGTGTGAGCCACTGAGCCCGGCCAGCCACTATGCTATGTTGCCTACCTAAGGCATAATAAACCCAGTGACGGAAAATAAAGTTTTTGTGGTCATTGTTTTGTTGTTACACATATGAATTGTAGCAAATGCACCATGATCCCTACTATAGAAATGCAAGAGAATAATTTCAATAACAACGATAAAGATTGGTGCGTAGATGTACTCAGGTTAATGGGGGCACAAGAAAGAGGGAAATGGATTTGTAAATACATTCCTGCAGAGGGTAACACATGAGCTGGGTCTCAGAAAAAGAGATCTGTGGTTCTGAAAGTTGACTGTGTGCTAGAATTAACAGGAAGGCTTTGCTAAAACATGAAATACTGGGGACCATCCAGAGTTTCTGATTCTGAGATCTAAGCTAGAGCCATATCACTTGCATCTCTAACAGGTTCCTAGGTGCTGGTGACACAGAGGGATCACTCTTCGAACCAGAGTTAGATGGAAAAGAACATTGGGAAAGAAACACTGGGAAAGAAAGCAGGTTGAGTGGAGGATTAAATATGATTAGTTTCATGCGCGTCCGTGTGAAGAGACCACCAAACAGGCTTTGTGTGAGCAACATGGCTGTTTATTTCACCTGGGTGCAGGTGGGCTGAGTCGGAAAAGAGAGTCAGCGAAGGGAGATAGGGGTGGGGCCTTTAATAGGATTTGGGAAGGTAAAGGAAAATTACAGTCAAAGGGGGGTTGTTCTCTGGCGGGCAGGTGTGGGGGTCACAAGGTGTTCAGTAGGGGAGCTTTTGAGCCAGGATGAGCCAGGAGAAGGAATTTCACAAGACAATGTCATCGGTTAAGGCAGGGACAGGCCATTTTCACTTCTTTTGTGGTGGAATGTCATCAGTTAAGGCAGGAACTGGCCATCTGGATGTGTATGTGCAGGTCACAGGGGATATGATGGCTTAGCTTGGGCTCAGAGGCCTGACAGTATGAAGCAAGGCAAAGGAGAGAGAAAGCAGAAGTTGGGTAATGCTTAGTGGTGTGAATTTGGAGCAGAAAAATAACATGAGCCAATGTGTAACAGAATTCCTTGGAAACCTCAAAAATTCTGTTTAAATGTGATAATTTTAAAGCTAATAAGGCTTAATGAGAAGAAAATAGTTCTTTGTGTATAAACATTTTGAGAAAGAGAATCAAAAGACGCTGAAATGCTTCAGTCTGTGCACAAATATCTGTGAATATCTGTACCTAACAGAAGTTTTATCTTTTGCCTCTTCCCTCTCTGCTCCATGCACAAACTTACTCATGGTGACACTCCATCCACTGATGATGTCTTTTTTTGTCAAATAAAATGTTGAACATTCTTGAAAAAAGCTTGAAGGGACTATCACTGCCCTTCTATATCTAGTGACGTCTTTTTGTTCAAGAAGGTAGGTTCACTCTGTGTAAAGTTTTACCTGGACTTGAATGTGAGATTGTAACACTGCCAACAAAAGCAACATTCCATGTCTCGAATTGAAATGTAATCTGTCAACCCATTTAAAACAAAAAAACAAAATTACAACAAATTTAGGTTAGATATTTAATTGGCTTTTATTTACAATTCATGAATGTGGGCAGCATCTCATTTTATAAAATAGAATAAGAACTCCGATGAGCTTGTTGGATACAGTGAGTTCTAAACTTCTCTTCAAAGAATCAGTATGTCAGTATGTTCAGTTCTTTGTCCTCCATTTTAAAGTTTAACTTCCTCGTAGTTTCAGTAAGCAACCTTTCCCACCAGTTTTAATCAGTAGTTCACATCTGTTCCCCTGGTCACCTGCTCTGACCTGAGTCATCCCAGTCACCTGCTCTGACCTGAGTCATCCCAGTCACCTGCTCTGACCTGAGTCATCCCAGTCACCTGCTCTGACCTGAGTCATCCCAGTCACCTGCTCTGACCTGAGTCAGTTTTAGTCACCGGTTCTGTCCCACCAAACTGCTCACCCCGCCACTCTGGCTCATACCCCTGCTCTCTTTAAAATACCCAATCAGAATTAGCTTAGACTGTGCAGTCCAACCCTAGCCAACAGGGGAACGACACAGCAGTAGGGGCAATAAGAACCCCTTCCCCTCCCTCGTTCAGGTGTGCTCTCGCCATTGCTCCAACCATGAGTCGCACCCTACTACAGAAGTAAAATTACCCTGCTGAGAGAAAATTATTTGTTTGAGCACTAGTTCGTCTTTTCGGCATCGAAGAACAAGCATTTGTTTCTAACAAGCTGAGCAGAGGAGGTTGGCTTTGTAGGCAGAAAAGAGTTGAAGAAAACAGAACAAAAAGCAGATTAGTCATTTCAAAGTTACTATCGATATAGAGTTAAAACAGGGAATTCCTTATTACACTGGTTCAGATAAACTGGGCTGCCCCTGATTGTTTCCTGTGAATAATGTGGGTTTTTTGGTTTGTTTGTTTTTGTTTTTTTAATACTGGCTTGTTTCAAAGTTCAGTTTGATTATGTAGCACCTAGCATGAGTGAATCCGTTCTGGTTTGTTATAGTCTGTTGGGGCTGTGAAAGGAAACTGAATCTTAGGGTCCCCAAATCACTAAGCAAAAGGGAAAAGTCAAGCTGGGAACTGCTTAGGGCAAACCTGCCTCCCATTCTATTCAAAGTCATCCCTCTACTCACTGAGATAAAAGCATATCTGATTGTCTGCTTTGGAAAGGCTCATCAGAAACTCAAAAGAATGCAATCATTTGTCTCTTACCTACCTATGACCTGGAAGCCCCTCCCCACTTTGTTTTCCCACCTTTGCTTCTAGTTGTCCCACCTTTCAGGACCGAACCGATGTTCATCTTACATACGTTGGTTGAAGTTTCATGTCTCCCTAACATGTATAAAACCAACTGTGCCCCGACCACCTTGGGCACATGTTGTCAGGATCTGCTGAGGCTGTGTCATGGGGGCACATCCTCCACCTTGGCAAAATAAGCTTTCTAAATTAACTGAGACCTATCTCAGATACTCGGAGTTCACAGGGCCAAGTATAGGCACTTACTCTAAAACAAGGATTTCATAAATTTATTTCGTACAGCAGTCATTGACATTTGTTCAGTTTCTATGTATGTTCAGGTGCATGCACATTCATGCACACAACAAACTGAATTTTACTTTTTCCCTCTGACTCTACTGATTGTGTAAATAATTGAATTGGTAGACATAACTGATGTTTTGGGTTTTTTCTTATTGTTTTTTTTGTTTGTTTGTTTTGTTTTGAGACAGACTCTCACTCTGCCAGCCAGGGTGGAGTGCAGTGGTGCAATCTCGACTCATTGCAACCTCCGCCTCCTGGGTTCAAGCAATTCTCCTGTCTCAGCCTCCCGAGTAGCTGGGATTACAGGCAGGCACCACCACACCTGGCTAATTTTTGTATTTTCAGTAGAGATGGGGTTTCATCATGTTGGCCAGGCTGGTCTCGAACCCTTGACCTCAGGTGATCTGCCCACCTCAGCCTCCCAAAGTGGTGGGATTACAGGTGTCAGCCACAGTCCTGGCTCTGATGGTTTCTTTTCCCTTGAGTTGTTAGAGATTCTTCATTGAGAGAACTTTGAGCAGACATGTAAAGAATAAAGTTTTCTTTTCCATCTGTCTTTTTCTCTCTGTTCCCACTTTAATGTTTCAAAATTGTTTTACATTAAGCTACTCATTGCATACATAAAATGATTTGGATTAATGTTTGTGTGTGTGTGTGTGTGTGTGTGTGTGTGTATTTAATTGTGGAATGACTCAATTGGTTCAGCAAAACAATTTCATTTAACAAAGAACTAATTTTTTCTTCAAATATATTATATTCTTTTTTTCAATTTTTGTTTTTAAGTTCCAAGGTACATGTGCAGGATGTGAAGGTTTGTTATAAAGGTAAACGTGTGCCATAGTGGTTTGCTGCACCTATTAACCCATCACCTAGGTATGAAGCCCAGCATAACATAGAGCTAATCTTAAACCAAACTGCCTTCTAACATTCTATCCCCTATATTTGTATCTGAAAAGGTTCCATTATATTCTTTAGACTCTTCCAACATTTGCCTGCTAGAAATGAGAAGGTTTTTATAACATCTGATCCTATGTATTTATCACTCATAAATCAGAAACTCAATTTGAACCCTGTGAAGTATGGAGGTTTAAAGCAAACCTTTATTTAACATTTTGTATGTCAACATTTTTCCAAACTTGACCTGCCAAGTGGATTTAATAGCAGATGACTCTGGAACCTGAACAAGTGTTTGCTCTTATATTTCAACTATTAGTATTGAATTAAAGACTACAAGGTTTGGATCACATGGCAGACTTCTTTGATGCCTTATGCTGCTGATGCTGGCCAAGAAGAGGAACATCTGAGTATTTACATGTTTATGCCTGGGGAATTCTAAGAAATCTTTGGACATTTGACAAATATGTGCCTATACCACTAAGCCTAAGATTGCATCCAAATCATGTGCAAATAATTTCTCATAGATGGGAAAAATATACTGATGCTAAAAAGATGTCATATGAGCTGTTTAAAAATAACAGTCCAGGAAATTCACTTTTTGTGAATCTGAAATTATCTCTCAATTATCTCAATAATTGTCCAAAGTATAAGATCATCTGGGGAATGATGAAACCAATGAGAGACTCCGTTTAACATTTCTTGTGCATTTCCGATGAGTGCAAATTATACCACCTTTTTAACACATTACTATCTCCTTTTGTTCTCAAAGCAATCCACTAAAATGACGGCCAGTGCTACTTCCATCTCTAATTTTCTCTCCCATCAGCCTACTCATATGTATGCATTTGGTGGTTTACATTCATCAAGGTTATGGGGCTGCTTGCCCGTAGCTTATTCTACCTGCAAAATAAAGTATTACATATATATATATATATATATATATATATATATATATAGTTTTCTATTTCCAGCAACAGTGATTTATTTTAAAGTAGTTTGTCATCAGTCTTACCCTTGGCTATCATGATATACATTTGATTGTTCTCTCTACTTGCAAACTTGCCCTCCCCCAACATATACGAATTTAGGTTTGTATTGATAAACATTCAATGGTTTTTTTAATCAAGCATAGAAATGTAGAATACATCTGAACTCTTTAGCATGGTCTACACGCAGGTTGCCAAATCAAGCAAAATATATACATAATAAATATGTATGCATAAGTGTTATAAAATGTTACATTTTCTACATTTATAAAGTATACATATAAATATATACATTTAATTATCTATACACACACACAGAGTTGATTATCATTATTTGCAGCACTCATATTCTATAAAGTTACTGACAGCACTGAATGAAGGAACACAGAATCACTGCCCCTAGAGGAAATAGTTGTTACTGAGAACCTCTACTTAAAACATTTTCATAAATCAATCAATACACAACCTTGTGTTATGCATGTTTCTGTTTGAATACACTTTATTTTATACATAGTGTATTTAACACTATTATAGTATTAATTCATTAATGGTTGAACTCACAGCCAACAGTATCATAACTCATTCCTGAATGAAGGTTTTCTAGCACACATTATTTTCTTCATAAGACGTAGCACCGTCTTCTTGCATTTAGAAAGAACTGCATTTAAAAAGCACAATGCAAAAAGCAAACATAACAACAAATAGATTGTGAAAAAGACACGTGTAGTATGCGAGTTATAATTTAAGATCGTGTTATTTATATGTGTTTTTTTATTTTAAGCTGTCTCCCCAAGGTCCATGCTTATATCCATCTTGTGCTAAGCCTGATATAATATCTGATACATGAAACCTTTTAAAATATTTGATGAAGAATGAATGGTTTAAAGAATTAACAGAAGTGGTGTGAGGATATATGAAACAAGAGAATCCTTAGTTATGTATCTAAACCTAGTTACTCATTATTTCATTTATTGGCTCATTCTCCACATAGTTAGGGAGTACCTTGTGCCTAGGCACTATTCAAGGCTCTAAAAATGAAGCAAGTATAAGAAGACCAAGGCTCCTGTCCTCATGGAGCTTACACTCTGCTGGGGCAGACAGAAAGTAGACAGAAAATTCAGTTATAACTTACATCATCGCCATGAAGAAAACAAATCAATGTGTGGAAAGCCAGTGCAATAAATAGGACACTGACATCTTGACACTCCTCCCCCCACCACTGTTTCACAATGTGCAGAGTAAATTAAACACACACAAACACTTCCATATATATTCAGTTAATTTTCACCACTCTGTATGCAGAGAACAGTGTAAATGACATAAACAGTGATAGAGAAAAGCAATTAAATTCAAAATAATCAGTATGTTAATAATGTAACTTTTTCAAAGGGTTTTTGCAAAGATTTTAATTTATTTATGAAACACAAGTTTATTGAATACATTTTATGTCAGGCATTCTTATAGGCACAGAGGCAGAAAACTTAAGATTGTATTTCAGGGAAGGGAAACATTCTAAACAAATTCCAATCTTCAGGCATCTGATTTAGAGCAGCGAGAACATGATATATGAATGTGTTAGCACTCTATATCCTCAGCATGTTAATCCTCATGAAACTAAGCCTTTAGTAAAGCTCGTGTATTAAACATGCCTGTTCTTTTAAAACAAATGGCAATCCTCATAAACAGTGTGTCCATTAACAAAAATCCACCTATTTTGATTTTTAAACTCCATAAAGCTCAGAGTGCAACCTGCTGCTGAAAGTTGACTTTTTCTCTGTTGCTTGGGACATATGGATTTTGACAGTAGAGTTGTAGAAACTGTTTAGCTATTTTTAAACCATGAGTTGCTCATTCTCATGTTAACGCTTGAGTATTTCTTACAGGCTAGGTAGGGAAACTTGGGTGAGATGTTTGTGATTAAACACATAATTTTGACAAGTTACCTAAAGCTCTCCTTATGTGTTTGTGCTATAGTCCACAGGTATAATGCCTCTCCTACTTAACCATGTGTGTATTACATGTGGTATATTTTTACATGTGGTATTATTATATATGGTATACATTATATAGGTATTATATGTGGTATATATTATATAGGTATAATTATATATACATATATATCATATAGGTATAATTATTATTATGTGAATCAGAGGATCACATAAAATAATCATGTCATCCTCTGCTGGAAACAATGCATTGACTTCCCACTGAATCTAGAATAAAATGTAACCTCCTTACCATTTCCTGCAATACTTAACCTTCTAATAGCCTTGATCACCTTTCCAGCTTCTCTCCTTTACATTGTCCCACTTATTCTTTCCTTTCTGGTCTCACTTGACAACTTTCAGTCTTTCAAACAGACTGAACTCTTTCTTTGCCACTAGTTCTCTCTGCCTGGAGTATTTTTACTTCCACTTTTCACATACTTGGCTGTTTTCATTTTCCAGATTTCTGCTTAATTTTCACATCATCAGAAAGAACTGCACTTATTATTTACCACTGCAAAGGGGCCCTACTCCGATTCATTGTCTCATAGCACCCTGCTCATCTTATATAATGTTTATCTGAATTGTTTTGCTATGTTTAGACATTTACTTATTGGAGGTTTCTCTACAGCCAAATAGGCTCTAAATCCCGATGAGGAAAGGAGCATCGGTGCTTTATTCACCACTGTATGTCTACTACAAGTACAGGGTGGACACATGAGGGGTCTTAACCATTACTTCAGTATAAATGAATTAATATATAATGTAAGGGTTTAGGATCTTTCACTACTAGCTTACTTCAAGGAAAGATCAGGGACACTGTGTTGAGAAGACCTTACATTGTTCTTGGTTTAGCCATTGTGTCTCTTTTACTTTAGCCAAGTTGTTCCGCATTTTTAGATTTTGATTCTTATTTGTAAATTATAAATAACAGATATAATTAATATAAACACACTATATAATGTAAAAACATAAGGTGCTATTATAATAATCAATAATGTATTTTAAAAGCAGATAATTCCATGGATCCTCACATTTCCTTATAGACTTCTAGTTTTTCATCAATAAAGCACAAAAGATATAGAGTAAATGCAAGAAAATAAAATCTCTGTGACCCTTTTTGATTTCCTATTTCCAATCCTCTTTTTACCCCTAGTTTAGCAATGTCTTTATTGCCATTCTTTATTTCTCCAATGGTTTATGTAATATAAAATTATAATAATAAACTTGATAAATTTAGTTAATGAGGAAATTTATGGAATGAGTAAAAAATACAAGTAAGGAAGACAATTTTTTTTACCACTTCTGAAGACTGTTGTTAGTTAATAGAACAATATAGTTGACCCTGGGCAGTGAAATTATATTCATTGTCCAATCACAACATCTGATCAATGGCTCATTAATATCTAATAGTAATTACTTATATTGCTTCACAGTTTTTTTTAATCTAAAATATAAAGTTCTTATTGAGAAAAGAAAAACAGATAAGACATTGGTCTTCATAATTTCCAATGTTCTCTGTTATCCAGTTATTTATTCAGGGAGAAATCTTAGGAAAATCTATGAAAAATTAGAGGAATGATACTCTTTCTGGAGAATTAATTTACCTGCTACTGCTTCTTCCCACTATCCTATTAGAGGCATAATTGACTTAGACACACGGGATATGCCAACCTCATTAAACCTGAGAGCCCATAATGTGCAGAATCACAGATCTAAATAGCTTCTTTTAAGTTTCCTTATGCCACATATTTGTATGCCATAGAATACTGCCTATGGTGGGACGTGCTTCTTGCAGGATACTTGGAGGCCATCTGTTTATTCTGGCATGAGATCCTCTATGACATTTGAAGACTTGGTAGCACTTAGTTTTTAGTTTACTTCCCATTAATAAAAAAATAAATAAAAATAAGTTTGCTTTCTATTTGTATCACATACATAATCAACATTTCCATGTGTAAAACAGAAGGTATGAGCAAATCTGAACATAATTGTTTAGAACTTCTCCTGCAGCTCCCTGGGGGAATTGTGTCTCAAACGCCATCAGTATAGGTTATCAACAAGATGAGAATTGAAAAGCCCAATTAGAGATTAGAATAGGGATAGCTGATAAGAAACATGACCAAGCACCCCAAATTCAGCTTGGGAAGTCAAATTAAAGTACAGAGGGTGAAGTGGTCTGCATCAGCTGCCAATGAGGAATGGCAATATTTAAACAATATAAGCAAGGAACTCAGAATTCATTGGCCAATTGGAGGTCAAAAGCCCAGGTTTGGAATTAGGATAAGATTTTGCTGTGAAAGTGAGTGTCTGATTCATCTTCATTCTAGACAGACAGTTCCAACACTTTTTAAGTCTCAAAGTCCCTTTCTATTGATGCACCCCAATTAACTATGAGGAATCACTGCTCTGAGATCTAATTAATTCTAATGTTGGTTTCAGGGTTCCCTTCTGTACCAGCAGTAGTAGCACATGGAATTTTGTGGGATTTTGACAAGGAAATTACATTACTAACATATCTTGAAGGGATTCCTATAACAGTTTCTTGATACCATAACAGGTTCAGGTCACTAAGAGTCCTGCCAAAGTCCAGGCATGGTGGTTCACTCCTGTAATCCCAGTACTTTGAAAGGCCAAGGCAGGTGGATCATGAGGTCAGGAGTTCAAGACCAGCCTGTCCAACATGGTGAAACCCCGTCTCTACAAAAGATACAAAAAACTAGCCGAGTGTGGTGGTGCACACCTGTAATCCCAGCTATTCAGGAGGCTGAGGCAGGAGAATCGCTTGAACCTTGAAGGCGGAGGTTGCAGCGAGCCCAGATGGCACCATTGCACTCCAGCCTGGATGATGGGGCAAGACTCCATCTCAAAAAAAAAAAAAAAAAAAAAAAAAAAAAAAAGAGTTCTGCAAAGACTTCAGTTTCTTAAAGAAAAAGAAGATGTGTTAATTTGTATGATTTGCCTATTTTTTTCTGTTGTAAATACTCACAGCATGGTCAGTTTCAAGTTATCAAAAAGTTAAAATTCCTGAATTCTTCACATTGGTGTTCTCTAACTGATTCAAACAGGCTCTGGCCCATCACTGCTGGTTATACAAACCTTCTAGAATGAGGAAGGAAATTAACTTTTCCAAGATCTCCAGATTATGAGATAAGGTCAATCTCCTTCTTTTGTGTACTGAATTTGAACCCGGTCTTTCTTAGTTGGGAAATTCACTCTTACATGTGTTATCTTTTTATTCTGCTATATTGGATCTTCTCTCTCAGCTGACACATTTTCAATAGCTAATAAACAGTTTCTGCCATCAGACATTCTTAATAAAAAGCCATACCTTGACCCCACACGTAATGGCAACCTAAATTTTCTACTCTGCTTCCCAGCAAAACTTTGTAAAATAATTTTTTTATTGTTCTCATCACTTCTACTTACATTCCACAGGGACTTGACTCTTAGCCACCAATAATCTCTAGATTGCCAAATTAAATAGTGTCATTTTTACTTCTATCTCAATCTTTTATTAGCTTTAGACAGGGATCGCTACACCCTTCTTCTGGGAGCTTTTTTATCCTCGGTTTCATTGACACTAAACAATGTTGGTTTTTTTCTTTCTAACCTCTCCTTCTTGATCTCAGAATTCCAACTCTTGAAATGTTTCAAGACGTTATCCTTGGGTCTCCTTTCCTTTTTTTGTCTACACACTCAGGACTGGTGATTTCATTCAATACAAGGTGTTAAAAAGTCCCAAATCTCAATCTCAAGCCTGATTTCTCCTCAGAATTCCAGAATTATATATCCAAATGTCTATTGGATATTTCCATTTGAATGTCTGATAAACATTTCAAATTTAACATGTCCTGAACAACATTTTTGTTCTATTCCAGGTGCTGGCAAACTATAGCTGTGAGTCAAATCTGGGTCACATAATTTTGTTCAATAAAATTTTATTGGAACTCAACCACACCAATTGTTTGCATTTGTCTATAGCTTATTTCACACTGCCACAGAGACCTCTTTAGTCTGCAAATACTAAAACATTTATTATCTGGCTCTTTATAGAAAGTTGGCCAACAGCTGACCTATATACCAAATTTGCTCTTCTTGAAGTACGTATTTATCTGAGTTGATAACACTACCTTAAGTTTATATCTCAAGTCAAAATTCTCATAATTGTCTTTAATGTTCATCCTTTTCTTGCCTACTACCCCCAACACATCAGCAGTTCATATGGGCTTTACCTTGAAAATAAACCCTAAATCTAGTTTTAAAATGTCCACTGAAACCACCAATGTTGCTTGAAGCATTGAAACAACTTCCTAATGATTTCCTTGCCAATTTTTTTTTACCCTTTTACAACTTTATAGTCTTCTTAAGTTATAGAAAATTCTTCTTAAATCACATATCAGATCATCTTTTCCTTGCTTAAAATCATCCAATGGGTATGTATTTCTCTTAGAATTTTCTCAACTCCCTACCTTCTCTTACAAAGTTCTGCATAATCTGGATTCTTACTCCTCCGCCTACCAGTTCTCTTCTCGCTCTTGGCCCACTGAACTGCAGCTGCACTGAGCTTTCTCTTACTCCAACATGCTAATTTTTCAGTTCTGGCCCTTTGAGCTAGCTGGGTTCTCTGCCTGGAATTCTCTCATGAACGCCTTTCATGAATGTCTCCTTCTCATCAATCAGGTTTCAGTTCAAATGTCACTTCTTTCAAGAAGCTTCTTCTTAATAATTCATTCTAACAGAGTCGTACAAGTATATATCATATTATCACTTACCTAGTTTTTAATGTTCTTCAAAGCATTTTAACTATAAGATAGGTCTTCTATTTACTTATTTTTGTATTTATTTGTTTGCTGGTGATTTTTCTGCCTCTTCAAAATAGAATATAAATTCTCCAAGAATAGGAATCATTTCTGTCTTGTTCATTGAAGCATCCATAGTATTTAGGACAATGGTGAACAATATTGGTTGAATGGATGAATACTCAGCTATTATATTCCAGAGAGGTTTCTCAAGGTGGTCTTGAAGAATGTGGGCCAGGTTAATTTTCTTAGACTAATTATGAAGGCAGAAGGAAGAGCAATCTATTCTATTAATTTAAGTAATGTAAGTATCCCTATAAAAGAATTAATTTATTTTTATTGTATTTTTCTTAAATATAAATAAGTGTAACATTAGTTATAAACTCTTATATTTGCTACTTTTATGCACTAAAACCAAAACAATTACCATAAATTAATCAAATTAAGATGTTTACTTATGCAATTATTTTATTAGTTGCCCTGATAAACTCTTTGAGGGCTGGATCCATGTACGAATGTGCTCACTAATGCGTCATCTGTGGTTGAAAACATTGGCTGGGACATAGAGTTTGGCAAATACTTGTGGTAAATTAGTGCTGAATAGTAAATAAATACATGGCCTCTGCAATCAAGGTATGTGTGTCTAGTAGGATAGGCTTAAAGACACAAACCAGTTGACCATCCATCTGCTAGAAAATTCCTCAGAACAACTCTGAGCTTCAATATTAATTGTGGGCATTTATCGGCACTAACTATGGTACACTCTTAAAGAAATAACAATAACTGAACCCTTATAACAAGCTTTGAAAGCATTTATACTCTGATTATTTCCTTATTACAAGATGAAGGTGAGAAGAAACTGGGAGGTTGTCTGGCCACAGTTAATAAGTAGTAGAGCCAGGATTTACAGCCAGTGGGTCTGTATATAGAGCCTGAGTTCCATTGATTCCCAGCTAATGAGGGAGTAAATGATTCTTTTTCATTGGCAATGACCCAGATCCCAGAATCACAAGTTATATCCCACTAGAGCAGACTGGATTTTACTCATTAAGGTTGCATTTTTAACAAGATAATTCATTCCTACTGCTCGATACAGTAGCTATAGACAGTTACTTTTATCTAAATTACTCACCAAAATTTGAAGGTAGAAGGAATTTAGAAATACTCTTGTCCCACCTCTTCATTTTTCAACTGAGGAATCCAGAGTTCTAGGGAGATTAAAGTTACATAGCTAGGTAATAACAAAACTAGGAGGAGAAACTAGAATCGTTTTCCTCTGAATCACATGCCCTCTCAAATTTTGCCTGTGTTTAATGCCAGAAGGGCAAAAACAAAAAAAACAACAAAAAAGTTTGCTTTCCCTTAGCAGAAAAGTAAAAACAGATCACCTAAATATTTCTGTCCTACTGTGCTTTACTTTTGGAATCATTGCCAGAATGTGGTAGTCTGCTCATCAACTGTTGGAAATATAATCCTTCTGTATCTTTCAGATGATCGGGAATCCTTTTCATTTATGCATGCATACTTACACTCACCTTTCCATTCCTTTATTTACTTATTCATCAAGCATTTCTTGCATGGCAATTATGTGCAGAGCTTTGTACTTGGTAAAGGGGAAAATAAAGAATAGTTGAACATGATTTTATTCAAATTGATTCTATCCTCTATTACATTTTATTTTTTAATTTGCCTGAAGTCCCTTCAAAGGTAGACAGGTTGTAATTTCTCAATAAAATAGATATGAAAAACCAACAAAATCTTCTAGCATCAATGTGGCAATTAGCTGCTGACTGCAACATGTATTTTCTTAAAGTTGCTATGTTTCTGCTTCTATCAATATTAATAGCTAATATTATTGAGTGTTTAATATGTGCCAAGCACTCTGTTAAACACTCCATGTATGTTAACTCATTTAATCTCCTCAGCAGTTCCACAAGGACATATAGTTATTATATGTATTTATAGCATAAGGTTACACTCCTATTAAGTGGTAGGAAATCCAAACTTTCTTTCTCCAGGGAGTATATGCTTAATTGCTTTATCAAATTTGTAAATTGATAAATTTGTAAATTAAAGTTACATAGCTAGGTAATAACAAAACTAGGAGGAGAAACTAGAATCGTTTTCCTCTGAATCACATGCCCTCTCAAATTTTGCCTGTGTTTAATGCCAGAAGGGCAAAAACAAAAAAAACAACAAAAAAGTTTGCTTTCCCTTAGCAGAAAAGTAAAAACAGATCACCTAAATATTTCTGTCCTACTGTGCTTTACAAACAATTGTTTGTAAATTGTTAGCTTCTATAGAAAATATCCAAGAATTTCAGTAGAGGAGTGTTCAGGAGCCTGTGAGTTATCCCACATTGAAACTAGGAGACACACTGCTCTTCATTTTCTCCAACAAATACACCTCACTTTCTCTTGTATGATTTTTCACAGAATTCCTGCCCTATTAGTAACATAGCTGTGATTTTATTTAATCCAAATACTGATAAGCAATTGTGAAAAATGTGAATATCTGAGAACCTGTACTTTGCAAAATACATTTTTACTTAAATATGATTCTCTTTTAGAAAATGCTGTTGCAAAGTGGTGCTTATTTGGGCTCTGTATTTTTTTGGGGGGAGCGTCCCGATTTATAAGGGCAATAACAACTCAAAAAATGGTATGAGTAAAAATGGCTGTTCTCCTGAGCTTGGTAGAAGATTGGAGAAAGCATAAATAGCAATCTACTCCCCTGATTTATTCTGAGTACTCACACAACTGAGGCCCAAATAAATTATAAAGTGTTTGGCTCCAGTGGTGTTATTAAATTCCTTGTAGGCTGGAAGCATTGATCATTTGATACCCTTAGGTTTGCGTTTCATTCAAATGGTGGAAAGATATATACTAATACTATATATCATTTCAACTTCATGCATGAGACTTGAAGCAAGAAACTTCTGTTATAGCTAGCAGGAATAGTCTGTGAGGTGAATTGGATGTACACTGCACATCAAAGTATTGATAAATTGACCTACATTTTTAAAGCCGAAATGTAAACCTCATTGTGCATCAGGAGGTCGACACTGTCAGTTACCTAGATATTTCTCAGTGTTAAGTAGTTATATTATGAAAGATGAATGATTCTGTACAACCCTGTATAAATGTGACTGCATTTGGACTTTCTAAAAGAATATAAGCATGTATGCTTGGAAATCCTCTACCTATTTGGAAATAGAACACACTTTGCAGTTGATGGTAGAAATTATAGATTTCTTCTAGAGAAACATAGAAGTTACAGGGATTTGGCTGATGACAAAGACATATTCCCACAGCACCACTAAATGCTTTCTAAATACTTGTTATACTTAAATACAGTATTCCATATAATATGGGAGAAACAGTTTGATGCCATTTTAGTTACATTGTGTATTTAGCATGAACTCCAAAAGGAAACTCAGCTAAACTCCATAATCTCTCCACTTACTGGTTCAAGAGTCAGAGTTGAGGAGACTCATGTGGAATTCTTGACCTCATTTACATTCTTGTGTTTCATAACTTCTGGCCCTCGGTTTCTTATTTGCATAGACATTTAGTGTCTAGTAATCAACGTGTTGTAGATTCTATAATGACCGTATAATTAGCATCTTCTGTGCATTATTTCTGATCCCCTACAGAGCTCACTTTGAACATGAGACATAAGACTCTGGGAGCACTGTAGGGTAAATTTTGAAACAGCTATTCATTCTGGCTCCTATATTTATTGTTTCTGTTTTAAACTTAATTTCCTATTAGTTGTTAAAGTGTTCACTTATTTTTCAAAGCTCTTTGAAATTACAAAAATGGGTAGCTATTCTCTAAATCTTGCCTGATTTTTTTTCCCTAAATGGAAAGTAGTATAGATTTGGAATCCACTAAATAATACTTAATTTATTCCTTTATCTGGGTGGAGAATTAAATGTCACAATTAGTCATTATTTATATTTATTGTATTCTAGAGCAATGTTTTCTTAAATACCTCAGTTACCTTCAGATAAAGTCCTTTCTAAGAGATACACATTAACTCCTTCAAAATCAGGGATATCATTTCATAGCTGCCTTAAGGGCACCTCTGAAACATCTAATGTGTTTGCAAAGATTGATTTAGATGAAGCATGAATACTCCCATAAAATACTAATATTGACTAATTATTCCTTGCTTAGAAATCATACATTTACCATTTTATACCCTTGCTCCCTTCACTGCTAGAGGTATTGCCATAGATGGTAGAATAAGTTAAATCAGAATGTGTTTCCACTTTCAAATTTCATCATCTATCATATAAAGTACTTGTTTTTTGTCATATTTTGCTATGAAATTATTAATGCTGGTGGGCATGAATAAAATATGTCATTTGTATCTGAACTAGTAATATGAATCTTAGAGAAATGATGAGTTGCTGAAAAGATAATTGGAACGAGTGGAATAACTTAATTTATCATATTATGAAATTTATTTCTGGGCTTTTAATCTTTATTCGTATACGTTGGCTCCAGATATAATGACATATCCATCCCTACCATTACAAATTATTACTTCTTTCAAGAGAATATATTTTCATGTGACTTTTGTTTTATAACTAAAGGGAAAATGAAAATACGTATATATAAAACATCAGTTCAGAAACATTCCCCATGCTATATAATTAATTCTAAGTGATATATGCACAGAAAACGGAGACCATATGTGGTAGAGAGGAATCTGACGAAGTCCCCCAAATACTCCTGTTTTCTGGTTATTCAAACAAACACTAATCTAGATGTCTGTGTAAAGAAATATTACAGATGGAATTAGAATCACTGATCGGCTGACTTTAACTTAGGGGAATTATTTAGCATTATCCATGTGAGTCCAGTGTAATCACATGGGTCCTTAAACGCAGAAACCAACGCAGAATATTTAGTCAGTAGAGATGCATTGGAGATACGAGGCAAAAAGAGAAAAGTCAGAGGATTCAAAGTCCCATTATTTCTGGCTTTGAGGGTGATGGGAATTAGCCTAGATTTATCGCCTCTCAGAGCCAGTAGTGAAATGAAGGCCTTAATCCTATGACTGTATAGCACTTATGGAACCAACCACACCACACTGTACCTAGACTTGGGACCCTTGTGAAATTATACATTTGTGTGGTTTTGAGCTGCTAACTTTGTGGTAATTTGTTACCATAACAAAGAGAAAATAATATTCCATATTTACTTGCCATAACCAATGCTTAAGCAGGCAAACCTTACTTTTTAAACCATGCTTTAGAGAAGTTATGCCAGTTTGCCTCATTAACAGCCTCCTTTTTAGTAACATTCCGGATAATGAGTGGGCTCATGGAAATGATAAGAATTTCAAGGGGACCCCAAGTGGTCATATTTATTTTGCTATTGAGTTCAAGTATTTTCAATATTGTTAACACAAATGCTGCATCCAGATTGGACTTTTCATAATTCACACCTCACAATGTCACTTCCCCATCATATCTTTTGCTTAAACGCTTTCAACGACTTTTGACCTAAGGAAAATTGGGCATTTTTAAAAAGTCCATGCCTGATTTCACCTTTATCTGTGTCTCCAGTGCCGTACTTCATTCCTCTATGATTCCTTGCTTGGAATATTGTCTTTATATCTTCACCACTTTACCCACTTGATACCTAGAAGCACTGTGGTATAATGGTTAATAGGGTGGACTCTGGGGTTATTCTGTCCTAATTTCAAATCCTGGCCTTACCACTTCCTTGCTCTACAACATTAGGCATGATACTTTACTTCTCTGTGCCTCAATTTATTTATCAATAAAACGGGAAAAATAATAATACCTACTTTAGCAAGTTGTCATATGCAGAATTTACTCATTTGTGTCTCCTCCATTTTTTGTGTACTTTCATTTTTTTCTCTTACACATTTAATGAATATTTATTTCTATAAATAAGTGTCTATGATCCTAGACATAATCAGGAGATGCAGGTATAAATTTGATATTTTTCTCCTCATAGGACCAAGTAACTATTCCCATAGCTGCAAACATAGATTACTTATAACTATTTTTTTCATTCACTGAAAAAACATTTATTATGTACCTACTGAATTTCAGAAACTAAGGATACATATATGAATAAAATATAGTTACTTATCTATTCTATTGTTAACTATATGTTTGATGGAATATAGCAAAAAATGTAGTAAATCTGGTCAAATTGTCATTTATTGATAAACTAGAAATATTTCAGCCAGTAGAGTTAGGTGGATATAACTAGAATTTAAGCAAACTTTTGCACTGGAAGAATCTTTTATTTTTACAAACTTGTTCTATTGAGTGTTTGTAATATGTGAAGCACATTATAGAATTATAAGAAAAAATGCATGTGAAGCACCTAGGATAATGCCTGGCATATAATGAGTGTTTATTTTAAAAAATATATATTGTTTGAGCCCCTACAAAGTGCTAATCATTTTCTAAGAAACAAGGACATATCAGGAATGTGATAAGATTCTGTTCCAATGGAAGAAAAACTTGTTGAGCAAATAAAATGTGCATAGCTTAATAGCAACCAGCATGGTTTAAAACACATGGATAGCCTGAGCTACTTTTGATATGGCATCAGGGATGATTTGGGAGAGGTGACAATTGATCTATCTCCTGGGGCCCAGAGATTGAAAAAAAACAAAAACAAAAAACAATTGCTTGCAACTTAATCCTTAGTGTCGTGCCCCTTTTTGTTCAAAAAAACCCCTTTCCCTTTTGTAATTCATTGTAGGTTTTTCTTCTCAATTAAAGTTATGTCAGAAAACTAGGCTTAATAATTTAGCTTAGTATTCCATATGCCAAACTGATTAGTTCATATTATATATTGTCATGGTTAATACTGAGTGTCAACTTGATTGGATTGAAGGATACAAAGTATTGATTTGGGTGTGTCTGTGAAGGTGTAGCCAAAGGAGATTAACATTTGAGTCACTGGGTCGGGAAAGGCAGACCCACCCTTAATCTGGTGGGCACCATCTCATCAGCTGCCAGCGCAGCTAGAACATAAAGCAGGCAGAAAAACATGAAAAGGCGAGACCGGCCTAGCCTGTCAGCCTACATCTTTCTCCTGTGCTGGATGCTTCCTGCCCTCAAACATCGGACTCCAAGGTCCTTAGTTTTGAGACTTGGACTGGCTCTCCTTGCTCCTCAAGCTTGCAGACAGTCTATTGTGGGACCTTGTGATTGTGTAAGTTAATACTTAATAAACTCCCATATATAGATATAGATATATATCTCCTGTTAGTTCTGTCCCTCTAGGGAACCCTGACTAATGCATATATGTTTATGTTATTTGTTCTCATGTCCACCAAAAAGGTCAATTAAAAAAACCTTCCCTTAGCTGTGGTAATACCACACACACACGCACACACACACACACAAAACCTTCCCTTAGCTTTGGTAATATCACACACACATGCACACACACACACAAGGCATGCACAAGCGTGCACGTGAACACACTTAATATGTACTTTTTAAATCCTCTTTTACATTAATGGCCTATTTATTTTAAAACTTGAGCTAATTTTCAGAAAATCAAATTTTGCAAGTGTTGCTTTGTGTGTTTAATTGTATCAATTAATTACTGTATTTGCAAGGTTTAACAGCCCAAAAGCTATCAAAGAAAGAATCATTTTAAGAGCTTCAAGTTGCTGACACTTCTAAGGCAAAACTGGAAAAGACACAAGCTGAAGAATGATTGATTTCTTAGGGATATCTTTCTGTCATAAACCCAAGATATTTGAGAAAGGCATGCTAGATTTTATTCACTGCATAGTGCACTGCCAATATCAACATTTTAAAAGCTTGAAGATATGAAAAGTAGAATTGTGTATCAACAGTAAAACTTTACAAACATCCTACAACTTATATTTTAAATACAATAACTTTTAAAGGTCCTAGCGGTCAGTGGGAATTGAGAGTTATTTTATTCGGTGGTTCAGACCCTGTGTTTATGCAGAAACGATCTTCTAGTAATTTTAACTGTAGTGAGCTTTCTAATGAAGGCTGTGCAAATATTAAACAGCTACTACAATTATGCTTCGGTTTTCTTTTCAATATTGAATGTTTACATTCTTAAAGCATCTCTGATCGATAGCTTTTATTGACTGTGTTTTCTCCTTCCTCAGCTATTTCTTTACTTGTTTTGCTTTATTCATTTCTTCATATGGTATGTTATTTATTTATTTCATGTTGATGTGGGAAAAAAGTTGCCCTCTTTTTATTAACAGATTGAATTATCAGCAGGCACTGAGGCTTAGTGCCAAGCAAGAAAGACACAGACAAGCTTATTTTTTCTGCTACCACTTTGAACCTTGAATACAGACCTCTGGGTAATGTCACACTGGATACTTGCTGAATATTTGCTGAGGACTTCTTTTATGTTTGTCTCAGCATTGGTTTAAAACAAGATCAGGGCTAAGAAGAGCCAAGCTGCTCTTGCAAAGGTCTTCCTTCATTTGCCTTTTCTCTCCCAGACTTTCCAGCAACTCCTGCTCTCCTGCATATTGATCTGTGACTTGACTCTGGACTTCATGTGTTCATGTGTTTATATGTTAACTACTTGGTGATTTCAATATTTTTTACATGATGCATGAACTCAGCATGACCAATTCAAACCTATAATCTCTCGACACAAGTCTTCAAACCTGGTCTACTTCAGTGTAATCTTATCAATGAATGGAGAAACATGACTGTCCAGCTCTTACACAAGCCAGAAACCCAGGAGTCACTTTTTGAACAACTCCCTCCCTCTCTCATTGTTCGTATTCATTCCTAAATATTCTATGATTACCCACTTCTCCCCACCTCCATGGCCATCAGCACTACTCAAAACTAAATAGTCACTATCTGTTTTCTGGAGACGGGAGTGTCCTAACTGGTTAATCCTAGAAACTTTTGTGTCTCTTTACATGGTTTTCACACTGGATTTATCTAAATAGATATGAAATGATATCATGTGCTCCATCTCATATATGAAACACTTCAATGGATTCTCATTACAATCAATGTGACTTATAAACTCTACAATGTCTTAGCTCCTTTTTACAGATTCTGCCCAAACCACATTGGACCATGTCAATTTTATTATAAGACTTCACCATATGCTATTTCTTTTACCTAGAACACCATCGTTCATTCATACCCTCAAACACACGAGCACACACACACACAATCATCTTTCGCAAAGTTAATTTTTTTCTTATTCATTCATTTGTTTCAGAATCCCATTCAATGTGTTCTTCCATGGGAAACCCTTTTTGACCTCTCTAACTAGACCAATTTCTTTTCTTCAAAGCACTTATCACAGTTGTAACTTCACATTTATTTCTAGAATTTATTAGATTCTGAGCTGAAATTTCCATGAAGGGAGGTACCATATTTGCTTTTGCTCAATATCTGATCCATGCCATCCAGTTTATCATCTGACACATAATATGTATTTGATAAATGTTTTTGGAGTGAACTGCCTTTAGTTCATGTGAAAGAAATGTAATTCATTTTTGGCCTAATAGTTCTTCAGGCAATCCCGAGAAGCATCATACTTCCCACTCTGACTTGGACTTTCTCACTTCAGAAATAAAATGACCTGAATTTATTTAACCATTTTCATGTTAAATATTTAGTGACCCTTTGTCATCCTGATTGTCTTGCCCTGCACATGTTTTTCATATTCTATATAAAATATAGAAAACTCTGAAAATTGGGTGCCTAGAAATGAACCCAATTCTCTAAGTAACAAGCCTTTCTTTTTTTACCCTCCATACATCACTGAAGTCCATGTTCATTCAATTTTGTAGATGGTAGATTAGCTAATAAAATAGCCATAAACATTTCTATTATAAGGCTAGGCACCCTAATCTGTTTTATCAGGGAATTTATTTACCTTTTTCTGACATAACTCCCAGTTTGTTTTAGTTTACACAGTAGTTCTGTCTTACCCACTTGAGTCAATTATGACTAAACTTAGAATCATGAACCCCACCACAGAATATCTCATTACTGGGTTCTTTTATTTTGATTTTTTTCTTGTTCTTGAGATGAGGAAAGGAAGTTAAAAGAAACCAACATTATTTCTCTAAAACTTCCACAAAGATCAAAGTTGAAACTGGAACATAGCTTTCCTGATTTATAGACCAGAATTCTGAAAATTACACCAAAGGTGGCTAATAATTAGAATAAATCATATCTGTAAGAGGCTTTAAAAAATAAGTATTCTGTTTTTCACATTATTTTTTCCTATTTTATGCCCATTATCCAAGATGTTGTTTCACCTTATCTGAGTTAGAAACTAGCAATCAGTAGCAAAAAAAAAAAGAAAAAAAAATCCTAAACTAACTTTTTAAACCTTACAATGTATAGACTTGTTGTACTATGCAACTTATATCATGTTAAGATATTAAATGAACAATAATAAAATATAAGAGTTGAAAGTCAATTTACTCAATCATTACATAAAAAATGAAATACTTCTAAATTTTTAAAACCCTTAGATTTTATGTAGCTATGAACATTTAGAAAAACTATGCTATGCTTTTAACTGGGATCCCTCTATATTGGTACCCCTTTCAAATTCCTTTTTTTTTTTTAATAGAAGGACTCAAACCACCCCTTTCTATTTCTAAGCCTCCCAGCAGCAATTGTGAGAATGTATGCCACACCACCCATATGTTCGTCTCCAGATGGCTAGCCTGCTTCTCTCAGCTCCCCCACCTGCCTGGGCCAAAGGCATGCTGTGCCCAGAACCCTGTGTATAACATGAAAGATGCTGATGCCTGCTGTCATCCATACCCTTGCATGTCCACAGTTTAATCCGAGCACAAGCAAGGAAAGAAAGAGAGGCAAAGCTGGAAGGAAGCAGAATTAGAGTTAAAGGAGAGGGAGGATGGAGGAAGAAAAGAGGAGGGAAAAAAGAGAGTAAGAAAGGATGCAAGGAGGAAAAGGTTACAGTGTGATGAGAAAAGTATAGTTATTTTATGAGAGTCAATCATTATTTTGGTAAGATTAAGAAAATTGATATTGCACACTCAAAAATCAAATAAATAGACTTAAATTTAGTCACATGAAGACAAGCACAAATGGTTTCTTTGTGTAACATTAGAATTGATGCTGTGTTGTACTGGCTCTGAAAGTGGATGGTAAGCTGCAAGTGGTTGTTCGTCTGCTATTCTCTATGAAAGACACAGGTACCATCCTATGGATTTGAGAGAAGTGTTTCACATCTAATGTTACTGAGCAATAACACCCAAGATTAAAAACATAACAGAAAACACATACATGTTGCTGATGCATATGGGCATCACGTGTGTGAGTTGCAACTCAAGCAGAAACCCTCAGATAAAGGAGGGCGGTCAAAAAAGTTATAAAGGAGATTTTCCTTCTTTCTAATGTTTCTTCCCTGCCCTTAGCCCAGTGTATCTTCAAGTATGACCCTGAGGTAACCCACTTTAGAGTCACCTTGAGTAGTCAAGGAGACCCATAGCATAAATAATTAATCAGCCAACAAGGATCTATTGAGTGATATCTCAATACTAAGCAGGTAATTTGTTCATTCAACAATATTTATTGAGAATCAATTATGGGTCACATACTAAGTTCAGCACTGGGATATATTATTTTGAAAAAACATAGTTCTGGCTCTTTTATTCAACTAATATTCTTTGAAAACCTACTGTAATCTAAGCACTGTTTTAAGCTTTAGGAATAAAGCATTGCAAAGAAATAAAAATAAAAATCATTCCTTATGATGTGGAGGTTCTTGTTATTGAAAACCATAATAAATAAATAAATGAGTCATTTGTATGAATACATTATGCAAAAAGACAAAATGTGCTGGAGAGAAAATAGAGCAGAGAAGGGAGTATCAGGAGCAAGAGGTATGCAATGTTAAATAGAGTGGCTAATAAAGCCTTTTCTGAGATGCTTAAACTTGAGGAAAAACTTGAAGATGGTGAGGGAGTGAGCCATGTAGCTATCTGGCAGATACCTGGAAGAAATAGCCAGTGAGAAAGGCTCTGGTTCAGGATGGTGTCTGTGACTGAAGAGTGAGTGGAACAAGAGAGAGAGTGGTAGCAGATGAGACCAGAGAGTGGCAGGATACCTTTACAATGGCCTGCAAGACACCACAAAATCTGGTATCTTGTAGGCCATTATAAAGTCTTTGTCATAACTTGTCTAAATCAATTTGTATTGAGGGATCCACCCCCATGACACAAACACCTCCCATCAAGCCTCACCTCCAACCTTGGGAATCAAATTTCAACATGAGGTTTGGAGGAGACAAATATCTAAACCATTGCATAAGCCCTCCCCGAATCCCTCCCTTCTTTAGAGTGAAAGCCAAATTCTGCTATATAGAAAAAGCCTGAACAGGACTAAATTGGAAGAAGGGAAAGCAGGTGGGAGGCAATTGCAGTAATCCAGTGAGAGAGGATGAAAGTGATGGAAGTGACAGAGTTGAAAAGATGTAGGTACATTCTAGATATATTTTGACGACTGGATTTATAGAATTTCCTGATAAATCAGTCTTAGAATGAGAGAGCAAGAGATAAGTCAAGTTCGACTCAAATCTATTTGGCCAGAGTAGCTGGAAGGATGGAACTGCCATTAATTGACATGGAAGTGTGGATGGAGAAGGATTTCACGGAGGAATGTTAATTATTGATTCTGTTTCAACAGGTTGATTTTGAGATCCTAGTGGAGATTTTCATTAGTCTAGAGTTGAGAGGAATAGTCTGAGGTAGAGTTGCCATAGGTGATATTTTAAAAAATTAGATTGGCAAAGATCCCAAAGGTACTTAGCGTCATATCAAGAAATGAGGAATTACAAAGAATGTGCAATAGGGTACTCCATATTAGAAGGTCAAGAAGCAGAGATTATTCCACCATAACAGACTGAGAAAGATTAGACATTCATCGAAGAATAAAAAATATATGGTGTCCTGGATGACAAGTTAAAAAATTATTTCAGAGTTGAGGACATGAAAAACAAGGTCAGAGGCTAGAGAAGTAAGAATGCAATTATTCGATCATTAATAGAAGAAACAAAAGGTTAATAAAATAATAGGTAAGTCAGATACTGTTAATAATACGAATTAATATAAAATATAAAACTAAATGCTACAAAAAGTACATCATTTTATAATAATAAATAACAACAAATATAAGGATAGTGGCGGAAAACATGGGATGAGGAAATGCTTGTTTAAAGAAGTAATCTTGAGATTAAAGATAAAAGATATGTACAACTCACTGAAAGTGAAACTGTGAAGGTTTTGGAGTGTTACAGCCAGATCAGATGACATTTGCAATGGCCTTTTTTGGAAGAAAACATAGTGTATTCAAGGAAAAGGAAAAGGCTAGTTTAGTTTTAGCATTAAAAAAATGAATGTACCAACTTAAATAAGGAATTATGTATGTTTGGAAAGAAAAGTCTTGAAAATCATGGGCAACATAAACCAAGATGAGAATTAAATGACATTATGTTAGTTAGGATGTTTTGGGCAACAAAAAAGAAAATATCGGCATAAAAATTACTTACAAAATAATAGTTTATCCATAAGTCTCAAAAGAGACATATGGAACCCCACAATTCTATATCTCAAAAGAGACATATGGAACCCTACAATTCTATATCTCAAAAGAGACATATGGAACCCCACAATTCTATATCTCAAAAGCGACATATGGAACCCCACAATTCTATATCTCAAAAGAGACATATGGAACCCCACAATTCTATTTCTGGACATCTATCTAAAAGGACTGAAGGGTGTGCCTTGAGGAGATATCTGTACAACCATGTTTATAGCAACATGGTTATTACAATAACATAAAGGTGGAAGCAACCCATGTGTCCATCAATGGATACATGAATAAACAAAACATAATATATATAAACATGGAATGTTTGTTATTCAGCCTTAAAAAGGAAGGAATTTCTGACACATGTTAAAACACGGATGAACCTTGAGGATATTAAACTTAGTGAAAAAGCCAGTCATAGAAAACAAATACCATATTATTCCACTTATGAGAGAGAGTAGTCAAATTTATGGAAACAGGAAGTAGAATGGTTGCTCCCAGGGGCTTAAGTTAGAGAGAAACAGTGAGTTACTACTTAATGGGTTCAGAGCTTCAGTTTCGCAAGATGAAAATTGTTCTAGAGGTAGATGGGTGTAGTGTAGTGTACATATGAGTGTACTTAATGCCTCCAAACTCTACATTTAAAATAGGCTGGTAAATGTTATGTTACATGTATTTCATCAAAATTACTACTAATAATAATGAAAGGGGTCACTGGACCCAATGAAAAAGAAGAAAGAAGAGGAGGAAGAGGTGAAGGAGGGCAGAGAGATGTAACACCAGGGATGATTTTAGTAAATTCATGATACCTGGGCTCCAGGTAACTTCTGCATGACTCTTTTAGTCTTCCCTTCGTGGTCACAAGATAGCTATTGAAACTGAGCATCAAGTTTTTCCACAAAAATGTCTAAGGCAGGAAAGAAGAATCAGGGACTTTTTTCTCATACAACCCTTTCTTTCTACCAATTAATAGAATATGTTTCTCAGAGGCCTTCAACCAAGATCACTTTAGTGTAATTGGCCAGAACCATAATAAAATTGCCATACTTGTCTGCAAGAAAAATTGTGAAAGAAGGTTTCTAATGATTTCAGATTCACTTTCGAGGGCAAAAGTCAGTGGTGTGCTGATAGATATTTAACAAATCACTATCTGGGACGGGAGAGAATGTGTGTACATATATAAGTGTATTATACATTTTATTGATATAAAAGATTTGTGGGACACTATAAATAATAATAGTAATATATAAAGTATTCTTTATTGTCAATTTTGTATAGCCAAATGATCTACACAGTGTGCGTGCTTCCATTGATTTTTTTTCCATGCTTTTTTATCCATAGCCAAAATATAGTTGCAATTCACAAGTGTAGTTCCAACAAGAATGGTGATAGATATTTTCCTCGTAGTTAATGAGTGATACGCAGTGAACCAATGAACACATATATAAAAACTTAGTGTGAGTAAGCTTTTTCCCAAATCTTCTGAATACCAGAATATTTCCTCAATTTTTTTGCACTATTTACAATGTAACAGCTATTGATATGATATACTTTTAACTTTAATCTCTATTACTAATGTTTTCTCCAACACGCTTAAGTCTAAACAAGCGACAGGAGAGTGCCAAGACTGGCTGACTAGAAGCAGCTGATGTGCACCACTCTCATGCAGAGGAGAAAGAGTAGCAAGTAAAGGCTGGCCCTTCAGCTGGATATGCAGGTAGACATGCTGGGATTCATCAAAGAAGCAATATGACCTACACAGGTCAGAGAGGAGCAACATAGGACAGTTGCCCACCCAGGATTGGCATGGAGCAAGGGGAGGCTTTCCACTATAGGAAATTGTGAGTAATAGCCCCCGAAAGCCCACTACCAATTGGAGGGCCCCCCGGCATAGGCTGATCACTTTCATTGGTAGTGGCTCTGCATTTCTCTGGGAGAGAGCCCAATTAAAAGGACCTCTGCCTCTTACCGCTGCTAAGGACCTGCTGAGGAAGGAACATAAGGCCCGAGCTTACCCCAGGGCTGCTATGTGCAGCCAAGGAGGACCAAGCCAAGATCTGCATCCAGCACTCAAGTGAGATAGAAGCCTACACTTCCTGAGCACTGAGAGGGTATCATGGCTGCAATTGTGAGGAAATACAAAGAAGTCATGTTGCTGAGCGTGAGCCTACAACATGGCCATTACACCTAAGCACCATCTACTAGATCACAGCCCAAACTTCAACACCAAAAATACTTTTCCAATATACCCCCAATCCACTGCAATCCCTGTCCTGTGAAACCAAGGACAAGAATTCAGCTACAAATGGAGACGCTGCACAAAGCCTCGTCCCTCGGGAAACATCCAGAAATGAAGTCAACTGACTTCAACACAAATTCCAACACAATTGAAGGAACATCAGCCCACACAGATGAGAAAGAGCCAGAGAAAGAATTCTGGCAACTCATATAGCCAGAGTGGCTTATTTCCTTCAAACAACTGCACTAGTTACCCAGCAAAAGTTCTCAATCAGGCTGAAATGGCTGAAATGACAGACATAGAATTCAGAATATGGATAGGAATGAAGATCATCAAGATTCAAGAGAAAATTAAAACCCAACCCAAGGAATCTAAGGATTACAATAAAATAACAGGGCTGAAAGACAAAATGGCTATTTTAAGAAGGAAACAAATTCATCTGATAGAGCTGTAAAACACACTATAATAATTTCATAATATAATCACATATTAACCGCAGGAATCAACTAAGCTAAGGAAAAAAATTTCAGTGCTCAAAGACTGGTTCTTCAGACTAAGTCAGACAAAAATAAAGAAAAAAGAATAAGAAGGAATGAACAAAATGTCCAAGATATATGGGATTAGATAGAGACCAAATCTATGACTCATTGGCATCACTGCAGGAAAGGGAAAGAAAATAAGCAATTTGGAAAATATATTTGAGGATATTGTTCACAAAAATTTCCCTAACCTTGCTAAAAAGGCCAACATTCAAATTCAAGAAATGCAGAGAACCCCTGTAAGATACTATGCAAGACGACCATCCCCAGGACACATAATCATCATATTCTCCAAAGGTGATATGAAAGAAAAAATATTAAAGGCAGCTATAGGGAAGGGGCAGGTAATATACAAAGGTACCTCCATAAAGCTAAAAGCAGAACATTCAGTAGAAACTCTGTAAGCCAGAAGAGATTGCGGGCCTGTATTCAGGATCCCTAAAGAAAAGAAACTCCAATCAAGAATTTCATATCCAGCCAAATTAAGCTTCATAAGTGAAGGAGAAATAAGATTCTTTTCAGGAAGCAAATGCTAAGAAAAATCATAACCACTCAACCTGCCTTGGAAGAGGTCCTTAAGGGAGGGCTACATATGGAGAAAAAAGACTATTATCTGCCACCATAAAAACACACATAAGTACATAGATTATTGATAATATAATGCAATGACACTATCAAGTCTGCATAATATCCAGGATCAAATCCACAACATAGCAATGTTAACCTTGATTGTAAATGGAATAAATGCCCTGATTAAAAGGCACAGGGGAGCCAGTTGGATAAAGCAGCAAGACTCACTGTGTGCTGTCTTCGAGAGATCTATCTCACATACATTGACACTCACAGGCTCAAAGTAAAGGAATGGAGAAAACCCTACCAAGCAAATAGAAAACAAACAAAAAAATAGTGGCTGCCATTCTAATTTCAGACAAAACAGACTTTACACCAACAGTGATCAAAAAAGAAGAAGAAGGACATTACATAATGGCAAAGGGTTCAATTCAGCAAGAAGACATAACACAACACAAGAGCAGACAGATTCATAGAATAAGTTCTTAGAGACCTATGAAGAAACTCAGATAACCATACAATAGTAGTGGGAAACTTCAACACTCCACTGACAGTATTAGACAGGTCATTAAGGCAGAAAACTAACAAAGATATTCAAGATCTGAACTCAGCATTTGACCAAATGGACCTTGCACACATATACAGAACTCTCTACCTAATAACAACAGAATATACATTCCTCTTATCTGCACTTGGCACATACTCTAAAATCAACCACACAGTAAGCCATATAACACTTCTCAGCAAATCAAAAAAGAAACTGAACCAACCACACTCTCAGATCACAGCACAACAAAAGTAGAAATCAACACCAAGAAGATTGGTCAAAACAACACAATTACATGGAAATTAAACAACCTGCTCCTTAATGACTTCTGGTAAACAATGAAATTAAGACAGAAATCAAGAAATTCTTTGAAACTAATAAGAACAAGGATAGCACATACCAGAACCTCTGGGACACAGCTAAAATGGTGTTAAGAGGAGAGTTTATAGTGCTAAACACCCATATCAAAAATGGCAGAAGGATCTCAAATTAACAGCCTAACATCAACATCACACCTTGAGGAACTAGAAAAACAAGAGCAAACTAACCCCAAACCTAGCAAAGTCAAGAAATAACGATAATCAGAGCCAAACTGAATGAAACTGAGATGTGAAAAAGCATACAAAAGATCGGGCCGGGCGCGGTGGCTCACGCCTGTAATCCCAGCACTTTGGGAGGCCGAGGCGGGCGGATCACGAGGTCAGGAGATCGAGACCATCCCGGCTAAAACGGTGAAACCCCGTCTCTACTAAAAATACAAAAAATTAGCTGGGCGTAGTGGCGGGCGCCTGTAGTCCAAGCTACTCGGGAGGCTGAGGCAGGAGAATGGCGTGAACCCGGGAGGCGGAGCTTGCAGTGAGCCGAGATCCCGCCACTGCACTCCAGCCTGGGCGACAGAGCGAGACTCCGTCTCAAAAAAAAAAAAATAAATAAATAAATAAAAGATCAACAAAATCAGAGGTTGTTTTTTTTTTTTTAAGAATAAATAACATAGACCACTAGCTGGACTAACAAATAAAAAAGAGAGAAGATTCAAATAAATAAAATCAGAAATGACAAAGGGGAACATAACCTTTGACCCCACAAGAATAAAAAAAACCATCAGAGACTACTATGAACATATCTATGCACACAAAATATATGACCTGCAAGAAATGGATAACTTACTAGAAAGATATAACTTCCCAAGACTAAATGAGTAATAAATTCAAACCCTGAACAGACCAATAATGAGTTGAAGTACGGAATCAGTAATAAAAAGCCTACCAACCAGAAAAAGCCCAGGATCAGACAGATTCACAGCTGAATTCTACAAAATGCATAAATAAGAGCTATTACCATTTGTACTGAAACTATTCCAAAAAGTTGAGGAAGAGGGACTCCTCCCTAACTCATTCTATGAGGCCAGCATCATTATGATACCAAAACTGGAAAGAGACACACACACACAAAAAGAAAACTTCAGGCCAATATCCTTCATGGACATAGATGCAAAAATCTTCAATGAAATTCTTTCCAAAAAGTCCTTGTTTTTTTGTTTGTTTGTTTGTTTGTTTTTAGAATAAATAAATCCAACAGCACATCAAAAAGCCAATCTACTACAATCAAGTAGGCTTTATCCCTGGGATGCAAGATTGGTCCAACATATGCAAATCAATAAATGTGATTGACCACATAAACAGAATTGAAAGCAAAAACCATATGATCATTTCAATAGACGCAGAAACAGCTTTCGATATAACCCAACATGCCTTCATGATAAAAAATACTCAACAGAATAGGCATCAAAGGAACATACCTCAAAATAATAAGAACCATATATTACAAATCCACAGCCAACATCATACTGAATAGGCAAAAGTTCGAACCATTTACCCTAAAACCTGCAAAGGGTGCCCACTCACCACTCCTATTCAATATAGTACTGGAAGTCCTAGCCAGAGTAATCAGGCAAAATAAAGAAATGAAAGGCATCCAAATAGGAAAAGAAGAAGTCAAACTATCTCTCTTCACTGACAATATGATCATGTACCTGAAAAAACATAAAGACTGCATAAAGCCTTCTAGAACTGAAAAACGACTTTAGAAAATTTCAGGATAAAAAAATCAATGTGCAAAAGTCAGTCACATTTCTATACACTAGTAATGTCCAGGATGAAAGGCAAATCAAGAACACAATCCCATTTACAATAGCCACAAAAAAGAGAAATATACAGGAAAATAGCTGACCAAGGAGGAGAAAAATCTCTGCAGGTAGAACTACAAAACACTGCTAAAAGAAATCAGAGATGACACAAAAAAATGGAAAAATATTCCATGCTCATTGATTGGAAGAATCAATATCATTAAAATGGCCATACTGCCCAAAGCACTGTACAGATTCAATGTTATGCTTACCAGTCAAGGCCATTCTTCACAGATTTAGAAAAATCTATTCTATAATTCACATGGAACCAAAAAAATGAGCTGGAATAACCACAGAAATCCTAAGCAAAAGGAACAAAGCTGGAGGCAACACAATACCTGAATTTAAACTATACTACAAGGCTACAGTAACCAAAACATCATGGTACTGATACAAAAATAGACACATAGAACAATGTAACAGTATAGAGATCCCCAAAATAAAACCACACATCTACAACAATCTGATCTTTGACAAAGTTGACAAAACAAGCAGTGAAGAAAGGACTTCCTATGAATAAATGGAGTTGGGATAACTGGCTAACCATATATAGAAAATTGAAACTGGACCTCTTTCTTATAACATATACAAAAAACAACTGAAGATGGATTAAAGACTTTAATGTAAAACCTAAAACTATAAAAACCCTTGAAGAAAACCTAGAAATACCATTCTAGACTTAGGCCTTTGAAAAGATATTATGACAAAGATGCTAAAAGCAATTGCAACAAAAACAAAACTTGAAAAATGGGACCTAATTATTAAAGAGCTTCTGCACAGCAAAAGAAACTATAAATAGAGTAAAGAGATAGCCCATAGAATGGGAGAAAATAAATGCAAACTACATATCCAACAAAAGTCTAATATCCAGAATCTATAAAGAACTTAAACAAATTAACAAGCAAAATACAACCCCATTAAAACTAGGCAAAGGATATGAACATACACTTTCCAAAAAAGACATATATGCAGCCAGCAGGTATACGAAAAAAAATGTTCAGCATTACTAATCCTTAGAGAAATGCAAATCAAAACCACAATTAGATACCATCTCACACCGGCCAGAATAGCTATTATTAAAAAATCAAAATAACTATAGATGTTGGCAAGGTAATGGAGAAAAGGGAATGCTTATATACATGCTTTTGTTTGGAATGTAGTTTAGTTCAGCCACTGTTGAAAGCAGTTTGGCAATTTCTCAAAGAACCTAAAACCAATTGAGGCAGAAATGTCATTATTGGATATATACACCCAAAGGAATATATATTATTCTACCATAAAGACAGTTGCACATGTATGTCCATCACAGCACTATGCACAATAGCAAAGGCATGAAATCAACCTAAATGCTCAACAACAGTAAACCAGATGAAGAAAATGTACATATATATACACCCTGGAATCCTATGCTTCCATAAAAAAGGAATGCAGGCTGGGCACGGTGGCTCATGCCTGTAATTCCAGCACTTTGGGATGCCCAGGCAGGTAGATCGCCTGAGGTCAGGAGTTGGAGACCAACCTGGCCAACATGGTGAAACCTTGTCTCTACTAAAATACAAAAATTAGCCTGGCATGATGCATGGTGAAACCCTGTGTCTACTAAAATACAAAAATTAGCCGGGCATGGTGGTGCATGTCTGTAATCCCAGCTGCTCAGGAAGCTGAGGCGTGAGAGTCGCTTGAGCCTGGGAGGCAGAGATTTCAGTAAGTCGAGACTGCACCACTGCACTCCAGCCTAGGTGACAGAGCAAGGCTCCATCTCAAAAAAAAAAAAAAAAAAAAAAAAGAATGCGATCATGTCCTTTGCAGCAATGTGGATGAAGGTGAAGAAAATTATTCGAAGCAAACTTATGCAGAAATAAAAAACCAAATACTGCATTCTCACTTACAAGTGGGAGCTAAACATTGGGTACACATGGACGCGAAGGGAACAATAGACACTTGGGCTTGCTTGAGGGTTGAGGGTGGGAAGAGAGTGAGAATCAAAAAACTACGTATCAGGTATTATGCTTATTATCTAAGTGATGAAATAATCTGTAAACCAAACCCCTGTGACTCACAATTTATCTATAGAACCAACCTGGACCTACACCCCTGAAACTAAAATAAAAGTTAAAAGAACAAAAAGAGCAAAGAATTTGGAGTCCCAAGACCCCTGGGACTTATTAGCCGAGTGAGATTGAGAAGGACATTCACTTGTTTTAAGTCTCAGGTTCCTTATCTGAAAGGATATCATTTGAAAACAGTACACATCTTACAGGGCTGTGATGAAGACTAAATAAAACTGTTGACATACTGGAAAGTTTTGAAAAATGTACCTGACTTCAAAGACTGAAATTTCACTGCAGAAAAAAACTTTTAAAAAATCTTCATATAAAAAATTACTTTAAAAAAATAAGCAACAAAGCAATAACTCAAGACTTCATTTATAGCATTGGCCTATTTCCACGGAGTAAATACTCCCAATATATCCAATTTCCTGGTACCCACTTGACACCATTGAATGTAAATTTGAGATTGTGCAATAGCAAAACATTCTATAGGATTTCTAATATTAAGATATAATCAATGCAAACAAACTCAAAAGCATAGGCAATAGTAAGAGGTAATAATATATTTGGAAAGGATGAATTTTGAGCTTTAATTATTTTGCATTTAATGTAATTAAATTGTTCATTAATATAGTTTGATGTTTAATCATATCTGTTTATAATATGGCTTGCAAAATTCCTGAAAATTTAACAATCAGCCCTCATAGGCCTCTTTGGATCAAATGACCAGCAAGGCATAATACTAGCAAGTAAGGAGGAATGAGATGGCTTTGGCTTTACAGATTTTAAACATTTAAATTCACTTAGGTATATAGTAGAAGCATTTTTACTTCCAATTGTGCTTAATCTAAGGAAAATAGCATCTTTGAATCTTTTCCTTTTTCTAATCAACTTTTGCTCCTAATTTTCCATTCTAGCTTCTAATATCCCTAGATTAAGAACAAAAATAACATTGATTTCCACCACAGATAAAATGTCCAATAAAAGGCAAAGTAAAACTGGAATCAATTGAATATTCTCTGTTTAACACCAAATTGATTTTAAGGCTGCCAGATAAGGAAGGGAGAAATAGAATGTAAAGCTGTCCTGAGAAGAGATCACTCAGTCTAAGCCCCTCATTTTGAAGATATGAAAATGGAGATACCTCAAGATTGGCCTAAAATCACCGAACCCACTAGCAGCAGAGCAAAGACAAGAATGCTGGGCTCCTGAGTTCTGAAAGCCATACCTGTTCTATTGCTGTGCACCAAACCTTAATTCCTGGGCCATCTTTATTAGAAGAGTGTTTGGCAAGTTCTTTGGGTGTGAAAAGAGAAAACAGTTCTCATAAATCAGGTTTCCATGCCTGGTCTGTTAAATCCACCACTGGCACGATCACAGGGAAGTGCTGCTCCAGCTCATTGTGCTAGAAATAAACTGAGGTCTCATAGCAGCCATTAGAGTCTAATTATATGTGACAGCCAACCTGACAGGTTTTGTTTATTTGTTTGTCTATTCTTTCAGTGCTTATGGCTTGAAAAAAATGAATAATGCTGTCAAAACTATCTTACCCTTCAGGAGCTCTTTCTCTGCTTCATTGGAAAGCATAGGAAAGCATTTACTTCTGACACGCCTGGTAAAGCTAATAAGGAAAAATGATTTCACTGAGAAGTCTGTATAATTATGCATGGCTCATGTGACACCTACTGATGGTCAACTGTCACTAGTACACTGTGATATACTTGATAAGAGAATGAGAATCAGGAGCATCAAATACATAGAAATCACATAAGAAGTCTTTTCGGAAGAAATGCGAGCTATGAAATCATCTGAGGATGAGGCAACAGATATATCTAGAAAACATGAGCAAAATAAAACATAAAATTGTATAAATTTCATAATGGAACTAGTGGACAATTGACAGATTATATTTAACCCTGTCTTAATTTATTTTTCCCAGACCACTCACCTTTTAAGAATATCAACATTATATTTGTACTGAAAGTAGATGTGATAGGTAGATCTTGATTATTTTCGAGTCCCAAGCAGATCTCTATGTTTTTCTTGAATGATTCCAATTTTACCAATGATCTAGCTAAGGACATTGACATGTTCCTGAATGCCTCTAAACAAAGTAAAAAAAAACAAACAAAAAAAAAAACAACTTTGAATGGCAGTATTAAGATCCAATTCCTTATCAACATGTTGAAATGATAATGTGAACTTAATAAAATATAGTAAGACTCAACATATTAAACTTAAGAAGAGTTAAATAAGTAAAGGAAAACAAACAACAACAACAAAAAGCTGGAGTGGGGAAAATAGAATCTAATAGCCATCTGTATGAGAAAAGATTTTATTTGGCTGCAAACTCATGAGTTGATGTTGTAACAAGACTGCAAACAGCAAGAATGTGAATATATTGAATCTTGCCTTCCTCTGGGAAGTGCCAATGAGAGCTTGTACTAGCTCCACTCCATTCCAGACTGGAAAGATCATGCCTAGTGTGCCATCAGCTTGAGAAATATGTGTTTTTATCTCCCATGGCTTTGATTAAGTTGGGTTACATCTGGCTACTACTCAGTCTCAGTTTGGACAGTGTGGGCTCCACAGCATTTGTCCACTCCTCATTTACTTGCAGAATTCTGTTGTCTAAGTTACACTTTTTACACTCTGTTCTAATGTGGCTACTGGTGAGGTGTAAACGTTGTTTTGCCACTGTGAAAAATATAAAAATAGGTTTTACAGTGCTCCATTGTATATACTTTTATATACATAGTGATTTCTAGAACTAAAGCTTTCTACATTATTAAGAGTTGATTGTACTGTGTTTAATTGTAGGCAAGACATTAAGTGGTATGTTTAAAAGTTGGGTGTGCTTACATAAGAATCCCCAAGAAGAGAAAGACTCTGTAAACCAATATCTATGAGGAATAGTTGAAAAAAATAAAGAAGACTTATTTATGCACAAGAAAAAGAGAAAAAATTAGTGGGTAATTCTTAATGGAATAATTACTTAGAAGATGAATTGTCATTTTTTTTGGAATTCAGTTTATTTTTGTGACTGTCAGGATGAAAGTTGCAAGGTCACAGATTCAGGTCAGCTTTAGAGCAGGTTGAAGTATTAGAAAATGGAATATGATGCTTTATAATCAATTTTCCATTCATGGAGGTGTCCAAAGGGTACTGAAATATACATGTATTAACAGTTTTATAAATGGGAGTGATTAATTAGATAGTCTTCTAATCAGTGAGTTACAATATTCTTTTCCACTGCAAGAATCTATGAGTCAATGTTGTATCATTGATGACATGATGACAAAGAAGCTCTATACAACCTTCATTTTGGTTATTTTAATTTGTAATCTCTCATTTGAAACATAGCACTGATTGAAAGGTATTTTAAAGTATTATCCCTACCACTCATTAACACAAATCACTCAACCTAGAAGAACGTGTGGTGGCTGTTTATAGACCTACACCTACTTTTTGATATTAATTTTTCCTTCTAGATTTTCATATATTTAATTAGCTTACAAACAACTCACCTATTAAATTATAAAACTTATGTATAGATTTGATATAGCATAGTTTTTACATAAGAATGTTTAATAATGAAGAGTGGTGTTTAATCAACATGTTGAATGTGAAGCCAATTCATAATTTGAAAGGTCAACAATAAAGGGGCATCATCCATCATGATTTAATCAGTCGTATCTTATTAAGAGCAGTTGCAAAACAGGTGAGAACATTCACAAAAGGATTAGTTTATAATATTTAGGTTAACATTTAAAAACCATCACTAGCCGTAGTGTTCATGATATTAATTATATAGAAGTATGCCATTTTCTAAAGGAGCAGGAAAACTTTTAAAATATTAACAACACTGAGATTAGTCTTCAGAAATTTAAAATAAAATTCAAGTGTCTTTAGAATTTAAATTTCTTTATGAGGATGTCAAAATGATAGGATAAAACCCCAATGAAAGATATATATTGCAATATTCATATCCAAATGAAACTTCTCAGATCATGAGTCTATTACCATACTCCATTATCCCGAGATGAAGCGATTACATGTTCTGTTTTTATTTTTCAAATACTGTTGACTGCCAAAAAGAAACTAGTGAAGATATTCTTTATGCCAAATTTCCTTGTCTTCTTTCATTTTTTCAGTCAACCACCATTTGCTAAGCAGCACTATGTACCAAGTGTCAGTTACTCTGCCACTATACACATTTCTGTGATTCAAATTAGCTCAAATAAGATCCACAAGTAAAGGAATAATGTTTGTATTATACAAAATTTCATTGGTTTACCTGTGATTTTCATAAGCCAAAGTAGCCAGATGAGTGTGAATAGATTACAACCTTCAGTGGGAAAGGAAAAAGCCATCATCTTAGCTACTGCCCTGGCAGTGGGAGTCCTTTCAGAACATTCCAACTAAGTGCAAGCAGTTGGAGCTTCCTTCCCAGCCAAGTTCACCATCAGTTTTGTTCAGCCAGTGGTAAGTTGCACTATCTTCCAGGTTTACTTCACCAGCAGCCCCACTCTCTGAGATCTCCATTTTCATCGATTTGGACTCAGTACTGGCCAAATCTTCTTAACTAATGTTGTTTGTGAATTACTAAAATCATCTGTGGCAACCTTCAGCTACACTAAGCTGCCTGCCTAGGTGGTCTAAGTTAGCTCTGCAGAAACTTATTACTGTGTTTGCTTGTGCTTTGGTTAAAACATTTACATAAGATTTTCTTTATCATTGCCTACTATTATGCAGAATATGAGGTTTCCTAATAACATATATAATTACAGAGAAATGTCTCTATTGTGATAGTCGCAGGAGATTCAGAAGTGAATTATACGCAGCTGATGCCTTCACACTGCCAAGGTTTAGTAAAAATGACATGCAAACTATGAGTTTTACTACAATGTGATGAGTGTCATTGCTATGCTAAAAAATACAAGAATTCAGAGGTTAGAAGGCCCAAATACCATGAGTTTTACTACTTCCCTAATAGCTCATTTCACAATAAAGAATTTCTGATCATCAGAAGCTTATTATATTGAACTAGAATTTTCACTTCTTTATGCAATCAACAAGGACTTATTGATCAGTTTCTATAAGTCAGGAATGTTTCTGGACAACTGGAGTTTGCTTGAGAAGGAAAATTGGACCTGACTTAGTGTTACAGAGTTTATATTTTAGATTCAAAGATTGAAAATCAACAAACACACAAGAAAATAAATGAATCTGTGAACAAATAAAATTGTTTCAGATAGTAAGGAAATCTCTGAAGGTAAACAGAGTAATAGGACAGAAAGTGACCGTGTAGATTAAGGGTGTCAATACTCTATAGGCTAGTAGAAGTTAAGCTCTTCTGTGGAGAAGTATGGGTTTCAGCTAATGGAAGTCAAGGAGAGATTTACAGCCTGAAGTCACCAATTATGCAGAGCCTTCAGGCAGGGACATTATGTTTGGCAGGAGGGCAGACATGGGAACACTGGCTGCTTGGGAAGATAAGAAGAAGCCAGGCAATATACTAGTCCTTAGGAATTTGGATTTGATTTGGCATGAGATAGAAAGTCACTGAATTGTTTTTAGCAGGAAAAGGACATGAGATGATTTATTTTGTGAAAATATAAGTTGACGGCCAGATGAAGAAACAATTGTTAGGTTATAGGCATGGAAGCAGGCAGTTAGGTGTTGGGAGACAATAGCCATGTGCTAAGTGAGGCGTTGCAGTGGTTTGACAGGGAAAACAGGGGCCATGAGCAACAGAGATGAAATAGATAAACTAGAGTATATTATGGTGACATAATGTGTACATTATATCATTTGGGGATAGATGGAATGTGCTTGTGATTAATCCACAACCATCAAAGTCCACCAAGTAAACAAGAACAGTTCTCTGCATCTCCACTCCATTACTGATGTGGTTTGGCTCTGTGTCTCCACCCAAATCTCATCTCAAATTGTAATCCCCACGTTCCCAGGTTCCAGGATCACGGGGGCAGTTCCTCCATGCTGTTCTCATGATAGTGAGGGAGTTCTCACGAGATATGATGGTTTAAAATGGGCAGTTTCTTATGTGCACACTTTCTGTCTCTTCTGCTACCTTATGAAGACCTTCCTTGCTTCTCCTTCTCCTTCCTGCATGATTGTAAGTTTCCCAAGGCCTCCCCAGCCATGTGGAACTGTGAGCCAATTAATCTTCTTTCCTGTGTAAATCAGTCTCAGGTAGTATCTTTATAGATGTGTGAGAATGGATTAATGCAATTACCTTTTTTCGTTCTTTGCCCTCATTCGCTGAGGTTTTCAAACTACAATTAGATGAAAACTTTTTGTGACTGTTACAGAGGTTTTCCTGCCTCTATTTAGACATTGGAACAAGATTACCTTTAAAAGGGGGTCTAGCATATGATATGTAGATGGGAATTTTTAAGGAATATGATTCATTTAGCAGCATGGACTATTAGTAAAAAAAAAAAATTATATTAAATGGCATTCTTTCCATATCTATAGGGCCAAGTCGAAAGCTCTCCATTATAGCTGGAGATGCCCTCTTTAAGCTTTTACATTCTCCTTCCGCCCCCAACATACACGCTATACTTATACACGTATACTTTTCAACCTTCAACCTCCCTTTAGAAAAATAAAAATTATCATTAAGTGCTCAGATCAAAAAGTAATAGGCAATGAAAAAAATATTGATTTGTATTAAATCACCGGTGCAAATATGGTGTGCGAGGATAAGAATGTTTGGCAAGAGCTACAGTATTATAAAATAAATGATATGCTAGTCATCGAAGGCCCTTGTCCATGTAAGTGAGCAGAAATATATAGCATTTGCTTATTATCTCCAGCCCAAGTAGTAAATTATCACTGAAATGGCAAAGACTGAAGTGGACATAAATTTGGGGTTCGCTGTGCTGAGGAGTGTGGGGGCTTGGTATATTTCAAAAGCCTTAGGAGGCTACCGATCATCATGATCTGCAGACAGAGCTGCAGATAAAGTATAAGGTGATTTCTAGTTGGAAACTTAACCAAGGCTCTCATGGCTTACAGTTAGAAAATTATTTTCCTCTAGTACAGAGTTTACAGATTACCTTTTATTTCTTTTTAGCTTCAAACCTATTGTTAAAATATCAAATTATTTGTATTTTCCTACTCTCTGTGAAAGAATCTTTTTAAAAAATTAACCTTTCTACCATTTGATTTTGATTACAGAATGACTGATTTACTCATTAATTACCTATTCATTCCTACACTATAGCAGATGCTATTCTAGGTACTAGAGAGTGATGAACAAAAGAGATGTAGACTCTGTATCAGAGAATTTATAATCATGTAAATGTTATAAAGATAGTGAAACAAAAAATGACTCATAATAAAATAAAATAGGAGTGATGACAGAGGAGAAAAATTTAACTTATTTTGAATGAAAGTGTGTTTGCATAAGGTAAGGTACGTATGTATATTGGAATTAACTCAGTCCAGGAAGTGGCCGATTTTAGAGAACATAGTTGTCAGTTTAATCTCCTGATATTGCAGTTAGCGTATTATCTGATTGTGGCTATTAGCTTGCAAACAGCTGTTGTTTAGCCAAAGCAGAAGCCATATAGGGTTTGCAAGGTTGAAGACAGACCTGTTACCACTTCTAGTAAGAGACTTTCAAATATATGGCCTACTGATGGCTTGGTAGTAATTTCAGCAAAAAAGACAAGTCCTGTTTTCCTCCCTTATTATTCTCCTATAGATTCAGCACTATCTGTTCGCAGTCTTTGTATCAAGGCTGTTCTATTTACATTCCATGCAAAAGATGTTTGTTTTCTTTTCATGGTGGTGATGGCTAATGGCTCCCTCCATTGTGGCAATACCTTCCAGTGTCATTCCCTATCCTTCTGCTCCTTTCTCTGCCTCCTACTCCCATGTAGAGTTTCTCCAAGAGCAGACTTACTTGATTACCTCAGAAAGCCAACTCCTGTAATGTCACAGAGGCATAGTACTCTATGAAACTAAGACGATCTAAGACACATGGGAGGGAAATATGACTGGAAACTATATTTGCTGGTTGCTACTAAGAGCCTCACTCAGTTTCCAGTGTCTTTCTGGTGGTTTTACAGCTTTTTTTTGGTAACTTACGATTGTCTTCTCTAGTACCCTTCCCAACAAAAGAAATGTAGGATATTCTAATTATTTTGCACTCATTAAAATGGACATTCATTTTGCTGAAATATAGCTTATTCTATATATGTTTATAATGAATTATCTTGTATAATTTTTTTATCTTGACCTATTTTTGTATGTGTAATGTCATTCTTTTATGGGCCTGTGCATTCTCTTTAGCATTCTAATTCCCATTCTAGGGAACAAATTACAGCACCTTTGTGTTTTAATCATCAATTATCCTACTCAAGTGTTTTAAGCACCCTGCAAACAATATCTGGTATGTGCCTTGCCTAGTTTAATTATTGAAGCACTTTTGAAAGCACCAGGATTTCATTAGTGATCAATATAAATTGGGCCAGTGTTCAACCAATTTGTGTTCATTATTAAAGCCTTCGGTTCCAACAATAACTTGGAGACAGAGAACTGATGAAGCTGGTTAGACAATTGCCTAATGAGGCAAGCAGACTCTGCCTCTGACCTTAACCAGCCTCTGGGCTCTGAAAACTTTAAATGGTCCCAGTGACAGATATCACACTAGAAATCAGCCATTGTCCATCTAATCACTACCTCTAGCTGAGCTGAGAGGCATAAAATAACACAAATGAATTGAATGAAAGACAGAATCTATCATGCTACAGGTAATTGTGTTTATCAAGCATTAATATCTGAGACTCAATCCTAGGGCTCTAATCCATCTCATAAAACAAAGTCCAGAGACAGGAGCAATCCTCGGCAAAGAAGCCATTCGTAGAAAGTAAAATTTGTGGGATCCAAAAATAATTGACATAAAATTCCAGCAAAACAGACTGACATTCCAAAAGCACTTTAAAATTACAAGGGATTGAGGACACAGATCTTTTAGCAGAAGGTACAGATTAACCGGGTCTTCGACACATGCACAGGATGTAGGTGACGTGTACAACTGGAGTTAAATGGCAGTTGAGACAGGTAGGCTTTTTCTAGTTGGAGAGCTCTCAGGGAACCGGTGACCACTTTGGTCTGGTACAGATGAGAGATATAGAAATTATATCAGGTGGGAAGTAGACACCTGGCCAGGGAGAAATGCAGGGACATAATTAATCCCATTTCTGCTGAGGGTGACAACCTGATTAGTGCCCTTAATTAAGGTCAGGCTTTGAGTATCTTTATAAATTCTTGCTATGGGAGCTTTGTGCCAAATATATCCATGTATATGTATAGATAGTTACATTATTTTTCCCTACATCAATTTCATGATCTCTAAAATGAACTGAGAGAGATCTGATTTGAAATAGTATTCTTACCTGTTCTCAAAATCTGAAAGTCCAGGAGTCCATGGGGAAATAAGATAGAGTTTTTATTACATATTGAGGTATCATAACTCTTCCTCAACATGGAAACAAAGAGCTTGCATTATGTCAGGTTTGAGCTTGTTAGAGACATCATTTCAGCAGGCTTTTTGGATTCTGTGTTGGTTGCTACTGAAGTAAATTTGCACAGTACTGTTAGCCTTTGGGGGTCTTTCTTACTCAACCACTATAGTTGTTGCAGAATTTTGTGCCTTAGTTCAGCTAAAACCTGGTTCTTGTCACACGACCAGGAAAATTTGGACACGTTGAAGGGTGAGTAGAGCAGGATTTTATTAGGCAAAAAGGGAAAAAACCTCACAGATTAAATCCCAGGCCACCACACAGAAACTGAAGAGACCAGGCTCCTCTTGCCTGCCCATGGCTCCACCCTGTTCCCCCAGTGCACATGTGGGCATGCTCCAGCAAGGCCCTGGGCAGCTTCCCTCATCTGTGCCAAAGCCTCTGATGTAAACACTTATGGAGCAGGTCGGAGGTTCTCCAGGGTTCCCTTTTTATCTGCTTAGGCATTCGGCTATCTCGTAGTTAAGATTGAGTAGATCTGGGCAAGAAAACAGGGGAAGAAATGGATATAAATATGTGCCTTTCATCTTCATTAATTTGAAGCCTCAAGTTTGTATAAGTATGTTTCCCCAAGGGCCTTAACATCAGATGTTATGTAAGTAGGATTTTGATTATTCAGAAAATAAACTTACCAAGTTAAACACAGCGATATTACCTTGATTTGGAAAAAAATCATTTAGCAATGGAATTCAATTTTATACCCCGGTACCTAATACATGATTCCACAGGGAATCATGCTTGATTCTGTTAGAAATACTAATCTGGATGTAAGCACTTGCCTTCAAGGAGCTTTAAACTAGTGGAATGTAAAAAAATGCACTAGAAGATAATGTAGACTGTGAGGGAAAAAAATGTTATGTGATAGAGATGAGTTTCAGTTAGCAAGATTGGGCAGATTTTAAGAAAGAGGGGGTATTTGACTGAATCTTGAAGCAAGGATAGATAGAACTTCAACTGACGAGTAATAAAGGCTCAAAGGGGAATAGCATTTGTTTCATTAATGTGCTCCTAGAGCTCAGCTTGCATAACTCATTTTTTATAAGACTAAGTTTATGCTTAAAAACTCACCGATGTCATCAAAAATCTAATAGGAATATGAACATTTTCTGCTAGTGGTTTTGGTCTCTATGTTAGTTCTATACTTTTTTTTTTTTTTGATAAGAAGTATGGATGGTGGGAAACCAACTGCTTTGATGGAAATTCAAGCAACAGACAGATCCCCTGTCAGCTCCACACAAAGATATCCTGATGAAGTTCTCCTGACTTCTAGGAGGGAATGTTTCGGAAGTGCACATGAGGGAGAGGAATCCTGCTGTCAGCTGACTTTTTCCTTTGCTTACTGTATTTGTTTTGTTTTGTTTTGTTTTTAAAACAGGCTTGGACATACATTTTCAATTCGAAAACTCCCTTCTGAGATCCAAAAGTAAACATGTTTACAGATTATGCAAAAGTTTGAGTTTAGTTTCAGAATTTTTCTCTCAAAGGCTCTAGCACAAAAAAAATGGGGGATGTCCAAATTCTGGAATTTGAAACAAATAACAGGACAGATTGCAAGCTGGCAGCTGGCAGGGAGAAGTCCATTATTTCCCAGCTCCATTCCTTTGACTTCAGCCTAGGGAAAGGTTACCCTAACCTTGCCTCACCTTATTACCCATTCTATTTTTAAGCATTTCTCATTTACTGAAAAATATTTACCACATACTTCTAGTGGATCTAATCATTAGATTCTTAGGTGGACGCTTCTCAATCAATGAAGGACAGAACCTATCGAGCTTCCTGACCTCTTTAGTTCCTAAAACGCGGCATTCTGTTTTCTCTTTTTACTACTAATAAAGGCAGTTAACATTCACTGGTGGGCCACAGTGAAAACTTCAGATAGTTTTCTGAAGGTTTACTACTTTCTATTTAGTTTTGTTCTTTTTTTTTCCCTAAAAATTAGTGGGTTCCCCAGTTTGTGTATTGTAATTCCCTTTTTTTGAGTCTTGTTTTTCCTCTTCTTCTGTGATTTCTACTCATTCCCGAAACTCTGCATAGTAATCATGACCAAATGATTTCTGAATTCATATATCAAATCCCCCAAAGGCTTAATATCATCTCAGAATGTCAGCCAAGCTCAGATTTCCAAAAGTTTTATATTATTACATTGGCTTGAATCATAGACTTGTGTCCTTCTGTAGTCAGCACCCATTCCTTCACCTTTAGGCATAGCTCCAGTTCTGAGAGACCTATCCTTGCCTCTACTGACAACAGCCTGGTAGGGATATCAGTAAATGTAGCCAGACATGTATATTGCCACATGGCTGCTGCATGGCCCTGATTAGGCCATCTTGATCTGATTGAAACAAAGATTAGAAATAGTAGAAGTTGATTCATTCCAAATACTTGATGGGACAGCACATCAAATCCCACAGCTCAGACCCCTGGAGCTGCTCTGGTCTGTGTGTTTTCTAAGCATACCTTTCAAACCCTCCCTCTGTTTCTACAAAACCCTGTGTATTTTTCAAAGGAATCTCTTTTTATGCTAGGAAGAGGTGGTCTCTATTGTCTGCAACCACACACACACACACACACACACACACACACACACAGATATTCTCAACAAGTAGTTTCTACAATGTTGATAGGCACATTGTTAGAGATGGAGTTAAAAAATCAATTCCTGAGTCCTAAATATAGGCAACTTTTATTTCAATGAGGACATAATACATCCATACCAGAGATCATTATAATACCATGTATTGGTACCAGGACCTGGAGGATATATTGAGGCATCTTCCTAAAACTTCAACCTAAGTTGCTATCTGAGATTTAAAACCAAAACTTAAGGGACAAGACATAAGCCGCCTCATATAATAAATACAGGACAACTTCTTTGCCATCAGGACATAACTGAAAACTAAAACACATATTTGTCAAAAGGTGTGTTGGTAAATGTTGGAAGAATAGATTTGTAAAAGTGAAGTTTGGAAGTTTTCATAAAAGAATTAATTAGTAGAGAGGGGAGTACCTTGACCAATGAGCTTCCTATATCAGAGGAAGGCAGATGAGACACAATAATCTGAAGTCTAATGCAGTTTGTTCAAATCCTGGATAACTTGCTTAACCTGTCTAGGTGTCAGTTTCCTTAGTTATAATTTGAGGATAATAACAGTATAAATTATTATTAGTTTATTGTGTTGATTATATGAAATAATCCATTTCCTATAGTTTTTACTGCACATGGGTTAATATAAAATATTATCAACTTTTTTACTATTATTATTGAGTTGGCAAAGTTATTCCTATTATGGGAAAAGATTATCAGACATTTTAGCCCAGTGCCTTACAAAATTTGGATCTTATCATTCTTTTAGTTCTGATCCTGGGCTCATGAAGCAACCTTCTGTTGCTAACTGGCATCCTACATAGGCCTGCCTTGAGGGAAGAATTGCTCTGCTAAGGCCAATTAGTTTCTAAGGAAACTCTATTTTAATACATAAACCAATAATTTGATTTTTTTTTAAACTTTATAGATCAGATTTATTTGGAGAAAACAAAACACCGACAACCCAAAGGATGGGATTTTACGTCAAGACATCTCCCAGGTAATAAGTCTACAGATTAAATCATTTTCATGGAAGATATTTTTGTACAAATTTTACATGTATTCAGGAGCCGGACATTAATCAATCCCTGTTTCTATTTTAAAAGGGAGGACAAAGTAGGGGAGGGGGAAAACAGTTTTGGATATAACTATTTGGAAGGAGAGTAGACATGAAGAGGGCAAACCCTAGCTTTTCATTATCTACAACCAATGTTTTTTTTCTTTTAAAAAAAAAATAAAACAAAAACTTTTCAATCTTCAACACTCTTTAAAAGCCCACTTCTTAGCTACTGGCCAATCCACAGCAATTATTTAATTCACTTGGTACACACCTTTGTCCTCTGGGTAAATTATATTCATTATGCCCACTGCTGCAGCACGCATAAACCAACACCCCTGCATGGCTGAACAGGGCCTAATCTAGGACTGATGGGAGAAGGGCTTGCAAACCAAGATCAAGGTGTCGTTTCTCTGCTAATACTGTCTACAAAGCTGATCCCTACAAAAATGCACATAAAAGCAGGCAAGTTTATCTACTGTGTTGCAAGGGAAACCAGGACTTTGTTAAATAGTTCTCTCCATTACCATTTGTTCTCTCAAGGGAAGCTTAAAAAAAAAATAAAGAAAAACAGCACATTGGTCTGCCCCCCTCATGAATCCAACAAGCATTGGTGTGGCATTTCAGTGGAGAAGGAAACTTGGGGGGAAAAAGCCCATCAAGGTTGTAAGAAGACTCCCAATTTAACTGTCCCTTTCCCTATTTATCCACCATCCAAGACCATCCATTATTCTAGAGCACTCTGATCTATAAAAGGGGTCAAAGCATCAGGAGCAGGCAAGGAGTGAGAACCAAAAGACATCAAGAAACCGATTTGCTTGAGAAAAGCAGCGATTCTTCCTTTCATAGCTCTCCATGGCTGAGAGAGAAAATGCCCGAGACATCATGTATGTGACTTAGAGACTGCTTTTCGGGAGGTTAAAAGTAGCATGAAGAGCTTAAGATGACGATAAGAGTCTAAATTTTTAGTTTCAAGGTTTCAGTAGAATGTGGATATATTCAAACTTTCAAAAAGGACAGTGTTTAGAAAGGGTAAAACTAGGACACAGAAAACATTGGGAATTACCACGACCTCCAAGTGCTTCCGGCTCCAGGAAATAACCATTCATGTGTTTGCTGGAGGTCACATAATTTTCCCCTATTACCTGGTGCAGAATGACTCATCACTTCCCAAAAGCTTCTTTTCAGTCCACAATTTTCCCATTTATTTTGGTGCAATGCAGTCCCATTCTTTATGGCCTACCGTCTCACTCCCAACTACCCTCCTGGGAGTAAAAAAAAAAAAGGAATTCCCCCTAGGCTGGCCCCCAAAACTCAGAATTAAATAAGAGGAGGGGCTGGCAGCCTCCTGGAGACTAAAACAACTTGAGGCTAAATCTACCTTTCCAAGGGTGGAAAATTTATTCAGATAATGTTTGAGAATTCATATATGCCACCATAGGATAAAAACTAAAAGGTAGAAATCTCACACTTTTCCTTCTACCTCCCTCCCATACTGCCCAACCAGGTTCCAGGCGTTATATCACTGTCATTACCACTTCTGCTAAATGGAGACCTCTAGTTTGCTTTTATAAATCAAACTTGTGATTTTGGCAAATGAATGCCAGCCTTTTCATCCAGCTCCTAGAGGTAGGACATCCTATGGTAGACACAAACCCTGGGGCCTTGTGGAAGCGTTTAAATGGCTGAAGCATCAAGGAAGCCTTCTGAGAAATGTTTAAGAGTTAACCAGGTCAAGGAGATAATGAAGTTCTCACTGCCAAGGTAGTATAGGGCAAACAAAAAGCTTAAGGTGTCAAGATATATAAACAGAATGGGGATGGGGGTGGTGTCATGTGAGGGGACTACAAGTACTTCAGGGTTGCTAAAATAAGAGTTAAAGGCAGATACTTGTAGGAGACTGGGCAAAAAGTCTGGCTGGGTCAGTATTTAATTGTATGCCCCCCCCCAAAAAAAATTAATAAGCTGAAATCCTAAATCCAAGGACCTCAGAGTGTGACCTTCCTTGGAGATAGAGTCTTTACTGAGATAATTAAGTTAATGTGAAGTCATTAGAATTGGTTCAAATTCAATATGACTGATGTCCTTATAAAAAGGGGAAATTTGGGCACAGACATGTATAGAGGCAGGGTGATTTGAAGACACACGGGGACAGATGACCATCTTTCTTCCAGGCTAAGCAAAGGGACCTGGAATAGATCCTTTCCTCATAGTCCCCAGAAGGAATCAACCCTTTCAATACATTGATTTTGGGCTTTTCACTTCCATAATTGTGAGTTAACACATTTCTGTTGTCTAAGCCACTAAATCCATGAAACTTTGTTATGGCAACCCAGGGGACTAATTCAGCCAGATTTTAAACCTCTGTATGTATCTGCTAATGAGCTTATACCTTCTTTGCATGATAGGAAAGCATTGAAGTGTGTGTGTGTTTTTTTAATGTGTGATATGAGAGGACTTGGTGTTTGTATGCATTAGTGTGTGTGTATGTTTATAGATCATTATGATATCCCTGTGGAAGATGGATTCCTGGAGACTAAATATTCAAGTCAAGGACATCAGTTAGAAAATTATTATGTTAATCCAAGTGAGTTATTACTATGTGCACTAAGGGTAAGAAAACTTTAATATCAGAAGGACTCAGGAATTGTTTACAAAGGTAGTGGAATGACATTCAGATGGGCTAGAATTGGAGCCACACTCTCGGGATGTGTGTTATCCTCTGCCACCTGCTAGCTGCGTGACCTTGAGCAAGGTACTTAACCTTCTTGATCTTGATCTCATTTCTTTACAGTTTGTCTGTCCACTGAAGCCAACAAAGTTTCCAAATCATAAACCTGATTGTCATTTCATTTTCTCTTCTTAAAAATAAAATAGTCCCATGGCGCCTGCTCTTAAGGGGCTCACAAGTGGGACAAGATTTCCTTCCTTCCTTCCTTCCTTCTTTCCTTCCTTCCTTCCTTCTTTCCTTCCTTCCTTCCTTCTTTCCTTCCTTCCTTCCTTCTTTCCTTCCTTCCTTCCTTCTTTCCTTCTTTCCTTCCTTCCTTCTTTCCTTCCTTCCTTCCTTCTTTCTTTCCTTCCTTCCTTCCTACCTTCCTTCCTTCCTTCCTTCTTTCCTTCCTTCCTTCCTTCTTTCCGTCCTTCCTTCCTTCCTTCCTTCCTTCCTTCTTTCCTTCCTTCCTTCTTTCCTTCTTTCCTTCCTTCCTTCTTTCCTTCCTTCCTTCCTTCTTTCCTTCCTTCCTTCCTTCCTTCTTTCCTTCCTTCCTTCCTTCTTTCCTTCCTTCCTTCCTTCTTTCCTTCCTTCCTTCTTTCCTTCCTTCCTTCCGTCCTTCCTTCCTTCTTTCCTTCCTTCCTTCCTTCTTTCCTTCCTTCCTTCCTTCCTTCCTTCCTTCCTTCCTTCCTTCCTTCTTTCCTTCCTTCCTTCCTTCTTTCCTTCCTTCCTTCCTTCTTTCCTTTCTTCCTTCCTTCCTTCCTTCCTTCTTTCCTTCCTTCCTTCCTTCCTTCCTTCCTTCTTTCCTTCCTTCCTTCCTTCCTTCCTTCCTTCCTTCCTTCCTTCCTTCCTTCCTTCCTTCCTTCCTTCCTTCCTTCCTTCCTTCCTTCCTTCCTTCCTTCCTTCCTTCCTTCCTTCCTTCCTTCCTTCCTTCCTTCCTTCCTTCCTTCCTTCCTTCCTTCTTTCCTTCCTTCTTTCCTTCCTTCCTTCCTTCCTTCTTTCCTTCCTTCCTTCCTTCTTTCCTTCCTTCCTTCCTTCCTTCCTTCCTTCCTTCCTTCTTTCCTTCCTTCCTTCCTTCCTTCTTTCCTTCCTTCCTTCTTTCCTTCCTTCCTTCCTTCCTTCCTTCTTTCCTTCCTTCCTTCCTTTTCTTCCTTCTTTACACCCCATTTTTCTTTAATTAAAGTATCTAAGGCTCAAAACCCCAGCCCAATTTTACTCTCATCCCTGACATGAGTTTCCAATCACGATAGATACTAATTTAAAAGCACCTTTCTTGAGTCCTTTTCCTTTACTTTACCATCCATCTGTATGATCAGTCTGTCTTTAGTCACTCCTGGCTTCCAATGAGTGATTTCCTCTATACAATAATGTTCAACAGCTTTTCAGTATCTGTTGCATTAAATGCAGAATCTCTTTTTTAGCATTCTAGATCATTCATCATTCTAAAACACCTTTCAACTTTATCTCCCATTCTTCCCCTTTGTATTCCATCTGCATTGATCAAATGAGATTATCTCATCACTGCCTGATTCTACGCAGTCCCCTCTCAATTCATGCACTTCTTCTCCATTCTTTCCTATAGAAATTCTACCCATTCAACAGGGTCCTTCCTAAATGCCATTTCCAAACTAAAATGTTCTCTGCATTAGGGTACTTTCTCAGTGGTGTGTAGTAAACATTTACTCAGACTTGAATGAGGGAAATGAATTTACTGGCTTAAATAATTGGAGAGTCTGAAAGTTATTTTCAGTTTTCTCTAAGTGGTGTGTGTCTTAGTTTCCTGTTGCTTATAACAGAATACCTAAAAGTGGGTACTTTATACAGAAAATAAATTTATTTCTTGAAGTTATGAAGGACAAGAAGTCTAAGGTCAAGGATCCTCATCCGGTGAGGACCTTCTTACTGGTGGGGACTGTCTGCAGAATCCCGAGAAAGCACAGGACCTCACATGAGAAAGGATGGAGCATGCTAGCTCAGGTCTCTCTTCCTCTTCGTATAAAGCTACCAGTTCCACTTTCATGATAACTCATTAACTCATTAATCAGTGAATGGATTAGTCCATTCATGAATGCAGACCCCTCATGACCTAATTACCTCTTAAAGGCCTCACCTCTCAATACTGCAATATTGAGAATTAAGTTTCAACATGAATTTTGGAGAGGAAAAATATGCAAACCATAGCAGTGGGGAAAATGGCTCCCTTTCCCCATCTCTCCATGCAGCAGCTCTAGGCTACAATTTATAAGTGTAGAAGAGGAGTGAAACTATTATTTTTATTGTTCAGAAAAGAAAGGAAGGAAGGAAGGAAAGAAGGAAGGAAGGGAGGGAGGGAGGGAGGCAGAGGGAGGGAAAGAAATAAATTCCAATTGGCTCTACTTGTGACAGATGATCACCTGGGCCAATTACTTTTCCAAGAGATTTGGAAAGTCTGATTGGATAGCTTGGATAATGTTGAGAGTGGCATGGCTTTTGATTGACAGCCCAGACAGGAACAGATGAAGTGACAAAGAGGCATTTATAAAACAATATGTAGAAAAGATAGGAGTGGTTTGGAATCTGGTGCTGCTTAGTCAATGGTAGAAGTAGAGACAGTGGTCTGAACACTGCCATAGAAACATGTGCTAGAACGTTTATTGGCTAATTATATTTCTTATCGCTGTGTGCATGCCCCTGTATAGTGTGACTTTACCATATCTCAGTTAAGAGGCATTTCACTCCCTTGATCCTGGGCTGGATTTGTGATTTGCTTTGAACCATACAATCTATCAGAAGAGACAAGGTATGCAATCCAGAGCTAGGTCCCCAGAGGCCTTGGAGATTTTGTTTTTGATGCCTTAGGACACTGCCCTGACATTACCATCCCAATGAGTAATGAAGACAGATAGCCACTGTCCCAGCAGTTCCAGTTGAGCCTAGTCCCCAAGCAACCCACCTTCTGAATGCAGCACAGGTGAGCCCAGCAAAAGAATCACTCAGCCAAACCACAGAATCATGAGAAATGATGACTAGTTATTATTTTAGGACACTAAGTGTGGGGTGGTTTGTAACATAGCCCTAGAAAACTGATGAAGAACAGGACCAGGCTTGCACTCCCAGGAGAGCACGAAGAAAAGTTCTCAAAACCGATCAGTATTACTAGTGTGTTTTGGAAATAAACCCAATGAGAAAAAACATAGGCTATTTATTGAGAGTTTGTTATAGCAAGAAAGTCAGCCACCATCACTTGTGTTTGGGCAGAGACTCAAAGTCAGGCAGAGGAGTAGAAAAGCCTTAGAGTGGATAAAAAAGGAAGGCTTCAGCTGTGCCTTGGTGACAGGGTATTGGCAGGAGGAAGCTGGAGGTGAGCTGACTAGATACAGGGTCCCCATGTGATTGATTGGGGGGCATATTTATCTATCTTTGTTTGGCTCTAAGTTGGAAGTGGGGTAAAAATTAGAGAAGCTGTCAATTAAATTGTGGCCTTTTTGAGCCAGTTGTGGCAAGGCTTGTTGTTTGGCTTCCTGGACTGGTTGCTGAAGAAAGTGGTCCGACTTGTGGCCTGGTTACTGTAACTAGCAGGTTAGGTGCCTGTGCTGTTGTTGCAGACTATGAGTCAGAGTTCTATTTTTATAGGCACTCTAATTATTGTCCATTTGTCTATTCCGTTTCTTAATATTTCACTTTGTTACAAACAGAAAAAAAAAACCTCTCTCTGAATTGTTCGGAACATGAACCCCAGAATGGGTTTAATCAAGATAAACTAAACTGTGAGAAGAAGACCTTTATAAAATGTTCATTAAGATGGAAAGATATGGGTCAGGAGAGCTGGGAGTTTGAGTCCTCGAGGGCACAGGAGTCACAGCATTTCAGGGGCAAAGTAGCAAAGAAAAATCCTCTAAATGGAACATTATAAAAGGTCAGCAGAGCAAGACAAAAATATATATTGCTGTCCATGTTATAAAAGCTGTCAAAAATCCAAGGCAGCGTCACTAAGAAGCCTCTTTCTAAAGGCAGATGCCTGGAGTGAGAATAAAACATTAACTCATTAACCTTTTTATTATAAACATGTTTATTAATTTCTTAAGAGAGAAGGGAGTTCTATGAGGGAATTGGACTTATGACAAATAAGTTGTGATGAGTTCAATAGAATTGAAAAAAGTGAAACACTTCTAATTCACTTAGCAAGACCTTATTGTGCACAAGCAATATGTAAATCATTGTTTATCAGTGAGAGCAATGCAAAACGTATGTGACATGGAGCTTCCCTTTAAGGAATGGTTAGTCTGGCAGCCTCGTGGACACTAAAGCATGCCTATAAATTCCTGGATATGATGTAAAAAGTGATAAGTGTGGTAACAGGCAATAGGCCATGGGAATATGGAAGACCAGAATATTCTCCTTTCTCTTTAGAAACATGGGCAATGATGGCACGGAGTAGAAGCTGTTAAGAAGAAGTTTAAAGGAGGCGTAATAATGGAGCTCTTAAAAAATCAAGTGGAGGACAAGTTCAAGGGCTAAAAAGGGACTTTGGGATCTGGAAAACAAATTATTAAAGCTACAGGATAAAGGTTAATTGGTTGGAGTGTTGAGTTAGCTGAACAACTGAAAAAAAAGTGAAGAGTGCTAGAAAAAAATATCAGTTTCAGTCAGACAGTGGAAGACATTGAATGCCTAGATAAGAATGCTGACATTTATTCTACATGAAAATGCTCACAAAGCTTTCAGGAAGTAGAATATTATTCAGAACAGTGCTCTGAAATGAACAATCAAGCAGTGGCTTTTACAACAGATAGGTCTGAGGTAGGTTGTAATGGCACCAGATAATAATTCATTGGCAAATATCTAATGGGGGCAACAGAAACGAATGAGAAGAGATAATAGATGGCCTCAAATTTCCAAGTATCTGACCAGATAGGGGCTGAGAACTGAAAAAAATGGAAAAGAGAAGTATAAAATCAAAATACCAAAGAGTTGTTGCTAACTTCACAATAAAGAGCCAAAAGTTATCACTCCATGTAATTTCAAAAGCCTGCTCTCCCCCTGTGACATCCTAAAGGGACACATGGAAATAAGTTTTGAAATGGCATGTGGCCATATGATTCATTGTCATACCTGGAAATTAGGACTCAGAGTTATGTTTTCTTTTCTCCTTTTTGCTATTTCTTTGAAGAGCTTTCTACAACCCAAATACTCTGCCAGTTTTCCAATGTATTTGTGAAATGGTGATCATGATTTTGGCTACCCTCATGTGGATTTAGAGAAGAAAATAAATTGAATTCATTTCTGCAATGCACGTTGAGGATTTCAGAGATTTTCTTTTATTTGAAGAAAAATATAAGCTTCTAAAATACTCATAACAGCCAAGGTTGGGCAACTGAAATTGCCTTTTGCTCTGCGGAGACTGCGTAATATGAGCTGGAAGGAAAAAAAAATGATCCTGAAACCTGAGGTTTCACATCAACAACTGAAAAAAAAAAATGTAGAACATAAATTGTAGTTTTCTTGCAGAATATTTATAACAGCTCACTTGTAGTACTCCGGTCTCTAGCTGAACAGGGCCAATGGAGAAACATTTCTCGATTCAGCGTTTTGTTTGATCCTTACTACAGAGTGATTGATCACAGCAATTTCTTTCACATAAACAAAATCCTCTAGACAAGCTTGTTGGAGACACTCAGGGCTATGAATACACTGCAGACCAAAAACTAATATTTTGCTTGCTGTGTTTAAACTCAGTGCCAATAGGGCTCAAATCACTTGTATCATAAAAGCAAAACTCTTTTAAGCATCCTGATTTAATTAGGTTCCAGGGAAAGGGCATTGCCTAAACATGTTTCTCCTGTAGAGAGGTATCTGTCTTTTCATTAGAGCCCCAACATACAAGCAACAAAACGTATGGTTTAACACGGTGAGCATCTTTAATCATTAGGAAACTATCCAGCAACTAGCTCAGCTACCTCATTTTGGAGAGCAGAGAGCCGTATCGGGAAGGAAGAGAAATGGAGGACAGCATTTCCCGTGATCCTGAACATGTTCTCATATTGATGATGGTCGTTTCTGCCGCCGGAGTAGCCGGAATTGTAATTTGAGAGGAGTGTCATTTTCTGCAGATACAAACCTTGTGTAATCCTCCCATTTAAATGACATGATCCTGCAGGCTGATGATTTCATGGCCCACAATTTGTCACCTCCCCACTGCTTGAGAGCGAAACGGTAGCTAAACGACAATCAATAGACTGATTTTGTCATGCCTGACTGTTCACCTTGTTTGAACTAATTTTTAGTTTGTTAATTGTGTTTTAATATGCCACCAAAGGGGGAGGTGATCATTATTTTTTTTTAAAAAAAGGAAAGAGATTGTCAAATGAGGTGAGGAGAGGGTGATTTAAGTGGGATACATTACAGAAAATCTATAAAGTCACCCCTGCTCCCTGGAGTAATTTCCATAGAGGAAATAAACTAGTTACATTTAATGTTTGTGTGCAAAACTGATTTTTTTTACTTCTTGTTAATATGCTTTATTTTTTCTATCAGGATTCAAATAATTGTAACTATGTAAACACCTATATATGTTACTATGAATAGATTTTTGTAGTTTCGATATGGAAATATAATTTTTCAGAGATAGTGAGCATTCAGTTAGTCACTGATTCATGTGTGGTAGAAGTCATGCCTGGTAAGATGTCATCTTTTCTGTTTAAGAATCTGTAAGTAGACTGGAAAAGAAAGGTTTCAGAGTTTTTTTGAATATCATGCTTTTTGGACAAAGACAAATCTTAAATATAAATAGACTTTAATAAAGCTTTAGGACCCATTAATTAAATGTCACTTTCAAGATGCAGAAGTGAGGCTGAATGCAGTGGCTCACACCAGTCATCCCAGCACTTTGGGAGGCCAAGGCCAGTGGATCAATTGAGGTCAGGAGTTTGAGACCAACCTGCAGAACATAGCAAAAGCCCTTCTCTACAAAAAATTATTTTTTAAAAATTTGCCAGGCATGGTGGTGCATGCCTATAGTCCTAACTACTTGGGAGGCTCAGATGGGAGAATTGCCTGATCCCAGGAATTTGAGGCTGCAGTGAGTTTGATCATGCCACTGCATGCCAGCCTGGGTGACAGAGTGAGACCCCTAATCTCTAAAAAATAAAAAATAAAATTTAATTTAATTTAATTAAATGATGTAGCAATAATACAGATTAGGGTGTGGGTGCCTGGATTACCTCTGAGTGAAGGCGGCTTCTGGAGGTTCTTAATCCCCCAGTGATTACAGTAATCGGTAGTGTCCCTGGAAGATTAACATACTATGGTATATGTCCTCTTTGAAACTGTTTCTTTCCTCTTTTGTTGGTATCTGAACATTAATATCTTTAGGATGATGACCGCATTCATCATCCAAACTGAGAGGCTTTTGAAAATGAAGGAAAAGAGTTATTAGTATGTATCCTGGGAATATTGACAAAAACTGGGGCAGTCCCCACCAAACTGGGATGTATGGCCATGCTAAATATCTGCTCTCTGGACTTTCAGGTGGTATGATATGAAAATTCACCCACATCTTTACATAAATATGGGAATCGTACAACTGGTTAAATAGAGTGTTTCTATATATGGTATGGTATGGTGGCAGGTGTGACAGAAAAAACTAGAAAGTGAAGAAAGAAGCATGTGAACATCTTTGCATAAAGAAACTGCCTAGACTTTATTACTCATGAATGTAACATATTAGTGATTTCCAGAAACTAGATAGAATGAATGATCTCTAATAGAGAACCCTCCTCCCCCAATGGTTTTGTATACTATTTTCTCAGGATACTTAATAATTTCTTTCTAAACTGCAAATGAGAAAATGAAGCATAAATATGGTCTTGACTTTGGCACACCCAATTATTTGAATTGTTGGTATCATTTTAAAATAAAATTGTTTTATATTCCTCTTCCTAAATGATTCAACCTCAAGACCAATTCAAGTGTTATTCAAATAATTTGAATATCTTTCACTTCATCCCTTAAGAAGTACAACAAACCTATGGTTGGGTTGATGGAGAGAGATTGATGTCATGCCCCGACCTAGGAATCAGAGGTGCTAGCTAGGCTCTGCTCATTAGCTCAGAGACTAGAATGAGCTGACCTGCCTCTCTATTCTACCAGTTCCACTTCTAAGGGAGCCATTTGCTGAATAGCTGTGACCCCTTATTTACAGAAAATTGCATCTGTAAAATGAACAAATGTAAAAGCAAAATGAGTCTGAACCAGCATCTCTGACTTTCTTCATATCATCAATTTTATGTTTAATTTTTATATATATAATCAAAGTTATTATTTCTTCTATTGAATAAGTTTTTACTATTAGGAGCTTTGAATTTGTTGTCACAGTTGAAGCTATAAAAAGTTAATCCAGGAACATTTTTGTAATGTTACTTTTTCCTTAAAATATTTGAAACCTTATATATCTGATATACCCATCTTTCATTTTTTTAAATTTCCTTTCCATTTTGAGCAGAATCAGATATAATTCCTTCCATCCTCTCTTCTTTTATCCCTTACTTCACACAAATATTTATATAGTGTTTACTATTTTTCAGGCACTATTCTTGGCACTTGGGATATATTAGGGAATAAACACTAATTCCACTGTGGAGGAGCTAATGTTCTAGTGGAAGGAGGAAGACAATAAATAGGGTAAATAAATATTGCAGGTTAGACAATAAGTGTGGTGGGAAAAAAATAGGACAGATTGGAGGATTCAGGAGTACTGGGTCAAGACGTGAGAGTATACATTTCAATTTTAAATAAGATAAGCCCCACTGAGAAAATAACATTCAAGCTACATGATATTGTATGAGCAGGAGCTTTTTATTTTGCAATCAGCTGTATTGTTTCACATGGGGAAAACTAGAGATGAAACTCAATAATATGACATGGTTGAGATAATAAAATAACAAAAAATGTATAATATTGGGTGCTCTGGTAATGACTTTGCATGTGTCATTTTATTTAATCTTCATGACAATGTTATACAATTGGCACTGTTATCTGTCTGTGAGGAAAGTGAGACCAACAATAACCGACTTGCCCTGGGTCACACAGATAGTAAGCGGTGATTCCAGAATTTGTATCTAGGTAGTCTGATTCTAACTCTACTCCCTTAATTACTAGCCATGTTCTCTTGAGTTCTTTCATACCAAGGAAAATGTCGCTATTATTCCTGACGTATCTTCAATAACCTCAATAATTATTTTGCACTGTGTAGGGCCTTTGAAAAGATGGAGGACACACATTAACTTTCCAGGAAAGATGGTGGTGCTCACATTTGATAAAATGAGAGTTTAACATCAGGAATGAAGAAGGCATGAGACTTCCTCTTCTCACTAAAAATGGGTTATGCGTGATTAGGTGTTTCTCACCCACTCTTAAGAGAAAAAGCATGCATGATTAATATGAATGGGGGTTCAAGTGCATATATCAAAGGGAGAAACATCCTCTTGCATTTTAAAGATTGCAAATAAATATAGTTTAATCTGCTATACATAATTCATATTAGCAACAACCACCTCAAAATTAATGTCAGCCCATGTTAAGATTTGTGAATGACATCTCTAAAGCTTTGCTTCAGGCTATTCTCACAGAGACTGGTTAATGCCTTTATGGCTAATTTCCTGAGGCTTATTTTTTTGGTCTTTCCTGATGAAATATTAAGCTCTTTTTAAAAAGAGATTTATCTGATAAAAAAGTAAACCCTTGTTCAACCCGTTACATAGATTTTTCTTTAAGATAGGGTGAGGCTTTGCATAAAAATTGAAAAGATTGCAGAGGGTTCAGTAACACTAGAGGATCTATGAGATGTTTTTTTCTTATTGAACTTGACCTCTTACTGTTCAGCACACTCTAAATAAGGGATGTTAATTTCACTCCCAAACATACTTTATTGCTTTGGATATTGAGAAGACTGTTAATCTGCTACTTAAAAAATCTCAGAAGGCAGGAAGTAATTGCAGAATTTAACACTGAACAATATTAAACTCTAATTTGACTACTCATTCTGATATTAGGGGTTATTTCAAAAGTAAAGACTAGAAGTTCTAAGAGTAAAGAGATAAGAGTTGTGTGCTGTATTTATTCTTTCCTCTTCTTTTGGGAAGATGCCAGCACCCCTTCAGTAACAACGCAAGAGCGTCTTTTCAGACTTCTCTTTGCTTTTGGTAAAAACATTTATGTGTGTATCGAAATTTGAACATTCTCCCTGAAATGGTACTCAAGGAGATTTCTAATCATTCAAATAATCTCCTAATTTCTCTTATTTCCACCTCAACGTTCCCAGGCCTTTCCTAGCTCTGTTCTTTTTATTTTGTTTTTTTTACTGTATTGGAGGAAAAAATGCCTATCTTCACTGCCAAGGCCAACACATTCATCTCTGCCAGAGCAGCATTCACTTCTAGTTTCCTCTGGGACATTACTCCCTTGGGTACCTATTTTCTTACTGGTGTTTTTTCACCTCTCTTTCTAATGATTCAAATCAGCTTCCAGGTATGCTCAGCCTCCCTACCCTAATATCATAATCCTTCTAAAGTATTTTTTCTCCTTAGTCCTTTTCTGCCCTCTCCTCTCTCTTCTCCTCTTGTATTTTCTCCCCTGTGTTCTATCCCTCCTCTTTATTTATTTTCCCTCACTTGATTGCCAAACTTCTCAAAAGTGCAAACTGTGTCTACTTTCTTAGCATCCTGGCATATGAAACAACCATGGCCTTGGAGGTAAGATGACTGGGATTTCTTTCCTGATTCTATCTTCTGGTGTGTAACTTTGACAAGGGACCTGAATTCTTTGGCTTGCAAATACCGTATTATATCCCTCTAGTTTCCAGTGATGGTTACACAAACTAATAGATGATAGAATCACATATCATTTCTCTTGGAAGATAGCAAATTTTCAAGAAGTAATAACTAACATGTATTCTTCAGGGTACACCCTTCTCCTTTCCCCTAAGATGAGCTTTTTAAAAATATCATCTGGAAAGGAGAAGAAATAGTACAAAAGAATAAGTAAACATTAACAAAAAATACTGAGTGTACATAATACATAACGTAACAAAGCATTAGATGCAGGGAACTTGGGTCACAGAATAGACATTAGAAATTCCATTTCTTTTCTCAGAGCTATGATGCTGTGGCAATACATGTAGGAGAGGCAAAGTGATGAGAGAGAACCAGAAGCAGACTAAGATGAGGAATGTGGTTCTTCTAGGTTGTCCTATTGTGATAGATGGTCTCACAAGATGTCCACAATTAAGTTTATTCCTCCCATGTTGCTCCATGGAAAGATGGGTTTTCTTCCTCTCCCCTTGAATCTAGACTGCATTTGTGATTTGCTCTGACTAATAGAATATGGTAGTAGTGATAGTTCCAGGCCTGGACTTTAAAGGGATGGTGGCTTCAGGATCCTCCCTTGGCAGTGAGATGCCATGTTGTGAGGAAGTCCAAGCCAACCACATGCAAAAGCCAACTGGGAAAGGAGAGATGACTGGCTATCCCCTAGTGGGGCCAGCCATTATGGCTGAGGTACTGCTCATGTGAATAAAGACACATCTTGTACTTTCCAGGCTCAGAAGAAAGTGGAGCAGAAGGACTATCTGGCTGAGTCAGCACTGATTCCCCAATGATTAGATATAATAAAGTGTTATTGATTCAATCCAGGAAGTTTTGAGGTAAATTTTTGCACAGCATTAGATAACAGACACAATTACTAATGAAACCAGCCCAATTGTCCCATATAAATGATATTTACAGGTTTTTGAATCAACATAGAAATTGATCTTCCTCATCTTAAAACTTGAAACATATCTGAGTTCCTTCCTAAGAAACCAACTCTGGGGCAAGGGAATGAGACTCAGCAGATCACCGCATCCAGACAATGAAATGCCAGACCCCTCATCCATCATGATTGCTTCCTTACCCCTCCCTAATTCCTCTCCACACATAGCTACATCCCTTCCCCACTATATAAATCCTTCAACTTTAGTTGTTTGGGGAGATTATTTGAAACTGATCTGTCCCTGTGGCTTCAGCAGCTGATTAAAGCCTTCCTCCCTGGCAACATTTGTTGTCTCGGTGATTGGCTTTCTGTGCAGCTAGCAATGAGACTTAGACTGACACTAACACTAATATACTTCAGCAAGTCATCTGCATTTGCTGATCCATTCTAATTTATCAAATGAGACAACTGAACTAGCTCATTGCAAACATGCCCCACCCAGCCTGAATTCTGGCCATCCATCAGTTTTGCATGTGCAAGTATTTTTACTGATAAAAGTTAGACCCTGAGTTCAAAAAGTCTTAGAACTTCACTCTTATTTCCTTTATGACTTAAGTCCTCTCTCATCTGTCTTTTTCTACTTTAAATGAAGTTAATATCATGGATCAACTAGATTAAATGAGATAGTCTATGTAATACATAATTCTGGAATGTGATAAGTACACCACTTTCCATGAAAGCTCTTATTATTAATGAAAGAAAGAGGAGGTCCCACAGCCTGACCCAGAGTTGTGTACTCTGATCCACACCATCAGTGGAAAAGAAAGTGCCGTTTGTGAGTTCTAAAGATAAATGCTGTAGATGTTTTCCAACATGGTGACATCTCTGTGTTTCCCTCCTTAAAAACCTGATAATAATCTTCATACTTCTTTGGAAAACTTAATAGAATGTAATGTACTGAGGCATCACATCCTTAGTCCCTCTTAAATTTTCTTTGTTAGATAATCAGGGCAGAGTATCAGAAGTAATTAAAATTAAACTCTGCCTGAAAATATGTTAATAAAAAGTATGATATGAGATTATAAGTATTGTTAAGCAAAAGTTTTAGAACTATGTAGAAAAAAAAGTACAGAAGACAGTGTTAAAAAAAAAGAAAGGAAGGAAAGCATGGCTAGATAAAAAAGCTGAAGAAAAAGTTAAAGGACATATGGCTCTGTAGCCCACTACAAGTTTGCAAAATTCATTTCTTTTTGTAGACACAGCTTGATATAAGCTGAATCCTGACAAATTATTCTTTGTATTCAGAGTCACTTAATTTAAAACAATGTAAATTCAAAGGAAGAAGATAATGTTCCTAACCTCACTGTGACCCCAGTCCAATTTTGCTACACCACCTCAAGCGAGTCAAATTCACAATTTACATGCAGGAAGTTAACCACAAAATTAGAGCAACTCTTTATAGGCCCCAAGGTTAAGCATCAAAGGCAGAAATCCAATTAAAATGTTATTTGGATTTTCCAATAGCAAACAATCTGGAAAACTTACCAGATTATGAGAAGGATATGTATATGAAAGCTAGAGATTATGTCTTGCATAAATCAATAAATAAAATTTAAAAATGTTTATTCATTTCTTCAACAGAGATTTATATTTTTGCAGATTACATACAAGATTTTTTAAAGAATTGTGGAGAAAAGATAAAAAATGACTTCAGCCCTCAACTTAAGAAGATAATAATTTTTAAAAGGTAGCTAAAACATTCAAATATCTATGATGGTAGGTAGGATATTAAAATTCTAGATGAGTGATGCACATAAAATGAGACAGCTGTTTAAGGGAGGAGAAACTCCTTCCAGGTTTAGGGATGGTAAGGATTGCAAATACTTGTATACAATATCTAACAAGTACATTAGACTTTGAAGATGCACACATGGCACAAGCACATTGTTACACACAATTCATATTCATTTATTTCAGTCACTCAGAAGATATTTGTGCATACCTGCCTAGCTTTCACATGCTGATAAGACAGTCTCTTTCCCGAGCTGTATAATATGTGAGTGGGAAGAAAAGGTGCTTTATTTAAATTAAAATTAAACTATAAGGCTGATTTGTAAAATATAAAAGCAAAAAACCTCAAATGAAGAGGGTAGACAGACTGACGAGTTAGCAAATAGAATCATCTATCAATTAACAGTGGGGACCTGGATGTCAAGTTGCCCGGTTTGAATCCTGAATATACCACTTCCTAGCAAAGCTGAATTTAGTCATCTGTAAAATTGTGATAATAAAATTAGTAGCTGCTTCTTGAGGATTGCTATGAAGATTAGATACCGTAGTCCTCCCTTATCCACGGTTTTGCTTTCCATATTTTCAGTTGCCTGCAGTCTGAAAAGAGATGAAAAACTACAACAAGATATTTTGAGAAAGAGACCACATTTACATAACTTTTATTACAGTATATTATTATAATTGTTCTACTTTATTATTAGTTGCTGTGAATATCTTTTGGGGCCTAATTTATAAATTAAACTTTATTATAGATATGTGTATCTAGGAAAGAAACAGTAGTATGTAGGGTTTGGTCCTAGCCATGGTTTCAGGTATTTACTAGGGGTCTTGGGAAGTATCTCCTGCAGATAAGAGAGGACTACTGTAATACAGTGCCTGGAATATAGTACGTGCCTGGAAAACTGAATAATTGCCGACAGTATTAAGATTGATGTGAAACTACCTAGACCTGGAAGGGCTTGGTGGAGGTTCAGGAAAGAAGAAAATGTTTGAGCTAAGCTTAGAATAGTCTTTGGACTTGCTGGTCACAAAAGAAGAGCTTTGTTAAAACAAGGACACTGTTGGAATTAGCAATCACTAAAGCTTCAAAATCTTTTAACTTAGAACCATTAGGTTCTCACTCATCTTTGGAATACCTCTGAGATTTACCTGCATTGGCATTGTGTTCATCTTTTTCTTGATGGAATTTAGGCTCAGAGAATTTTAGAAACTCGTGAAAGTCAGAAAGGAAACTAATTTTCTAATTTTCAAATATGATGCCTTATACATCAACTAGAGAAATATACTCTCAATTTTAGTTTGCGAGGTAGACTCGAGTCTAAGTGATCCTTTCTTTGTGTACTACACATAACTAGTTATGTCACTAAAAGACAAAAATAAGGAAATAAATAAATATATAAAATGAACGGTAATGTCTCTACCTTAATTCCCACATCAGTAAAACAAAGCTAAAAATTATCTTTGCCTCTATATTTCTAAGTAATGTTTGATATAAGTATGAACCATGACATCTTAAATAAAAACCTGAGAGAATAAATGATCTAAGGGGTGCTTCCAAGGAAAGGTGTTATATAAATATGATATATTTTCATTAATAGCTATAAACTGTGAGTCCCTGAGAGGATGGGACCTTAAGCACTTCTGTTAAACCTCAATGATCTTGTGAAGATGTGTCTGGTCATCACATTTTCTATAATACAAACAGTTAAAACACCAACATGATTAGAAGTTAAATTAACGATAATTAGAAAAGGCGATACCAGGAATTGATTTAGTAATTCACCCTCTGAGATATCACTTGTATTGTGTTCAGTTTCTTAGCTTACCTATTCTATTTTCAAGTACCTTATTATGAGTTTATTTCACTTCCCCCCAAAATAATAGATTTTAGCTTTGTACGTATTTGAAAATTTATAATCCATGTTTTGTGCATGTGTAACTCTCAGCTCACCAATATATTTCATTATCTGAAACAGCCTAAATCATTCCATATATGTATGTATTACTTTATAAATAATGCACATGTGAGAAAGTGAGGAGAGGCTGCAGATGTTCAGTAAAGTGCTTGGTTAGACGCAAACAATATTATGACTGGAAGAAACTCAACTAATTATCCAGTTCAGGGTTGGCAAATTTTTTTCTGTAAAGGCCACACAGTAAGTATTTTAGACTTTATGGGCCATACGGTCTCTGTCACCACTACTTGACTCTGCCATTGTACCATAAAAATAGCCATAGATAATGCAAAATGAGTAAGCATGACATATTCCAACAAAACCTCATTTACAAAAACAGGCGGCCTGCCAAATTTGGCCCTAGGGCTGAAGTTTGCCATTGTATAAACTAATGCGACTCACCTATTTCACGTGTGAGGAGATTAAGGCATAGAAGATTTAAGTGCCATTATTGGCTATTATTAATTGAATTTTCATGGGGAGAAACAGCTCTGTCTGCTAACATTTTTATTCTGCTTTGTCAATGAATCAACCTTCCACAAGGCTTGCTGGAATGATCTTTATGAAATGCAGAGCAAGACGTGTCTTTTCTGTGTTTAAATTCCTTTAACAGATCCCTGACTTCCATGTGAGATTCAGTCTCCTTGTCTAGCGTATTTAGGATCTGTAATCATGAGATTTCTGATCACTGCATCGATTCCATAGCCTACTCCGTTTTGCAGGAAGGCTCTATTAAGCCCCCACAGTATGATAAACTGCATGACACATAGGAAGTGGTCCTATTTTATTTACTTTATCTCCCATGTCTAACATAATGCTTGATACACAGTAGATCCTGAATAAATAGCTGGAAAATGAATGGATAAATTAAAAGCTGAGATCAGAAAAGAGTTTTAAGGCAAATTTGACAGAATACCTCCTTGCTTGGCCCTGACTAAAGTTTCCTGGGTCTCACCACGTGTTCATGGAAAATGAAAGGACTAGGATCAGAAACCCCCTCCCAGGTGACCTTCATCAGAGCTCACTTCATCAGCCTGTCTCCCTAGTAACCCATTTCTATATTAATGTCTGGTTACTCACAGGGCCCCATCTGTACCGCTCCTTAATTGTGCAAAAATATTCCACGAACTAAGTAAGGACATTGCTATCGTATTATCCAGCATGGTTTTCATCAGCTGGTCACACTTCCTTCTGCTTCTTCAATGTCTCTAAGGAATTTGATTCTCCAAATGTTCAATTTGTTGTGAGGTAGCACAACCTAGAGTTACAACTTGTATTCCTAGGGCTATTACAGTGACTCACAGTAGGAGAGGATATTTTGATACCTGGATCACTGAACCCACCTGGGATGCTAATGTATATGTCCGTGTAATGTGTGGAATTACCATCACCAGAAGGTTGTCTTCCCCAAGGCAGTATCCCCTTCCTCCAGGAAAATGCAGAATTGTTATCACTGTAACTCCATACCAGCAGCATCCTTTCAAGGAAGGTCTCACAGTCTTAGCCAAAAAGAGCACACTGTGATGCTGATGACACTGTTTTTACTAAGCTAGACAAGGTTTCTTTTTAAAAATATTGGCCACCAAACAATGGGATTGTGCTTTCTTCTGCTTTTAAAAGCATGATTTTTTTTAACTATCTCCACTCAAGCTATTAAATTAACTGATTAAACATATTTATTAGCCAAATACTTCCTAAATCATCAGATTGATCTGGAGACTATTCAGAAGGGAAAACTTTTTCTCTACCCTTTTACATTCAGTATTGGAGGCCTATGAATTAAAAGGACAAAAGACAGATTAGCAAGATAAAAGATAAAGTATGTTCATATACATACAGGAGAGCCTGCAGAAAATGTAGCTCCAAGAAGTGGTTGGAATAGCATCTGAACTAGTGGGATGCATTAGGATTTCAAGGGACAATAAATGGTGAGAAATGACTGTGAAATATATGGGGGAAATTAATGGAAGGTAAGATTTGAGTGAGAAAGTCCTGTTTATGCAATTTCTCATCCCAGTACCCACTTCTCCTCTAAGGGGACAGGAGTCACTCCACGTGGTACAGGAAGACTTCCTTAAAGGGGGATTTATGACAGTTGATCCTTTTGGAACACTTGGCTTTTAGGCAGACAACAGGAATGCAGAGAAAGCTCCTTCCTGCATGTTTGGATTCTCAAATGCCTTTAGTTCAAGATAATCCTTATGCCACAATGACATAACGTGAACCCCTTCAAGAAAAATGACACTCCACAAAGAAGAAAATCAAGGCAAAGAATTCAATCATTCTGGAAGACAAACCTTTTGACTAAGGTACCCAAATAATATTGTAGATGTGTTCGAAAGCCCTAAGTTAATGTGACTAAGTATTCACTTTATTTTTCAATCAAGCAGAGCCATCTTATTGAAAGTTGAAACCAGGAACACTCTAATTGAATATCTCCTCCCAGAAGATTAAGAATTTCTTATTAATATTTTATCTCTAAATGAATCAATTAACTTCTCAGTACAAACTGTGCCTCTTTTTAAAATATATAATTTGGTAAATTTATTATCCAATATAGCAGAGCTGAACTTTTTGAAAAAGAAGGGTTCTCTGTTAGTGTGTGGCAGCATCCATAACATAATTAGAAGCTCAGAATATTGGGGCTAAAAGGTGTCTTGGTAAGCTCAGCAACTGATCCTTGGCTTTATAGGGAGAAAAAGAGGCCCAGAGTGGTTAACTGGTTTACCCAAGGTCACATAGTGAGCTCGTGCTTTAACTAGGACTTGAATCTTGGGCTCAGTCCCATTGAAATACTTGAAAAGAGTATCTAATGACTTGTAGGTTAATGAATAGAAGCACATTCATCAGATTAATGCAGCAAAGCCCTGGATATTGAGAAAACACAAAATGACTTAGAGCTAATTAAATACAGACACAAATTAGAAAATGAGGCTTAAGACAGAATATTAATAATTTCTGGTAGATATCTCATCTTTCTGCTCTTAAAGCACCCTATGCTGTCTTCTCTCACAACATAATGTCACCTTCTTGATTTCAATTCATTATGCATGGGTTCAATTCTGTGCTACCCTCCCATTTATATGTTGAAGTCCTAACCCCCAGGACCTCGGAATGTGACCATGTTTGGAGATGAGGTCTTTACAGGGATCATTAATTTAAAGTGAGGTCATTAGAGTGGACCCTATTCCTATATAATTGATGACCTTGAGAAATTTGGATGCAGAGAGATGCACAGAGGGAAAACAATGTGATGAGACATAGAGATAAAATGGCCATCTACAAGTCAAAGAGAGAGGTCTGACACATATCCTTCTCTTATGCCCTTAGATGGAACCAATCCTACAGATACCTTGACCTTGAACTTCTAGCCTGCAGAACTGTAAATCAATAAATCCCAGTTGTTTAAGCCACCCAGTTTGTGGTACTTTGTTAGTGCAGTTCTAGCAAATGAATGCACACTATTTACTCAATTTTTCCCCAAGGCAACCCGCACTTCTACCCTGCCCAGCACCAACAGAGATGGTGCGGACTTCTCCTTATCATCTCAGAAACTTCCAGTGTCTGGCTTTTCCTGGGTACTCAGTTAGTGCCTGTAACTGAATTGCCTTACACTAAATAGAGTACTTGTACTACTCTAACTCAACTCTTATTCACAACAGCTCCCTACTTTGGGTAGAGTAGTTTATATTATTCTTATTTAACTGATGATTTTCCAAAGAAGATAATGACATTCCCATGTAAGGTTACAAAGTATTACAAAGGAAAGAGATGACAATCCACTGAAATGCTTTCCAAATATAATCCAAATATAATAGTCCAGTCTTTAAAATCTGAGTTGCTTTTTGTTGAATCTGAAACTGCCTTTAATTTACCACATGCAGCTTGAGGGGTCTTTCCAGTGGAAACTGTTTTCCGTCAGGGAAAAAAATAAGTAAACAAATAAAAGCCCTCAAAACTGATCACTAAATCAGCTCAGCTTATCAAAACAAAACAAAAGAAAATCCCCCAATTAAAACAGGATTTAAAACAATGAATTCAATTTTGGAAAAGAAATTGCCAAGTTTGATTTGTACTGATTATTACGTGTTTCAACAAACTATTTAAAGTAGTGGATCTTTCTGGGGTTTTACAGAGCTCTGTGTCCATAGAAATCCTGAAATAAACTCAAATTTACCAATTTTGTATTGTTTTCCAAGAGGAGTATCCACTAACACTGATTAATAATAACAAATGGATAATTATGTCATTTTATATGTTCTTTTGTTACACATAAAAATCTAGTATTTCTTAAATGCTGGCTACATGCTTTATACATCAGTTAGCACTCTGGCAGAAAATAAAATGGTTTAATGAAAAGAGTTTAACTGAAGAAAATTTAATGAAGGCACATTTGTGCAGAGTGACAGGCAAAGTAAGGGAAAAATCAGTGGTTGGTGAGGTACCCAAGGCTCAGCAAAAGTGAGAAGCTATTACAACCTTAGGCCTGAAGATGTGGGGAGTTACCATCAGAGTCCAGAGGAGGATTGTGGGGGATGGGGTACCTGAGAGGGAGTGTAGCCATGGAGGAACACAGCCACTTCTAGAAGAGTGGTAAGGCAAGGCTTCTCTCTGGTCAGGACCCCCTATGACCTGGCAATCCCACACAGAAGTCCCAGCCCTGGGAGCCCAGATGATACACTCTGTAAAGCTCTGTTGGTCTATTTTTGCATTGCTATGAAGGAATATCTGAGGTTAGGTAATCTGTAAAGAAAAGAGATTTAGTTGTCTCATGGTTCTGCAGGCTGTACAGAAAGTATGGCACCAGCGTCTGCTTCTGGTGAGGGCTCAGGAAGCTTACAATCATGGTGGAAGGTGAAGGAGGATCCAGTGTATCACATGGCAAGAGAGGGAGCAAGAGAGACAAGGTGGAGTGCCAGACTCTTTTAAACACCCAGAACTCACATGAACTAATAGTTAGAGCCCACTCATTACTGCAAGGATGGCACCAAGCCATTCATATGAGATCCACCCTCATGACCCAAACACCTCCCACCAGTCCCCACATCCAACATTGGGGATTACATTTTACTATGAGATTTGGAGGGGATACACACCCAAACCATATCAAGAGCTTAATCTCCAGAGACCAGTTAGACAATGAATGGGAGGGGCAGTTTCAAATGGAGAACAGAGTATTTTATATGAACCATCTAACTGAATAATCTTCAAACCCCATGACATATTTTACAAATTTAGAAGCACAAGATCAGAGAAGTTAAAAATGTGCCCAGTTTTTAATGAGCAAGTAGAATGAGGAGTATATTAGTCTGTTCTCATGCTGCTGATAAAGACATACCCAAGACTGGGCAATTTACAGAAGAAAAAGTTTAATGGACTTACAGTTCCACATGGCTGGGGGAGCTTCATAATCATGGTGGAAGTCAAGGAGGAGCAAGTCACATCTTACACGGAGGGCAGCAGGCAAAGAGAGAGCTTGTGCAGGGAAACGCCCCCTTATAAAACCATCAGATCTCATGACATTTATTCACTCTCACGAGAACACCACAGGAAAGACCTGCACCCGTGATTCAATTACCACTCACCGGGTCCCTCGCACAATACATGGGAATTCAAGATGAGATTTGGGTGGGGACACAGAGTCAAACCATATCAAGGAGCAAATGAAATCCAACTTTGTTTTAGATCTAATGAAGAAGAACAAAAGAAAAATATTGTTTTGCTTTCATACAATACATTTCTTTTAAATGAAGGAAGGGGAAGAGGGCATTATGTGAAACTTGAGAAAATTGTAGATGAGTTTTATGTCAAAGGACTTTGTGTTTACTTCAGAATGTGGAATGACTTGACTTGGTGTGGAAGAGGAGCAGAGTCAGTGAATTGACAGGAGGATGGAGAACGTGCCAGACGAGAAAGTAATGGACATATGTTGATAAGGATGATCAAAGACCAAAGAATGAGGCCTGCCCAGGTGGTGCATGCCTGTAGTTCTACCTACTTTGGAGGCTGAGGCTAGAAGATTGATTGAGCCCAGGGGTTGGGTCCCATCTAGGAAACATAGCAAGATCCTGACTCAAAAACAACAACAGCAAAAAGACCAAACCTCATAAGAAACAGAAAATATTAAGAAATGAGTGGGATAGGAGGTTAAACAAGATAACTAGCTCTCGTATAACACTATATAATTTACTAAAATTTTAGTATAGCTCATATGACTTGATACTCAACAGATCCTTGAGAGATCTATTATAACTATTTCCCGCCTCATGTTGTAGATAAAAAAACAAGTTCACAGAAGTTAAGTAAATGGTAGATATGGAATTTGACTGCTAGCCTGAAGATTGTCTAATGAACCAAGAATAATTACTTGTTTGAGAAGTCTGGAAGTAGTCTGTGATATGAAATGTCACCAAACTATGATGCAACTCTGTGAGTACTAAAGTAGAAATTTAGTTGTTTTTAGTCATTTATCTAATCAAATAACTATTTCTAATCAAGGTATGCTAGCTAACTATGTATTCCAAATCCTTTTAAAATTTTTTATTAGACACCTTGTGCCCCAAATAAGAAAGCTACTAAACATGAGTATAGCCCAGGGCTTTGATAATTTTCATTAGCACCTTAGTTTAACTAATGCATTATCTGTTAAATAAGTCTGATTAACACTTCTCTACATAATCATTTTCTAATGCGTGCAACTGTTGCCTCTAGAGATTAATTGCCAAGCTTTTATGTTCAACTAACAGTAGATTGACATTTAGCATCTTAGATTTATAGATTTCCTGGTATGTTATTGGACTGTTTTCTTTGGATGGATTCCTCCAACCATTTGAAATTGGATTTCTCCAAGGATAGGTCGATGTAAGCAGTGGAGCTAATCACATCATTTTACTTCAGCCTCTTCTCACAGAACTTGGTTTATTATGATCTTAAAACCTCCTGGGATATTTTTCTAGCTCTGGATGTATCTGAATGTACCAGGTAAAATCAGGACTACTGTAATTCATCCATTTGCTGTACTATCTTCTCGTTCCATATAGATACCTTTATGTTGACATGACAGTATTAGAAAAAGACAGCTACCAGAGCCCTGCCCACCCATCTACAAGGTCAAGAACTATTCCCACCAAACTATTGAGGCCTTGTATATACTAGGTGCTTAAATGACATTTGATAACCTGGTTTATTGACTTTGAAGAATACTAATTTAGTTACTTATTTAATATTCCAATGCACACCTTCTTCAGGTAAAGTGCAATGTTGGCTATTGAGGAAAAGATAAGTTTGTGGCTTCAACTATGGGAATAGTGTTTTAGTTCAAATCCTTTAGTTTCAAAAGAGATAAACCTTTCAAACTCAGTTAAAATAATGAATGAAATTAAGTGGAATCAAAGGCAAGGAGTACAGAGAGGTCATTGCTTCTCTGAACCTAAACATTATTGTCATTGTTTCTCTGCATAGCTCTGTGTTTCTGTGTCAATGGCCATCACTACATTTGATTCTATAATATTTCTACTGCAATCAAGTCACTAACATAGGCAAAGGTTAACTTGTTCCAGGTCAAAATTCCTAGGAAAAAGAATCTGATTCATCCAACCTGTGTTAAAAATTAATACTTGATACAATCAACTGCTGCCAATGGATCTGGCTCCCGTAATAAATCCTCGGCCACTAAGGACAGCTGGGTAGAAATGACTATTATCCAGGAAAGAGGAACACACCTGGCCAACCCCTTTCTTTCTGTAGTACATAGGGTATCTACTTTGACCAGTTTCTGAGAGTAGTTTGCTTCAACTCTCCCTCTTCCTCTATGACTGATGGCAGACAATCTAACATTTAACTCTACCTCTGTATTAGTCAGGGTTCTCTAGAAGGACATAACTAATAGGATATATATATATACACATACACACTCGTATATACACACACACACAGATACATATATATATATATATATATATATATATGTAAAAGGAGTTTATTAAGTATTAACTCACATGATCACAAGGCCCCACAATAGGCCATCCACAAATTGAGGAGCAAGGACAGCCAGTCTGAGTCCCAAAACTGAAGAACTTGAAGTCTGCTGTTCAAGGGCAGGAAGCATCTGGCATAGGAGAAAGATGAAGGCTGGGAGGCTAGGCCACTCTAGTAGTTTCACATTTTTCTGCATGCTTTATATTCTAGTAAAACTAGCAGCTGATTAGATTGTGCCAATACAGATCAAGGGTAGGTCTGCCTTTCCCAGCCTACTGACTCAAATGTTGATATCCTTTGGCAACATCCTCACAGACACACCCAGGATCAGTCCTTTTCATCCTTCAATCCAATCAAGTTTACACTCAGTATTAACCATCACAAGTCTACCCATTGTCAACTTGAACCCACACACATCTCCTGAGCTCATACATAACCTTCAAATAAAGACAATAATAAGGTCATAATTACACCTAACATAATACAACTATCTTTTGTACAACTGGAAACACACCAATACCCAACCCAAATACTATTACAGAAAGTTAACAATACTTAAATGCTGCTATGAGGTCAATAAATTTTATGTCACATGATAAAGGAAAAAGGAAATAAAATGAAGATATTTTCTTAGTACAAGTATATATGTGCACAAACATGTTTTTAAAAAAAGGAAGGAGGAAATACTCAAGGGAATTACAGTCCTTGTTTCTGCAGCTGGTCTTGGGATCATAGCTGGTATTGATGACTACCTTCTTCTACTGCCCATTCTATATTCCCTTTGCCTTCAGCAAGAACCTCAGCAGGTCATGGTTTTGTTTTGTTTTGTTTTCTGGTGGAGTGACCCAAACCTTTATTCCTGAAGGGTGTGTGCCATTTGTAGTCCTGCCTGGATTGGGCTGTTGTAGTTTCCCATTGACCTTAATCAGAGGGCATGGTAATACTAAGAGACGCCCTAATGGATCTCCTGTATTCCATGCATACTCTCCCTTACCTCTGTTGTAGAGTGGTAGATGATTTCATCTTGATAGTCTGGATCAATTGCCCCAGCCAACACTGTAACTCCCTTCTTAGCCTGTTGACTTAAAGGTAGGAGGAGACCAAAGTGTCCAGGTGGCAATCCTAACTTCCAGTTTAGTGGGATCTGGGATCGTTGTTGTGTATCCTGGTGGAAGTGTTCCTCCCTCTGGAACTAAGACCTCTAGCCCAGCAGAAGGTAATATTGCAGGAACAGGAAGCAAAAATTTTGCTAGTGGATCACAGGGGTGATGGTGAGTGGTGCCACTTCCACTTCCACCCCTTGATTCCAAGACCCATGAATCCTGGCTATGGGAGAAACAGTACCATATATTGGACACTGATTCAGAGCATACACGGGCTTCTGGAGAACTTTGCCCCTGCCCTGCAAAGTATTGTCACCTAGTTGGCATTGTAATTGTGACTTCAAAAGGCCATTCCACACTTCTATCAATCCAGCTGCTTCAGGATGATGGGGAACATGGTAAGACCAGTGAATTTCATGGTCATGAGCCCACTGCCACACTTTTTTAGCCATAAAGTGAGTGCCTTGGTCAGAGGCAATGCTGTGTGGAATACCATGACGGTGGATAAGGCATTCTGTGAGTCCATGGGTGGTAGTCTTGGCAGAAGCATTACGTGCAGGATAAGCAAACCTATATCCAGAGTAAGTTTCTATTCCAGTGCCCTTTCCATGATGGAAGAGGTCTAATATAATCAACTTGCCACCAGGTAGCTGGCTGATTACCCTGAGGAATGGTGCCATATCAAGGGCACAGTGTTGGTCTCTGCTGCTGGCAAATTTGGCACTCAGCAGTGGCCATAGCCAGGTCAGCCTTTGTGAGTGGAAGTCCATGTTGCTGAGCCCACGTGTAACCTCCATCCTTGCCACCATGGCCGCTTTGTTTATGGGCCCATTGGACAATGACAGGGGGGTGGCTGGGGAAAGAGGCTGAACCGTGTCTGCAGAACAGGTCATCCTATCCACTTGATTATTTAAATCCTCTTCTGCTGAGGTCACCCATTGGTGAGCACTCACATGAGATACAAATATCTTGTTTTTGACCACTCAGAGAGGTCCATCCACATACCTCGTCCCCAAATTTCTTTCTCACCAATTTTCCAATCATGCTTCTTCCAAGTCCCTGACCATCCAGCCAAACCATTGGCTACAGCCCATTAATCAGTATATAATTACACATCTGGCCATTTCTCCTTCCATTCAAAGTGCACAACCAGTTGCATTGCTCAAAGTTCTGCCCATAGGGAAGATTTTCCTTTACCCTTCATCATTCTTCAGGGGTGTCCTACAAAGCGGCTTTAGTGCTGCAGCTGTCCACTTTTGGGTGGTGCCTGCATATTGTCAGAACCATTTGTGAACCAGGCCCTAGTCTTCTCTTCCTCTGTCAACTGATCATGGGGAACTCCCCATGAGGCCATCAGTGCATGCTGGGGGAGAAAAGCCAGGGTGGCTGGAGTGGAGACAGTGAGTATTTGAACCACTTCCTTATGTAACTTACTTGTTCCTTCAGGGCCTGCTTGAGCCCAATCACATATAGACCACTTCCGTTTGATGATCCAGTGCTGCTGTGCGTGACCCACTTTATGGCCAGATGGGTCAGAAAGCATCCAATTCATGATAGGCAATTCAGGTTGCATGGTGACTTGATGATCCATAGTTAAATGTTCAGTTTCAACCAAAGCCCAGTAACAGGCCAAGAGCTGTCTCTCAAAAGGAGAGTAGTTATTTGCAGAACATGCCTTGCTCTAAAATTCTAGAGGCCTCTGCTGTAATTCATGTATGGGGGCCTGCCAAAGATTCCAAACAGCATCCCTATCTGTCACTGACACCTCAGGCACCACTGGATCTGCTGGGTCATATGGCCCAAGTGGCAGAGCAGCTTGCACAGCAGCCTGGACCTGTTGCAGAGCCTTCTCCTCTTCTGGACCCCACTCAAAACTGGCAGCCTCTCAGGTCACTTGATAAATGGGCTGGAGTAACCCACCCAGATGAGGAATGTGCTGCCTCCAAGATCCAAATAGACCTACTAGGTGTTGTGCCTCTTTCTTGGTCATGGGAGGGGCTAAACGCAGCACTTATTCACCTTAGAAGGAAGATCTCAACAGACCCCACACCACTGGACCCCTAGAAATTTTACTGAGGTAGAAGTCCTTGAATTTTAGTCATATTTGTTTCCCATCCTCAGGCATGCAAATATCTCACCAATAAGTCCAATGTGTTTACTACTTCTTACTCACTAGATCAAATCAGCATAATGTTATCAATGTAATGGACCATTGTGATGTTTTACAGAAGCAAAAAGCAATCAAGGTCTCTCTGAATAAGATTATTACAGAAAGCCGGAGAGTTGATATACCCCTGAGGTAGGACAATAAAAGTATATTGCTGGCCTTGCCAGCTGAAGGCAAATTTCTTCTGGGGTTTATGGACAGGAATGAAGAAAAAGGCATTTACTAAGTCAATGGCTGCATACCAGGTACCAGGATATGTGTTAATTTGCTCAAGCAATGAAACCATATCTGGTACAGCAGCTGCAATTGGAGTCACCACTTGGTTAAGCTTATGATAATCCACTGTCATTCTCCAACATCCATCTTTCTTCTGCACAGGCTAAATGGGAGCATTGAATAGGGATGTGGTGGGAATTACAACCCCTGCATCTTTCAAGTCCTGATGGTGGCACTAATGTCAGCAACCCCTCCAGGGATGTGATATTGTTTTTCATTTACTATTTTTCTAGGTATAAGCAGTTCTAATGGCTTCCACTTGGCCTTTTCCTTCATAGTAACCCTCACCCTACCAGTCAGGGAACAAATGTGGGGGTTCTGCCAGCTACTAAGTATGTCTATGCTAGTTATGTATTCTGGCTCTGGGGAAATGACCACAGGGTGAGTCTGGGGACTCATTGGACCCACTGTAAGTCAGACCTGAGCTAAAACACTGTTAATTACCTGACCTCCTTAAGCCCCTACTTTAACCGGAGGACCACAATGACGTTTTGGGTCCCCTGGAATCAATGTCACCTCAGAGCCAGTGTCCCATAGTCCCCCAAATGTCTAGTTATTTCCCTTTCCCCAATGCACAGTTACCCCGGTAGAAGGCCAGAGGTCTCCTTGGGGAAGGATGAGAGAAAGATTCCTTGCATAAATTGTTGGTAATGTAGTGGAGTCCTTCCTCAAGGGGGACCAGCCTCCCCTTCATTCAAGGGATTCTAGGTCTGTAAACTGGCTTGTCTGGAAATTGAGGAGCTATGATTCTGTTTTTATAATTGAAATTAGACTTAGAAGTTTTCTGCTTGTATAAATTAAGTACGAATGCCGTAGGCTCTCTATCAATTTAACTTCTAAGAACACCATGATTAATTAGCCAGTGCCAGAGCTCTACATGAGTCAAACTGTTCTGATTGCCACTTTACCTCTGCTGTCCATTACGGTAGCTATGCCTACCTTGCTTTTGACAGTTGAGTGCTGCCACTTGGCCCATGCCACCTTGGGATCCAATTATTCCCATTGTATTTAAATTTCATAGTTGGGTGACTGTGGTTCCCACTGTTAGATCTGACATACTGAGAAGAGCAATTACAGGGCTCTTCAAAGATGCAGGTTTTGCCCTCACAAATCTATTTTGCAAGGCATTGGTCAAGGGTATATATTCTAGACCTAAATCTCCCTAAGCCTTTGCATCCCTTCCTCTACATTAAATCAAGGGAGATCAGGCATTTCCAGCTCACTCACAATGGGCCATATCAATCTGATTATCTAATGTCAAGAGATCCGGGTCCCATAGTAAATCCTTGGCCACTAAGGACAGCTGGTAGAGATGACTCTTATCAAGGAAAGAGGAACATACCTGGCCAACCCCATTGTTTCTATAGCACATAGGGTATCAACTTTGACCAAATTCTGGGAGTAGTTTGCCTCACTTCTTCCTCTTCTTCTATACCTGATGGCAAACAACTTAACATTTAACTCTAACCCTAGGCTGTTAAATTTTCATGCTAGCCAAAATGCTTATCTGCCTTTAACAGCAGCTTGAATACTTCCCCCTACCCTTTCAAAGATTTATCTCAGGAACAGTGCAGGGGGACAAGGCCAAATCCTGTTTTGTTTCTAAGTACAGGAAGCCTGAACTGTACTATTATTTAGATACCACCACTTCTGAACTAACTGCAAGCAGGAGAGTCAACTATATCATTTCAATGTGTTTTTATAACACAGCGGCAGATTTTAGAGGTGAAACTTGGAAGAGATTGATCTTTTTCTACAAGGAGGTAGAGAATATGATGAGAAATTTCTCTATTTGCACTGCAAGATATCTTTAGTGAATCTCTTCTCTATTCCTCAGCTACAAACATTTTAACTTTTTCTCTACAGCAGGTTCATCACAGTAAAGATAGTAAGCCAAGTCCTCACCTTTTCTCTGGAAAATATAGGAAGAAACAAAATAGAGGTCAGATAAACCAGAAATTGCATTTAGGAAACATACAAATTGACCTTGTAATGAGCATGCTGTGTAGTTTTTTTCCCACTATGTTTTCTTTCTTAAAATCAAATCTAAATAATACAGCCATCATGTCTAGTTAATAGTTGTGCCATTGGCTGGGTGCAGTGGCTCACACTGGTAATCCTAGCACTTTGAGAGACCGAAGTGTGCAGATCGCCTGAGGTCAGGAGTTTGAGACCAGCCTGGCCAACATGTTGAAACCCCATCTCTACTAAAAACACAAAAATTAGCCAACAGTGGTGGTGTACACCTTTAATCCCAGCTACTTGGGAAGCCGAGAGAGGAGAATTGCTTGAATCCAGGAGGCAGAGGTTGCAGCAAGTCGAGATTGTGCCAGTGCAGTGCAGCCTGGGCAACAGAGGGAGACTCCATCTCAACAATAACAGCAATAACAACAAAAACATAATTGTGCCCTTAGGGGGACTAAAACATAAAGTTATTGAGGGGAAAATGTCACATCACAAGCTTCCCTTGTTTTACAAGGACTTGAGGTTAAGTAATTTCTTCCTTCCTTATGGTTGTAAAATATTGACTTCAGAAGTTGTCAAATTAGCCTGGCATGGTCCTTGTTACAAGTAAATAGGTTCCTTCTGTGGAGGCACTAGCAATCAACTTTCCCAAGGATGAGGTGCTGATATCCCAAGGCTTGCCTTTCTCCCTATTGAATTTATCTATTTGTGCACCTGTACACTTAGGCAGACAATGTAATACATCTATTTATCGCTACCACCAGCGTATCTGTCTAAAGCTATAACTGAAGGCATGTGTTCTCATAAAAGAAGAGAGGCACATTAGTCTAGTTTGATGCAGCAGTCACAGGCTTTATGTAGTGACTTATCTGGAGATAAGAGTCTTGACTGTTGTTAGACACCACCGAAAGTCATTACTTTGTGACTGCAAGGAGGATGACAACTCAACTGAGTGAAACTTCCAGCAGGTTGTGCATTAGAACTTAGAACAACAAAAGTGAGAGAAGTGGGGGTCCTGGATTTCTATTGATTACAAAATAAGCTGTTTATCATCATAATATAAGCTCCTTATGACCAGTGACTAGGAATTTATTTAATATTATGCACAGAAGTTTTTTAAAAACAGAACATTGTATGTGATAAATTTTTGCCAGCAAATAGATGGGTGCATGCATGGATGGATGAATGGATGCACGAATGAATGGATGGATGGATGGATGGATGGATGGATGGATGGATGGATGGATGAATGGATGGATGCACAAATGGATGAACGAATGCATGGATGGATGAATGGATGAATGAATGGATGGATGGATGGATGGATGGATGGATGGATGGATGGATGGGTTCATGGATGCATGAATGAATGGATAGATGCATGAATGAATAGATGGATGCATGGATGGATGGATGCACAAATGGATGAATGAATGCATGGATGGGTGGATGGGTGGATGAATGGATGGATGGATGGTTGGATGGATGGATGGATGGATGGATGGATGCATAGATGCACAAATGGATGAATGAATGAATGCATGAATGGATGGATGGATGGGTGGATGGATGGATGGATGCATGGATGCACAAATGGATGAATGAATGAATGCATGAATGGATGGATGAGTGGATGGATGGATGCATGGATGGATGAATGAATGGATGGATGAGCCAGACTACTTACTTTCAGAGTTTTCACGAATAATATAGGATGCTAGGTTACTAAAGTTATTACAAATGTGTGATTTTTAAGGAATCTACAATCAGAATGATGCCTACTTCTCTGGCTGCTTCTTGTAACCTCCACGCCTTGCCCACAGAGTTCTAGTCACACCATAGTTCTTTCTGTTCTTCATGCCTGTTTAGCACCAGGGCCGTTGCACAGGCTGTTCCTCAGGCCCAAAAGCTTTTCTTTATGATCTCCACATATCTCTTTCTTTCCTGATATTCAGGATTCACCTCACGTGTTCTATCACTAGGAGTGATTCTTTTAACCACTCAGTCTGAAGTAGTGACCAGATTGTTCTCCATCATGGTTCAATTTCAATTCTCTCCTCAACATTTATTGTGCCTTTATGTATTTATTTGATAGTTTTATTTTTTCTTTACATTTGTGGCTTTATTTATCTTTCATTCTCCAATAACGTTTGAGCTTCACGATTATTTCCCAGCTTATTTAGCACTATATCCTCTGCATACACATCCAGTTATAGACTGAATGAATGGAAGGGAGGAAAAAATCAAACATTCTCCCATAGGTTTAATTACTAAAAATTCCCTAAATTATATGCACCCATAAAACATTTAAAACAGTGTAAATTTATACAAATTAGATATATACTTTGAAGTGATCAAATTTCCTACTTTAAAAAGGTGGTTGTGTTGACCTGTTTATCTGTCAGCCTTGGAAATATATCAAAGGTTAAATAAATATAATCATGTTATATTCTTAAATCTTTTCGGAATGAAGTGAGGTATAAACACATGTGTGCTTTTATATATATAAACACACATGTATATATACATGCACATATTTCTATAATTCAGGGATTTGTTGGTTCAGACTAAGAACTCTTAGTTCCTAGTTCTTTGCTCTATGATGATTTAGAAACCTGGAATTTTTTAAACTGAAAGGGCTAATGTCTTTTCGTGCAGTGGTTTTCACTGGAGGCAGTAAGATCATCTACCGTTGCACTTGGCATTTTGTGACATGTGTTAGTTATTATAATAAATGGGAGCACTAAAAGGCATTTGGTGGCCAGGGGCTAGGTTTGCTATATATCTCAATGCATGGAAAAGCCTTATACCTGAAGAAAGCTTTCATATCTCCCACAACTTTCAAAAATCTGTTCACAATCACCCGAGCCTTATACATAATTCTGCTTTACTTTTAAACACAAAGTATTTTGCACTCAGACCTGCCAACTAAACTCTAGCCCCAGGTACTAAGCTTTCAAATAGGAACTGTGGCTTATTACATTTTACTCCCTTTTTCCTGAAAATTCATTAAAATTCAGTTACGAAGTCTGTCTTTAACAATATCAAATGGAGCCTTTAAACGATGACCACAATGTATAGTCCTTTCAAGGAGGAATGTCTTTGCCCATCACATATCTTTCTGAATTTCTAGAAGTCTGTTAAATAAAAAGGAACAAATCCAGACTTAGGTAAGGAGATATTTTGTTCGGAAAGACTTTTATAGTGAGAGGAAAAGGACTATTGCAATACAGAGAATACTCTGACCATAAGATCTGCAAACATCTCAAAGGACAGGCAGAAAGGGCTCCTCTTTTACAGGAAGGAGTAAACAAAGCTAGAAGGAGCTGTCTGTGGGAGTGTGAAGACCAGATGGTGTGGTAGAACAACTGATTGGGGAATGTTTCTCCTAGGTGTCAGTGGACTCTTGAGAGGGGCCTTAAAGGATGAGCTCTTCTATATTCTGATGCTTGGTTAAAGTCAAGGGAGAGTCAAACTCCAGGTGTCTGTGGAGTGGGAAAACCCTAACAAAATTTTGGTCCAGACAAGTCAGCAGATACTTTTCCCAGATTGATTAAATTGTATAAACTCAGTAAATCAAAGGATGATTTCATTTTCCTTCCACAAGATCACAGTAAGGTTTGTTTGCCGTTTGGGGAAGTCGCATTCCTAATGGTCGCAGTGCTTGTGGTATATGAGCAGTCAGTACAACCACTTGTATCATCTGCATTTGTGGTTACCAAATTCGTGATAATTCTGGAAGAACCAATGCAAACAGGTGACGACTGTGTTTTATCTTTTAGTGTACTAAAGCAGTTGGAGAATATTTCATTTTTAATTGACTTCCTTTTGTTTCTCCGTTATATTAATTTAAGGCCTTATATCAGTTTTCCACTTCCCTAGATTATGTGTAGAGCTAGACAACATGGCTGTAAATGTAATTTCAGGAAAATAAAGGTGGCATTATGAAATATTTGTTCTCAAAAAGGGCTGTAGGTCCTTTAAAACTGCAATTCCTATTCCACTGCCAGATTATTATTTATGTATAATGACTCTGAAACTAACAGAAGTTGAGAAATTTGCCCAAAGCCACAGAGAATATTAATACAATTACACACATACATACTCTTAAATTGTTAAAAAATGTTGACATGACAAGCATGGGGCTAGGAATGCAGATGAATAAAAATGCCTTTTTCTGTCCAGTAAAAAAATAACTTCTACACAGAAATGATAAAAACTCAATTAAGAAGTGACTGGTTTAGCAAGCAAAAAGTCCTAGAAAATGTTATTTCTGATAAGTACATTAATACAAACTTTTCATTGCTGGAAACTTTCTTGCTATATTTAAGACATGTGAAAAAGCAAAAAACAAAAACGTCTAGAAATCTATTTCTTAATCTGCAAAATGGGGATAAAAATATGTACCTCATAGCATTGTGTGACTCAAACAAGGTAAGTGATGTGATCCATGATTTCCAAACATTAATGTTCTTATAAATTACCTGGAAATTTTGTTAAAATGTAGAATCTGATTTTTAAGTTTCTGTGGGAATTAGAATTCTGCATTTTGAACAAAATCTTCAGTAGTTACCAATAATACTGGTTAGAGATAATTTTGAATGGGAAAGATGGAAACCCCTTGGCACATTGGAAGGGGCCAGTTTTGGTTGGAGGTCCTTGGCTTCCACTCTTGTACTAGCTCTTTTTGAAGAGGCATTGGCTGTTTCCCCACAGATCTCACTTGCTTCTTTTATTTTTAGATCACTCCCATTTCACTCATTTATAGGTTTTAAGAATGAGGGGAGTGATTAGATGAAGACTGTTTGAGGGACTGGTAATTAATACTCAAAAATAAATTTTTGAATATGCTTCTTTCTTCTTCCTATTAAAAGCATAATGTTCTGGTACTTTGTCCACGTTTAAAGCAGCCTTTCTGGATTAATATAGCTACTAATAGAAAGGGGAGAAAAGTTGCTATGGTTAGAATACATGTGTTCCTCTGAAATTCCTGTGTTGAAGCTTAACCTTCACAGTGATGGTATTAAGAGGTGGGGCCTTTGAGTGGTAATTAGGTCATGTTGTAATTAGGTCATGAGGGCTCTGCCTTATTGTAGAGAGAGGAGAAGGACTATTGCAATACAGTGAATACTCTGACCATAACATCTGCAAGCATCTCAAAGGGCAGGCAGAAAGGGCTCCTCTTTTATAGGAAGGAGTAAACAAAGCTAGAAGGAGCTGGCTGTGGGAGTCTCTCTCTCTCTCTCTCTCTCTCTCTCTCTATCTCCAGACAGACAGATAGATAGATAGATAGATAGATAGATAGATAGATAGATAGACAGACAGACAGACAGACAGACAGACAGACGGATAGATAGATATAGAGAGAGTCTCACATCTCACTCTGTCACCCAGCAGGCTGAGATGCAATGGTGCAATCGTTGTTCACTGTAACCTGAAATTCGTGAGCTCAAATGATCCTCCCACCTCAGCCTCCTAAGTAGCTATTTTTTATTTTTTTTTTTTAGGGTTGGGGTCTCCCTGTGTTACCCAGGCTGGTTTCAATCTCCTGGTCTCAAGTGATTCTCCAACCTTGCCCTTCAAAAATGCTGGGATTACAGTCATGAACCACCATCCTGAGTGTTTAAATACGCTTCTAAAAGAGGCTTCATAGAACTGCCTGTCCCTTCCATCTCCTCTGCCATGTTTTTACAAGATTCATCCTCTTTTGCCCATCTGCCTTCCACCATCTGATGAGATGCAACCAAGTGCCACCTTGGAAGCAGAAAGTGAGCCTTCATCAAATATGGAAAATATTGGCATCTTGATATTAGACTTCCCAGGGTCTAGAACTGGAGACATAATTTTCTTTGCTTATAAACTACCCTGTCTAAAGTATTTTGTTACAGCAGCAGGAATAGAATAAGATATAGGTATTATTATTATATTCTTCTGGAGTGACATTCTTATTACTCATATATAAATATTCATATCTACTTATCTAAAACAATCACATTTCTTATTTTACAAAATAGTTTTACAGTTCCTCAACTGGGATACAAAAAGCCCACTTTTTTAGTGAGAAAAAATGATAAAATGAAATACAAAACAGTTCTACTAGCCTCAATATTCTACAGATGCTTCTTCAATGGACCTAAGAATGGTAAACAGATTTTTTTAAAGACATCCAAATCTAAGACACCTTGTATTTTTCAGTTTTACCAATAGATGACACTAGTGATACACACGCACGCACGCACACACACACACACACACACACACACACGTATATAATAACATTCCAAGAAAATTCTTCAAGTCTGCAGTCTTGGGGATAAAAGCCCAAGGTAAAGAAACCGGTAACACCGAGTTGTTAACATACTAACATTGTTTTTATAGAGTTTTTTTATTATTTTCATAGAATTTGCAAAAGCATCTTCAAAGACAGTTTTTGTGGCAGATGACTGAGCATCTAAATTATTTTTATCAACACACAATTATAACACTAATCCTGAAATAAGAAAAAATCAGAGGGACTTCATGAAAGGAATATGTGAATATATATTTCATCTTGTAAAAATTGGTTGCTTATTCCTTCATCTATAAAACCATGTGGTCTGAATATATTGTTTCTCAGGCCCTGGATGGAGTACCAAGAATGCAGCCTAGTAAGGCAAGACACTGCCTAAAAAGATGGTCAAATTATCTAGAAAAATTAGTAATGTAATCACACTGTCCAAAGTCCCCATGACATGGGAGTTTCAAGGGTTGTCATGCCTTCCAGATGTGAGGGACCATAGTTTGTAACCTGCAAAACAATATTATTGTGAGTGGTGCTTTTCTTTAAATGACGTCTCTAAAAGCGATTCACATTCTTGATACCACTTTGGAATTGGAGATATTTCATTTAGAGCCCTTGAAATCTGAGTACTAGTGTGCATATTTTATTCCTGCCTTTTCTCTTGTTACTATATGCACCTAAACCGAGTATTTTTATCATAGGTTTTTTGGTTGTTTGCTTGTTGTTTTTTTTTTTTTTTTTTTTTTTTTTGGTAGAGATTGGGATTTCTCCATGTTGCCTAAGCTGGTCTAGAACTCCTGGACTCAAGCAATCCACCCATCTTGGCTTCACACAGTGCTGGGATTACAGGTGTGAACCACCATGCCCAGCCAATTTTTATCATAATTTTAAATTGGCAACTAACCAGATGCTTTATGTTACCCCCCCATCATCCCCTACAAATGACTCCATGTCAGACACAGACATTAATCGGTTTATGGAGTTAAATTTACAAAAAGGAAATAGGAAAAAGCGACAGGTGCATGGCATTACGTGCTGTGATGTGTATTAAAAGAGAGATCTCACAGATTGAAAGGAGATGTAAATACCAGCAGGACATATTTTTCAAAGGACACATTCAGAAGAATCCCATATAAGGTTGCCTGTCAAAGGAAGCCATTCCATTTTAACTGAATATTTAAGAATTTTATAGTGACATAGGTTTCATTTGGTTCATATGTGATATATTTTATTAGTAAAATATATAGTGCATGATTATCACTACCCAGATATGAAGCAAAAGTTGCATAAATCATTGTAATTTTTGATGAAACAAAAGAATATTTCGTAATGCTAATCGTTATTTTATTTTTTCAAAAATTTGTAAAAGTGAGAGGCTAATGGGAAGCCTAACCATTGGCAATGAAATAAATTCCATTTTGATTTTCTTTTTTAATAAATATTGCTGCACATTCCTTTCCAGGATCAAGTTAAACTCCTTGCTAATTCTTTCATTGAACAAAATAATCGTAAAGAAAACTCATAACATATTCCGATTTCAGCATCCGTGGGTATTAGTAGTCACATGATCTACCTTTAGAGACAGAAAGTTGAAATCTGATTTTTTTAAAAAAAGTAAGTGCAGTGGCTTAAGTGATTCTATGCTTTTAGACAGTATTGTCTTCAATAATTAATTTGTATAGATAAATGTAGCGTAGCATCTTTACATATTATTAAAATATTGTTTTGAGATTGTCATGGCAATATACATGCACAAAATATGTAGACTGGAACAACAACACAAGGTACTCAGTAACATCATTAAATGAAAAATAAGGTTTTTGGTTATGTACATCCTGGTTCTACTCTTTTTAAAAAAACTTAAATTAATTCATTAAGAAATATTTATTACAGAGAAAATGATATATATTCAAATATGTATTTATATGTATTCACATATATAATACATAAGATATATATAAGCTATGAAACACATTAATTAAAATAACCATCACTACCCTACTTAACAAAAACCATATATTGCAGTCTTAGATAAAGTTGAAAAAAATTATTGGTAAAAGTTTCTAAGTAAATCTACTAACATAAATAATTAGGCCTTTTAATTTTTAATTATCAAAAACTATATTTTTCTTTATTTTATTTAAGGGTAAAGATTCTCACAGCACACATGCACAACCATGATATATATCATCTAAGAACTTATTTCTGTATATGGTTGGGCAGTAAGCAATTCTATAGATGTATACACCTATATAACCTATATTAAAATATGGAACATTTCCAACTTCATAAAAAGTTCCCTAGGGTTCCATTTCAGTCAATATACACCAAGATCCAAACAAAACTGATCAATATTCCACCAATGTAGCTTACTTATGCCTGTTGAGAACTCAATATAAATAGGATTATACAATATAGACTCTTGTGATATTGTGATATAATAAGTAAGTTATATTTGGTCTCTGCTCTTGCTTCCTGACACACTGCTTCGAAAACCCTTAGAGAGTGTCTTTTGTATGCCAATGAGCTGACTGTTGGCCAGGGTTCCTGAGATAGCTTCAGGATGGGGGCTGTTCACCAGAAAGACGGAGGCATGATTAGAGAGTTGAGACTTTCAGGCCTACCCCGCAACCTCCGTGAAGGAGAGAGAGGCTGAAGATCGGTTGAGTTCATCACCTATGGCCAGGGATGTAATCAATTATGTCTACATGATAAAGTCTTCATAAATGTCCAAAAAGACAAGAGTGTGGAGAGCTTTCAGGTTGCTGAACATGCAGAGGCTCCTGGGGGGTGGTGCACCAGGAGAGGGTATGGAATCTTCAGCTCCTTTCCTATACCTCACCCTATGTATCTCTTCCATCTGGCTGTTCATTTGTATCTTTTCTAATACACTTTGTAAAAAATGGATAAATGTAAGTGTTTCCCTGAGTTCTGTGAGCCATCCTAGCAAATTCACAGACACCAAGGAAGGAGAAAATTCACTGGACCTGCGATCTGTAGACAGTCAGAAGAATGGGTGACAGACCATTACAATAGTCCCTTGATGTCTTCCAAGATGCCTTGTGCATACCAAAATCCACAGATGATAAAGCCCACAATTGGCCCTGCAAAATTCCCAGAAACAAAACGTCAGCCCCTTGCATCCCTCTAATTCTGTATTTTTTGATCCTCAGTTATTTATCCAAGAATATGGAACACTCAGATTCTGAGGGCAGATTGTACATGTGATTGGTGTCTGAAGAGAGGGAATCTTGTGGGACTAAGCCCTTAACCCATGGGATCTGACTCTGACTTCATAAAGTTACTTCAGTTCTGACATGATAGTGGTAGAATTGAAATGAATTATTGGACACTTAGTGTCCACTAGAGAGTTAGTTGTTAGTGGGGAGAAATCCATACACATTTTGGTGAGCAGAAGTGAACTATTCTGTGTTGAGCTGTGAGTTGTGTGTATTAGAGTCAAAAACAGTTTGATGTTTCCCATCTTTTCCAATGGTTCCTTTTCTAGCTCAGACTCTCCTCTGTGTCCAACTTCACTCACATTATATAAAGTCTGTGAGGTTTTTTCCTTCTGTATGTATAGCAACTGTTTGTTCCTTTTCATAGTTGAGTAGTATGAATATGTAATTTCTGGTGTGGAGCTATTATGAATAAAGCTACTGTTGAACCTCTGTGTATAAGTCTTTAAATGGACATGTGTTTTCATTTGTCTTGGGTAAATTCTTAGGTGTGAAATTTCTGAATCCTATAAGTGATGCGTGTTTAAGAAACTGCCAAACTGTTTATCAAAGACCTTCCACCATTTTATGAACCCCTCAGCAATGTGTGAGAGCTGCAGTTAGTCTGCTCCAGGCAGTCATCAACTATTACCAGTTGACTCCACTCCCACATTCTACTGAGTGTGAAATCATATCTTATTGTAGTTTTAATTTGAATTTTCTTGATGATTGCTGATATTGAGTGTCTTTCCATGTGTTTGTTTTCATGTTTATATTAGTTACAAAAGGCCATTAAATAATTCAGATACAAATAAATATTTTGTCAGAAATGTTACAAATATTTCTTTTTAGTATGGGGGATGACTTTAGAATTTCTTGGTGTCCTTTGAGATTAGAAGACTTTCATTCTCTTGGAGGCCAGTTTTTTTTTTTTTTTTTTAATGTTTCAAGCTTTTGTGTGTACTATCTTTGAAAACTCATAACAATATTTTCTTATATTTCTGTCTCTGGAATTTTTATAATTTTACCTTTTATGCTTATATCTATAATTCATTTCAAATTACTTTTCACGCATGATGTTAGTAGGGGTTGTAGTGAATTGAATTGTGGCCTCAAAAAGTCCTATCCCCAGTACCTGTGAATGTGACATTATTTGGAATAGGGTCTTTGTAGATATAATTAAGGATCCTGTGATTAGATGATCTTAGATTTAGGGTGGGCTCTAAATCCAATGACTGGGGTCACTATAAGAAAATAGAGATGGTGATTTGAGACACGGACACAGGCGAAGGTCATGTGAAGGCTGAGACAGAAATTGGAATTATGCCTTTTCAAGCCAAGGAATGTCAGGGTTCACAAGCAGATACCAGTAGCTGGGAAAGAAGTATGGCATGGATTCTCCTTCAGAGCCTCCAAAAGAACGAAATCTACCAACACCTTGATTTCAGATTTTAGGCCCCTGGAACTGTGAGAACATAACTTTTTGCCATTTTAGACCACCAGTTTGTGGTAATCTGTTGCAGCTAGCACGCGGGGCGGGGGTGGGGGTGGGGTGTCAAGGTTTTTTTATTTTCACAGATGGCATAATACAGTTGTTCTAGAACACATATCGAAAAGATTGCCATTTCATTGTTAATTATTTTGATGCCTTTGTCAAAAATCAAAGTGCAGGTCATTCCTAGACTTGCTGATTCTGTTCCATTGATCTATTTTTTGCACCAATGCTATGCTGTACTTTACATTTTCCTGTATGTCAATTCTCTACTGTCTTGATAACAGTAGCTGTATAACATCTTTTGAGATCAGATAAGATAGATCTTTCAAGTTTGTTCTTCCTTTTCAGATATGATTTTGCTATTCTCAGTGTTTTGTATTTCTATATGAATTTGGGAATTGAATTGTCAATTTCTACATTTTTTTGTAGAAATTGGACTAGGATTTTGATTTAAATTGGTTCATGTTTATAGGTCAATTGGTAGAAAATAGATATTTTAAAAACATTGAATCTTTTGAATCATGAATATAGTATAAATGCCCATGTTTTTGAGGTTCTATTTTTGTAAAATTTTCAACTGCGTTTTCCAGTTTTTCTGTACAGTTATTGCATAGCTTTTGCCAAACTGATTTATGATTATTTTATATTTTATATTATGGTAAGTGGTATTTTAAAAATTTATTTTTTTCAATTATGTTAGTGCTAGCATATAAAAATACAGTTAATATTTATATATTTACCATGCATCCTATGACTCGCCAAGTTTATTTCTTAGTTCCAGCAAGAAATTTTTGTACCTATGTCAAGATTTTATAATGTGGAATATCACATAATCTCAGACTAAAGAGTTTTAGCAGTTCTTTTTTTATCTCTATTAATTTATTTGCCTTTTTGGCTTATTGCACTGAATATGATCTGTAGTACCATATAGTATAAAATTAGTGAGAACAAATATTTTTTATCTAGTTTTCTCATATTAAGAAAAAAAGCACTCAGTCTTCAATCATCATGTCATGTCAGCTGTAATTCTTTGAAATATGTACTTTATCAGGCTGAAGATGTTTACTTTTCTTCATAGTTTGCTAGGAATTTTCATCATAAATTGGTGTTGACTTTCTAACTGCTTTTTCTGCATCTATTAAGATAATCATAAAATGTGTATCCTTTGTCCCTGAGATTTAATAGATTTTATTGGTTGATTTTTTAAAAACATATTGAACCAAATTTGTATTCCTTTAATAAGCACCCCTTCAGTCAAGACGCATTTTCCCTTTGTATTTTATTGAATTTAATTTCCTAATATCGCATTGAAAATGTTTGTGTTCATATGGGATACTGAATAGTAATCATATTTTTTTCTTTTATTGATATGTCATACTAGTACATATTTTGATGGTATGTGTGGTAGTACATGTAGGCAATGTGTAATAATCAGCTTTTAATATCAGGGAACTTCCAGCCTCACAGCATTTGTTGGAAAGAGTTTCCTCTTCTGTTTTCTAAAATAGTTTGTGTAAGATTGGTATAAATTCTTTATTTAATGTTTAATGGATTCTTCAATGAAAGAACGAGTCTGGTGTTTTTCTCATAAGAAGCCATTCCTTTTCTTTTTTGTACTTACTAAGTTACTAAACTTTTTTATTTTATCTAACGTTTCCAATTTTTGGGATATATTTCCTCATGATTTTATTTTATGTTCATATTGATATTTGTAGGTTTTATAGAAATATGCTCATTTTATTTCTGATATTGTCAATTTGTGTTTTCTCTCTTTTTATTACTCCTGTTTGGAATAATAAGTTATCAATATTATAGATCAATACTATTGGTCTTATATCAATATTGATATAAAATTGATTATTGATCTTTTCAACAAACTAACATTTGCCTTATTAATTTTTTCTATAGTTTATTTTTTTGTTTTGCTATTGTTATTTTTGTTTATTTCTGTTTGTTTACTTTTGCTAAAAGTACTTTTCAGCTTCTGTAGGTAAATACTTAAATCATTAATTTTAAATATCTTTTTCTAGTATTGATACTTTAAAAATCTATATTTTATATTTAAACTGTACCACTTTTGGATAATGTATAATTGGATCTGCTTTACTTCTATCTAGCCTATCAATTTCTGTCTATTAATTGGGACTGTTTAGTTTATTTACACTGAATATAATGATTGATCTCATTGGTTTAAGTGGACGAGCTTACTACTTGTTTTCCATTTGACCCTTTGGTGTCTTCTTCTCTTTTGCATCTTTTTTGCTTTCCCTTGGGTTATTCTTTATTTTAGCATTCTATTTCACTTCCTTATTGACTTCGCAGCTATATCTCTTTATGTTTTTAATTGGCTCTCTATGGTAAACGATATGCAGCCTTAACTTGTCGGAATCTGTTACCCCTTCACTCTTCACATGATCTGAGAAGCCTAAGGAGGTTTGGCCCAGCACAGGGATAGCCCAGTCCTAAACCAGAGTCTCCTACCGTGAACTTAAGAATCCCTGTCCATTTTGCTCAGCTCTCTTCTCTCCTGGGTTCTGTCCTGCAGATTCAAGCCACTTCAGCTGCCTAAACTCTCGTGCCTGCCCCATCAGGTCAGTGGAACACTCCAGCTATGCTTGGATTCCAGTTCTCTCAGATGTGATCATAAAATTATGCTCAGGTAGCAGTGGGTTTTCAGAGTGCTCACCTTGTCAGGTTCCCTTCTCAGTCATCACAGTTTGTGCTGCATGTTGACCACTGCCTGAATTCAACTGCTTCATGTATTTTGTCAAGTTACAAACTTTTATGTGGTCAATGGGCTAGTCTGGTACCAGTTATTAAGTTATGACCAGAAGTAGAAGTCTTATTAGAATGTACTGTTTTGAAAAGGAAAAATACCGACATGTACAGCAAGAGCAAACTTGGGGTTGGAGAAAGATTACCGTATAATTATAAAGATCAACAATTGAAAGGAATTTGTGTGGGGAGGCACCACAAAAAGTAACATGATTTATAAGCAGACATGTTTTTGTGTCTCATTTTTCATACGTATCTGTAATGTAAGATGGAGTTAAAAATCACAGTCTTTTGAGTTACACAAAAACGGATTTGAATCACTTTTGCCTCATATAAGTTAGATGAATATTTCTCTCTCAAATATCAATTTACCCATCTATGAAGTTGAAATATTTATATTACCTATCACAAACCTTGTTTTGATGGTCATTGAAAGTAATTAAAGTAAGTTATGTAATGAATCTGAATGTAATGAAGTTATGGAATGAATAAAATTATGTAATGAATCTCAATAAATGTAAGTTATTATCTTTATCATCTGCAGTAGAATTATTATTATTACTGCCTTATCATTAAGGCATTCTTAAATACTTTGTTACAATTAGATGGTTAATAATATAAAAGTTAGTTTTTTACAAACTTAAAGTAAATTCTTACTGAAGAACTAGGTTTATATGTGGGGGTGTGTGTGTGTGTTAACTCAAAATATGCAATACCCACACACTAAATATACACAGTCCTTTGAGTCAATACATAAATTTAGGTACAGCATAGGTCCAACTCTACTCTATGTTCTTTAACTTGACATTTAACTTGACATATGCTGAGTATAGCTTTGACCCACAAACGTAACATTATTTAGATGTATTTTAGGATAAGAATGTAAATGTGAGTCATCATTTGGTTATGACTTTATTTTTAGTTAATTCTTAACTAAAATTTTAACAAGTTTCAGAAAGACATTGCAGTCTGAGTTTGACCTACAGATCAATCCGATAAAGATCAAATTTGAGCAGGACTTTTTCTTTCCCCAATTTGTCTGTCTCTAGAATGGTTATCTATGTAATACAAGAGAATTCTTAGCTGCACTCACCCAATAAAATAAAAATTCTACATTACCAGCAGATAATTAATTTCTGTTTTAAGATTTCTGGGTGAATAATTCATTATTATGTTCAGCAACCCAAATAGTGACAAGTTAAAACTTTACTCAGTAAGGACAATAAAGGAGATAGTACCCATTCTTGTCTGTCACATTGGTCTAGTTGGAAATAGAAGAGCTGACATCAGAGGCCTTTATAGTCTCAGATAGTAGGTATTATACAAAATTCTGATCACTTCCATATAAGATTGAAATGGAAATAGTTGGAAAACAGCTGTTTTATCTTGTCAGATCCTTTAATGGGACTTAAGGTTCACACTAGCAGAACCCAAGAATATTTGCAAGAAATTGCTAAGTAATGAAAATTTATCCTGCAGTTCCAACCAGAAATGAAAGTATCATGTCAGTGCAATTCCCATCAGATGGTCTTTAGATAAAGAATCTGGGCTTTTAACTTCATTTAATGAAAAAAACCTTGGTAATCAGTCTTGTAGTGTAATGGAACTTTTATCTCACTGTGTAAGTAAATTATGGATGGAGTTATACACCCAGGAGGTGACCTACATAGTATACTCAAAAGGCAAAATTAAGAATGGTATTCGACCTTGAACCAAATTTCACACCTGTACTGAAAAATTAGGGGTAAGCTTGGTAAAGTGCTGAATGCAAACATCTCCCAGACAAGCCAAAGTATTTTATTCCCCAAACATTCCTCCTGGATGTGGATCCTTACTAAATCTCAACTTTAGGAGTTCTTCTCTTGGTTGGGCACAGTGGCTCAGGCCTGTAATCCCAACACTTTGGGAGACCAAGGCAGGAGGATCGCTTGAGCCCAGGAATTCAAGATGAGCCTGCACAATGTGACGAAACCCCATCTCTACTAAAAAAAAAAAAAATACAAAAAGTTAGCTGAGCATGGTGGTGCTTACCTGTGGTCCCAGCTACACTCAGTCCCAGGCTGAGTTGGGAGGATCACCTGAGCCATAGGAGGCAGAGGCTGCAGTGAGCCAAGATGACCCTACTACTGCACTCCAGCCTGGGCATCAGAGCAAAACCCTGCCAAAAAAAAAAAAAAAAAAAAAAAAAGACAATTTTTCTCTCTTTGTTTTCTTTGTTTTTTAGAGAATAAATCTGAAACTGCTTGAAATGTGTTAATCTGCACCTTTGGTTGAGACCATGACCTTCGGCATTAGAAAGACAATAGTTCAAACATCAGCTTAGATATTACTATATTTGTGACTCTGGATGATTTACATACAACTTTTGAACCTCAATTATCTTATATGCAAAATGGGACTAGAACTTGCCTGGCAGAGTTAATTTGGTAAATCAGTAAAATAATTTAAAAGAAATGATATTACTATGCTTAACACATTTTAAATACTCAAAAGTAGCTATAATTATTATGGATGTTATGTATTTCAAATGTGTAAAGTTTTAAGCAAGGTACTAAACCTATGGCCCCCTTTTCCTATAGTTAAAGTGGGGGTTATTTAAAGGAAAAGAAATCATTATATTGAAGATACCTGCACTGGTATGTCTGTCACAGCATTATTCACAATAGCAAAGATATAGAATCAACTTAAGTGTCCATCAACATGATTGGATAAAGAAAATGTGATATATATCTATATATATAGGCAATGTATAATATAGACATATATCTCATATATATATACCTTCAAATATATACATCTACATATGCCATCAAATATATACATATATATACCATCAAATATATACATATATATATATATACCATCAAATATATACATATATATATATAGACACACACACCATGGACATAAAAATGAATGAAATCATATCTTCTGCAGCAACATGGATGGAACTGGAGGCCATTATCTTAAGTAAAATAACTTAGAAACAAAGAGTTAAATACTGCATGTTCTTACTTGTAAGTGGGAGCTAAATACTGTGTACACATGGATATAGAGAGTAGAATAATAGACACTGGAGACTCAGGAAAGTGGGAGGAGGGGAGGGAGTGAGGAATGAGACATTACCTATTTGATACAATGTACTCTATTCAGGTAACGGTTACATTAACAGCCCAGATTTCACCAGTAGGCAATGTACTCATGTAACAAAACTGTACTTGCATCCATTAAATCTATAAAAATAAATAAGTCATAAAGTGAGGATATTATAACTATATTATAAAGTTGTTGTAAAAATTAAACAAGTTATTGCATGCCACGTGAGGGAAACAGTGCTTGCCATTTTGTAAGTGTTCCATAAATGTTAGCTTTTATTTCAAGTGAGAATATCAGATAGTGTTTAAGAAGAACACCAGCTGGCTGTGGAACCTTCCTGCCAGGAATTTAATACTAGCTTTCTCAGTTACTTAACCTCTCTGTGCTTCAGTTTCCTCATCTGTAAAATTTGTGTTTCAATAATAGCATTTCCCAAACAAACTACTTGGGAGGATTAAGTGGGCTAATACATATAATAAACTCAGAATAGCACCTGGCACATGTAAATGCATGATAAATGGTTTTGTGCTTTTGTATGTGAGTATATGCTATTTTTTCCAAAAAACAAAATAGAGAAAATTATAAAGACTCATATAACAAGCATCCATATGCTCAGTACTAAAAAGTAACAAGTGCTAACATGTTGTATCATTCTAACAATATAAAAATATTTCAATAGCCTTTTTATTCTGAAGTGAAATATTGAGAGTTTTTTCCTTTTTTTCTGTAACGCTGCCACACTGAATTTTAAAATGCAAAGTACTAGATATTAGTAAAGACCATGCGTCCTCGAAATCAGATTTCTTAAGTTTGAATTAGTAAAGACCATGTGTCCTTGAAATCAGATTTCTTAAGTTTGAATTCTAGTTCCACTACTTAGTACCTATGAAATCCTAGCTGTTTCCTAAACTTCTTTTATCATGCTTTCTCACCGGTAAAGTGCTGGTGATACGTTCTTTGCAGGTTTGTTACAAATGAAAATAAAAGTAGGAAAAATTCTCAGCACAGAGCTTTGCCATGTAGTAAGTGCTCATTTCACTGGAAAATAAATTCCTGAAATATTTTCATAAAGTCATAGGAGTAAAATGGGATTTGAAAAGCCAGCTAATCTACTCCCTTTTTAATGCAATTTTTACATCTTTAAATTTATGAAGATCTCACTGGTATATTTAATCTCCTTGAATAGTGATTTTTTTTGGACTATTGGTTTTAACATTTTCATAGGATGTAAAGTTATTTTAATTAGTTGCGATCAGAATTAAAAGATACTCTATTTCAATTTAAGCTCTACAAGGGCAGGGTTTTGCTTATTTCGTTATGTATATATGTATACGCACACACACACACACACACACACACACACACACACACACACACAATCTCAAGTGCCACATGGTAGATGCTCAAATATTTTCTGAGTGTTAAATGAATAAATGAATAAGAATAGGATTGATTCAAATGGTTATTTTTAACTACATAAATTTCAAATATTTGTTTGAATAAATATATAAATGTTGTATTTCCTTCTGACCTGAACCCCATCATATAGTCTATATGATTTACGCATATAGACTATAATAGCTAACATTTATTTAGCATTTACTACATGCTAAGTACTATCCTCAGCACTTTGCCAGTATTAGCTCATTTACTCCTCATCCCAGTCCTGTGAGGAGGCCATTATTAGCCTATTTTAAAAATGGAAGCTGAGATACAAAGAACTAAGTAATTCTCTCAGGACTAAATAGCCAATAAATGTGAAAGCATTTCACAAATTCAGCTGCAAACCTTGGCAGTAAAGCATTTGCTTCTGGCTAGAGTCCATGTCAGCCCCTGTTTGTATTTAACAGACAAAGAAGAAGATACTTTAACAATGAATCATTCTTGTGAGAAAAAAAAAAAAATGGTGGTGGTAGATTCAGTTCTAAAATCTCACCAGATGACACAATCTTCTACCTCGTGAAATACTGCAGAACTTAAAAAGAGAAAAGAAAAGAAGACCTCTTTCCTCCTACAGGGTAAGAGGATTGGAAAATCACTTGCACTTTTCTCTTTATCACTTCTGTTGACTTGGAATGCAAACTTTCAAAAAGTAACATGTGTGGTGTAGTGTGATTTTTAACTAAGGTTGGATTTCAGTTTCACTAAAGAGCCAGAAATAGATAGAACAGACCAACTAAGCCCTGCTTTGTTTTCCTAAAAATCTTTCCTTAAATATAAAACTGTCCCTGGACCTGCTACCATCTTTCTATGCTACACCAGAGTTCATTTCACCTTACTCTGGGCCACCTTTTAAAATGTCTATTAACGGTCTTGTTTTATTGACACATCTCTGCTGTCTACCTCGCTGGTTCAAGAAGTTCTCAAGAATGGATTGTTTTCTCAATCAGTTTTATCCTAGTGCTTAGCACAGCCCAGAACTTCTTGAGCATTCCACAAATATTAGTTTAACCAGTGAAAGAAGGATGACAATGGTTTAAGAAAAAGGGATACTGTCTATACTCCCAACAGGCACACTGTACTGTGGGCTGACAATCAGAGGAAAATGTGTTCTTCTTTAGCTATAGGTTTAAGCTCTTAAATGAATAACAAATCAAGACCTTCACCCACACTAAAGAAGGCAATTTCATTATTATTATTAAGATGCTTAACACATTGTTGATTGTTGACACTTGATTGAGGTATTCTTTACTTGAGATGGCCATTGAAGCCTCTAAGGTTGAAAACTGCTAAACTGTGAAGGGAAACACAAAAGATAAAGGTCTGCATTTTCTTTGATCTAGTCAGGGTGTCTGATTGCAATTTACTCTCTTTAAAAATTTTATTGGATTGAACCTTAACTGAGAAAAGAGCGATAGGAGAGAGACTAATATTTTAGACATTTTCATATTAATTTAGAGAAGTAAGGCAACAATAGGGCTGCACCCACAGACCTTTATTCAGTTTTGAATCTAAATTACTTGGGGATACCAATCCTTCTTCATTGTGCAGCTACATGCACCCACACAACATATACAGAAATACATATTCCCCCCTTTCTCTCTCTTTATTCCCAATTGTATGTTCCTTTAATATGCTGTACTTAGATTTTTATTCATATGTTGTTTCTTCTTTGCCAGAAAAGAATGCAGAGCCTCCCAAGGGTAAGAAATACTTTGTTTGCGTATCTGTCATATACATTCTCAGCACTTTCACCCACTTGGGTTTCCTGTCATAAGCTTTTCTTTAGATTGAGCAACTAAAGCTCAGATAAATCAGAAGAATTGCCTCAAAGATGCACAGATCATATGTTTTATTGTTGGACCCCATACGAGGGACTATCATAGGGTTTAGTGCTGGACCCCATACAAGGGACTATCATAGGGTTTGTTATCTGTGTGAAATGAGAGTACATATCTGTGTGAATTTGATCGGGTTACATGCATAGAATCAAGTTGTGTTTACCTATATGCCTATTAAACCCATTCCAGTGTAGGTTTCAATTGAGTATTGAGTAGTGAAATCTAAAGAAGATGCATGTGTTATTTTCTGGTGGAATAATTTTATTTTCCCTTTGTAGATTGGCAAAAAAAAATGATGAGAACAGCTTAAATTTTGTTTTGGGGAAAATCTTTTAACAAAAAGTTGTTGTCATGAATTTTGTTGCTTTATGTATCTATATATCTATATCTATATCTATATCTATTACTTCTTCAAGGTCCTTTAGGGACTCAACCATTTTTCAATAACAGATTTTTAGCAGTAAAGTTGCATATATTCCCTATATCATCCCTTCCATGAAAGGAAGTGGATCCTAAACAACTTGGGTTGTAGGAATGATAAATCCCTAATGTTTATGTGACTCAGCAGGTAGGGGATAAAGGCTTAATTTTTGAAGGTATATTAAGGTAAGTAATTAGGGAACCATTATGTGCTAGAACAGTATATCTCCAAAGACAATCTACTTCTACTTAGCTTTACTGACCTGCCCAGTAAATTCCACAGAAGCTGATGGCGTAATCCAAATCCAGCCTATTCCAAGAAACACATTTAGATATAATTTTAGTTAGAGTCATTGTTGAGTTTGAAAGAGATGAACACATTTCCCTTCATCTTGAAATGTTCCCTTTTGGAAAATCTAATTCTCCCCAAGAAAATGATTGGATACCTAAATCATCTTTGAAAAGTAAAATCTTTCCCTAGATCTTATCTCATCTTTTAAAGCTCATGTGTTTGTCTCTGACAATGCTATAAATGCATTTTCAAGAGAGGAATTTGTCCTACTCTTTAAATTACTTTTATGAATAGTCAAAGTGATTTTCCTTTAGTGTTCAAACTTCCTGCAGATGATTAGTCCACACTTCCAGAAACCAAAATATATAAAGACTTCTTCCTAAATTAGTCATATAACTTTATATTGGGCAATAAGTGAATACTGTGCAATTTTGCTTTGTCAGTAATCTGACAAATACTGAAAAATACTGATGTATATCAAGATTCAACTTCTGAGTGCCCAGTGGCTTTCTAAACTGATCAGTTAAAAAGTTTTGTCAGACGCCTGTAGTCCCAGCCACTCTGGAGGCTGAGGCAGGAGAAGGGAGTGAACCCGGGAGGCGGAGCTTGCAATGAGCTGAGATGGCGCCACTGCACTCCAGCCTGGGCCACAGAGGGAGACTCCGTCTCAAAAATAAAAAAATTAAAAAAAATTTTTAAAAAAGTTTTGTCATCCAATGACAACAAGTTTAAAAATATTTTAAGAGAAGTATGAATAAGTAAATACTGTATCAGATTGATTATAAATTATAGAAAAGTTAAAATAGGTCAGATTTTTCATTCTTCGTTTTCATAGTTTGAGATTCTTAGATTATTAAAATAGAAAGGAACTGGTTTTCTAAAGGAACTGGATTCAAAGTCACTTCTATCTTATGAACCCATTGTATACATGACATCTGATGAAGAAGACCAATATGAAAAGCAGGGGAGAGTCTCTGGTTGAATCAGAAAGCTCCTGGCCACCACAAAACTTGTAACTTGCTCCTTGTCCTGGTGGCTCAAGAAGTTTGTGAGGTATAGTTTGAAAACTACTGATCTAGTCAAACAGTACTTTATAGAGGGATAAAAAAAAAATTCTGGAGATGTGGCATGAACTGAATTATTTACGATCACACATAGAAGTGAAGGCAAAATTTAAAATGGAAATCAGCACACCTTTAAAACAGCCTTCTCCATGGAAACATCCCTGAGAAATTTTCACCCTTACTGATCATTTTGTCTTCCCATCTTCTCAGCAAACACATCATTTATTGGCTATGTCCACAGTAACAATGTAATTTGTGAAATGTTTCAGGTCAGTGAAGTAATCTGGGAGAATTGAAAATGCTTTGAGGGTAGAACTACATAGCACAGCTTTTTGAGTCCCATAGAGTGCTTTTGGTCTATATAAACAAACAATGGATAAAAGGAAGATAAGACCAACAATACAGTATTATACAGTATTGCTTTGGAGGCAATATATAGCACAGAACACTTTTATACAGAACGTGACAAGTGTTTCAAAGGAAAGGATTTCATGCAAAAGTAAACTTGATAAAGTCTGCACTAAACAAAGTTAAACAGTAATGATTGCCTCCTCTGAGTTTTGAATATGCTAATGTATATTAAGAATCTGCAATAATGGGAATTTTTCGAATTTTCCATAGAGCCTTAAAAATATGATAGATATTGCATGCCTCAAGTTCATGGTCTGCAGAATATATTTAGTAAAATTTAAGAAAGGAACAAGACTAGAAGTCAGAAGTTTGATGTTTTGAACTCAAACCCTGTGCCACAAAAACTTTGGAAAGCAACTTCTCTGATCATCAGTCTCTTCATCCATAAAATAGCATTGCCTATCTGAGAGTTAAATATCAAAGAAGATTAATATAAAAGGCTTTGCAAAAAGTTAAGCTCCACTGAAACATAAAGCATGTTTATTGTGTTGTAAGTTTACAAATATAACTTTACTGATTGACTTGAATAGAGGCACAAACAGCATCCCTTCAACAACATTTTCAGAATAAAACAATGATATTTCTAGACAATAGTGTCTCAAATAAAAAACCAAAGTTTTATTCAAATAACTTGCAATTATGATAGATATTTTTCAATTTTATTTAGTAGCCAGGAATTTGAATGTTAATTACTTTATCGTGAACTTATTTCTTCCATGAAGAAGCTAATTGAAAAATTACCAAATTCTGTATTTTTGTAAACATAACAAAAAGATACATTGAGTAAATATTTTAAATCTACTCAAGTTACTTGAAGATTTTTCTTTATGAGAGGTTACAAAAATTAAACAAATTCACATTTCTAACAAAGAACAACATATTCTCTCTACAAATATATACATTGTATAATGTAATACTAAGTCTAAAAAGATTTGCAAGGCATGGTGGCTCACACCTGTAATCCCAGCACTTTGGGAGGGCAAGGTAGGAGGATTGCTTGAGGCCAGGAGTTCAAGACCAGCCTGGGAAACACAACGAGACCCTGTATCTGCCAAAAAAAAAAAAAAAATTGACCAGCCATAATGGCAATGGCCTGGGGTTCCAGCTACTCAGGAGGCTGAGGTGGGAGGATTGCTTGAACCCCAGAGTTTGAGGCTGCAGTGAGCTATGATCACGCCACTGCACTCCAGCGTGGAAAAAACAGTAAGACCCTGTCTCAAAAAAAAAAAAAAAAAAAAAAAAAAAACCCTAGGAAGATAAATTTAAGCTACTGGTTATTTTTAAAATAATTAGTCACAATATTTTTCTAAGGAAATAAAGCTCTTTTGAAACAACTAATATTCTGATTTACTCTAATTTGCCTTGCCCATGTCATCAAAACACTTTTGTTATAGAAGGACTACAAAAGGCTCTCATAACTAATAGTCTTATTAGAAATGTTTTAATGCATAGAAGTAGTCATTTAAAGGAAAATGAAGACTTTTATGCCAAAAGAATGTTGAATTGATATAAATGGAAAAAGTAGAACAAGGTTTCCCTGTATTTACATTTGGATAAAATCAAAGAAGAATATAAGTTCCATGAGGGCATGCATTCTATCTACTTAGTTTACTACTGAATCTCAGAGCCCAGAAAAATATTTGAAATATGCAAGGTGCTTTACACAAATACTTGTTCATAAGATCCAGGATTGACAGTGCCCTGGTGCCTGACGGTGGCAAACAAATATCCTTTCTGGAAAAAGATAACATTGTCCAAGTTTTCAAATTATTTCTACAAACCCTATTTCAATATTTCCTACACATAATAAAATACATCCAGGCAGATAAATAAATTGCAACACAAGCGACAGGAGACACAGAAGCACAGGTACTACAGATAACTGGAAATAAAAAAATAACAGATAAATTTGCAAATTTGTAATGAACTCTCAACTCAGAATTATATAGTCAATTAAAATATTGTTCAATAACCAGGTTAAATAAATAAAATGTAATATAGCAGGTCTAAAAAATAACCAAATAAAATCCTATAATAGATAAAATAATCTAAACCATTTAATAGATGTTATAGTGGAAAAGCTAGATTTACTGAAACAGTATTTGGTTAAAACAAGTAATATGCTGAGAGATATGTTAGAAGAAACTATCCAGAATTAAGACAGTCAAAAGGACACAATATAGAAATCTGAGTAGAAAACAATAAGAGAGGATGAGAAGGTCTAATAGAAGAGTCATGAATGGAAAGAATAAGAAGAATTAGGCAAAGCAATATTCAATAAATGTTATGATCTGAATGTGTCCCTCCAAAATTCATGTTACAACCTAAGACCCAATGTGGTAATATTAAGAGGTGGGGTCCTTTGGAAAGTGATTAAGTCATGGTGGCTCTGCTCTCGTAAACGGTATTAGTGCCCTGGTCAAAGGGCTTGAGGATACAGCGTCTGTCCCTTCCACCATGTGAGGATGGGATGCTGGGGTAAGTCACCATCTATGGAGTAGAGAGTGAGATCTTACCAGATAATGAATCTGCTGGCGCTTAGTTCTCGGTCTTCCCAGTCTCCAGAACTGTGAGAAATAAATTTCTATTATTTATAAATTACCTGGTCTAGGGTATTTTGTTACAGCAGCATGGACAGACTAAGACAATGAGGTTGATCCTTGCCCAAAAGAAGTAGAATGCATAAATCCACAGGATCAATAGGCCTAACAAATATGGAGCAGTATAAATGGAAGTTAGCACCTAGTCATATTGTAGCAAAATGTCAGAAAAACAAATAGAAACGTAAAATTATAAATGCACTAAGAAAAAAAAAAGAAAATAACAGGATGCCTTCAAAGGAGCCCCAATTAGAATGGCAATAAACTTCTTTAAAATAATAATAAAAAACAGAAAACAGGCCCGACACGATGGCTCACACCTGTAATCCCATCATTTTGGGAGGCCAAGGTGGGCAGGCCACTTGAGGTCAGGAGTTCAAGACCATCCTGGCCTATGCAGTGAAGCCCTGTCTTTACCAAACATATACAACATTAGCCAGGTGTGATGGCATACCTTTGTAATTCCAGCTACTCAGGAGGCTGAGAGAGGAGAATCACTTGAACCCTGGAGGCACTGGTTACAGTGAGCTGAGATTGTGCCACTGCATTCCAGCCTGGGTGACAAAAAAACCAAAGCAACAACAACCAAAAAAACAGAAAACACTGGAATAATATCAATGCACTGCAAAAAAACAGAATTAGATAATATTCAATGAAAATATTATTCAGTAATATTGTTTAATAATTTTATTATTTAATAATAATAATTGTTTAATAATCAACGTGAAATAAAGACATCTTTCAAAATCAAAAATTGAGAGAATTTACCAGCAAAACCCCCTGAGTCAGGTTACATTTTCCAATTATTGTTTTTTAAAAGTGTGACTGGCACTGCACCTGCTCAGAAATAGGATCTATGTTGTCTCCCCTGGAATCTGAATGGGCTCTGTGACTCCTCTTATAAATAAGTATGGAAGAGGTAATACTTTGAGACTTCTACAATAAGGTCACAAAGATTATTCTCTTCTCTCTGTCTCTGTCTCTCTTTCTTGCTTTCTTGAATTTTGCCTTTGGAACTCATGCATGCTGTGAGGAACTCCAACCCAGGCCACATGTGGGAGAGCACACAGAGAAAATAACAGGAAAAGAAACTGAAGTTCCCCATCAATAGACAGCATCAATTCCAGACAAGTAAGAAAACAAGACTTCAAAGATTCCAGTCCACAGCCTTTTAACTCTTCCAACCAAGGCTCCAAACCTGTGGAGTAAAGATTAATTATCCCCCTATACCCTATCTACATTTCCAACACACATAAACTATGAGAGACAATATAAACAACTTAGTGTTGAGACTTGTAATGTAATCACAGTACCTGAAACTAATTTTGGTACCAAGAGTGGGGTCCTATGTAACAAAGACTTTAAAAAGCCACAATGACAATGAATGGGACAGATGGAAGTTGAAAGGGCTTTGAACAGGCTGAGAGTGGAAGCCTGATGGAGACGATCAGTGAGAGATTATTTAAAAAAATAATAAAGGAGGAAAATTTGACACTTGAAGAAAGGGAATCCTTGTTAACATACTGGCAAAAAGTTTACCGACACTACACTCACAGTAAAGTAGTAAGTAGAAAATGTACTTAGTGAAATGGATAATTTATTTAAGGAGATTTCTGGGTAGAGTGTAGAAATGCTTCCTGGCTTCTTTTTGCTGCTTATAATAAAATGCTAGACAAGAGAAATAAACAGGAAGGCCTGTTAAGTAGAGAGGATCCAAGACTTGCATTCAAAAATAAAACCGTCTCTCTTTCCAACATCCAAGATTCTCAAAAAAGAAAGTATTTCAGAGCAAAGCAATATTCTTTATAAAGACTGCAAGTATATGAAATGGTGCCTATGAGAATTGTAGAGTGAAACATAAGTTCCTTTATGGATCTTAAAGACATGCTATATTTTTTAGAATTTCATTTAAAAAATAAATCTCAAATTCAAAGTTAATAAAACATAAGGGTTGACTTTTACTGTTAGAATAATATTTTTCCAATGCCCCCAAATTGGATTGACCAATAATTTTCTATTCATGCAATATAGCATTTAGCTTCTTGCAATATGCTGGGGTCTTCATTGACCACTTAATAACCAGGAAGCCAAATTAATAATCTACAGCATAAAATGAATATAATTTCTCAAATCAAGAGTACTGTATTTCATTAAATCCGGCCATTGATAGATATATCTTTTATATAAAACTAAAAAAACTGACAAATAAACTATGACACAATACTCCCTTATTTTATAAAATCTTATTACTAAAATTTGTATTTATACTCATTACATTCAATTATTTAAGGTTTTTTAGGTTTTTTTCTTATAAATAATTTCCGTGTGGTATGTAAAAAGATAAATACTTTTGAAATGGTTAAAGTACTTCTAAAACATCTTAAAATTAACTTCTAATTATCTTGATTCCCTTTATATCTCAGAGCTGTTGATGTCATTGTTTTCCCACACCATAGTTTCTTTTGTGCCATCCAAGACATTATTGGTGCAGCATTTCTAAAAGATTCCTCCACTGTTGTCTGTAGGATTTTCTTCTAAGCTCTGACATCTCATCCATTCTGCAAATTTTACTGCTTTCCTGATTTTACCAGATGATAACAATAGAAGGTTTTCAGGAAATATCTAAAACACATAGTTCTCAAGTGATTCTTAGGCGATTTAGTATTTTAAATGTCAAAAGGTCACAGGTATCCAGTGATGCCACAAATAATAATGACAAAATTTATATGTGTGCAAGCCACTACTTCATGGATGCCTTCTGGCCAAAAATAATTTTAAGATGTTCTGATTGTGAGCTATCTCTAGATTAAGATGTTAAATTATGACAAAATATGCATGCTAGAATCAATAAAGGATGATATTTTGGGTAAAACTATATGTCACTTAATAGCATGTGTTGTCCTAGGCCTAGAGTACTTTATTTTTATTTTTTTATTTTTATTTTATTTTATTTTATTACATTATATTTTATTTTTTTTTGAGACGGAGTCTCGCCCTGTCGCCCAGGCTGGAGTGCAGTGGCGCGATCTCGGCTCCCTGCGAGCTCCGCCTCCCGGGTTCACATCATTCTCCCGCCTCAGCCTCCCGAGTAGCTGGGACCACAGGCGCCCGCCACCACGCCCGGCTAATTTTTTGTATTTTTAGTAGAGACGGGGTTTCACCGTGTTAGCCAGGATGGTCTCGATCTCCTGACCTCGTGATCCGCCCGCCTCGGCCTCCCAAAGTGCTGGGATTACAGGCGTGAGCCACCGCGCCCGGCCAGTCTAGAGTACTTTAATAAGCTCACTTAGATTTTTTGTGGATCCAAGAGTGACATCCAGTAGGATATAAATGAATTAGATTTTCCCTTTCCCAAAGGCAACCTGAAAGTTATATTAGAGACCCTATAAAGTGAAGAATTGGACCCTGCCTACCTACAGTGGTTTAATTTAATCAGAATCACAAGCCCAAGCTAGTTGGTTATTTATTTCTGCTGCCTAAGCTCTAGATAATATAAATGAAATTTTATATGGTGCCAGTGCTCCTCTGATCAACATAGCTTTGAGTAGCAATCTGTTTGGTGTGAGAAAATTAGTAAAATTTTGATAAATATCAGGGCTCTGCAAGTTGAATCTGATGGTATCAAGCAAGTCTAATAATAGGATGGGGTATTACCATTCATAGGTTTTCAAGACTTTCATAAGCTCATTTGTATTTCCACAGTTCCAAATTTCCTGGAGAATAAACACAAGAGTTACAACTTGATGACAGATCCCTATGCATTCCAAATGGCCACAAACAAGTACTCTATTCATGGAAATTTTGCTAACCCTGGATATTTACACTGGTTTTAAACCAAGTTCAGTGTTCCAAATAACAAGTGCTCCAGAATTATGAGAGTCAAACATTCTGTTTAAAAAATTTGTTTAGCTAGTATTTGGGCATAAAAGTACTTTTTTTGCTAAGAGATATAGAATGTATTTGTACTGATAGCTCACTATTTATGAAATGTATCATTTATATCTGCTATCTGCTATTTAGGCCCATCTATATGTATATGATTATTTGCAATCTGCAAATAGTTATAATTAAATGTAGCCAAGCAAAAGCATGATACCTGCAAATTTCTCTCCAAACTGAGTATAATTGCTGCTGATCAACTAGTTATCAAATGTCTTTTTTCTGCTTGCTTTATATCAGTAATTTTAATATGAACGTATTGATATTTAAAGCATCATCAGAGTAGTATGTTTCTTTCTGTTAAACTTTGCTATGTGTTTTAGTGTTTGGATAGAATCAGTGAGTGAAATTTTGCAGGCGTGTGTTTAACATGAGAGGAGGCAAGATAAAGTATACTGCTTTGACCAGGTCTGCAAGTAATGTATTAATAGTATTTACATTCCTGACCTCAAAAATCAGTTCATGTAAATTTCTATCTTGTTCAACATATTGGCAAAGGCAAGACTGCCAGAAAGACAATTTAAAATGCCAATGTGGTACAAAGTAAGAGGGATGTCCAGGAGAGTTTGGAGTGAGTGAGGCTTTCAAATCTGGGCCCGTGGCGGAAAATGGGGGAAAAAAGTGCATGTTCTCTGGCTTTGTTACCAAAGTAGGAGGGTAGCATTCAGATGTTGCTCTGTCCAATAGCAGGGTACAGTGGTAAACGCTCTGAGCTTAAGATTTAGAGGACTCAGAGAGAGAGGTTAAGAGGCTGGCCCAAGGTAACTAACATAAAAGAAGCAGGATTTGCAGTTTATTCTTATGTTTTGTTTTGTTTTTTACTCTATAAAAACAACCACTATTATAGGTAATCTTGTGTATCAGAAATATATATATATATATATATATATATAATTAAATCTCCATAGATAGCTCTTCTATGGTCTTGAATTCACTTGAATGTGCATGACATCATCCATAAAACTTAGTGGTTTAAACTAATAAGCATTTGTGATTGCTTTGACATCTATGTGTCAGCTGAGTGGTTCTGCTGATCTGAGCCAGGTTTGGCCCATCTTGGCTGGGCTTCCTCATGCATCTGTGCTCAGCTGGCAGGTGAACAGGGCAGTGGGTGTCCCTTTATGGACCTCACCCATGTCTGGCACTTGGCTGGCAGTCACCTGGCACAACAGTACACAATAGGCCCTGTGTCTTTCATTGTCCAGCAGAGTATACTGAGCTCGTTTTTATGTTTATGGCAAGTATTGAGAGTGAGAGGCAATGTGCAGGCCCTTGGAACTGGCATCTTTCACGTCCATCACAATCTTTTAGACAAAGCAATTCATGCAACCAATCCCGATTCAGGGGGTAGAAAAAACATACTCTCATCATGATGGGAAGAGCTATAAAGTCACATTGCAAATGGCTTGAATACAAAAAGGACATATTTTTAATTATTCTATCAAAGCTTGAATAAGAATGCTTTAGAAATCTCAGATAAAATATTTCAAAAGAGGTCACAGTTTAGCTGAAAGTAAGAGTTAAACAAATGTTATAAATGCAACAATTAAAAAAGGTGAATGTTTTGGCTCATGTGGAGATAAAGGAGTAGAGTACTAATAGTGTAAATAATTGAAGTTTCATGAAAGCAATTTTATGTAGAAGTACTTACTTTAATTTATATGACGTGTTAATGGTTGAAAAAGTGAGATGAAGAAATTACACTTATTTAGTGAACTGATTAATTCTAAAATATTATTGTAACATAGTTTATCTTCTGCTTGCAAAATTTCTATATTTGGCTACTGAGCCTAAAGTATTCCAATGTAGATTCATGTGAAAGGTTCTACATATCAGACAAACCCAATTAAGAATGTGATAGGGATATAGCATCACAGAGCAGTTTATTACAAGGTTTTTTAAAAGAAAGTAATTGTTAATGTAACTATTTGTTTTATTTTTCTTCTAATATCCAAGTACATAAGAAAATAACAAAAAAGACTGATTGCATCAATACAAAAATAAAAACAGATGGTCATGAACTTTTACTTACAATTATTCAATAACCTTAGAAAAATATAAAGATCATTCTCCTGCTTTGAAAGAATATGAAAGGTCATCTGGTTGATCTTTCTGACTTTAGATGGAATATTCTTCTCTTAACACACAGTTCTATATTTAGCAACAACATTTTTAGACCAGTGTACACAAAACAACAAGAGATTAGTCATTTCAAAAAATGAGGTTAAAAAAACCTTGATTTTATACTGCAATTAGTATGTCCCTGCCCCCACCTTGAACTTATTCTGTACCTCCATTCTGCATCTCCATTCTTTCGAGTGCATTGTAGCCTCTGATTATGTTACCCAGGGACAAGACACTTAACCTCACTGGAATCGTTTTCTACTTTGATGAGCAGGAGACTTATATACTGTTAAAGTTGGATGCTGTATTACATGTGATTACACTAAAAACCAGAACACTGTAAATGTTAAGTGTGGATTTTGCAGACACATTGGTCTTTAAATCCTTTTTCTGTACTTTCTAGTTAAATCTCATTGGTCAATATTTGAGCTTTATTAGACTTGATGTCTACATATGAGGCAAGCAGATAATCACATTAACTCCCTTAGTTCCCATGACAAGTAACTAAGAAAATGCATTAAATGAGTCCCTTGCACATTTCCAATGTGTGGCAAGTGCTTCCATGGTAGTCATAAAATGAATAAAAAAATGGTTAGACACATCAGTTTTTCCTAACTTATTTGATATAGATGATAAGCTAACGATTATTAACAAAAGAAGATAAAAGACTGCGGTACCAAGCTCTGAGCTGAATAGAGCATCGGTCACTGGATTACTCCAATCACCTTCAGGTTGCGTAAGCTTAGGACCACAACAGATGCACATTGGACTCGATATTATTCAATCACCACAAACAGAAACACCCACAATCTCTTTGGAAGAAAATTTTTGATTAATTCATTTAGTGTTTTATTTAATATTATAATTACTTAATTGTTAATGACTTTCCTGCTCTACCTAAAAAGTTTCCATTTAAAGGTTTTCTTTCTCATTTATTAAGAATATTCTAAAATCTCTTTTTTTTCTTATCTCTCAATTTTCTCCAAACAACAAAATTGTCCAGTATATCCATTTTTCCATAGCTATCTTTAGCTATTTTAACTCTGAACACATCAGTTGAACTGTGGAATAATTTACATTTGTTCAACAATAAACAAACATATAGAAAGCTGATAGATCAATGTTTCCCTAGGCTTACAGTGCAATTATTTAATCTCTACATGGTATAAAGTCACCCATATTTATTTTTCTCCTGTTCATATATTTTTATGTCCAGGACAGTAATTTCCTTACAGGAGAGTTCCTAATGTTTTTGTTTGTTTGCTTTTATCAAAGCAAAAATAAAACATGGAGCCCTAAATTGTTTTCAGGAGTCAACAGGCTTTGTTGGGGCGAGTATGTATGCATACCAGAGGAAGTAATGAAATCATTTACTCTATTCACTTTCCTCACAAGAAACCTGCCAAGAAAACGCGAGTAAAGACACAGATCGATTTTTAAACCTGGAAAGGACCTAAGAACTTCTCTAGGTCAATCTTTTTATTACATCATTGAAGAAACTGAGGCATAGAGTAAGCCACTGTGCAAGGACGCAAAACTATGGAAAAATCTGGATAGGAATATAGGCTTTTCTTCTTCCTAATTCAGCATGCTGTTCTCTACATCATGGTAAGAGGACGGAAGGGAGATCTATAGAAAACTTTGGTCCCTATGTGGTTCTGCAACCAAGCATCTGGTGATAGACCTGGGGCTGCTATGGGCAAAAGCCATCCGTGGAAAAAATGATAGACACAGAGTGGATGAGAGTGAGAATACCTGGAGCTTGCCAGGCACCTCTGTAGTTGCTCAAGGACTCCATCTGACTATGACAACCTACAGAATGTAATGGATGTACCACTTCACTCACTCTTTCCAAATCGCATGAAAGTTCATCTTTTGACCAAATCTAACCTGTCACCGTAGAGTGAATAGGATTCTGGGAAATAGAGTAAAGTTTAGCTATTCTCTCCCAGTAAAACCACCCCAGCTGGTAACCTCTGATCCATTCTAAATGTAAAATTCTTCAGGCATCACTCTGCTAAATTTATTATTTTAGAACAGCAAAGTTCTAAGGTGAATAGAGTGAAATACAACTTTTTGAAACCTTTTTAAATTTCTACATTGTAATATTATTGTGAGCCTTGATGAACCTCAGTTTCTTTCTTCAATATCTGTCATCAACCAAACCTTTAAAAAAACATGTAATACTCCTTCCTGTCAAAATGTTCATAAAACAGCTATTTGGATCTCTCTTTCTCTCTCTCTCTGTCTCTCTCTCTCCTTGTGTGTCTCTCTCTCTTTCTCTCTTGTTCCATCTCTCCCTCTCTTCATCTCTTTCCATTACTCTCTCCATAGCTAGCTAGCTAGTTAGCTAGTTAGGATAGATAGATGATAGATAGATAGATAGATAGATAGATAGATAGATAGATAGATAGATAGATAGATAGATAGATAATTGAGAGAAAGATAGATGGAGAAATAGTTTTAAACAGCTTCATTACATAAAAGAATATTAAAGTTCTGAAACTAGATTTTTTTTTTTTTGTAAATTTCAAAAGAATGTAGACTTCTCTTTTTCTTTAGTCAAATTTTTGGTGCTTTCCTGGAAGCTAAAACAGCACTGGTGCTGAAAGGGTGGCCATTGCGATCATACTGTCTTCCCCATACATTTTCTCAAGTGTGTTGAACCTTCCCACAGATGAAATGAACTCTTAAAGGGCAAGCACTGTTTGTAGTGCTACCAAGAGGAAAGGTTCCTTCTATAAAACAGTACCATTTATCAGACCCACTCAACACTAAGATAAAGGATAGGGATATGGAAGCAATTGTCCTGGTCATCTGAGGAAATAACCAATGGATACTTTAGGCTAAAGCATGTTTGGCCTGAACTACCCAATAATGACCTCCTAGCTCCATGTGGATATGTTTGAATGTCCACTTAAGTTTATGTCTCTCTTCACTTTTTCCTCTGTTTGTCCAAATACAATATCAAGATCATCCCCAGGTGATTTTTTTATTATACTCTGCTTGGGTCTTTCAGGGAGTACACTCCTAGGTAGAACCAAGTTGCCTCTGTCCGGGCAACGGAAGCCTCTGCTTCCAATTATTTCTGCCCTGCAGGCACTTCTTATAAAGGAGCTTTCTTTGCCAAGTTCTAGTTATTATTTCCTGAGGCCTTTTTTTCCCTTTCCAAGATACCTCTTGAGAGCAAACTTCTGATAGAACTGCAACTTTGTGACACTAGATAGTACAAGAATCATTATTTTGGCTTTTTCACTTTCTGACTTTTTACACACCTATAATTACATGCTTTGCAGTCTTTCCATTCAGATAAAAGCAGTATTCTTTAAGACTTTTTTTTCCTTTCCTTTATTTCTGTGGTTATGATTGGAAAGAGAGGCTTCCAGGAACCTCCTTGAAAGTACCAACATATTTCATTCATTTTTAAAGTTCTCTTTAATTTATTTTTTTTCTTTCAACTAGTTATAATCTGAATATTATTATAACCATAATATGGTGGCAAAACTGTCACCCTCTTTGCACGTTCACAGCTGCACTTAAAGAGACACTTATGATACCATGGATAGAATCACACGTTGTTCTTACTCGTGTGTCTAAACAAAGTTAGAAATATTGCTGAAAATCGTCAAAGGGACGTAGGTTCTGGATATGCCAACATTTTGCATGATTCTGAAAATACTTTATAGTTGTGTCTTTCAGGCGAATCAATCAGAACTTTAGTCGTAATCACAACATAATCAGCGAATCCAGTATTTCCCTTTGGGTCATATAGAAGGAACATGTATCTGATCAGTATACCAATAAAAATCGGATTAGTTCTGAGATTCTCCTTATGATTGAGAATCTACTTCATCTCAAAACTGCTTTACAGGTCTGACCTGCTACAGTTCAGGTTAATAGCACACATGTGTGACTTAAAATTACTTAATTGAAGCTACAGATGTGTTTAATTTAGATTCCATAGTAACGTGTGTGTGCATGTGTTGGCATGCACACATTTGTGCAATCAAAAAGACCATCTAATTACAAAATAAAGTAAAAATTGAGGATTTTAATTATGCATAAATATATTACAGATAGTTGTACGGCTTCAAGTCAATTGAAAAGACCATTGGGACGTTAATAATTAAAGTGTGGATTTAGAAGCTTTATTCACTGCTTATGCTACTTAAATATAATTTTCTTTTAACTTTAAATAAAGGGAAAATTGATTCTGATTAAACAACAAAATGGAACCATTGATGTTAACTAATGCCATCTATTGCAAGCCAGATTTTTCTAGCGTAATCTTTTTTTTTGGAAGACAATATGAGATGGAGATCACAGGGAAAACTTGACGAAGCTTGCAAGATAATATTCCAATTAGAAATACAGAAACATCTTGTTTGAAAAAACATTAGCACACAGAAGCCTTCATATTCTTCAAACACACTTATATACCTTTACTCAATTCAGAAAAATAAAACTGTAAGCTTGAGCAATATGTATAGACATCACCCTTGTGTTACATTTTTAACCTTGCAAATTCTATTTGCGTTGGAATTCAGTTTTCCATTTGTAAATTGGAATCACTGAGTCAGTTAGCTTACTTGCTATAGATATCCAAGGATACCAAGCTACAATATACATCTGAAGACTTACTAAAACACAAGCAACCTTAGTGAGCAGGATATCAGTGGGATATAATATAGTGGGTTTTGGAACCACATTCACCAGCATTCAGAGCCTGTCTCTGTTATGATTTAGCTAAGTCACCAATTCTGAGTCTCAGTGCCCATGTCTATAAAATAAAGATAACCATATTTAAGGTTTTGTAACAATTCAGCGAGGTCACCTAGGTTACAGACTTTTTACTGAAACTGGCATATAGAAGTTAATGTTATGGTTCATACTATCATATATTTCAACCTTCTGTTACCAATGAGGTAATATGTGACTTATCTCGAACCACGCTATTCTAGCATGTTTGGGAAAGAAAACGGGTTTTCTTATTCTCTTTTCCTGCAGTGACTAAAAGAAAAAAGTATTGTAATTTTTGAGAAACATCTCTGTGAAAAATATGTGATCTAGAAGATGTCTCTGGGTACATGGATCAATGAGCCATGAAAAAAATGGGAAAATAAAATTGTCAATTTTTTGATAATTCAATCTGTTTGGGTAGGACCTTTCCTGCTAATAGCTTCCCAGTGGGTAATTCTTTATCGGCTTTTTGTCTTATAGTTAAAATGGCACAAGTGGTCCCAGTGGCTGTTGGCAGAATAATCTGACATTTTATGTTATTGGTTTCAAATTCCCACCAAAAACACCTCCCCATGACCAGAAGATTTAGTATAGTCCATAGACAGCCAATTTCCAAATTTTTGGCTCAACGTAGAAGGGTTTTGTCCCATTAAAAAATATCCCCCATCTATTCCTTGATTGATAGGATTCAACTGCTCCACTTATTTTGCCATTTGACCAGACTTAAATCTAATAGATACGGATCATAACTAACAGCCAGCCTGCCAACAAATGATTCAAGAATGCTGTATGGATAATTTTTTTCTTTAGTAAAATCAAAATCAACTAAGCCACCTGCTGAATGATATTGCTGGAAGCATTATAAACACCATGACCAAGAAATTCAACTGCAACCTCTTCTATGACAATCACTAACAATGTTCCTCATAGCTTGAAGCTGAACTGAACAGAAGCAGAATGTATAAAACAGGCATGTTTTAGTCATTGATACCTAGATGGGAGGATCTCACTTTCTTGTTCTATAAATACAGCAATGCTACTTGGCTGTAGGTAAATAATAAAGTAAACAAAATTATGTTCTTCATACCCAGAGCCTTGAGTTCAAGTGCTGGCTATGCTCCTCATTAGCCAGTTGTGGGATCTTAAGTATGGGACCACAGTATGTTGGGATTGCAAAATGAGAAAAGTCAGAATAAATTACTTTTAAGTTTCTTTTATTCTAAGTTTTAAAGATTGTCCTTTTCTACCCCCAGTGCAGGAACACAGAAGTCTCAAATTTCCACTTACAACATTATAATAAACTTACTTATTCCTTTATTTTCTTTGTTTAATTTGGTTATTCAAAAAACTTGCATTGGATATCTGTTATATGTCAGGCACAGGGCAAAATTCTGAGGATGAAACAACAGTCCACATTATTAGGAAACAAATCATAGCAATGAGTCAAGCTGTGATCCTCTGTGATATTTCTTGCTTCATTCAGGTCACTGCTTTCACTTATCTAAAGTGGCAATTATTTGGCTACGCAATTCATGCTATTGCAGGTTGCAGGTTGCCCTTGGTTCCTTATGAAATACAATTCTTGACAGTAGTTATGGCGAGGAGTTGGTTCTTTTTATTATTTCAAAAACATTTACCTTTTTTTTTTTTTTTTTGAGACAGAGTCTCTCTTTTACCCAGGCCGGAGTGCAGTGGCGTGATCTCAGCTACTGCAACCTCAACCTCCCCAGTTCAAGCCATTCTCTTACCTCAGCCTCACGAGTAGCTGAGACTACAGGCAAAACCCACCACGCCTGGCTAATTTTTGTGATTTTTGTAGAGACAGGATTTCGCCATTTGGCCAGGCTTGTCTGGAGCTCCTGACATCAAGTAATCCACCTGCCTTTGCCTCCCAAAGTGCTGAGATTACAGGTGTGAACCACTGCGCCTGTCCAGGTTTTACTTTTATTAAAGAAGCACAAACTGAATCAAAAAAGTAAAGTTTAAGGTGAAATTAAATTAATTCTCTGATGTTTCAATTATATTATAGGCTGATAAAAATTTCAGAATGTGGCCAGGTGCGGTGACTTACACCTGTAATCCCAGCACTTTGGGAGTCCAAGGTGGGCAGATCACGAGGTCAGGAGTTTGAGACCAGCCTGACCAACATGGAGAAGCCCCATCTCTACTAAAAATACAAAAATTAGCCAGGTATGGTGGTGCACACCTGTAATCCCAGCTACTCAAGAGGATGAGGGAGAATCGCTTGAACCCAGGAGGTGGAGGTTGCGGTGAACCGAGATCGCACCACTGCACTCCAGCCTGGACGACAGAGGGAGACTCCGTCTCAAATAAATAAATAAAAAAAAAAATAAATAAAAATAAAATTCAGAATGTTAGGTAAAAATGATTTTGATTTAAAAAAGGAAATATGTTAACAATTAGTTAATAAATTGTAGTTTATTTGGTAGAAGATATATTAAGACATGGGATCCAAAATGTAATTAGACTATGATTGAATAAGGTAATATTTAACCTCCCTTTAAACTTAAAATGACAAGATTCTTCATAACTTTGAGTTGCTTCTTTAGGTTTCAGAGTTTAAAATTCAAACTTCCACTTTTGGACCCATATGGGATCTCAAGTTTGATACATGATACCCAGAGCCGATTTTCTTTCTTCTCTTTCTTTCTTTTCTTTTTTCTTTCTTTCTCCTTCCTTCCTTCCTTCCTTCCTTCCTTCCTTCCTTCCTTCCTTCCTTCCTCCCTCCCTCCCTGCCTCCCTCCCTCTCTCTCTTTCTTTCTCTTTCTTTCTTTCTTTCAAATAGGCTGGATGGACAAGAGTTATGAAAATTCTGGATTTTTTAAAATAGTTTGTTTTTGAAATAAAAATGTCAAAAGACAAAAAATATACAGTCAAGACCTATAGGTATTGTATTATTGTTTGTTTGTTTTTTAGTATTCAGTTGGAAGGCAGGAATTCCTGAAGATATACTAAACTTCCTTCTGAAATATTCGGAAGAAAATAAAAAGATATAACTGTAGAAAACATAAACTCAAACATGACATTATCTGAATTCTGCACTATTATATTAATTGCAAAATGTTCCCTATACTCCATCATTTCTGTGCATTGTCCTCAATTTATATACAAGGAAACTGAGACTTAAGGACCAGAAATAATCCAAAAGAAATGAACGTCAGTGTGGCTTAGTGAAGACTCATATTTTTTAACCTTGAGAAGAATAGAAGCTAGAACAGGAAGAACTCAAAGAACAGTTGTGGTCATCACAATCAAACTCATTGTTCCCAGAAATATATTTGACAAAACTTGAGAGTAGTATTTATTCTGGTTTTATTATATCAAATTGCTTTTTTCTCAAAGACTTTATAACATGATGTGTATTGGAATTACAAGTAAGAATAGTTCTGAATATATATTTGTTTATTCACCCATTTTTGCATTCAACACCTATTTCTTGAATACATTCCTGTCTCAAGAATCTAAAAATTTAAGATACAGAGGGAAACCAGATAACATAGTTGTTTCCCTCAAAGAGTTTACAGGGTGGTGGAGAAGACAAATGTTAGACATATAAGCCCAGTGAAGTGTGATACACACTATAATCACATAATATGTAAGCATATTACATAATAGAATTAAGTGATTGTAGAAAGTTCCTAAAAGAAGTGGTATTTAAGCTAAGTTCTGAAGGACAAATATGCATTAATTAGAAACCAAAAGGTAATGATTGAGTGTGATTGATGACATTGAACTCAATGAAATATTAATGTGTTCAAGTGCCAACAGCTACATTTGCTACAGTATAAAGATATGATTAACACTTGACCTACTTTATTTACTGAACTCTTGAACTTCTTAAAGTCAATCCAAAGTGGTCCTTTAACATAATTGTTTTCAAACCTTACAGGGAATTGTTGCCATTTCCAGATGTCAGTGATTTTCAGAAAGTGCTTCATGTTGAAATGAAAATCTACTCAATTACATACTAAATCACATTTCACGAGAAAACACATTACATAACTAAATGAAAATAATTATGTACCCTTCAATGAGACTATGAATTTTCTTAACAATATTAAGTTTTTAAAAAACATTTTGATGATACAAAAATTACATTCTTAAATATAAGTAAGTAAAGGTAGTCAGAATACCATGGAAAATAGTCTTCTCTATTTAAAATTCTTGTAATATGAATTGAACACATTAGATTTTATAATGGACTCTAGTAATTAAAAAATTGATCTAACTATAAACATATCGATTTCCTAATAAAAATATAAACCTAAAGCCCCATTATATCATATAAATATGAAATAACTTCTAGTAATATGGTAGACTGAGTTGGTGTAGAATGACTTCTCCCCTGACCCACAACTACCCAATAACAGTAGATAGAAATTCTGGATAACATGTAACACAAGCAGATTAATAGTGTCATCATCCATCTGCAAAGAGGAGGGAATGGAGAAGGTAGGGGGAAAGAAACCTTCAAGATGTCAGCTACAAAAATATTTTTTCCAAGTGGCAAAATGTTACCAATGTTCTAGCTTCTCACATAGTTGGGGGTAAGGTTGAGGGTGGACGTGGTGGGGAGGAAACCATTAAAAATGAGCTTATAGCTAAAATCACAACCAAAGTTGTGATCTACTCTGAGGCATAATTAACAGGATCAAGAAGTAGGAGAATCAACATATAGAAAAATACAAACATGATACTTTTTTATATGTGTCAGAAGTTACTAAAAATCAAGAAAGTTTTATGACTAGTAATTATTTATTTTTAATTTTATTTTTATTATACTTTAAGTTCAGGGATACATGTGCAGAATGTGCAGGTTTGTTACATAGGAATACATGTGCCACGGTGGTTGGCTGCACCCACCAACCCGTCATCTAGGTTTTAAGCCTCGCATGCATTAGGCGTTTGTCCCAGTGCTGTTCCACCCCGTGCCCCACATCTCCCAACAGGCCCCTTTGTGTGATGTTCCCCTTCCTGTGTCCATGTGTTCTCATTGTTCAACTCCCACTTACGTGTCAGAACATGCGGTGTTTAGTTTTCTGTTCCTGTGTTAGTTGGCTGAGAATGATGGTTTCCAGCTTCATCCATGTCCCTGCAAAGGACATGAACTCATTCTTTTTTATGGCTGCAAAGTATTCCATGGTGTTTATGTCCCACATTTTCTTTATCCGTTCTGTCATTGATGGGCATTTGGTTTGGTTCCAGGTCTTTGCTATTGTAAATAGTGTTGCAGTAAACATACATGTGCATGTGTCTTTATAGTAGAACGATTAATAATCCTTTGGGTATACACCCAGTAATGGGATTGCTGGGTCAAACGGTATTTCTGGTTCTAGGTCCTTGAGGAATCATCACACTGTCTTCCACAATGGTTGAACTAATTTACACTCCCACCAAGAGTGTAAAAACGTTCCTATTTCTCCACATCCTCTCCAGCATGTGTTTCCTGACTTTTTAATGACCACCGTTCTAACAGGTGTGAGATGGTATCTCATTGTGGTTTTGATTTGCATTTCTCTAATGACCAGTGATGACGAACTTTTTTTCATATGTTTGTTGGCCGCATAAATGTCTTCTTTTGAGAAGTGTCTGTTCAAATCCTTGGCCCACTTTTTGATGGGGTTGTTTGTTTCTTTCTTGTAAATGTGTTTGAGTTCCTTGTAGATTCTGGATATTAGCCCTTTGTCAGATGGATAGATTGCAAAATATTTCTCCCATTCTGTAGGTTGCCTGTTCACTCTGATGACAGCTTCTTTTGCTGTGCAGAAGCTTTTTAGTTTGATTAGATCCCATTTGTCAATCTTGGCTTTTGTTGCCATTGCTTTTGGTGTTTTAGTTATGAAGTCTTTGTCCATGCCTATGTCCTGAATGATATCACCTAGGTTTTCTTCTAGGGTTTTCATGGTTTTAGGTCTTACATTTAAGCCTTCAATCCATCTTGAGTTAATTTTTGTATAAGAGGTAAGGAAGAGGTCCGGTTTCAGTTTTCTGTATATGGCTAGCCAGATTTTACAACACCATTGATTAAATAGGGAATCCTTTCCCCATTGCTTGTTTTTGTCAGGTTTGTCAAAGATCAGATGGTTGTAGATGTGTGGTGTTATTTCTGAGGCCTCTGTTCTGTTCCATTGGTCTATATATCTGTTTTGGTACCAGTGCCTTGCTGTTTTGGTTACTGTAGCCTTGTAGGATAGTTTGAAGTCAGGTAACATGATGCCTCCAGCTTTGTTCTTTTTGCTTAGGATTGTCTTGGCTATGTGGGCTCTTTTTTGATTCCATGTGAAATTTAAAGTAGTTTTTTTTTATTCTGTGAAGAAAGTTAATAGTAGCTTGATGGGGATAGCATTGAATCTATACATTACTTTGGGCAGTATGGACATTTTCACAATAGCAATTCTTTCTATCCATGAGCATAAGATGTTTTTCCATTTGTTTGTATCCTCTCTTATTTCCTTGAGCAGTGGTTTATAGTTCTCCTTGAAGAGATCCTTCACATCTCTTCTAAGTTGTATTCCTAGGTATTTGTAGCAATTATGAATGGGAGTTAATTCATGATTTGGTCTCTGTTTGTGTATTATTGGTGTATAGGAATGCTTGTGATGTTTGCACATTGATTTTGTCTCCTGAGACTTTGCTGAAGTTGCTTATCAGCTTCAGGAGTTTTGGGATTGAGGTGATGGGTTTTTCTAAATATATAGTCATGTCATCTGCAAACAGAGACAATTTGACTTCCTCTCTTCCAATTTGAATGCCCTTTATTTCTTTCTCTTGCCTGGTTGCCCTGGCAAGCACTTCCAATGCTATGTTGAATAGGAGTGGTGAGAGAGGGCATTCTTTTCTTGTGCTGGTTTTCAAAGGGAATGCTTCCAGCTTTTGCCCAATCAGTATGAAATTGGCTCTTTGTCATAAGTAGCTCTTATTATTTTGATATAAGTTCCATCAATACCTAGTTTATTGAGTTTTTAGTTGTTGAGTTTGATCAAAGGCCTTTTCTGCATGTATTGAGATAATCATGTAGTTTTTATTATTGGTTCTGTCTATGTGATGGGATATGTTTATTAATTTGCATATGTTGAACCACCCTGCATCCCAGGGATGAAGGCAGCTTGATCGTGGTGGATAAGCTTTTTGATGTGCTGCTGGATTCTGTTTGCCAGTATTTTATTAAGAATTTTCGCATGGATATTCATCAGGGATATTGGCCTGAAATTCTTTTTTTTGTTACACCTCTGTCAGGTTCTGGTATCAGCATGATGCTGGCCTCATAAAATGAGGTAGGGAGGAATCCCTTTCTTTCTACTGTTATAGTTTCAGAAGGAATGGTACCAGCACCTCCTTGTACCTGTGGTAAAATTCGGCTGTGAATCCATCTGGTCCTGGGCTTTTTTTTGGTTGGTAGGTTATTAATTACTGCCTCAATTTCAGAACTTGTTATTGGTATATTCAGGGATTCAGCTTCTTCCTTGTTTAGTCTTGAGAGGGCGTATGTGTCCAGGAATTTATCCATTTCTTCTAGATTTTCTAGTTTATTTGCATAGAGGTGTTTCTATTATTCTGTGATGGTAGTTTGTATTTCTGTAGGATCAGTGGTGATATCCCCTTTATCATTTTTTTATTGTCTATTTGATTCTTCTCTTTTTTCTTCTTTATTAGTCTGGCTAGCAGTCTATTTTGTTAATCTTTTCAAAAAACCAGCTCCTGGATTCATTTATTTTTTGAAGGATTTTTTGTGTCTCTATCTCCTTCAGCTCTGCTCTGATCTTAGTTATTTCTTGTCTACTGCTAGCTTTTGAATTTGTTTGCTCTTGCTTCTCTAGTTCTTTTAATTGTGATGTTAGGGTGTCGATTTTAGATCCTTCCCACTTTCTGATGTGGGCATTTAGTACTCTAAATTTCCCTCTAAACACTGCTTTAACTGTGCCCCAGAGATTCTGGTACCTTGTGTCTTAGTTCTCATCGATTTCAAAGAACTTATTTATTCTAAATTAATTTTGTTGTTTACCCGGTAGTCATTCAGGAGCAGGTTGTTCAGTTTTCATGTAGTTGTGAGGTTTTGAGCGAGTAGATGCAGTTTCTTCATAGTGTCATTGGTCTTTATATTTTGGTATGTCTTTGCAGTGGCTGACACCAGTTTTTCCTTTCCATATTTAGTGCTCCCTTCAGGAGCTCTTGGAAGGCAGGCCTGGTGGTGACAAAATCCCGCAGCATCTGCTTGTCTGTAAAAGATTTTATTTCTCCTTCACTTAAAAGCTTAGTTTGGCTGGATATGAAATTCTTGGTTGAAAATTATTTTCTTTAAGAATGTTGAATATTGGCCTCCTCTCTCTTGTGGCTTGTGGGGTTTCTGCAGAGATTTGCTGTTAGTCTGATGGGCTTCTTTTTATAGGTAACCTGACCTTTTTCTCTGGCTCTCCTTAACATTTTTTCCTTCATTTCAACCTTGGTGAATCTGACAATTATGTGTCTTGCTGTTGCTCTTCTCAAGGAGTATCTTAGTGGTGTTCTCTGTATTTCCTGAATTTGAATGTTGGCCTATCTTGCTAGGTTGGGGAAGTTCTCCTCAATAATATCCTGAAGTGTGTTTTCCAACTTGGTTCCATTCTCTCCGTCACTTTCAGGTGCACCAGTGAATCGTAGGTTTGGTCTTTTCACATAGTCCCACATTTCTTGAAGGTTTTGTTCATTCCTTTTCATTCTTTTTTCTCTAATCTTGTCTTCACGCTTTATTTCATTAAGTTGGTCTTCAATTTCTGATATCCTTTCTTCTGCTTGATCAGTTTGGCTATTGATCGTATGTATGCCTCATGAAATTCTTGTGCTGTGATTTTCAGCTCCATCAGGTTATTTGTATTTTTCTCTGAACTGGTTTTTCTAGTTAGCAGTTCCTGTAATCTTTTTTCAAGGTTCTTAGCTTCCTTGCATTGGGTTAGAACATGCTACTTTGGAGGAGTTTGTTATTACCCACCTTTTGAAGCCTACTTCTGTCAATTCGTCCAACTCATTCTCCATCCAGTTTTGTGCCCTTGCTGGCGAGGAGTTGTGATCCTTTGGAGGAAAAAAAGACACTCTGGCTTTTGGAACTTTCTGCATATTTGTGCTGGTTTTTCCTCATTTTCATGGATTTATCTAGCTTTGTTCTTTGATGATGATGACCTTTGGGTGGGGTTTTTGCATGGATGTCCTTTTTGTTGATGTTGATGTTATTGCTTTATGTATGTTAGTTTTCCTTCCAACAGGCCCCTCTTCTGCAGGTCAGCTGGAGTTTGCTGGAGGTCCACCCCAGACCCTATTTGCCTGGGTATCAGCAGCGGAGGCTGCAAAATAGCAAAGATTACTGCCTGCTTCTTCTGGAAGCTTCACCCCAGAGGGGCACCAGCCTGTTGGCAGCCAGAGCTCTCCTGTATGATGTTTCTGTTGACCCCTTCTGGGAGTTTTCTCCCAGTCAGGAGGCATGGGGGTCAGGGACCCATTTGAGGAGCCAGTCTGTCCCTTAGCAGAGCTCGAGTGCTCTGCTGGGAGATTTGCTGCTCTCTTCAGAGCTGGCAGGCAGGAATGCTTAAGTCTGCTAAAGCTGTGCCCATAGCCGCCCCTTCCTCCAGGTGCTCTGTCCCAGGAAGATGGGGGTTTTATCTATAAGCCCCTGACTGGGGATACTGCCTTTCTTTCAGAGATGCCCTGCTCAGAGAGGAGGAATCTAGGGAGGCTGTCAAGTTCCAGTGGCTTTGCAGCACTGTGCTGGGTTCCACCCAGTCTGAACTTCCTGGTTGCTTTGTTTACACTGTGAGGGAAAAACTGCCTACTCAAGCCTCAGTAATGGCAGATACCCCTCTCCCCACCAAGCTTGAGCATCCCAGGTGGACTTCAGACTGCTGTGCTGGCAGCGAGAATATCAAGCCAGTGGATCTTAGCTTGTGGGGCTCCATGAGTGTGGGACCCCCTGCCTGACCAAGACCGCTTGGCTCCCTAGCTTCAGCCCCCTTTCCAGGGGAGTGAACGGTTGGTTTTGTCTCGCTGGGGTTCCAGGAGCCACTCGGGTATGAAAAAAACTTTTGCAGCTAGCTTAGTGTTGCACAAACAGTGCCCAGTTTTGTGCTTGAAACCCAGGACTCTGGTAGTGTAGGCACCCTAGGGAATCTTCTGGTCTGTGGGTTGCAAAAACCGTGGGAAAAGCATAGTATCTGGGCCAGATTGCACCATTCCTTATGGCACAATCCCTCACAGCTTCCCTTGGATAGGAGAGGGAGTTCCTTGGCCCCTTGCACTTTCTGGATGAGGTGACACCCCCACCCTGCTTTTACTCACCATCCATGGGCTACACCCACTGTCTAACCAGTCCCAGTGAGATGAACCAGGTACCTCAGTTGGAAATGCAGTAATCACCTGCCTTCTGCATTGGTCTCACTGGGAGCTGCAGACTGAAGTTGTTCCTATTTGACCATCTTGCCAGATTCTCCCCCATGACTAGCAATTGTAGTATCATAAAATATTAGCTTGAAATGAGCAAGTTAATACACTTGGTATGCTGCCCTTACTTTAAGAAAATGATAAAGAAGTAAATTGACAAGGTGATTTTGTTTTTCAGTTTTGATCTTACCCAGTGCCACCTCTCAAAATATGTATACATGTACTTATTTTATTGTTTTGATTGATTGTGAAGAATCAGTTTTTAACCAAAATAATATGATTTTATTAAATGACACTTTCTCACAAAAGCCATTTGAAGCAATGCAGAATGGGATTTTTCTCTGAACATGTCAAGTTCTGGGAGAACATTTTTAGTGTAATAGGAGAAAACTATATTTTATCTATTCAATTCTGTCATGCAAATTGGAAAAGAACTTCTGAAGGAATTACATAGGACTTCAAAATATAATACTTTCAGCAAGTTAATTGCATGAATTAATAACAACATTTTCAGACAATCAAATCAGCCCACTCCACTATGATATAAGCACGAAAAGCATGGCTCCAGTTTTGTCATTTGTGTGACCAACATATAACACTGATTAAAGCTTGTCTTGGACAAATGAATTTCAGTTATTCAAATGAACAGATATAACAGCAATGTATATTAATTTGAAAATGTAATTTCACAAGAAAATATAACGAATATTTTTCAAAAAACTACAAGTGAGAGCTTTTCTATGAGAAACCCAGTTAGCTTTATTATTAGATAGTAGCTGTTGGTAATCACACTGTTTACACAGCTGAGGAAGGCCATGGATTCAGTGCTTTGCTATTAATAACATTAATAGTTGCACTAAGCCCTCGTCAAATGTCAGACCTTTCTCAGGCTTCCCTGTGATGCAAAAGTGAAGATGTGATAATAAAAATGTTAATGCTGGTGATCATTGTGAATAAGTCCATATATCTTCAGAATGATGATTTTGCGCATATATGCTTTGGTTTGAATTTCCTCTGAAGCAGATCCTGAGACAAGAAGTTAAGAGCAAATAATTTCTCTGACAGGTGCAAATGACATTGGTAAAATTATAGGAAAGTGTTACAGGGAAGAGAAGCAGCAAAAAGTGTGATAACAAGCCAGGAACCGTATGAATATCTGTAGCTCTGTTCTACAGGAAGACTCTTAACCATGATGAAAAGCACAGACCTCAGAATTACTTCACAAGCAGGCCAAGGAAGCCAGATAATTATACATACATTTCCTAGAACCATTGATTGAGACCTTCTCTCAGAGGTTATTAATACCCTGGCACTTCCATCCTACAATAAAACATGGATAAACAGCTTTCTATGGCTCTGTAAAATGCCTTAGGCTCAAATATGTATTTACTGGCAATTGGAACTTGGTGGAAACACACCAAAATAGTGAGTTCTGAGGAACATGGGTGGGGCACTGAGAACATCTGCTGCAACTGACAAATGATTTAGCTAATTAAACAATGCATTTTAATGAGTTATCTATGATTAATTCCAAATAAAAGTAGCATCGTATGAAATCAGCTCACAATTGTTTACACATTCTTTTGCTGATTAGCAACATCTTAATGATATAGTGTTGAAAAGAATGCTTTTATATATATTGAAATTCTGCATATTAGAATTGATAATAGTAAGCCATCCTGCACTTTTTAATTTATATACGACTACTCTTGGGCTCCAAGGAACCAAAACTCCAACTGAAGGAGCTTAAACCATAAGAAGATTAACTATTTTGTATAAGAAGTCCTAACACGTGATGGATACCGAAATGGTTGGCTCAGCAACTATAACAATATGAGCTAAGATTCATGAGATTCATTGCCTCTTTAGCAGGTGGACTTTGGCCCTTAGGACAGACATACCCATGATTACAAGGTAGGTTTTGGAGACCCAAAACTTACGACTGAAGCAATGCACAATAGAAGAAAGGTTTATTTCTATCTAGGTATCTCTTTAGGAATGAAGAAGTTTTGTTCAACATCACCAAGCACAACATTTGTTTATATTCATTTTACATAATTTACTTTTAATACTGATATAACTAATATATGACACAATTTGCCATTTTGAAGTGTACAATTAAAAAATTGTTGGTATATTCACAAGATTGTGCAACCACCTAATTCCAGAACATTTTCATCATCCCACAAAAAAACACAATACCCATTAGCATTTACTTCTAATCTACTCACCCGTCCTCTGTAACTACTATCTACATTATGAGTCTATGGGTTTGTTTATTTTGGGAATTTCATAGAAATGAAGTCATATAATACGTGGCCTTTTGTTTCTGTCTTCTGTCACTTAGCGTAATGTTTTCAAGGTTCATTCATGTTGTAGCATGCATCGGTGTTTCATTCCTTTTTACGACAAAGTAATATTTTATTGTAGTAGTAATAGCAGTAGGGAGAAGATGAGAAGGATGAATTATAATAGTAATAGTAGTAAGTAGTAGCAACAGCAGTAGTAATAGCATTCAAGACCACAGTTAGTTTATTCATTCATCTGTTTATGAACATTTGGGTTGTTTCCATATTTATCTATTATAAATTATGCTACTGAACATTTTTGTAAAGTTTGTATGTGAACATACGTTTTTAGTTCTCTTGCATATGCATATGCAGAATTCAAATTCTTTATTATATGGTAACTCTGTGCTTAAGTTTTGAGGAACTGCCAAGCTGTTTTCCACTGTGGCTGCACCATGGTACATTCTCACCAGCAATAAATGAGAATTATTCCATTTTCTCCATATCCTTGGCAGAATTTGTTATTGTCTGTTTTTCTTTGAATATAGCTATTCCATATGGATATGAAATGGTGTGACATTGTGGTTTTGATTTGCATTTCCCTAATTACTAGTGATGTTGAGCAACTTTTCCTATATTTATTGAACATGTACATATGAATTTTAGTGAAATTTCTATTAATTGCTTCCCCATATTTTAATTGGGTTATCTTTTTATTGTTGATTTGCAAGTGCTCTTTATATATTCTAGATACAAAACATTTATCAGATATATGATTTGCAATTATTTTCTCCCATTCAAGCATTCTATTTTAACTTTCCTAACAGTATTATTTGAAACACAAAAGCTTTAGATATTGGTAAAATCCTATTAATGTACATTTTTCTTTTGTTGTTCATGCTATAGGTGTCAAATCTAAGAAACCACTGCCAAACTCAGGGTCATGAAGATTTAACCCTGTGGTTTTTTTTTTCCCTAAGAGTTCAATACCTCCAATGCCTCCATTGTGGTCCATTTTGTGTTCATTTTTGTGTATGGTACAAGGTAGGGGTTTAATATCACTCTTGGATGTAAATATCCAGTATTCCAGCACAATTCTTTGCAAGGCTATTTTTTTCCACAATGAATGTTCTAGCCAGGGATGTCCATTTGGTTTCTGTGGGCCACTTTGGAAGAAGTATTGTCTTGGACCACACATAAAATACACTAATGCGAGTCCAGGCGCGGTGGCTCACGCCTGTTATCCCAGCACTTTGGGAGGCCGAGGCGGGCGGATCACGAGCTCAGGAGATCGAGACCATCCTGGCTAACACGGTGAAGCCCCGTCTCTACTAAAAATACAAAAAATTAGCCGGGCGTGGTGGCGGCGCCTGTAGTCCCAGCTACTCGGGAGGCTGAGGCGGGAGAATGGCGGGAACCCGGGGGGCGGAGCTTGCGGTGAGCAGAGATGGCGCCACCGCCCTCCAGCCTGGGCGACAGAGCCAGACTCCGTCTCAAAAAAATCAATCAATAAATAACAAATACACTAATGCTAACAATAGCTGATGAGCTAGAGAAAAAAAAATGCAAAAAACCCACCTCACCATGTTTTAAGAAATTATACGAATTTGTGTTGTGCGTATTCAAAGCCGCCCTGGGCCACATGAAGCCAGTGGGCCGTGGGTTGGACCAGCTTGGTCTAGACACCCAAGTTGAAAATCTATTGGCCAAAGAGGTGTAAGTTTATTTTTGGACTCTCGATTCTATTCCATTGATCCGTATGTCTACCATTTTGCCAGTGCTGAACTTTCTTGACTATTACAGGTTTGTAGTCCATTTTACATTCAGAAGGTGTAAGCCCTCCATTTTTTTTTCTTTCAAAATTGTTTTGGCTATTTGGGGAACTTGCATTATCTTATGAATTTTACAGCCATCTTGATAATTTCTGCAAAAAAAAAAAAGGCAGGTAAAATTTTAACAGGTATTGTTTTGAATCTGCAGATCTATTTGGATCTATTGGAGAGTATTGCCTTCTTAACACGTTAAATCTTCCATTAGATAACTACAAGAGGCTTTTCCACTTATTTAAGACTTCCTTAACTTTGGTCAACAATGTTTTGTACTTTCATTGTAAGACTTGGACTTCTTTTGCTAAGTTGATTTCTAACTTTTTTTATGCTACCGTAAATATAATTATTTTAAATTTCATTTTCAGATTGTTCATTGCTATGATTTAATGCAACAGAATTATGCATAGTGATCTTGTATCCATAACCTTGCTGAACTCTCATTTATTAACTCTAATAGTTTCTTTTTGGAGGATTGCTTTATCTTACCATCTGCAAATATAAGTAATTTTAACGTTTTCTTTCCAATTTGGTTGCCTTTCCTCTATTTTCCTTGCCTAATAGTCCTGTCTAGAACCTCCAGCACAATGATGTATAGAAGCAGTGAGAGTGGACTTCTTTGTGTTATTTTTGCTTTGGGGGGTTAATTATCTGGTTTTTTTTACAGTTTAGGATGATATAAGATTGTGGTTTTCTATAAATAACTTATCAGATTGAGGAAATCACCTTCCATTATAAGTTTGTTGAGTGTTTTTACCATGGAATTATTTTTTTTTTCTGCAATCATCTGCTCATTTGGCTTACTGGCTAATCTATTACCTCAGCATAGTGTATTACATTGATTGGTTTTTGTATGTTGAATGAACCTTGCATTCCAGGATAAATTTTGCTCTGTCATTGTGCAAAATCATTTACATATGCTGCTGCTGGATTCAGTTGCTGTTATTCTGCTGAGGATTTTTGTGTCCATATTTGTAAGAGATATTGGACCGTAGTGCTCTTGTAATGTTTTTGTCTGGTTTAGGTGTCAGAGTAATTACGGCCTCAGAAAATGAGTTATAAATTGTTTCTCCTCTTCTAAACTTTCAAAAGGGTAGTGAAGGACTGGTCTTAATTCTATAAAAGATTGATAGAATTATCCAGTGAATATCCCTTAGTCTTGAGCTATTCTTTGAGAAAAGTTTCGATTACTAAACCAATTTCTTACTTGTAGGTTTATAAATATTTTCTATTTTTCTGCAGTCGGTTTTATTAGTTTATGTCTTTCCAGGAATTTCTTTTTAATATCACTTGTTGGCATACAAGTTTTTATAGTATTTCCTTATAATCACTTTTTATATAAGGTCATTATTAATGTTCCCTCTTTGATTCTGATTTTAGTAATTTGAATTTTCTCTCTGTTTTCATGGTCTGTCATGGTAAAGTTTATCAGATTTGCTAATCTTTTCAAAAAATCAACTTTTGATTTTGTTGATTATCTCTATTATTTTTTCTACTGTTCATTTTATTCACCTCTGGCCTTATCTTTATTATTTCCTTCTATCCACCAGCTTTGGGTTTGGTTTTCTCTTCTTTTTCTAGTTCCTCAAGGGGTAAAGTTAAGTTATCGTTTTGTAATCTTTATTCTTTATTTTTGAAGGTGTTTACACCTTGTACTCTCTGCCTGCCTTGCTTCTCCTACATTACAGCATGTTATGTTTTCATTTTCATTAATATCCAAGTATTTTCTAATTTTCCTTATGATTTTTTCTTTGACTTATTAGTTGTTTAAGAATGTGTTGTTTAATTTACATGTAGTTTTAAAACTTCCAACTTTCCATCTGTTACTGATTTCTATCTTTATTGTAGTTGGAAAAGATACTTTGTAAGCTATCAGTTTTTAAAAATTTATTGAGGCTTGTTTGTGACCTAACAAATCTGTTCTGGAAAATGTTCTACATGCACTTCAAAAGAATGTGTATCCTGAAGTTTTTAGGTGAAGTGTGGTCTATATGTCTGTAAAGTGTGGTTGGTTTATAGTGTCATTCAAATCTATTTTTATATTGAACTTCCATTTAGATATCCTATGCATTATTAAACATTGATTATTACGTCTTCAATTACTACTATAGAACTATTTCTACCTTTCATTCTGACAATGTTTGCTTCATAGATTTTGATGCACTTTTGCTTGATGCACATATTTGTTTTTTTTTAATTTTATTATTATTATACTTTAAGTTTTAGGGTACATGCACACAATGTGCAGGTTTGTTACATATGTATACATGTGCCATGTTGGTGTGCTGCACCCATTAACTCGTCATTTAGCATTAGGTATTTCTCCCAATGCTATCCCTCCCCCCTCCCCCGACCCCACAACAGTGCCCGGAGTGTGATGTTCCCCCTCCTGTGTCCATGTGTTCTCATTTTTCAATTCCCATCTATGAGTGGCACATATTTGTTAATATTTTTATTTCTTCTTGGTGATTTGACCCTTTTATTAACAGATAATATCCTTCCTTGTCTTTTGTAACAATTTTGACTTAGAGTCTATTTTGTCTGATATTAGCATAGCCACAATAGCTCTTTTTTAGTATATATATGCACACACACACACACACACATACATATAAAATCTTTTTCTGTACTTTTACATACAACCTAGTTATCACTTTGGATCTAAAGCGAGTCTGTTGTAGACAAAATATATTTGGATTTTTTCCCATTCTGCAAATCATTATCTTTAGATTGAGGTTTTGGTCTATTTACATTTAAAAATGTTACTGATAGAGAGGAAGTTATTTTTGATGTTTTGTTATTTGTTTCTTTATGTCTTAAATAATTTTGTTTTTGTTCTTATCAGTCTTCATTTCTTTTATTATTGCATTCTTTGTGCTTAGTTTATTTTTATATCCTCCTAATTTCCTTTTATGTATATTATTGTATTGGTCAGGGTTCTCTAGAAGTACAAAACTAAGAGTACATATATTAGGTATATATATGTGTATATATACTATATATAATTATATATGTATCTAATATAATATATATTTTATATAGAGTGTATATATATAATTATATATAATGTCCTTTCATCTCAACATGAAGATTCTCTTTTAGCATTGGTTATAGGGTAAATTTTGTGGTAATGTACTTCTTCATGTTATTAAGGTGAAATGTCACAATCTCTCCCATATATATATATATATATTTCCCATATATATATATATATATATTTCCCATATATATATATATATATTTCCCATATATATATATATTTCCCATATATATATATATATTTCCCATATATATATATATATTTCCCATATATATATATATATATATATGAGTTTATATATGTATATGAGTTTATTAAGTATTAACTCACATGATCACAAGGTCCCACAATAGGCTATCTGCAAGCTGAAGAGCAAGGAGAGCCAGCCAGCCCAAGTCCCAAAACTGAAGAACTTGGAGTCTGATGTTCAGGGGCAGGAAGCATCCAGCACAGTCTAAAGATGTAGGCTGGGAGGCTAGGTCAGTCTAGTCTTTTCTGCCTGCTTTATATTCTAGCCATGCTGGCAGCTGATGAGATGGTGACCACCCAGATTAAGGGTAGGTCTGACTTTCTCAACCCACTGACTCAAATGTTAATCTCCTTTGGCAGCACCCTCACAGACACACCCAGGATAAATACTTTGCACCCTTCAATCCAATCAAGTTGACAGTATTAACCATCACAATTATTAACATATTTTTGTGTTTATCATTGAGAGTATACTTAACATTCTAAATTTATAACAATCTAGTTTAAGTTGATACTAATATAACTTTAATAGCATAAAAACTATGCTTTTATAGTTTCATTCTCTCTTCTTTATGTTGTTGTTGCCATGTTGTCACAAATTACTTATTTATACATTGTGTACCCGAAAATACAGCTGTATATTTTTAAAAGTTTATTTTATTTTATAGCTTGTAAGATAAGCTTTATTAGCAGTTGCAAACTGATAATACCATAATACTGACTTTTTAAATTGCCTATGTATTTAGTACAATCAGAGATCTTTAATTATTTATATGGCTTTTAGTTAGTCTAATATCTTTTCATTTCAACGTGAAGATTCCCTTTTAGCATTGGTTTTAAGGTAAATTTTGTGGTAATTACTTTTTCATGTTATTAAGGTGAGATATCACAATCTCTCTCTTATCTTTGAAGGATGATTTTGTGGGTATAGAATTTTTGGTTGACAGTTGTTGTTTCCTAGCACTTTTAATGTAACATCCCACTGTTTTCTTGCTTATATGGATTCTGATAAATAATTAGCTGTTAATCTTATTGAAGAATCCTTGTATGCAATGAATGTATTTTTCTTAGTGCTTTTAATATTTTCTCTTTTTCTTTGGATTTCAAAATTTCATAATATGTCTTCATATGAGTCTCTGAGTTTATCCTATATGGAGGTATTGAGGATTTTGGATTTATAGAATCATGTCTTTCATTAAATTTAGGAAGTTGTTAGCTATTTCTTCAAATATAGTTTCTGACCCTTTCTTTCTATATTCCACCTTCCACCTCCACCCACACCTGGGAAATTCTATAATAAATATATTGATTCACTTGATGGTTTTCACGGGCCCCTCCATTCTCTGACTCTTTCCTTTGTCTGCCTGAATCTATGGTTGAATGCCTCTAGTAAATTTCTCATTTTACTTATTGCACTTTTCAGCTCCAAAATTTCTGCTTTGTTTCTTTTTATAATTTCTCTTCATTGATATTCTCATTTTGTTATACACAATTTTTCTGATGTCCTTTAATTCTTTATCTATATTTTCTAATATTGTCTATGTTTTCCTTTCCTTGGCCTTGTGATTTTTCTGTTAAAACTTGGACATTGGAATATTATGATGTGGTGGTCCTGGAAATAAAATCTCCCCCTTTATCAGGGGTTTGCATTTTTCAATATTATTAAGGCTGTTATCCTCCATTTATTTAGTGACTTCTCGAAACTTTATGCAAAGACGGTTTCTTGTTGAGTGTGATCCCTACAGTCTGTGGTTTCTTGTTTGTATTTACTTAGTGTTTTAAAAGAGATTCATTTAAATTCCAGAAGCCAAGAACAAATATACAGAAGAATAAAAAAAAAACCCTCCTCCAGTCTTTGCATCTTGGGTCTATGTAGGACACTTTCTCAATATTTAGCCAGGCTTGCACTGAAGTTTTAGCTTAAGATGAAAACTTATGACCTTCTCAGATTTTTCTCTGAGCATGCATCTTATCCTAAACAAGGTTTCTAATATAGATTTTTTAAATTCCCTTCACACACAAGTCTTTTTGGATGTCCTAATTTTTTGAAGATACTCTCCCAGCTTTTGATCCTGGGTCTTACACAGTCTATTATATGTTTTGACTGTAATCATTTGGCCCAGAAATCTTGGTTGGTTAGTTTGCTTTGCAGTGTTTTTGAGCAATGCCCGTCACTTTTCCAGCCTATGTTTAGAGGTAGGTAAAACAAATAATAGTGTCCTTAATCAACCTCCCCGCTATCATTCAGGCAGGTTAGAATAGAAATACACAATAATCTGTACATAAGGTCTTTGCTCTTTCCAGAGCAAGAGATCAGGATTCCAAACTGGGAACCCAAGGTTTCCTCTTCGATTTGTGCTGTGCCAGAGAGTGGTGGCAAAAATACAAGTAAAAATGTCATAAAGCTTTCCTATCATTTTGGAGTTACATTTCTTGATTCATTGTTTGCCTAACTGCTGTAAACCTTTGACTCTCTCCCAGAGTTTTGACAAACTTGGTTCTGACACTTTCTGCTTGGTTTCCAATGTTTTAGCTGGGGTACAGTAGCTTGAAGCCATCATTTTGCTGATGCCACTGCTTTGGCTATGAGTGCATTGTCTTGGTTCAGAGAAATCAGAATGTATGTCTCAGAGCTTGGAATAAGGCCATCCACTCCAAAAGGACAATGTTTTAAAGAGAAATGTAGCTGGAACTCCCTGTGTCACCATTACTTAGTTTTATGTTCAGGAAACTTTGTCTAGAAAAAAAAAAATTAGACCACCTAGGTTAAGATGTCTCAATTGTATTTTCCAAAAAACTTTCCCTAAGAAAGCTAAAACTACATATAAATACTTTTTTTTTTTCTTCAGGGAATTCTTGAATATAAGGGTATCTTAGATAACTATTTGCTCACCTTAACAACCTGCATGCTTATCAAACAATAAATTACTTATCAAGGATTACTTAAAGACCTTTGCCTTACTATGTCCATCAAGCTTAAGTTGTTATCTTAAATGTTGTCCTACCTCAATAATTTATTTTCCCTGAAAGACCTTCCTTAACACGTGTAAATTCAGACCCCAAGTTCTGTAAATACCCAGCTTATTGCTTCTCCTTCTGAAAAACTGGCAAAACTCTGTCAGGCTGGTGTCTCCTTTATTGCATGTTTTTTAAAAAATGTTAATTTTGATTTATGAACAGATTGGTGATATTTTGAAGAATTCTATATTAAGTGAGCAACAGTGTACATTACAATGTCTAATAGTTACAGTAGAAGTTATTGAAACTTCGAAACATTAAAAAGTGTGTTTGAGTTCTGTACCTGCCTGTAGATTTTAACATCTGCTTAACTTGGAGTATTATAATAATCTAATCCTGAGGACTTCATAATTTCTAATGTAATATTACAGTTTACATATATTGATGGTTTTAAAATAATTTACAAAAGTTATGTTTTTTTGATAATAATTCTGTTCCACAAAAAAATCGTGCGTATCATTTTTCCCAACCTTTGAAAACCTTGTTGCTAGATTATATTATGAAAAACTAGCAAATAAGTAATTGCGACCACTTAGCAAGTGTTACCATCTGAGTTGCCACAAGTATCAAGTAAACTTCTTCGAGAGTATAATATAGATTGTAAAGCAGCACGTTTGTATCCACAGATAGAATTATCTGCCCACCAAAGATAGTGAAGTGATTAGTGTCACCTCTTGCATCGTGAATAGTTGGATGGATAGAGTTGGTTGAGATTGCTGAGGTGCTTATTATTAACGGCTTAACTCTTAAGTATTTTCTCTCTTTAAAATTTCCCATTAAACTACCGCACCCACTGGTTAATTTCAGTATTAGTTAGCTTTAAGTTTCAAGTTAATAGAGGAAAAAATTTTATGCGCTTTCTCCTCCTATACTGGAAGAGGAACATGAAACCGAAACGCAAATTCTGGGTTTAATGAATCTAAGATAAATCAGTATCTTCAAATGGCAATATAAAAAGATGGAGAGCTGAAGACATAATAATAGACTAAGCAGAAAACCAACAATTGTGAAATTTTCTTCCTTGGTGAAGAAAATATTAACAAAGTATACACTGACTTACTCCGGGAAGGTTAACGTTTTGAGGCACAGGTTGATAAAAATACTGTAATTTAAGTTGGTGTTGGATATGATGAAAACAGACACTGTTTAAAAGTCTGATTATAGAACAAGAAGAACTCAAGACTGCAAGTTCCATTATTCATGGGCAGGTGGATAAATCTTCCACATTTCAAGAGATAGAAGATTTAATCTTTGAAATAATTCAATTAGCTACTCCCAACTTCAGGATCCAAAGAAGTCAGACACTGCTTTCTGAATTATGAGACTTGAGTTCTCATTTTCTTCCTAACTTTTAGAAAAATGACAGAGAGACTTTTCCTTCAAGGAAGAATATAGGTGTATCCTTCTCTGGCTAAACAGGACAACTCCAGGTAAGAGACACATAGATAATTGACATTTGGGAGCAACAAATAAAGTTCAAACAAATTGCCAAAGCTGGCCAGAATTTGAGGAAACACTCCAAGGTGGGAAATGACCAAATAAACACACTTTTTAAAAAAGAAAAGCTTTACAAAAAATCTCAGGATGAACAAGGCTTTACAAAGAGTAGAACACTTCAAAACTGTATAATCTGTACCCCTTGGGAAAACCCAAAATAAGAGCAGAGGAAGCTATACAAAAGCTATAAAAATTGCAATTAGAGATCAAGATAAGAATTTTAGAAACTCGACAAATGAGTAGATAAAATTAGAAACATCTGTGAAATTTTGCAGGATATAAATCAGGAATTCTTTTGAAAATTAGGGGGATAAAAATCAAGAAAATAGTAGAGAACATATAAGAAAATTGAGTGAGTTAGGCAGAACAATATCCCTCTAGGAGATGTCTCAGAAAGAGACAACAGAGGAAATACTGGGGAAGAAATTAAGAAGGAAATAATACAAGAGAAAACAATCTCAGAACTATAAGAAATAAGTCTCCACATTAGAAGGGCTCACCAAGTGTCCAAGAAAATGAATGTAAAAGGATTCACTCTGAGGCATGTAGTCATACATTTTCTTCAAAATACTGCTTATAAAACACATATCCTGAAATCCTCCAGATACTGATAATAAAAAAGTTTCATACAAAGAATAGGAAATCAGCATGACATGAGGCTCTTTATCTGCCACACCAAATGAAAGTTAGAAGACAATGGATAAAATGCCTTCAGAATTCAGACAGAAATGATTTTCCTCTTTAAAATGTATTTACTCAAATAATATGACTGAATCTGGATTTCAGTATGAAGGTAGAGTAACAATGTTTTCAGATATTCACTGTCTCAAACATTTTCCTTCCATGCACCCTTTAAATAAAAATTGAATATAGGATACACCCCAAAAATAATGAGAAAAGAAAGAAAGGGGAAGGATAGGATTCAAAGAACAGAGGATCTGTTGCAAGAAAGAGATCAAGAGAATTCCCAAGATGAGGTCAAAGGAAATATTGTGAAAAGAGCCTGACAACAGGTTTAAATAAAAGCAACTGGTATATTTTGGAGCAGTATGAAAGTAACCCCAGAAAGGATATCTACAGAGGAAAAAATAAAATTGACAGATTTTCTGACAGGTCTGTCTATATGAACATTTTATTGGGAGGACTTTTCGGATTTTTTGGATAGTATAAAAATTTGGCAAAAGATCCAAAGACTATTAAACAATAAAAATGAATAATGTTTAACTATAAGGAAACCAACAGGGGAAGTGAAAAATATGAAAGTATAATTGTAGTAAACTATGACTCAATAGTGAACAATATCTATTATGATGTCATAATAATTAAAACACTGATTATGGCATTAAGCAAAGATTGTGATATAACTACATTTTGAAATATAAAGGTCGGGAAAGTAGACAGTAAGAAAGCTTAAATCCTCACTTGCCAAAGTAGAAAATTTAATGAATAATGTCAATGTACATCTATCCACCAACATAAGCATGTTATTTGGAACTATAGAAGCAAGATCCAAAAGTTTCTCCTTCCATGATTGGCGTGATGGGAGCAGGAACCCTGGTGTTTATTCTATGCACTTAGCACTATTGAATGCTCAAAATGTTTTCCTTGTTTTCCTTTGATAAAATATTAATTAATTAAAAATTGTTTGGCACCAGTACATGTGCTTGGCCATTGTGAGAAGTGCTAAGAAAAAACTTTGTTCTGAATTAAGAAATTGGGTTAAAAGCAAGATGCCCAAAGAGTTTGGCTTTAAATCTTGAGTTCTATTCCACATATCTGTATCTGCTTGAACATTTATTTACTCTCTTTACTTCATATGCAAATATCAGATAATTTTACTACTTACCTTGTGGACTTGTTGATTCTTCTCACTTCTTTGTTAAGGTAGCAAGATAATGATGTAAAATGCTGGGCACAGGAATAGCAACTGTTTAATGAATGAATGACTGATGATGATGAAGACTATAGGGAAAATGGTGATGAGACAATCATAAATCCAACAAAACATTCATTATTTCCCAAGCATCCTCAAAAATTCCCAAACTATACAGTAACCTACTTTATTCTCTATTCTTTTATAAAACTGTATCTGATAGTATCATCTTTATTGTCATCAAAATGGCTGATAAAGTGAGAAGCATTTTCATAAAGACATACAAATTTGGATTATCCTAATAGTAATTAATACCAAAGTTATTTGGATGTGTATTTTTTCATCATTTTTCTTAATTTTGACACCATTTTTTGTTGACATTTTTAATCCAAGTCAATATTTTTCATTCACTTTGACTATTCAACGTTTTTAATATGCATCTCTATTTAAACTTGAAGAAGTCTCCACACATGTAAGATATACACAAGTGGGAAGGTGGGGAAAAGAAAGATGCCCCCAGTGGGTGGATTGTTTGATAAGGAGTGGGTTAGAAGAAGGCAGATAAATTATCTATTACTATGATTTTTTAATAAAACATTAAAGAAGGGTGTAAAGATTGAAAGCTAATTGTTTTTTGCCTAGTGAGATTCTGTCCTTGCCATTTTGACTAATGTTTCCTCAAACATTAGTTTCAGAAATCATACCATGATTTGAGGCTATTAATTCCCAGGAAAAGAGCATATGACATTTTGCTGCTGAATCTTGTTTTTAATTACTAATTACTTAAGGAGATATGAGAAGCATATAGTGGCTTTTAATTTCTTTTCCAGTTTACAATTTAAAAAATTAGTTTAAATTATTTACAGAGAAGATAGTGTCACATTAGTACACTAAATTGAAATAGAATTGTATTCCACTGCCTTGGCTTCAAATGACTTAGTGTGCTTGAAATGATTACCTGTATATGGATGGCTAAATAGAGAAATATTAGGTGTTTAGTATGTTGTGAACTTCTTCCTGGCCTATTTATTGCCTAAGTGGCACTTAAGAAAATTAGACAAAATTTTGCACTAAGCCTGATGCATAATCAATCTATTCAATAATTCCCACTATGCCTTGACCTTCATAAGGTCACTCCACTGTTGACAAGTCTTGTCTGTAACTTAAAATTACAGACAGCTGGGTAAGCCCATCGAGTGTCATGGACACATCTATTTGGGCACTTCTTCAATACTTTGACTTTGAAAAACTTTCAATTCACCAACTGGTATCAGTGGTCTAAAGAGGGTCACTTCTTGATTATTTGACAGCTCCTGGAAATCTCTGTGTTTTTTTTTTGCTTCTCTCTAAGAATAATTATAGATATAAAGGCTTGGAATTCATTTTAAACCTGTGATAGTGTGACTACAGTTCAACATAAAGATTGATAATGTAGTGTCTGTTATGACTCATATCTTAGCCAGTTTTTGTTCCCCAATGTCAGTTTTCATGTTATACACATTTCCTTTTAGTTGAGTATGAAAAGTAGAGCTAGCAACATATATTTGGAGTTTTTGAGTTTGTAGGCATCATTACAATTGTAATAATTTTATACTCACTGAGAGGGCCACAGTTATGTTTTAGGTATATTGTAATTGCCTATGATTCCTAGCTTTGGTTGGCACTGCTATTTGGACATTAGTTGTTGATCATCAACCTATTCACAAATTGTTATTCAACATAATGGAATATTCTGAACAAGAAATTTTGCAATGATTGTGAAAAGTTCATACATTTTGGCTGTGTTGACCATGGGCTTCAGACTTGTTTCCAAGAAGCATCAAAATAATTAAAACTAAATTTCAGGCACAATAAATAGCCATGTCAACTTCCATATCTACATGATAAAGTGAGAACGGTTTGGGAGTATACAGCTGGGTGCATAAACTTACAAGGGAGTTTCTTTGAAGAAAACAATATTTTTCTCTTACAAGAATTAATTCAAATGCTGCTGGTTTGTGGTGCTAAAAAAATGTTTCTAGCTACAGTGTTTTAAATTCCCCTGAAGAAAACAAAATGTTTTATGAATATTAGGATTCAGTTTTAGACTTTCTTACATTTGGAAACAGGGCTACTTGTTGGAGGGGTTCTCATTTTACTTCACAGTGAGTGAGTGGCTCCAGCTGACTTCTTGGGTGCTTTGTTGAATTGGTGGAATAGGTAATAGTGGTGAATGACTAAACATAGCAGACATAACCATTAGTAACTCATAGTGACTTGGAAGACACCTCAAGGGAAACAGCGTTCAGCCCTTTCATCTTTTGTAGCTAGGCCTTCGGTCTTTCAGTTGCAAGAAACTTAAATTCAACTCAAACTAACTCAAAGAAAAGAGAAATTAATTGACCCATATAGTCAAGGAGGGATTTAGGAGTATTTACCGAATAGAATTTTTAAAAAACAAACAGCAGATGAATTAAATATTTAGAACCCACAGTTTAACCGTGCTGGGATTTTCTTTGACCTTCTCTTGCTTCTGTTTCTTGCTGTGTGTTGGCTCAATTTCCTTCTAGTGATCATAAGCTTTAAAACAACCACATTTTAGCAACTTCAGTGGGAAAGCACATGATATTTGTAAATACTTATGGATTAATATCAAGCAGAGAGTTGGATTTATCCATCCTTTGAGCCAACCACTATTGTCTGGGAAATAGGTTATAATATTTGCTAACTCCTATTGCTCATCGCTATGACCAGAGGGCTAGTGCAAACTACAGGTGGAAGAATATAAAAGACATTCTTTTGTAAAAACAGGAAAAAAATAACACTGCCTAGCACGTCCACTGCACCACTTCTTGTGCAAACACCTGTATAACATCCTTACAGGTACTCCTCAGCATTAACTGGGTAAAATGTAGGATATGATGAAAAGTTTATTAGACCTGGCATCTATCTCATCTCTGTTTCTAGCCAGTTTTGTGGTGATGAAAAAGACATTTTGCAGCTCTGAACTTTATTTCTTCATCCATAAATTTGTTGCTCTATCATTTTCAATCTCTGTGAATAGGAATTACTGACTGACAATCTCATTCTGTTGTTGTAGAACTCAGATCAAGCTCCATTGAGCTAAATGTTGTCTTTCTTGCATTATAATACAGAAATTAAGAGTGAACTCTTATATCAGATAACCCTTAGTTTGAATCCTAGTATGTGGTACTCAGCAATTCACTCAAACTCTCTATGTCTCAGTTTCTTCATTGAAAGGATTTAATTAGAAGATGTATATAAAGTGTTGGCAAAATGCCTAGCACATATAAACACTGGATAAATATTAGTCATTGCTCTTATTAGTATTATTGTTTTCATTATTATTTTTAACTTACAACAACTGGAGTTTGGCTTGTCAAGAGTCGTGCAGAATTAAAGAGTCTGTCTTTCATGGGGACAAATCTTTCTTTCCCTCCTGCTTCACCATAGTTTACAATTCTTTAGAGAAGAGGCGCTTTGGATACTTCCCCACATAATACAGACGATATCTTTCATTTCTAATTGCCCAGGATCAAAGACTAGTTCCACATTAACTAAACGGCCTTACCATTTTAATGTGTTTTGAATCATTTACAATCCAGAGATATGGAAACATAGCAAAATTTTAGAGTAATGGTAAAAAGCACCTGGGAACATGGTGTAGGATGGTGTAGGAGCAGGTAATTGAGCACAGACAGTTCATTTAAATGCCTAGATCATGTAAAATTATTTACTTGGAACTGGCCCAAGTAATTTGCAATAAATGACCTTATTTTTTGCATGTTGAAAACTGCTTTTTTTTTTTGCTTGAGACAAAATCTCCCTCTGTCGCCCAGGGTGGGGTGGAGTGGCACGATTTCGGCTCACTGCAACCTCCACCTCCTGAGTTCAAAGGATTCTCCTGCCTCAGCCTCCTGAGTAGCTGGAATTACAGACACCTGCCGCCATTCCCACCTTTTTTTTTTTTTGTTTTTTTGTTTTTTTGTTTTTTTTTTTGGTATTTTTACTAGAGATGAGATTTCACCATGTTGGCCAGGCTGGTCTCAAACTCCTGACCTCAAGTGATCCACCTGCCTTGGCTTCCCAAAGTGCTGGGACTACAGACGCGAGGCACCACGCCCAGCTAAAAACTGCTTTTGATCATTAATTTTTTGACATGTGCTATTATCTGGAAGAAAGTAATAACAGGTGAAAAAATAATTGTTACTTTAAATGATGTCTTAGGGACAGCCAAGACATACCATTAGCTAGGGCAAAAATTTATTCAAACTACTTCAGAATTATGTAGACAGTTTTTTTGTTTGTTTGTTTGTTTGTTTTTTAATGGGATGGGCATTTTTGATCAAATGTGCAAAATAGCTTAGCGTCATTTTTTATGATTTTTAATTTTCTGTCTTAAACTTATATACTTTTTTGAACAGTGGTATTTTAAATTAATATTAATGTGGAAAATTCAGAGCATTCTTGTTTCATCATCTTGACAACCAGGTTAGACTGGTAAGGTGGGAATTATAATGATTATCTTCATTTTACTAAAACAATTTTCCCAAGGTTACACAGCTAGTCTATGGCCAACACAGACTTGCAGACATACGTATTATAACCAAAAGAAAGTGTTCTTATTAATGGAAAATAGGGTAAGGTATTTGTTCTGTTTTTCTAATGTTGCTTTAGATTCTTTAGACAAATCATCTGTGCTAAGGTTGCTTATAAAAGCATCTGAAGATCAATGGAATTAAGTTGAGACAATTCTGAAATGAAAATTCAAGTGATGAAATTCCCCAGAGTTCAATTATTTGAGTTAAAAGTGTTTGTAATAACAGATCTTGGTACATAGTTGGCACATTTCTCCGTTGTGTTTTTCCTCTTTCTATCACCTTTCAGTTTCTATTACAACACTCTTAGGGAGTTTACTAATAAATTAATTATTGGAAAGCATATATTGCCTGAAGGTTTATGTACCAGTAGCCATTAGCCACAATATGCCTAGAATAGATATGTCATTTCCCGGTTGAAATATCGATCCAGGAGAACAAATGAACAAATTATCAATTTGGACATGCCAAGAAAAAAAAATTGAATATGTAGCCATGTTTATTTGAGACATTTTACTCCATAAAGCATGTTTAATAAAAAGAATGAGTTCATGCAAGAATTGCAAACAGCCAGTCAGAGCCATGTGATGGTACTGGAAGTTGTTTTACAAATGTATGTTCCAGTTCAGGAGCATCCTCTCTTAGTAAAAACTTCCTTTTAATAGCAGCATCTTAGGCACTTGATCCACAGAAGGAAGTAATTAAATTTAATACATGCAACACTCATTTTGAGGACACCCTCGATTTAAAGTAGCGGGGGGCATAATTAAGTCTAATAGAAATCATGGCTTGAGAATGAAGATACACTATCAAGCAAACACAGACCAAGTCTACACAGAACCAATTACCTGGTTAATTAGGGCTACAAGCTGTGTTTATTTCATGTTATTCAACCAAAGCAAAGCTTGAGGGTTGATATTGTTTGTTTATTTATTTAGTTGGAATTACATTTATAATTGGAATTAAATGAATATAAACCACAATATTAGATGAGCTTAATGCTCATATATAGCCACCCAAAAAGAAAAACAAAGAAGTGGAATCATTAACTAAGTGTTTTTAACTGAAAGAGTAGATTTGGAAGCATATATATACATAGCCTAAACCATCAGAAAAAAAAAACTATATTCCCCTTTCCACTCTTTATCATAAGTATAACTTCAATTAAAGGAAATAACTTTGATTTATAGTTAGACCACAACATAGTATCTGTTGTCCTGTCTGTTATAGATCAAGTCAGCTTGGTGTAATGGAAACAACTCTGGCTTAGGAGTTAAGAGTTCGTGGTTTTTATCATTTCAATTCATTTATACTTCTGTTTGTCAGACATACGTTGACCCTACAGTGTGGTAGTCAGCAGAGGGAAAGATGGGGAAAATAACTAAACCAACAAGATCTAATTCTTACCATTGAGGAGCTTGTAGAATACTGTTAGAAGTAAACATTTGAGAATAATTATGGTAAGATGTATTTAATAGTAGAATGGATGTTTGTAGAAAGAGTTGTAAGACATAAAGGAGGAAGAACTGAAAAATAAAACAGGAATCAGTTACTCTGTATTTTCCCGGACCTTAAAGGGTGATAACCAAAGGCCCAGGGAAGGGCAATGGAGGTAGAGTCAGCAGCACATGCAAGGACATGAACAGAGGCCCAAGACATTCCTTTGAGATTCCAGATTATATGGGGGATCTGTAGTAAAATGGGCGTGGGACTAGGAAGCTCTGATTGTTCAGAGCAGATGAAACCTGAGGTGAAAAAGGAAAAGGGAGGCCAGATGCTGGGTACATTTATGGGATATATGTAAGGTTTGACTTTACCTTTTGGAAAACAATCTTTGAAGCCAAGAAGTTCTTTATGTTTTGCCTATATTGTTACCTGAACCCTGAGACCTTATACTTCCTTTTATCCAAACAGTGTCTGGTATACTGTGTGTTGAATGAATATGAGTGAAGAAATAATTGGTAACAATTAGTATTCAATTTTATATCATAATTTTTAATTTATGATTTTAAGGATCATGCCCTTAGTAAATTAGACACACAGTGGTCTTCCTGGAATGCGTTTATGCCTAGATACAACACCAGAAGCACAATGTAAATTGACGATAATAAAGAACTGACACATGTGTCAAGAAACAGCAACGTAAGCAGTTGTGCCTCAGAGAAAGGCATAGAGAGTTTTAGCAAAAAGCTGTGCATTGGGTAAAAATCATGGAAAAAAAGCCAAAGAAAAGTTAACTCAGGCTCTCCAATAATCTGATTGTGAGGTTTCACTCACATCATTCCTCTAAGTTTTATTAATTAATTATATAAGTTTTTTGAGCACTTACTGTGCTCAAGGACATTAGGGCATGAAGCAACAATGGACACTGTTCTCGTCCTAATTTGGCTTGCATTTAATGGGCTAAAGTCAGCAAGGACTCTTTGAGAGCAAGCAACAGACACCACCGTGAGTTCTCACCAGCCAAAACGGACTTAATTAGAAGCACCCAGAGTAGCTTACAGATGGAAAGAAAGATGGAAATCCAGGCCTTGGAAAGACCAGAGATCAACAAAATAGAAAATTACGTAGTAGGAATTAATAGAATATGGAATATATATACAATGGACCATGGGGTGCAGTGGGGGAGCAATTTTGCAAAGGAGAATGGAATTATCACTAACAGAAAAGATAGGGTATATTGAATAGGCAAAATAGAACGTTTGTACAAAAAAAATCTTTTTCTTTAGATAATTTCTGAGGCGTTTTCTGGTTGTAAAAGTTCTGGAAGTTGGCAAAGGATCATGGTTTGGTGTTTCCTACTTTTTTAAATCATATTTTTCTTTCTTTAGAATGCAACCCTGCCTTTTGTGAATAGAATTTCATAAGTGAAGGAAGCTGGCTTTCATCTCAAAGTGAAACTAAAAAAAAAAAAATAGTAAAAAGTTTTCCTTTCAAAAGAAGAGGCTGTGATTGTCTTTAAAGTAGTTCTATAAATAAGCATTCTGCAGTCTGTGACACACTTTAGAGAAAGAGCAAAGTTCAGTTCTATAGCTCATTTAAAAATATCCTTCTTGAGTTGAGATGGTCCCACAGAGATTTATTTTCATGGATTTATAAGCTCTGAGAAACTGCAGTTTAAACATAGGCTGGCTGAAAAATGCTTAATTACTCAGTTTGGTCACTGAAGCAACAACATTAGCCCTCTAGTCAAAGAAAATGACAGTGTTATCAAAACTAACCTGCAAAGCTTTATTAAAACTATCTTTGGCGATAATCTCTTTTAAGAATGCATTGTTTTTAATTAGACCTTGGCTTTGAAAGCAAGAAGGGTCAATGAAAAAAAATTTAATCATGTCCAAGCTACTGTGCTACATCTTTACAAAATTCAATTATTTCTATCCAGTGTGGCACAAGAAACATTTGGCAACTGATTAAAACAATTCTTAAAGCAAATTACAGCACTGTCAGAAAACAAGAAATCAGAATGTCAAAATACAAGGACATTTCTATGCAAAATGTGTTGCAAGTGTCTTTGACAGAGTATTTCTGTCTGCTTGTTTTATTACTTTCATTAATTTGGTCCACATCAAGTAAAAAGAAAAAAAAATACTTCCATGTGTTAGCTATTTGAAATAAAAATTCTCAAATGAATAATATTCCCAAAGATAACCAAAGTAGCCATGTGGGGAAATTTTATGCTTTAATTTTATCCAAGCTTACTCAGCACTGTAAAAATCTATGTTGAGGTTTCTAGCTGTAGGGATCCCAAAATAACTGCTTTTTTTTTTTTTTTTGGCAGTAAATCCACATCTATGCAATTTCAGCTACTACTAATATGTAGATGCCATTAGACGTAGATGTTATGTATTATTTCAGGGCAGAATAAAACATAACAATATGTAATTTATAATATATTTGATGTGCATTTTAAAAAGTGAAGTTTTTTAAAGTTTAGAATGAATAACAAGTTTGTTTTTCTTAATTATGCTTTAAGTTCTGGGATACGTGTGCAGAACATGTAGGTTTGTTATATAGGTATACACGTGCCATGGTGGTTTGCTGCACCCATCAATCCGTCATCTACATTAGGTATTTCTCCTAATGCTATCCCTCCCCCTGACAGGCCCCAGTGTGTGATGTTCCCCTCCCCGTGTCCATGTGTTCTCATTGTTCAACTCCCACTTATGAGTGAGAACATGTGGTGTTTGGTTTTCTGTTCCTGTGTTAGTTTGCTGAGAATGATGGTTTCCAGCTTCATCTATGTCCCTGTAAAGGACATGAACTCATCATTTTTTATGTCTGCATAGTATTCCATGGTGTATGTGTGCCACATTTTCTTTATCCAGTCTATCATTGATGGGCATTTGGGTTGGTTCCAAGTCTTTGCTATTGTGAATAGTGCTGCAATAAACATATGTGTGCATGTGTCTTTCTAGCAGAATATTTTATAATCCTTTGGGTGTATACCCAGTAAAGAGATTGCTGGGTCAAATGGTATTTCTAGTTCTAGGTCCTTGAAGACTTGCCACACTGTCTTCCACAATGGTTGAGCTAATTTACACTCCCACCACATCCTCTCCAGGATCTGTTTTTTCCTGACTTTTTAGTAGTCGCCATTCTAACTGGTATTTCATTGTGATTTTGATTTGCATTTCTCCAATGACCAGTGATGATGAGCTTTTTTTCATATGTTTGTTGGCCACATAAATGTATTCTTTTGAGAAGTGTCTGTTTATATCCTTGGCTTGCTTTTTGATGGGATTGTTTGTTTTTTTCTTGTAAGTTTCTTGTAGATCTGGATATTAGCCCTTTGTCAGATGGATGGATAGGTTGCAAAAATTTTCTCCCATTCTGTAGGTTGCCTGTTCACTCTGATGATAGTTTCTTTTGCTGTGCAGATGCTCTTTAGTTTAATTAGATCCCATTTGCCAGTTTTGGTTTTTGTTGTCACTGCCTTTGGTGTTTTAGTCATGAAGTCTTTGCCCATGCCTATGTCCTGAATGGTATTGCCTAGGTTGTCCTCTAGGGTTTTTATGGTTTTAGGTCTCATGTTTAAGTCTTTAATCCATCTTGAGTTAATTTTTGTGTAAGGTGTAAGGAAGTGGTCCGGTTTCAGTTTTCTGCATATGGCTAGCCAGTTTTCCCAACACCATTTATTAAATTGGGAATCCTTTCCCTATTGCTTGTTTTTGTCAGATTTATCAAAGATTAGATGGTTGTCAATGTGTGGCATTATTTCTGAGACCTCTGTTCTGTTCCATTTGTCTATATATCTGTTTTGCTAACAGTACCATGCTGTTTTGGTTACTGTAGCATTGTAGCATCCTTTGAAGTCAGGTAGCGTGATGCCTCCAGCTTCGTTCTTTATGCGTAGGATTGTCTTGGCTATGCGGGCTCTTTTTTGGCTGCCTGTGAAATTTAAAGTAGTTTTTTCTAATTCTGTGAAGAAAGTCAATGGTAGCTTGATGGGGATAGCATTGAATCTATAAATTACTTTGAGTAGTATGGACATTTTCACGATATTGATTTTTCTTATGAGGATGGAATGTTTTTCCATTTGTTTGTGTCCTATTTCCTCAAGCAGTGGTTTGTAGTTCTCCTTGAAGAGGTCCTTCACATCACTTGTGAGTTGTATTCCTAGCATTTTATTCTCTCTGTAGCAATTGTGAATGGGAGTTCACTCATGATTTGTCCCTCTGTTTGTCTATTATTGTATAAGAATCACAAGTATAAGAATGCTTGTGATTTTTGCACATTGATTTTTGTCTCCTGAGACTTTGCTGAAGTTGCTTATCAGCTTCAGGAGATTTTGATCTGAGACAATGGGGTTTTCTAAATATGCAAATATGTCATCTGCAAACAGAGACAATTTGACTTCCTCTTTTCCTATTTGGATACCCTTTGTTTCTTTCTCTTGCCTGATTGCCCTGGCCAGAACTTCCAATACTGTGTTGAATAGGAGTGATGAAAGAAGGCATCCTTGTCTTGTGCCAGTTTTCAAAGGGAATGCTTCCAGCTTTTGCCCATTCAGCATAATATTGGCTGTGGGTTTGTCATAAATAACTCACATTATTTTGAGATACATTCCATCAACACTTCATTTATTGAGAGTTTTTAGCATGAAGAGGTGTTGAATTTTATCGAAGGCCTTTTCTGCATCTGTTGAGATAATCAGATGATTTTTGTCATTTTTTTTTTTACGTGATGGATTACATTTGTTGATTTGTGTATGAGAACCAGCCTTACATCCCAGAGATGAAGCAGACTTGATCATGGTGGATAAGCTTTTTGATGTGTTGCTGGATTCGGTTGCCAGTATTTTACTGAGGATTTTTGCATCGATGTTCATCAAGGATATTCGTCTGAAATTTTACTTTTTGTTGTGTCTCTGCCAGGTTTTGGTATCAGAAAGATGCTGGCTTCATAAAATGAGTTAGGGAGGAGTCCCTCTTTTTCTGTTGTTTGAAATAGTTTCAGAACGAATGGTACCAGCTCCTCCTGGTAGAATTTGGCTGTTGATCTGTCTGGTCCTGGGCTTTTTTTGATTGGTAGGCTATTGATTACTGCCTCAATTTCAGAATTTGTTATTGGTCTATTCAGGGATTTGACTTCGTCCTGGTTTAGTCTTGGGAGGGTGTATGTGTGCAGGAAGTTATCCATTTCTTCTAGATTTTCTAGTTTATTTGCATGGAGGTGTTTATAGTATTCTCTGATGGTAGTTTGTATTTCTGTGGGATCGGTGGTGATATCCCCTTTATCATTTTTTATTGTGTCTATTTTATTCTGCTCTCTTCTCTTCTTTGTTAGTCTGGCTAGTGGTCTATTTTGTTAATGTTTTCAAAAAACAGCTCCTGGATTCATTGATTTTTGAAGGGTTTTTCATGTCTCTATCTCCTTCAGTTCTGCTCTGATCTTAGTTATTTCTTGTCTTCTGTCAGTTTTCGAATTTGTTTGCTCTTCCTTCTCTAGTTCTTTTAATTGTGATGTTAGGGTGTCAATTTTAGATCTTTCCCTCTTTTTCCTGTGGGCATTTAATGCTATAAATTTCCCTCTAAACACTGTTTTAGCTGTGTCCTAGAGATTCTGGTATATTGTGTCTTTGTTCCCATTGGTTTCAGTGAACTTCTTTATTTCTGACTTAATTTTGTTATTTACCCTGTAGTCATTCAGGAGCAGGTAGTTCGGATTTGAGTGAGTTTCTGAATCCTGAGTTCTAATTTGATTGCACTGTCTGAGAAACTGTTTGTTATGATTTCCATTCTTTTGCATTTGCTGAGGAAGTTTTTACTTCCAATTATGTAGTCAATTTTAGAATAAGTGCAATGTGTGTTGAGAAGAATGTATATAATGCTGATTTGGGGTGGAGAGTTCTGTAGATATCTATTAGATCTGCTTGGCTGAGAGCTGAGTTCAAGTCCTAAATATTCTTGTTAATTTTCTGTCTCATTGATCTGTCTAATATTAAAAGTGGGGTGTTAAAGTCTCCCACTATTATTGTGTGGGAGTCAAAGTTTCTTTGTAGGTCTCTAAGAACTTGCTTTATGAATCTGGGTGCTCCTGTATTGGGTGCATATATATTTAGGACAGTTAGCTCTTCTTGCTGCATTGATCCCTTTACCATTATGTAATGCCCTTGTCTCTTTTGATCTTTGTTGGTTAAAGTCTGTTTTATCAGAGACTACAATTGCAACCCCAGCTCTTTTTCGCTTTCCATTTGCTTGGTAAATATTCCTCCATCCCTTTATTTTGAGCGTATGTGTGTCTTTGCACATGAGATGGGTCTCCTGAATACAGCACAGAGATGTGTCTTGACTCTTTATCAAGTTTACCCGTCTGTGTCTTATAATAGGGGCATTTAGCCCCTTTATATTTAAGGTTAGTATTGTTATGTGTGAATTTGACCCTGTCATTTTGATGCTAGCTGGTTATTTTGCCCTTTAGTTGATGCAGTTTCTTCATGGTGTTGACGGTCTTTACAATTTGATATGTTTTTGCAGTGGCTGGTACCAATTTTCCTTTCCATATTTAGCACTTCCTTCAGGAGCTCTTGTAAGGCAGGCCTGGTGGTGACAAAATACCTCAGCATTTGCTTGTCTGTAAAAGATTTTATTTCTTCTTTGCTTATGAAGCTTAGTTTGGATGGATATGAAATTCTGGGTTGGAAATTCTTTTCTTTAAGAATATTGAGTATTGGCACCCACTTTCTTCTGGCTTGTAGGGTTTCTCCAGAGAGATCAACTGTTAGTCTGATGGCCTTCCCTTTATGGGTAACCCAGCCTTTCTCTCTGACTACCCTTAACATTTTTTCCTTCATTTCAACCTTGGTGAATCTGACGATTATGTGTCTTGGGGTTGCTCTTCTCGAGGAGTATCTTTGTGGTGTTCTCTGTATTTCCTGAATTTGAATGTTGGCTTGTCTTGCCAGGTTGGGGAAGTTCTCCTGGACAATATTTTGAAGAGTGTTTTCCAACTTGGTTCCATTCTCCTGATCATTTTCAGGTACACCAATCAAATGTAGGTTTGCTCTTTTTACATAGTCCCATATTTCTTGGAGGCTTTGTTCATTCCTTTTCATCCTTTATTCTCTAATATTGTCTTCACACTGTATTTAATTAAGTTGATTTTCAATCTCTGATATCCATTCTTCTGCTTGATCGATTCAGCTATTGATATTTGTCTATGCTTCACAAAGTTCTCGTGCTGTGTTTTTCAGCTCCATCAGGTCATTTATGTTCTTCTCTAAACTGGTTATTCTAGTTAGCAATTCATCTAACCCTTTTTCAAGGTTCTTAGCTTTCTTGCATTGCATTAGAACATGCTCCTTTATCTTGGAGGAGTTTATTACCCACCTTCTGAAGCCTACTTCTGTCAATTCATCAAACTCATTCTCCATACAGTTTTTTTCCGTAGCTGGCGAGAAGTTGTGATCTTTTGGAGGAGAAGAGGTGTTCTGGTTTTTGGAATTTTCAGCCTTTTTGCACTAGTTTTTTCTCATCTTCATGGATTTATCTACCTTTGGTCTTTGATGTTGGTGACCTTTGGATGGGGTTTTTGTGTGGATGTCCTTTTTGTTGATGTTGATGCTATTCCTTTCTGTTTGTTAGTTTTCTTTCTAACATTCAGGCCCCTCTGCTGCAGATCTGCTGGTGGTCCTCTTCTTCAGACTTCTGTGCTGGCAGTGAGAATTTCAAGCCAGTGGATCTTACCTTTCTGGGCTCCATGGGGGTGGGATCTGCTGAGCTAGACAACTTGGCTCCCTGGTTCAGCCCCCTTTCCAGGGGAGTGAACAGTTCTGTCTCGCTGGCATTCCAGGTGCCACTGGGGTATGAAAAAAAGGAAAACTCCTGCAGCTAGCTCGGTGTCTGCCCAAATGGCAGCCCAGTTTTGTGCTTGAAACCCAGGGTCCTGTTGATGTAGGCACCCAAGGGAATTTCTTGGTCTGTGGGTTGTGAAGACCATGGGGAAAGCATAGTATCTGGGCCAGAATGCACCTTTCTTCACAGCACAGTCCCTCATGGCTTCCCTTGGCTAGGGGAGGGAGTTCTCCAACCCTTGTGTTTCCCAGGTGAGGTGGCGCCCCACCCTACTTTGGCTCACCCGTGGGCTACACCCACTGTTTAACCAGTCCCAATGAGATGAGTACCTCAGTTGGAAATGCAGAAATCACCCACCTTCTGCATTGGTCTCACTGGGAGCTGCAGACCGGAGCTGTTCCTACTCGGCCACCTTGCCAGCCACCCTGAAAAGTGAACTTTTAAGTTACATAGGTCTGAGCCATGTGTTCTAAAATATATTGTTGTTTTGACTTCAATTTAAGTGAGATTTGTGCTTTTTAATAGAAGGTTGCACATTTTTCTTCTCTTTTAAAGCTTAACAGAAATTCAAAGGCACACATTATAGAAAAGTGAAGCTCTAGGTTGATAATAAAATAAGATAAACCACAAAAAAATCTGCCTTTTATTAACATAGTTCTTGTCCCATGTCAAAATTCAAGCACTAGAGTTTTGTATTCAGCCTTATTGAGTCAGTTAGCTAACTCTATGCTTTGCTTCTATGTGGCTGCTTGTTTTAGTGAGGCAGAGCCTTGACTATAGTAGTTATCCAACACATTTGTTGAAGTATATTGAGATAAAGAGCTATAAGAACATTTGAGCCTATTTGAATTGCTTGGCAAAGAACTATATATTCAATGTTCACAAATTTTATGGAATTGGGTCTTCTTAAATAGAGAAAGAATTTGAATCATGGAGGAGTTTCTAATTATGCCTACTATATTGGCAACTATAATGTTGTATAAGTCAGATCTCTTTTAAGTAATAAAACCTCAGCTGAAACTGGTTCAAGAGATAGACAATAGATAGATAGACAGATGGACAGATAGAGTTTTTTAGCTCAGGAAATAATGTTTCATAAGTAGTTTGGATTTGATTTAGGAATTCAAATAATGTAATCTGGATTTATTCTCTTTCAGACACATATGTGCATGGGCACACCCACACAGACTTACACACACTTCTGCTTTCTTGGTTGTTGACTTCATTCTCCAGTAGCTCACTCCCTCTACGTAGTTGACTCCAAATTTCTAGGCTTACACTCTCATATCTTAGCAAGTGGTCCTGGTAGAAAAGTGATCATCCCTAATTGAATAGACATAAAAATGTCCCAGACTTGAGAATCATTCCTTAAAGTCAGCTGCTCTCTCTGTGGGCACAGAGATGAACTGGACTGGCTCTCATCATAGGTCTGTGTTTGTGTCTGGGGTATAGGCTCCAGGGACATAGATCAGTCCCGTGTCTGGGATATAAGTTCCAGGGATATAGGTTGGTCCCTCCTGAAAGTGAATGAAAATAGAGACAGATGGCTCACCACATGAAATATCATTGTGTTAATTCCAGATGAACTGTTAAAAACTATTAAAATAAGTAAATACAGTCAATGTTCACAACTGGTATGAAACATAGTAGTGAAAAAACATAAGGGAAAATTATATACTGTAACATCACACTTGGCTTATGGTCTTCATTAATATCTCTTAACTTCAACATGAACCTCACACAATGATTTAGTGTCCTCAACTCCAATGATCTCCATTCATTAGAAAACAGAAGTCAGTGTTTGTGGCTTAAACTACGGTAGGTACTGAAGACAAGTCTTGGCATACATATGGGATGGAGGTAGCTTAGTGCTGTAGGTTTGAAACCATGTGGAGCTAAACAGTCTCAAAATTCCACACCCACATTGCCAACTCTATCTGCATATACCTTAGTATGACAAATTCAATTATTCCAACAGTAAACTAATTCAGTATGTCTCAAGCTGAACTGATTCTTTCCTGCCAAATCAGTTATCTTCTAACTTTCTATTAAACTCCTCATGATTCTTCATTGGAAGCTTCCCCATAATGGGTTCTACAACATATTTTGTTTTTTAAAAATTAATTTAAATTTTGAGTATATAATTAATTCACTTTTAACAGTAAAAGGTTTTTCTCTCTTCTTTATCTGTTAGCTCCCTGTATGATAGTGTACACAAACACTACTATAAATTTCTTATAGGTTATCTTTTTAAAGATACATATGTATACACAAAAATGCATACTTAGGTTAGTCTAAAATAAGTTATGTTCCAGGATCTACCTTATTTTTAAAAATACATATTTTTTCAAGAGACAGAGACTCACTGTGTTGCCCAAATGAAATGCAGTGGCTATTCACAGGCTTGATCCCACTACTGATCAGCCTGGGTGTTTGGATCTGCTCCACTTCTGACCTAGGCTAATTCACACCCCTAGGCAAGCTGGTGGTCCCCCACTCCAAGAGGTCACTATATTGATACCAAACTTATTGTGGATAACCTAATTAGTATAGCAAACTGCAGCCCAGAGCTCTAGGGCTCAAAAAATCCTCCCGCCCCAGACTCCCAAGTAGCAGGGACTCTAAGCACCTGCCACAGTGCCTGGCTGGGCTCTACTTTTTATCCCTTTACAATATATCTTATAGCTTGTTTTTATATCAATTTAAAATAAACAATCTCATTTTAAAATGGATGCCTAATATGACCTGATATCCTTGCATATAATATATGTACCAGTCCTTTTTTGATGAGCATAAATTTCCAACTTTTTGCTGTTCCAAGCAATGCTGCAATAAGTAACACTGTACATATATTACATATATATTTTATTATTGAGTTTTAAAATCTCTTTGTATATAATGGAAATTAAGCTCTTGTCTATAAATTCTAAAGTTTTTTTATTCAAGTATGTAATAGCCATGCTCACAGAGAGGAAGAATCAACATTGTTAAAATGGCCATACTGCCCAAAGCAATTTATAGATTCAATGCTATTCCTATTAAATTACTGTTGATATTCTTCATAGAACTAGAAAACACTATTTTAAAATTCATGTGGAACAACAACAACAAAATATCCAAAAAACCAAGGCAACCCTAAACAAAAAACAAAGCTGGAGGCATCACAGTACCCGACTTCAAACTACAGTAACCAAACAGCATGGTACTGGTACAAAAACAAACACATAGACCAATGGAACAGAAGAGATAACACAGAAATAAGGCCACACACCTACAGCTATCTGATCTTCGACAAAGCTGTCAAAAACAAGCAATGGAAGAAGGATTCTCATTTCAATAAATGGTGCTGGGATAACTGCCTAGCCACATGCGGAAGATCGAAACTGACCCTTTCCTTATACCACATACAAAAATTAACTCAAGATGGATTAAATACTTAAATATAAAACCCAAAAGTATAAAAACCCTGGAATACAACCAAGGCAATACCATTCTGGACATAGGAATGGGCGAAGATTTCATGATAAAAACACCAAAAGCAATTGCAACGAAAGCAAAAATTGACAAATAGGATCTACTTAAACTAAGGAACTTCTGCACAGCAAAGGAAACTCTTGACAGAGTGAACAGATAACTTATATATTGGGAGAAAATATTTGCAAACTGTGCATCTGACTAAAGTTTAATATCCAGCATCGATAAGAAACTTAATGAAATTTACCAGAAAAAAATAAGCAACCCCATTGAAAAGTGAGCAAATGAAATGAAGATGCTTTTCAAAACAAGACATGTGTGTGGCCAAAAATCAAATGCAAAAAAGCTCAACATCACTGATCATTAGAGAAATGCAAATCGAAACCACAGTAAGATACCATTTCACACCAGTAGGAATGGCTATTAATAAAAAGTCAAAAAAGTAACAGATGCTGGTAAGGTTGCAGAGAAAAAGGAATGCTTATACACTGTTGGTGGGATTGTAAATTAGTTCAACCATTGTGGAAGACAGTGTGATGATTCCTCAAAAACCTAAAAACAGAAATACCATTCAACCTAGCAATCCCCTTACTGGATACATACCCAAAAGAATCTAACTCATTCTATTGTAAAGACACATGCACACTTATGTTCATTGCAGCACTATTCACAATAGCAAAGACATGGAATCAACTTAAATGCCCATCAAGGTACACTGGATAAAGAAAATGTGGTATATATACACCATGGAATACTATGTAGCCATAAAAAAAGGACATCATGTCCTTTGCAGAAATATGGATGGAGCTGGAGGCATTACCCTTAGCAAATTAATACAGAAAAAGAACCAAATACTGCATGTTCTCACTTATAAGTGGGAGCTAAATGATGAGAACACGTGGACACATGGAGTGGAACAACACACACTGGCACCTATTGGACATTGGAGGGTGGGAGAAGGGAGAGCATCAGGAAAAATAACTAATGGGCACTAGGCTTAATACTTGCATGATGAAATAATCTGTACAACAAACCCCCTTGACACAAGTTTACCTATATAACAAACCTAAACATGTACCCCTGAACTTAAAATAAAAATTAAATTAAAAAAATAAAAACTAAAGTGTGTGGGTTCTAAATTCAGAAAAATCATATTTCCGAGTTTTGGACCTACATATTGAAGCTGTGTGAACCAAGACTAACTTCCATGTAATGTGCAACTTATGAAAGTATCTATAGGACTCTATTTCCTCATCTATGTAATGGGGTTAGTAAGACTCAGTTGCTATGAGAAATAAATGAGGTGATGCCTTCAAGCCACTGATTATTTTCATTGACATAATATTTGAATTTGCATCATTGGGTAGACTGAACCTCTTTTATAACATTGGATATATACTCTGCTTTATAAGATAACCTCACCATGTAAGATAATTGCCATGCATAATGTTCAAAGGATCAATATAGACCACTCACATGGCTTGAGGATGAAGACATGTCAGCGTTTGAACCAATTTGTTAAGCAACAACTACTAGAAAACAGATGCCTCAAAAAAATCCCAATTGAATATTAAGAATTTTGTCAGTCTTCAAGAAAAAAAAAAGGTACTGTATACCTTCACAGTCAAAATACTGGAGATTTAAGGTGACTGGAATACTGCCAATTCTTTTGTTTGAAATTGATTTGCCCTTTGAAGTGTTTTGGCAGAATTTTGGCCTCATTCTCCCTTTTCCCAACAAATGCACCTATCCGGCTACCATAAAGAAGTTACAGAAATGTTTTGCTTTATATAATCAAGGGAACTAGCTAAACTTGAAGAATCTGCCTGAAAACCCATAATCCAGGGTGACTATCTCTATGTTTTATCAAATTGGTTTAAAAAGTGCAGGATCTTTACTTCTGGTAACTTCAGGTGATGCTCTGTGCACATGCTCACTGCCTTATCTTGAGAGAACAAGAACCAGGGAATAATGTTTCCTGATTTCCTGCTTGAAATCCCTTAGGTGAACATTATCTCCCATCTCCCTATTTACTTGTAAACAAAGCATAACAAAATAAAATCCAGAAGATTGAGAGTGTTGGTTCTTTCAGAAACTTCCCTTTTGGTGAAAATCATTAGTCAGTGAAAAATAGCTCTTCACCTAGGAGACAAATAAATTAGAAAAGGCCAATATGTTTGTGAGAATTTCAGGGAAAGTATAAATGGAAGAACCAGATTCACAAGGAAAAAATATTTCTTCAATTCAGAGAGGACACTAGAACAAAACAAAACAACTTGATTTAATACAATCAGAGGGAGAAAAACATTTAAAATGTGTTGTGTGTAGGTATGTAATGCCCTAACGGAGACAGATATTTATTACGTATCATTTATTCAAAATTTTAGTGTGCCTGTGTGTTGTTGTGTATTTGTTGTACAAGTTTCTGAGTAATACTTCCACCAGTTTCAGTTCAGCAACCTTTGGAATTTGTTGAGAAAAGCCAGGAACTGTACTGTAGGGTCAGAATGGCTGACTTCTCTCCATGCTTTCACTCGGGTAACGAGGCAAGCTGTCATAACTATGGTTTCTGGTGTACAGGGGAGGTTTTGACTCCAATGTCATAAATCTCAGCAGTAGAAATAATCAAATAGGTAAGTTCTTTTTGTAGGGCATGTCAGTACATGTCCTCTGCCCAATTTCTAAAGTATAATGTATCTCTTGGGTTTTCAAAGTCAGGCACAAAATCCTCAGTTTAGAATGTACACAGTGACCCTCACCATTACTGAATGAATTGCTTCATGCTGTACTGTCCAGAAATATCAGAGAGTAGGTCTCTGTGTTTAACAAACACAGCACTGACTCTGTTTGGTTCTTGCATTTGACTAGGTTAGCAGTTGTCAACTCGGGGTGAATTTGCCCCCGCCTCCCCAGGGGACATCTGGCAATGTCTGATCATGTGTTTAATTATCACACCTGTAACCCAGTGGGTAGAGGCCAGGGACCCTCCTCCACCACCCAAATGTCAATGGTGCCAAAGTTGAGAAACCTTGGGTTAGTTTTTGGGTTGAGCACAAATTCAGATAAAAACATAACTCAGCTCCTTAAATAAAAATTTGATAAAGGAAATGTAACAATGAATATACTGAAATTTCATTTTGAAGTCCCTGAGATTTTGTCATATAAAAACATGTGGGCACAGTTTCTTACCCCTTTAATTCTAATTCTCTTCTGATAAGTGGATTTTGCCAAGTGAAAGAAGACTGAAACTTATCTTCTCTAGGAGAAAAAAATAACTTGGTTGTTTGCATTGCAGTAGCTCAATTATGAATAATCTATAATTTTCCAACCCTTGAGAAATGGCTTTTAGCTATTTTTCTTTTTTTTCTCTAAGAAAATGTAAGATTAAAATGGTTTTTACCTATGCAGGTATACCTTGCCTTAAGCAAGTTCTATATATACGAAAACACAAATTTATAAAGAATATTAATCTGAGCCAAGTGTTTGCTTTAGAAAAAGAATTTGTTGCTTTAAAAAAGACAGTGTGGGAAGTTTCCTGCAAATTTTTAAATCATGGCACATTTACAGATAGTTTGACCCATTTTCTGCTTTGGGAAACACATAAATATTAATTGAAAAATTAAAAATATAAAATTAGCGAATCAATTAGCCATCTTAAAAATATCTGCTAATTTTCTAACAGAAATCGCTTCATTTGGCTGAGTAAATACAATAGTTGAAGTGTAGGCTTTACATAAGTATTGTATCTATTAAACAGGTTCCAATAATGTTCTTTTCTTTTCTCTACACTGCTATCATTCTTCTGTGAAGAATGGTACCTTAATCTTATATTGAGGTAATCATTCTTATGTGAAAAACTGCCAAAATTAAGACTTTTTGTTTTTCTTATCAGTCTAAGTTTTCAGGGGTGTTAACACAACTGAACAGGCTTACATCTAATGCAGTATTGCATCATGGATATGTCAAATACATATTGAAAATCACAAGAAAAAATAGAATAACAGCATTAAATATAATCCAACCCAAATCCCTAGCAACTATTTTCAAAATTTCTGCAAAATGCACACTTTATTCACTTATTCATTCATCCCTTCTAGCAACAATTATATATCTAGTACCTGTGGGATTTTAGTACCCAGGAGAGGCACTCTAGCACCTGCATCTTTGGTTATGGCTATTCAGTTTTTAAACCACATAGGCAAGGTCCTTCCCTAAGTTTACAGTATAGAGGTAAAGAGGATGAGTGAAACTCAGTCTGCTCAGTGGACAGCTGATGAAGGGCAGGGCCATGAAACTGTACAGAAGCAGCAAAACTAGCTTTGTCCAGAGAGTCAGGGACAACCTCTTAGAGAAATAACTTAGGAAGAAAATCTTTTAGGAGATCCAAGAAAAAGAGATGACAAATGAGAAGATAACCTCCTTAAGTGCCCATGGAAATTTGAAGTTCACTTCAAACCATTCATTACATTGTTATTTAATAAACTCAGATATAGTGGTGGGAGCATTTATTTGTAATAGAATCCAAAAGCTAGACTAGAATATATAGAAGATTTTTTTTAATAATCAGTACCTAAAAGTGTATCAGTGATATAATCTCCAGAGTAGATTCACCCTTTTTTTTTTTTTTTTTTTTTTTTTTTTTTTTTTTTTTTTTTTTTACTGACAGGAGTCTATCTTTGACCAGGGTATAGATTCAAAGAGTAAATCCATAATCGATGAGCTGCGTACCCGTGGAGAATTCATGAGTCTACTCTGAGTCTCAGTTTTGTCATTCTTAAAATAGGCATAATATCTACCTTTAGAATTTTGTCCTGAGAATTCAAGGTAACTCCATAATTTCTAGCTCATGGCAGGTACACATCAAGTGGTAGTTTAATTTTTCTCCTAACTAAAAGAAATTGGTCATCAAATATAAAAACATAGTTCCCAGACAAAAATTACTTTTTAAAGATAAATGATAAATCTACATATATATAATACATATATTATCTGTGAAAAGCATTATAAAATAATTTCTTAATTTCGTATAAGAGAAATAATTTAAAAAGAACATTTGATAAGATGGACTGGCAAACCTGAAAGAGATTTTTATTATTGGAATATAAAAAAATTATATAAAATTGTTAAACATGACAAAAATGGAAGATGAGTAATAAGCAAAGACTAAAGTAATATGTACACAAAACTGTATGATATGGAAGATAATCAATTCATATTTAAACTATTACATTTTATAGTAGGCTGAATTATGAGCCCCAAAAATATCTCTGTCCTGATTTTCAGAACCTGTCAATATGTCAACTTGTGCAATAAAAGGGACTTTGCAGATGTAATTAAGTAAAAGATCTTAAGATGAGGAGATTATCCTAAACTATCTGGGTGAACCCAATGTAACCAAGCGTTAGGATTTTTATAAGAAGGTGGTGGGAAGATGAGACTTAGTAATAGGAGGTGTCACTTTAGAAGCAAGAGGTTAGTGTGACGCAAGAAAGGGCCTGAGAGCCAGGGAATGGAGGAAGCTGGAAAAGGCAAGAACGTGAACTCTCCCTCTGAGCCTCCAGTGCAATGTAGCTTGGCCAACACCTAGATTTTGGACTTCTGACTGCCAGATCGGTAGGGTAATAAATTTTTATTAGTTTACCCACTACGTTTGTGGTAATTTGTTACAGCAGCAATTAAAAAAAAACTAATACAAGTCTAAACATGCCCAGGTGTTCAGAAAATCATGTGAAGGAAGACGGCTGACAATGGCTGACACAATAAATGAATTGAACAGAGAATGTCAGAAACCAAAATGTATTATAGATGTATATTTTCTGTTGCAAAAGTAAGCAAAAACATATTTATTTATTTATTTATTTATTTATTTTTGAGACGGAGTCTCGCTCTGTCGCCCAGGCTGGAGTGCGGTGGTGCGATCTCGGCTCACTGCAAGCTCTGCCTCCTGGGTTCACGCCATTCTCCTGTCTCAGCCTCCCGAGTAGCTGGAACTACAGGTGCCCGCCACCGCACCTGGCTAACTTTTTGTATTTTTTTAGTAGAGACGGGGTTTCACTGTGTTAACCAGGATGGTCTCGATCTCCTGACCTTGTGATCCACCCGCCTCGGCCTCCCAAAGTGCTGGGATTACAGGCCTGAGCCACCACGCCCAGCCACAAAAACTTTTTATATATTTAGAATTACACAGTTTCGAACCATATTAAATCCATTTTATAGCAGTATGAAATGAGACGAGGATAATGTGTATTGAAATACCCTGCGACATTTGTAGAATAATATGGAAGTAGCCTAGAGATACCTCGTTCCTCAGTGAGATGCATTGCCATTTTTGTTTATTAACAAAATCCTCCTGGTCACCATTTCAGCTCACCCAGAAGTTAAACTCCTTATTCTGTATGTTTGTTCATTTGTAATTAATGATAAGTGTTTTTTAGTGTTAGCGTCTTCGTAGTTAGCACGAAGGAGCTTTACAGAAGCCTCAACTTGTTTCTCGAATTTTAGTAAAGTTGATTTCACCATAGAGCAACTCCTCTTTGTGTATTTACATATCTCTATTACTGTAATTTTAATTTACTGAGCAAGAGTCAACATCTATATCATTATGTGTGATTAGACAAAGAAGATCTATTAACGTTTTCCTAAACTTATACTGCTTTCCCCCCATGGTTGACCCTACCATATGAAAAAGAGACTCGTGGTTGAAATGGTACGTTGGATGAAAACAATGAATGACAATAAAGTTGGAGAGAGGGGAGAAACAGCTGCTGGAAAATCTCTCTTATCCAATGTCCAGAATGCTGATTGTTTTGGGGAGGAAGTAAATTTGTATTGGCTTAGGGGAAATCAGTTTGTGGACAATACTGGTTTGGGGAAACTTTGTTACATTTCTAATTTCCTGACCTGGGTCGTTACAATCAAACAAAATTTTATTCTTTTCACTTGCACTCCAGATGGAAGAAAATGTAAACAGCTGTCCAAGCGGTGATGGAGCCTTTTCTTCCACATTCTTGCATGTCATTATGTTAGAGATTTACTTTTTCAGCAAATTGAAACCTCTAAACCAAGCAATCAAATTTTTCCCCCTCTCCCTCTCTTTGTATTCCAACTGTCATCAATTGCTTACTTTCAGAAATAGTTTTCTAAAGATGAAGCTCTGTTGAATATGCATGGTCATTATCATATTTACTCTCATCAGTACCATATAGCATTATGTTGTTTACAATAATTAGCTGCTGGAGGCAATCCTGTAAACACAGCCATGTGACAGCCCAAATGGAGAGAATCAAGTCATTGTTAAGAAAGAGAATAGGTATGCGCCGGTTGGACTCCTATGCTGTGGTTATTGGTGGTGATTGCAATGTATGGGTCCAGTCCAAAAAGAAATCTCTTACTCAATACTTCTCTAGTTGCTGGGCACATATGAAAGAAATGAAGACATGAGGGAATTCAGATGGTTAAATAAAGCTAACAAGACAGATTTTTCTTTTTAAAATTTTGTTTAAGTCTGTGGGCTAACCATATTCACTTAGGAAGCAATACATACAGTAAAAATGCAAAATTAATATATTTAACTTAAACAAATTTAGATTTATGCATAGGGTATGCCCCTATTTAGGGTACACCCCTATTACTCATATTAAGCAGACAGTTGATGCAATCACACAGAAAACAATCAATGCAAGCTATCAAAATCTATGAAAGTATGTATAAAGTTTATTTCAGGGTTTCCTGACCATTAGAAAGAATTAAAATTCACTGTTTAAGCGAGCCTCAAGTAGATAGTGATAAAATTATCACTATTCTCAGGGAAGAAATTGAAGAAAATTGAGGGCAATAAAGAAATATTACTAATATAGAATTAGAGGAGCAGATATATATGTGTGTGTGTATATATATATATATATATATATATATACACACACACACACACACAAAGCTTTATGTGTTACTTAATGGGAGTTTTATAAGCTTTTCAAGGATTATTTTAATTTTATGGAATTGCTGCTTTCCTTGAACTGCCTCGAAAAATGTTACTCCACAATCTATTAACTAATTCAACACACATTTATTGAGTACCTCCTAGATTGAAGGCACTACTCCATGGAGAAAACATGAATAATCAGACACTTTTGCTTTTAGGAGCTGACAGTCTCAATGGTACTGATACATCAAAGTAAAATGTGATGCAATTTCATAGCAGAATCAACAGTGTGCTAACCAAGCATGAAGAAGTATGGAAAGTGATGTGAGAGGAAAAACTCTTTATAATTTGTTCATTAAAATATATTGCAGTTTTAGAGTTCCATTGTGTTTACCAAATTATCAAGAGAATACAGAAAATTCCAATAAATAGAGAAGAAGTGGGTAAAATGTAGGTCTTTACTAGCTTATTTTAAGATAGAGTAAATGTATATTAGTGCATATACTTTTGTGTTTTGCTTTTTCTTTTAGTGAGAGAGGGCATAATTTTCAAAGCTGTGTTGTGGCTAGATAGGGAATACACAATTTAGATAGTGAAACAATCAAGCCCATTCTAAGTGCCAAAAGTTTAATCCCTTAATGAGAATCTAAAAAAGTTTTTTTTTTAAGTGTCTCTGAGAAATACTAATGGTAACTTTAAAAATGTATATATTTATATGCTTACTTTTATTAGCGATTCTTAGTAAGCTCCCCCATACCAATAATCTCATATTACTGAGCAATCACTCCATGTAGTTAGAGCAAAAGTCTTCTGCTGTTGTACGGAAAAATTGATCTTTAGGCTGTGTAGTGGATGTTGTTGTTGATTGGCACAGATCTTTTCTGGGTCTGCACTTGTCCATCAACTGCTGTGAGTATTATCTCAATGGTTGTCTTTTCTCGGCCAAGCCAGAGCCCCTACGGCTAGGAAGGTATGCTGCTCTCTACCTACCCTCTTCCAAAGCCCAGAGCCAAGACTGACTGTTTTTCTTGCCATAAAATGGAATCAACTTTCTGGCACTATCCATACTCTGGAGCTTCCCACTGGACAGGCTGAAGTTAGGTTATAGCTACTTAGCTTTTTCCCCCTGGCTTATCCTGCTTTTTTTACTCCCCTTATCCAGAGAGCACGTGTCCAGTACATTACTGGAAAAAAGAATTCTCATCTCAGACTCTCTTCTAGGGAGCCTGAACTAAGTTAATATCCCTACATTCCCAGTACCTAACCCAGTGCCTGACATATGTCAAATTCAGTTAGTGATAATTGAATGAATGCTGAATGACGTTTGCATTCATGGTATTAGCCATTTGGCAATACTCAGGACTCTCAGTTTATTGCAGGATGTATGTCTTGATAGACCTCTCTACACTACAACATTCAAAAGGGAAATCATTTTAGTGACCACTTACAGATTCATGAAGTACAACATTGAAAATCCACTGACATTTTTGTTCTTTGCTTTTTTTTTCTGGTTCCTCTCTACTTAAGGAAGTCAATTTTAGAGGTGATCCACTTATCTGATACTAGATTCAGCCAAGTTGCAGAAGCAACAACCAACACAACTAAGAACAAATAAAATGAAAATAAAAATAAAAAAATCTGGAGTTTAAAAACCAAGCGTGTTGTAGTCAATAAAGTGTTAAAATTTTTTAAAAGTTTTCAAAAATACATGCTGTAAATAAACTGAGGATAGACTAGCTGCACAGCCTCAATAAAAATATTGAAGACATTATGAAATGGTACACTTGCATGATGATTTATAATTTACACATGGGTATTAATTTGAAACTACCCCAAAAAATACAGCCTACTTACATAGCTTCAGAATTTAACCCTTCTCCCATTTTTCCCCCAAAAGTGTCCAATTATCTCCTGTCAGACCTGACAGTGAGTTATCTTGTTAAAGAGCTTGCAATTCCATTATAGACAAGCTCCAAATATTGATTTGTGCCTTTTATTTCCTTGGTCTTTGACATCATTGTAGGACTAAAAATGTTCAAATCTGTTGCTGCATGACAGAAAGAAAATGGTCAAGAGATCTCAGATACATCAAAAAATAGTTTACTGAATTTATACTTCACAAGACACTGTTTTTGTAGTGTAGGCCTACGTGGGTCCAAAGGAGAACCAAGTACAAAAGTGTGAGCAGGGAACAGCTTTGGAACACACTCAGTAAAGGTACCTGGAAGGGGCTTGTCAGGGAAGCCTCCATGGAGTGGCCTCAGAGAGGCACACTGACATCATGGCAGCCAACAGAGAAGGAAATATTGTCTTAAACAGAATTCACAATGCCTATTTTGTAGGCATGCAAATTATTAAATATTTAATGTGAGCTCTTGGGGTAAAGCAAACAAATATATAAACAAAAACTCTTTGTCTCTTTACCCTTTGAAATCTATGTCACCATAAATAGCTAGAAAAATGCTCATTGAACAAATAAATGAATGAGTGAATGAATGAACGATAAATTCAGAATAATTACTTTGTATTTATTTGGCACTAGATGAGGGAATAAAATATGTTCCTTGAACTCCAGTTTTCATAATCAGTTTGTTCACCTGTAATTGATGATTTTCACTTGATTTTAGGAATTTTTGGTGTGATAATAGGTGGATTTGAAAATGTCAGGTTTTATCATTAAATAAATAGTATTCTAATAGAGAAAGTAGAAATTGAATAATTATCTAATAAATTCCAACAGTGAGAACTACTAAGTTGGATAACCACCCTGAAGTAATTTGTATTTTTCTTTCAGAGTAAATTCTTTTAACATATGTTTAATTTCTTTAAATGACTCCACTCAACCTAAGATAATAAGAATAGCAGTGGCTTTTTAGAGCATTCAGATTTCAAATACATTTTCTGGTAATAATGTTTCTACCAAATAAAAGAGGATTAACTCTGTAGAGTATTTTAAAGTTGTGTTCTTACCGTATAATCACATAGACATTTATAGTTAATGCTACATTTCTTCCATTTGCAGATTTAACTAACACTTTCATGAACATTGTTCCATTTTTTTTGTTCCAGTAGTTTATCTTTACAATAAACAGGTAACTATAAGCAAAGTGCTATCCTGAGTTCTGTGAATCCTTCTAGAAAATTATGGAATCTGAGACAATGTAATGGGAACCCCCAGATTTATAGCCTGTGGGTCAGGACCCAATGGGAATTGGTTACTGACATATTAAGTGAGAGCAGTCTTGTGGGACTGAGACCTTAACCTGTGGGCCTGTGCTATCTAAAGACAGTGTCAGAATGGAATTGAATTATTGGATATTCAGGTAGTGTCAGAGAGCTGGAGAAGACACAGCATATTTGATGTCAGGAGGAAAAGATCCTTTTATCAACTGAGTCAAATTTTGAGCTACACTATAAAAGAAAAATGTCGAAATTGAAAAAATTTTAAATACAATTAAATGTGTACAGATAGACACAAAAACACTGAGTGGAATAACTTGGAGATAAATTTGAAAAAATATCCCTTAATTAAGATAAAAAACAGTCAAGGAGAGACAGAGAGTAAGAAAAGATATAACAAATTTCATTGGATCAATCCGATGAATTAAACACAAATTTATTATAATCTTTTAGAGACAAAAAGCAGACTAAGAGTGGGGGAAGGTGTCATCAAATAAAAAAAATTACCAGCACTTGAAAGACACAAATGTGTGTAGGAATACAGAGAATCTAAACTGATAAGTGAGAGGAATTTTTAAAAATAACATACCTAAACATACCATCATAAGATCTCAAAACACCAACAGAATGTGCTAAAACTTCCAGAAAAAAGAAATCTACAAAATATTGAGAATCAGGCTGGCATCACATATCACATCATTAAAACTAGTCTCTAGGAAATAATGCTTTCAAAGTTTGTCAGGAAATTATTTTGACTATAAATCCTATTTCAGTCAAATAACCAATGCCAAAATAAATATTTTTCAGACAAGAAGACTCACGGGATATTTGCAGGTATGTGCCAGAAAAACTTAGAGTGAAAACCAAGAGAAAGGAAGATTTGAGATACAAGAAACAATGACAATAACTTAGAAGTGCAATGAAAATAAGCCTCAGGATGATGCCCAAAAAGGGACCAATTTAGAAAAGGAAATTCTAAGAATCTAAGTTGAATGTCTTCAGAAAATGAAATGGAGTCAATTAGAAGTAATAATGAATAATAAATTAGAAAATGCTAATTAATATTTGAAAAATATTTTCCTTCTCTGGACAAGAAAAATATAAAATAAATGAGAAAATTACAAAAATACAAGGCATCCAAGTTTCAAATAAAAAGTAAAATAAAATGTACTATGATCCTAAGCAACTGATGAGTTCAGAAAATAAACAATTTATCTGGACGTGACTCAAGAAATAGTTTTTATTAAATGTCTTAGAAGTAGTGGACACTGAAACCACAGGAAAGAAAAGTGAATCCAAAATAGTTTAAATGTTGCTAATGGTTTTCAGTATTTCAAATCAATTGGTAGAAAACCCACAGAAGTCTTAATTATGTTTACTGGACCAAAAACAATGTTATCACAACTGACAAATGTAAAGGAAACTAGAGGCTGGTGGACAAAGTTGAAGGAAGAGTAGGAATACTATTTTTTTTTGTTTTTTTACATAGTGGAGTGTGTAGAAATAGTTTCTAAATGTGATGAAATAGTGAGATGTTTAGGTGTAGTATTTGCAGATTTAAAGGTAACCAACAGGATAAAAATAATAAAGCTCAAGATATAGGGAGAAAAGTTATCTGATAAATCCTTGTGTTAGTAGAAGCCGGAAGATGCTGTCTAAAGTTACTTAAGCAAATAGAACTACAAATAAGTATTTGTAAACTAAACATAGCATTTTGAATATAAAATTTGAAATAACTGAAACCCCATAAAGTTAAAAGTACTTGCATCTGGGAAGGATAGCTCAGCATGAGGAGGGGCAGAATGCAATCATTGGTAAAACACAAAGCAAATCTTTGCTTTTCTTCCACATTCAAAAGTGCCAAAATCACCTATTTTAAGAGTAAAACTAAATAATAAAAAATGCAACAATTTTATTTCCATTTCTTTGTTTCTCATAACATTTGTTAATAGTTCTTGAGAACCTCTTCCAACCCTTTCAGCCTCCTGTCTTGTGTCAGCTGATTCTGTGCAGTCTTTGACCAGATTCACACAACTGCCATCTGACAGCATTTGCCTCCAGTCCTGCATTGTGCCCTTTGTTTTCTGCCTCAGGGCTTCTGTGTCCTCACAGCTGTGAAATACCCATGACTACCTGTTTAACATACACATATACACACAGCAGATGGCACATGTATACATAGGAAACAAACCTGCATGTTATGCACATGTACCCTAAAACTGAAAGTATAATTTTAAAAAATAATTTAAAAATTTTTTTTTAAAAAAAAGAAGTGTGAAGGAGTTAATGACCTTCTGGGACAAATCTAACAAAAAGGGAGTCAGAAGCTGGGGGAAAGATGCTTCTGAGACTTACTTAAGTTTCAAGTGGTGCAATGGGACAGAGCAACAAGTCATCATAGCAATAGAATAGACAATGACACATCCTTGTATTGACTCTTCTTTCTTGTCTCCGCCATCCCTCACGCTTCTTGAGTTCATATTCTGGATTTAACCACCCACATGGAAGCCACTATCTCTGGTTCTGCTTTGAAGAAAACCAAGGCTAAGACCCAAAGACCATAAGCATAATTGGCAGTAAGGCCTGAGTGACAGCAAAATGCCTTTACTGTAGGAATCAGTGGCGACTAATAGATTATGATATTCCTTTGGATGTAAAACATTGCCAGTCTACTAAGGGGTTACTGGACTTGTGATATTAAAAACAAAAGTTTAAAAGAGAGCTAAGGAGCAGAAGGCTGATATCAAAGATCACAATGAAAAATCCACGGTGTTTTTGAGTTGTAAATTTCCATATGTCACTTCTAACCCAGGGCTACTTGGCTACCTGATTCGAGGTGGACCAGGAAGAGCCTGTAATGACACTACAATTGTACATAGTAAAAATGCCTCTGATTCTTCCTTAGAGAGAACTGTGGCCATTTACCACCATACTTGTACTCTGGAAGGAGGAATATCCAGAATTTGGAGAATTTTTGAGAATTGTCGGATATAAGTCTGAACTGACGCCTGTCAAGCTATGATAGTCCACTAGTTAATGTGGACTTTGGAATCCAGATTGAAAAAAAAAAAAGGCTGACCCAAGTCTGTGTGTGCACTGTATATATGGACCAATTATTTGGTTATTTCCCCAATTCCTTAATATAAAATTGGATAGATATGCCTAATTGTCAGCCAGCAAAACCTTCAAATTGGCTTCCTACCATACAGAGTAAGAGTTGCTATGATAGAAAAGCCAACTGAAAGATTCCTAAATATCCTTTCCTTTCCCTACCCCCAGGCAAAAATATGAAATCTGAAGAAATAACACATCCCCTGAGGAAATGTGCAAATTAGCACCACCAGAAAAGATTTAAAAATTGTAATGTTAGTACTCCATTGTATCTCTGTTTGATTGAGCTGCAACAACAAAAACAATAACAACACCAAGTGGGTTGGGCAGTTGGTGAACTACATATACCATTAAGGGTGTAGCCCCAAATGTATCTGCTATGCTACCTGTGTTCTCTTTGCTAGAACATGTCAACACAGCCTTTGAAACTTAGAATGTAACTATTGGTCTAATGATTGTGTTTTTTGCAACTCACATCAGAAGAAGAGAACAAAAGCAGATTGTCTCTTCATGTGAATGACAGTAGTACATTTTCAGCGTCTTGTTACAGGGCTGTTTACATTCTCCTACCTTGTTTTCATATTATAGTCCAGGGCACCTTGATTATCTTTGAATTATTCAGAATATTACTCTGTTGCACTATACTGAAGATTATCCTAATTGACCTGGTCAGCAAGAAAGACAAGTAATTTAGATGTCCTATTAAGATAAACATGCCATATGGTGGGACATAAATCCACAAAAGCCCTGGAACTGTTATATTAAAAATACCTTTGGATTTCCAAATATCTATGGCATCCTAAGACATCCCTTCTAAGATTAAGAAAAACACCTTATTTCATCTTATAATTCTTATTATTAAGGGCAAGTCCTATTACTTGGTGGGCTTTTGGATTTTTGAGCCAATATCTATTGTACCTATAAATACTGACCAACTGAAGAGGGAAGAAAATACCTCAAGCCTATGTAACAATTCACTTGGTGTGAAATGTTTCTGTGAGCCAAAAGTGGGCTGATGTCTCATTGTTTTTCATCTCAGAGGTGGTTCTAAACAAAGTGGCAAATAGAAATCTTTCTGGAAGGTGGAGCTGTGAGCTGTGCATTCGTTGTTCTCTTTTTAGGCATGGTAAAGTGACCAGAGTTACAAATACACATCAACTCTTGACCAGTGGTGAATGGTTTGTCTGGTTAGTAAAGAGTCTGGTAAGGACAAGAATGGAAGTTAAAAACAAGGAACAAATCTTGATGATGATTTGCTCATTTCTTTGTGTCTCATGTTAGTGTCCACCAGAGGGCACCCACTGCAAAGAGGCGGTCAACCACCTAGCTGTTGACCAGTAGAGAACAACCTGTTTGGTGAATGTCAGTTTTCTTTCTTTGGCCACAGGAGTGCTAGTGCAATGAGCCCATGAATTGAGTGTCCATGGCCTCAGGAATAGTAGTGAAGCATGGATTCAACAGCATGGGCTCCCTCAAAGCAGAGAAGATGACGTACTGCCACTGCTGATTGCCTAGTCCACTGGCAACAGAGACCAATCATGACTACTTAATATGACATCATTCCTCAAGGAGTCCAGCCACACTCTTGATGATTATAATAGACATTATCCACTCTAAAGGGAACAGTGATTTATTCTTATCAGTACTGAAAACTACTCAGGGTATAGATTATTTTTTTTCTCTGCCAGCAACACCATCTGAGAACAGAATGCCTAATCTATCATTATGGTGAGATATATGTGTGTGTGTGGTGTGTGTGTGTGTGTATATATGTATATATGTCATATATGTATATATGTCATGTATATGTATATATGTCATGTATACGTATATATGTCATGTATACGTATATATGTCATGTGTACGTATATATGTCATGTATACGTATATATGTCATATATGTGTATGTGTGTGTCATATATGTGTATATGTGTCATATATGTGTATATGTGTCATATATGTGTGTATATGTGTCATATATATGTATAAGTGTCATATATGTGTACATATGTCATATATGTATATATGTCATATGTGTATATGTGTCGTATATGTATATATGTCATATATATGTATATGTGTCGTATATGTATATATGTCATATGTATATGTGTCATATATGTATATATGTCATATATGTATATGTGTCGTATATGTATATGTCATATATGTGTATATATGTCATATGTGTCATATATGTATATATGTCATATGTGTCATATATGTGTGTATACGATATATATGTCATATATGTGTGTATGATATATATGTCATATATATCATATATATACATATATATAAAAAACTAAGATCAAGGGACCCATTTTGTAGCAAAGGATGAATGACGATGGATGAATGACAATGGAATTTTCAACGGTTTTATCATGTACCCTGTCACTCAGAGGCAGCCAGTCAAAAATAATGATGGAATAAACTGTTCAAGATTCAACTAAGTTGAGAGTTCCAGGAACATACCCTGCAGAGTTAATGCTCAGTCCTCTAGAATATGAAATATGCTCTAAGCCTGCATTTAATATATATGGTTCTGTGCATAGTGGGTGGAAGACATGGATCCAGGAAATGACAGGTAATGGTAACATTAGTCTTTCCATTTGCAGAATTTTGGCCTCCCATCCCCATGAGTCCTACCTCTTCTCTTTAACTATCTTATTCCAATAGACCCAAAGAAAAAGAAAAAAGTTAATATATGAGTAGATATAATTAACCCATAATGCCATAAGAAGCCTATTTGCTGCTACACAGTGGCATCTGGAAGAAGTATGTTTGCAGTGCTGGCAATTCAGTGGAGTATCTCCTAAGATTTACTGTACAGTAATAATTGTGAAAGGGCAAATACAGCAATATAGTTTCACTAGGGCAAAGTATGCAATATTATCATCTCTTCAAGGAAAAATGTCTGGATTACTCAAATAGATAAGCAACCTGGAAAAGTAAAATTAGTAGTGAAGCATGAAGAAAGTCTAGATTTGGAAGTAAAGAAATGAAATGATGGATATGAATTACGGCTTAAGACAAGTTCAGTAAGCTTGTGAATTTTTTTCTCTAAGTCTGTTACCCTTAAGTCATTGCAGGGAATTTGGCTGACACAATTCAGAATCTGACTTTGTTACTGATTGGACTTAAAGAAGGTCATGAGTAGATCTGAGTGGTTCAAAGGAGGAACTATATTCTATGCCTTGTTTTTCTGCATCATTTCAAATATTCTCATCCTGACCAAACATTCAAGCTAATGCTTCATTCAGCCTAACATAAATATTACCTGACAGTGATCCATTTCTCACAATTCTCATTTCCCATCCAGCAGTTTCTCTGATACTGAGTACTCACACAAAGCTGACTCTTACTCATATAGGTATGTACTCTAGATGTGTAGAAGAGTTAATATCCCACAGGACAAACTTTGACCAATATGTGGGGTGGCCACACAGTCTCACTGGCTCAGGATTGATTTCAGCTATACCAGTTTTTTCAGTTACTATTATTAATACTTTCTCCTTTCACTCTGGTTATTGTCCTGTTTTACATAATGGGGTATATGGTCACCTTGTTACTAAGGTATCGGAGCCAATAGATAGATGCTTCTTCCATGCTTAATTCAGGTGGAAAGCCCTGAGAGGCATTTGATACACTTTAAAGATGTCTCTATACTATTGAACACGTATTCCTATATGGTGTTGAAAAACTCAATACATCCTTTTATTGGCTTTTCCTTGCTCCATTTTTAACTCACACTGTGATTACTGTTTTCTGAGATCACGTTTTGAAATGAGTGGCTAACGTGACAAAAGGCAAAAACTCTTTGACTGAAGCTCCGCTCTTGGGAGAACCCAGACTAAGTCAGCTTGGTTTCAATAAGTGATAATATTGTATCGACTAGTTATGGTTCCATAGAAAATCATTTCAAAATTCAGTGGCTTAAGACAAGAAGAATTGATTTCTCTCCCATGTATACAAGATGGATGAGGGTAAGGTCATCTAGGCTGTGCTTAGTTGGGCAGCTCTGATGTTTACTGAGATCTTTGGATCAACAGGAATAGCTCTGTTCCAAGTACTTTTCATCCTCCATGGATTGCAGTTTAGCCAAAGTGAGTTTTTCTATGGTAATAGCAGAGGTAACAAGAAGGTAAGAAGAAACACAAACGACAATTAAAGCCTAGGCTTATAGCCAGCACGTTGTGACTTCTAGTCACATGTTATTGGTCAAAGCAAGTCACATGTTTAAGCCCCAAATCAAGGGGCAGAGAAGTATACTCCATCTATGATCAGGCAATGGCAAGAGTGTATGTGCAGGGAAAGGTGAGGAATTGAGACTAATAAATCAATCTACCATATGATTATAAAAGAAATATCAGTATATTTCCTGTGAAAGAAAAGCCTATGACGTATTTCTGGTAATGATGCTAGTAGGCCAATAGGTAAATTCTATTTAATGGGAACTAATGACTCTCATGTTTTCTATGTCTAAACATCAAAGAAACACAACACAACAATTTTTACACTTCATAAATTACAAACAAACAAAAATGGAGGAGACAGAAAAGTTATTTAAGAGACTACACTCTTGATGCATAGTAAGATTTTAGAGGGTATGGCTTCTGACCTCTTCATTATGCCTGGGAAATAAGATACAGTAATAATTATTACATGTGGAACATCTCTCAATCTTCAGAGTTGAAAAAAATTAGAGTAGAAGAGGAATAGCATTAATGAAATACATTTATTTTCACTGGGGCCCAAGCAATGTATTCTATAATTTAGAAAGATCACAATGGGCTTTATGGTAAAAAATACCTCTAAAATAATAAGCCTTGCAGAGCAATTGGCACTCATTAAAATTCAGTGTTGGAAGCAGCAGGTGGCAGGCAGTTTCATGGAACAATTTTGCAGTGTCCTTCCAGGGTTGAAGCAAAACAATTCATGTCATAAGATACCAGGTCTTACCCAGTCCCCATTTTAAGTTGCCGTAAGTAACAGTTCCTCTATTTTTATATGAATAGATTCAAGGATCTTAAATTGAATGTATTACAATAGCTTTCTAAAATATACATTTTCCTACCATGTGGTAGAAGGTGAATATATGCATTTCACTTACTATTTTCCCTTTGAAAAGGAATACGTTTCACGGCAAAATGTTGTTACTTGTTTTTCCAGAGGGAAGTGAAATTTGAATATCTGTAAAATTACACATATGTGGTATAAGTGAAAAAAATTGTTTTGGGGGCAAAAGACTAAGGAAATTGTTATCACCCTCCCTTCAATGCACTTTTTCCTGAGGGAAAGTAAACGTTGATATGTGCAGTGGATTTCTCTTCATGACACTCTAATCCCTACCACTCCCTCACCAAAAAGGAAAAGAAAAGGCAAGAGAAAAAAAAATGATTTCCATTTCCTGGGACCATTTAATATTTTCTATTCTTTACCAAAGCACCGTGGAGGTTTGAGACAAATAATTACATTCAGACCATTTTCATGAAAACAAGCAGTTCTTTGAAGAATGTCGGACTTAACTATCTAATTAATTGTTAAATCTTGGCAGTTATAGCCTAAAACGTTACATATTTAAGAGAAACTTTTTACTATACCTTCAACACTAGAAATAACCATAAAATTATAGCACTTATTTTCGCCTTCTATTTGATATACCAATGGACATAGCAGGGGACTCTTGACAAGAGGTTTAGAATACAAATGCTGGGGTTAGGTGGACTTGGATTCACATCCCCGTTTATCTTTTTACCGTTGTGTGATCTTGGCAAAAACCTCAATTGCTAGTCAAAGGTGATAGGAATATCTGCCTCATAGGGTTGTTACCAGGACTAAGTGAGATTTTGGATTTGGTGTCTAGCTCACAGGAAGCACTCAGAAGATTATAGAAGATTATTCATATTTTGGTAATATTAGAAGTGTCTGTGGTGAATAGAAGAAAAGTATGTTATAGAAAATATTTTTTTAAACAATGGTTATTTAGAAAAGTTGTACATACCAATGGGCATAACAAACAAACCAAAGCAATAAATAACACCGAGACAATATTACTCATGTTGGTATATGACAGATCTTTAAAATAATTGTGCATGTTCAATAAATTATTATGTGTTAATCTTTGCTTTTAATTTATTTGGAGAAAAAACTGTCATTACAGGTTTCTTCACAACAAGGCAATTATTTAAGAGCAATAGTCAATAATATTTTCCTGTAGGAGGCAGAAGTAGATCAGGGTTTTGTGGAGCCTGAAGTTTATAGCATTTTGAATGCCCACTTCAAGAGTTGGCAGTGAAGAGCAACCCAAGTATTTCACTGGAAAGTATCAGGAAAAGTACAGACATTGGATTTTTCCCCCTCTTTGGTAAGGAGAGAAGAGGAAATAGCAGCTATAGGAAGAGGCTCCCCTTGGGGCCTTGAGGGATTAAAAAAAAAAAAAAAAAAAAAAAGGCAGTGCTTCCTGGTTCACTGAAGTGGATTTTACTGGCAAAGAAACTTTGCCACAGCATTCCTTCAGAGAAATTCTACTTGTGAGCTTCTGCCTAATGTCGGCGTCCGCCAAGTGATGCAATTCCACTGGAATGTGTGCAACTGAACTGTTGGGATCAATGCCTTTGCAAACCTCAGAAGGAAAACATATATTCAGTACAAATGTTAGCTGCTACACTAAATACAAATGGGACAAGCTACCCTATAAAAAGACAACGCCAATTTTTTTTCAGTCAAGCTGAATGATGTTTATAAGAAAGGCATCTAAAACAGTGAGAAAAAGTGTTAATATTCTAGTATATACAGGAAAACAAAAACCAGAAAGAAAGGAGAAATGCTGAAAATAATTCATGTCAAGGAGATGTAAACATATTTAAAAGGATTCTTAAGATGTTATATAATCATAAAAACAAAATCCACTAGAGATATTTATATATGTAGTGTGTATATGTGTGTGTGTGTTTGTGTGTGTGTGTGTAGCCTTTATCGATGAAACAGTTTAGCAGCAGAATATATAGTACAAAGCTTCTTGAAAGATAATTGCTCCATTTGAAAAATATTTCTGGGAAATATTTAAGATACCGCTCACAGAACTTGACATGTCAAGTAGACAAAATGTGAGAAAGAGTATAGCGATTTGAATAATAAAACAATATTAGTCTAGATTCTTGAGTCAAGCTGCTTAGGTTTTATTCTTCCCCCACTGTCACCCAGTTGGATGTTCTTGGGCAATTTAGTTAAACTTTTTATGTTCCAATTTTCTTGTTGGTTAGATTTTGCAAATAATATCAAACCCATCAGGTTGTTATAAGGATTGAATAAATTGCTAATGCCAATGTAATGCTGAAGACACTACCTGACACATAATTTGAGTTATAGAAGTTGCCTATCAATATGTTCATCATCGTCTTCATCATTGTCCAGAAAAAATATAAATGAATAAAACTAACTCAGATCTATAAGAAACTAAAATGTCTAAACATAAATTGAGATTAGAGAGGTGATTGTTTCACTAAAATCAATAATAATAATAATGTACACAACAATATTTTGGTAGAATGATAGACTTATTGATTTTATTTTTTCAAAGCCTTTAAGAGAATCTACAGTCTGTCATCATTTAATTCATTAAAAATCAACTTTATTGAGGTATACTTTACATGAAATGACATATACCCATTTGTCTAGGTTGATAAGATTTGTCCAATACATATACCCTTGTAATCACTGCCACAATCAAAAACAGAATGTTTTTATTACCCGAAACATTCCCTGTTGCCCATTTGCAATTTATCTCTTTCTCCTTATCCCTAAACAAACATTCTGTTTTCTGTCAGTATAGAATTGCTTTTTTTTTTTTGATATCTTTCTCTTAGCATAATAGCTGTGGAATTAATCCAAGTTGTGAATATCAGTAATTTCTGGCTTTTTATTGCTAACTTGTATTACAATTATGCATTCACCACAATTTGTTTATCCATTAACCTGTTGATGGACATCAGTGTTGTTTCCAACTTTTGGCTGTTATAAAAAAAATTTGCTATAAAATTTCCTTGCAAAAATTTCTGTGGACATATGCTTTCATTTCTTTTGGGTGAATACATAAGAGCGGGGTTTCTCAGTAATATTACTTTAAGAGTGCCAGCTTGTTTTACGAAGTAATTGTAGCACTTTATATTTCTACCAGCAAGGTATGAGTTCCAATTGTCCCACATACTCAAAATCTTTTGGAATTTTCAATGTTTTTATTTTATTTTATTTTATTATTATTATCATTATTATTTTGAGATGGTGCTCACTCTGTTGTCCAGGCTGGTGCACAGTGGCACAAACACGGCTTACCACAGCCTCCATCTCCCGGGCTCAGGTGATGCTCCCACCTTAACCTCCTGACTAGCTAGGACTACAGGCACCTGTCACCACGCCTGGCTAATTTTTTGTATTTGTTGTAGAGATGGGGTTTCACCATGTTGCCCAGGTTGGTCTCAAGCTCCTGGGCTTCAGCTGTCTGCCCACCGTGTCCTCCCAAAATGCTAGCATTACAGCTGTGAGCCACCAGTCCCAGACTGAATTTTCAGTGGTTTTCATTTGAGCCTGTTTGATTAGTGTCTAGTAGCTGTGTCTTGCGGTTTTGATTGGCATTTTTAAAATAATGATGTTGAGCATCATTTTAATGGGCTTAAATGTCATTTGGATATCTTTGCTAAAAATGTTCATTTTTTTTTCATTTTCTAATGGGTTGCTTATTTTTTTGTTATTGAGGTGTAAAAATTTCTTAATGATATATTTCAAAAATCAGTCTTTTTAAATTTAATGAAGTCCAATATTTCTATTTATTCTTTATGTTCTGTGTTTTTATGTGTGTGTATGCACATGAGTTTTAAGAAATCTTTGCTTAATCCTAGGACTCATACATTTTCTTTCAGAAGTTTTTTTTTTTTTCAACTTTTATTTTAAGTTCGGGGTACATGTGCAGGATACGCAGGTTTTACGTAGGTAAACGAGTGCCATGGTGGTTTACTGCACAGATCATCACATCACCTGGGTATTAAGCCCAACATTCATTAGCTATTCTTCCTGATACTCTCCCTCCTCCCACCCGCCACGATGGGTACCAAGATGTGTGTTGTTCCCCCTCCATGTGTCCATGTGTTCTCATCATGCAGCTCCCACTTATAAGTGAGAATATGTGGTGTTTGGTTTTCTTCCAGAAAATTTAATGCTGTACCTTTAAGTGTGTGACCTATTTCACGTTAGCTTTTTGTGTGTGGTACGAGGTAAGGATTAAGGTTAACTTTTTTACAAATGAATATTCATTTGTTCAAGCACCATTTCTTGAATTATGATGCCTTTATCATTGAATTACCTGATAACTCTGTCTAAAATCCATTCACCTAAAATCGGCACATATCCATTAGCACAATATCCATTGAATTACCTGATACCTTTGTCTAAAATCCACTGTATATGTGCTGATCTGTTTTTGAACACTTAATTATGTTTTGTTGACCTATCCTGCCAACATCACACCGTCTTTATCGCTCTATTACTAGTAGTAAATTGTAAAAATCACAGGATATGTCTGCCAACTTTGTTTATCATTCGATTTTACTTTCTTGGTTAATTTTATTGCTACATAAATTTTAGCCTCATTTGATGATTGCTACAAGAAAATCTCCTGATATTTTCACTGAGATTATTTTAAAGCTAAAAACCTATTGGGAGATAATTGACTTCTTAAAAATATTGAGTGTTTTTGACCCATGAATGTGGCATATTTCTTTACTTATTTAGGTCTTAATTAATTTTCCTTAGTAATTCTGTGTAGCCTGTAGTGTACAGACCTTGTTTTAGATCCTTGATACCCACACCTCCTCCCCCAGTGTTTAAAAATTAATAAAATGAGAAGATATCAGCAAAGGGATCTGAGAAGGAGCAGGTAGTAAACGAGAAGAAAATTTAAGAAATTAAGCAAAAGCAATGCTTAAAGGAGGAGTACTTGGTAAACTGTATTACTTGTGAGTGATACATCAAGTAAAATTAGGACTAAGTTGACCATTGCATTATTCTATGCGTAATTTAATATTGACTATGACCAGAAACACTTATGTGGAACAGTGGGGACAAAAGACTAATCAAAGCAGATTCAAGATAAAATGAGAAAAGATGAATGGAGACAGTAAGTACAGAGAATTCCTTCAAGGTGTTTTACTATAAACAGAAGCAAGGAAATGCAGTAGTAGACAGAGGAAGACGGTATGTTAAAGGGGTGCTGATTTTTAAAATGGGCCAACTAGCAGCAAATCTCTTTGTTGTGATGCTACAGAAGGTAGGGAGAGTTGATGATTCCACAGAGAGAGACAAGTGGGTAGAATGGTCCCTTGAGTAGAAGACTATCTAAAGCACAGGTGGATGGCTTGGTCTAAGGAGGGAGCACGGTTCACCTCAAGTAACAAGATGAAGGGAGAGTCTGTGGTCACAGGGGCCAAGTATGTGACTAGATGTAGTGACAGGAGCTTATTGAAGTTTTCTTCTGGTTCTTATTCCTTTTTGGGTAAAATAGAAAGCAAAGCAATCAGCTGTCCTTGAATATGAGTCAGACTGTTGGAGATTTGAGTAAAGGGATATTCTTTAAGCTTGAATGAATTTCTTTCCACAAAAAAAAAATAAAGCCTACTACATAATGATTATTTTTCTTAAAACTCTGCAGAAAAAGTCATCTTGGCATTTTTACAAATAAAATATATTTTTATTCCTACAGAGCAAGAAATACTTCTATTTTTTTTAAAAAAAAAAAAAAGAGGCAATAAAAACAGATATTCTTTCTATAAAATTATTAGTCTAGTTTGCCTTCTTATGAATTGGGAGAAACAATAGGGTAGCCCATTTTGAGTTTACCTTGTGTTAGGAAGCATCATCTCCTTTCTAAAGCCTCTTATAATGTTGGTTAGACCCTGTGAAGAAATCCATAGGACATAGTCATAAAATGTAGTCATAGAAACCTTCTTGCTCATCAGATGAAAGTAAACTGAGGCCAAGAAATATCTTTTGACTTATTTCCATTTGATTTGGGGATTTCATTTTCTCAGTATCCACTTACTTTAAGATGCTAAGAGTATAATTTCTTTGTATGCCAACATGAAAATAAGTCCAAACTATCATTCTTTTCTCATGTTATAGTTATGTTTGTATGCACTAGAGTCTCAGTGTGCATGTATGTGTAATTCCTATTCCTTAGTTTTCATCCTTCAAGCAGTTAGTCCCTTCAAAACCCGATGACAAGACCCAAACATATTAAAAAGTTTAGTTGGAGGGCCCAGGGTGAAACACAAAAACAATTCTTCTTCTTACAGAGCTCTTAGGCAAACACATAGACACTTGTTCTCTGCCTCTGGAATTACAAATATGTTACTCGGAAAGCAGCAATACTCTTTTGGACTTGTTTGACTTCACTTTCTTTACCTGTCTTTAAGAAGCCTCATACACACATTTAAAAAATACAACTTATAAAGGTTTTAGTGATAGTGCATACAATCATTTGATTTTATTTCCCTTTTCTCTTCACCTTCACTAATAGGAGTTACTGGCATGCTTCAAAAAGCTTACATTTGAATACTGTCTAAATCAGTGCAGACCCTTGACCAGCTTAATCTTTGCTTGCAAATGACAATGCAGTGAAACCAGAGGAAGAAAAAAATTACTTCCTTTCCTGTTGGAAACCTAATAAGTAGTTAGTCTGACCCAGTTTTCAATAAGAGAGATTTTCTGATGACCCGACAGGAGTGACTATCTCCAGTCAAAGAAAGAGGAGGGTGAATTTAATCTTTCATGGCCCTGGAATGGCAGCTGCTCTCAGCTCTCTCTGATTCTGTGAAGGTTGATGAAGATAGAGCTGGCTTTCAATGTAGAAAGAATTTTCCTTTTGAATATTCCAAACGAGAGCTTTGCACATGTGCCTCAAGAACTGATTGTCTGGCTCCGACAGGAATGCAGCAGGAGAGGAGCGTATTTCATGCTTAAGACCAGAGAAGAGCCACGCAATACTCAGTGGATAAAAGGCTTGCAGTCCCAGCTGGGAAAAAGAGTCCCATTATCTCCCAGCTGCATAGACATTCCATACGGCTTGGTTCTGCCTGGACGCACAGCATGCCTGGCTGAGAGCTTGAAACAGAGTTCTGCAGAAAAACTGTAAAGATCCCGAGACATTTCCCTGGTAAGATCTGTAAGTACAAAATTGTGCTGTGTCTGCTGCAATGAGAATATTGCTGGGCAAGCTGCAGCTTTTCTTCCTTTCAATGTCTTTGTATTAGCATAACAGGTAAAAGCTGGGGTTGGGGGAGAAGTCACTGCTTTATTGATGCTGTGTTTCTATGATGCTGATGTTTAAAATGCATTTATTCCTTGTGTGGGAGAAATGTATTGAATCTGTATTCCGGGAGGTTAGGATCAAACCAGGGAAAGAAAGACTACAGGTATATTTCTCAGTGTTTCACTAGTCTTTGCTGCAGTAAAACTAATGGGCAAGACGGGATGACAGTGCTAATTCTGGGACTTTCAGATGGCTACACGCCCTTTCTGTAACGGCAGATGGGAAAATGTGATCGCTAAATGTTTTTTGTCTTTTTTTTTTTTTTAATCAAAGGGATGAGGGGTGGGGTTTGCAGTTCTCACCGGATGATTTAAAAGAATGGTTATAAAGTTTCCTAGGGGAGAATTTGGTAAGGGGAGCAAAGCAAGACTGGAGGTCATATGGGCTCACCAAATTTTGTCTGGCATTTTGCTTTATACCCAGCTTCTAGATAACAGCCTCTGGAGTTTCCTTTACCATTTACACCAGTTAAGTTGTCAGTATTAAGGTTCTTATAATACTTTATGAAAACTTTCAGAAGTTGATGACTTGGGAACAAAACTTTTAAGAGCTCTGAGATTAGCCACGTATAACCCATTATGTTAATGGGATACTGTAACATTGGGGTTTGGGGGGAAAATTGGAATTCATAGTTTTTGCTTCTCCAAATGAAAACTACTTATGTTTAAATAATCAGCATCCTGACTATGTCCTCTGAGAAACATTCACAGAATGACTAAATAGAAGTTATACTGAGAAAAAATAGAGTGAACAGTAGAATCACACAGAATCAATTTGGAAAATGAGGTATTCATAATTTTATCTACAGTGGCAATGTTTTCTGAAGATGTCTGTAAAAGAAGAAGCATATGCTGAATATTGAATTGCTTGTTTTGAGCAATTTTCATTTATCTGATGGGTTTATCATCTTTTTATTTTTGTTGTTGAAGGTTTCACCAATTTATGTGCATTGTATTTTATAAGGAAAGAAATGTTTAAGCAGACTCTTTTTCCCTCCTCCTTCACACACATGTGTAAACATACGCATGTTCACAAAACAAACATAAACATACAAAAATACTTACACAATTTGTGTAAAAAAAAAGAAATACAGAAGCATTTCATCTTTGATGTTTCAGTGGGGTTTCTTTTTCTTTTTTTAAGCAATAATCATGGCTGTGCAGTCCAAAGATTTCAAATATATAAATGTGGAAACTTTTATATAAAGCTTTATGTGAGGTTATATAAATGCATAACTTATCACATCTTAGCAAAAAAGTCAATCATTTATAAATGACTTCATTGCATTACTTCCTTTGAATATTTGTAGTGAAGGACCAGAATTTTTTTTTAGAATTTTTATGTAGCTTTCCTTAATGAAAACAAATTCACTTGTTTACTTAGAAAAGGATCACATATTTTCTCTGAGTTTAGAACCCCCTCTAAAAAAAATCAATTATGTTGTGAAAAGGATGTGTGGTATATTAAATTGATTGCATACTTCTGGGTTTTTTTTTTAGTAAGTAAAAATGCTCAGTAGTATAATAGTAAATTTGTACCTTTTAAATTCTTTTATGTGAGGAGAAGGAATACAAAATATTTGCTTATTTATTCACTGTTTATTTTAATAACATATTAATTGGAATGCAGAAGTATAAGTTCTACCTATTAAAAATGACTCAAACTATACATAAAAGTTCAAAAGGGAAAACCCATCACCTGTAAATAACAATCATGAAATTTGGCGACTATCATTGGAGACATACTGGTGCCTAAATTCAGATAAGATGAGAGATAAATACTTTTGTAAGAATGGTTTCTTACTATACACCTTTTAAAAAATAAATAATAAATATTTAGATAATATAGTCAATAATAGATACTCTTCTGTAAGAATGAGATCTTATCCTACACTTAAAAAAAAACAGAAATATTGGCCGCGCGCGGTGGTTCACACCTATAATCCCAGCACTTTGGGAGGCCGAGGCGGGCGGATCACGAGGTCAAGAGATTGAGACCATCCTGGCCAACATGGTGAAACCCCATTTCTACTAAAAATACAAAAATTAGCTGGGCGTTTTGGCGTGTGCCTGTAGTCACAGCTACTCAGGAAGCTGAGGCAGGAGAATCACTTGACCCCGGGAGGCGGAGCTTGCAGTGAGCAGAGATCGCGCCATTGCCCTCCAGCCTGGGTGACAGAGTGAAACTCCATCTCAAACAAACAAACAAACAAACAGAAAACAGAAAACAGAAACATTGAGTTTAATTTTTGATTTTAGATTTTAATTAAACTGAAAAAAGAGAAGTTGAAACAACATTGAAGAAATTGTTAAATTTCATGTATAGATTTCTCTCCAATGGAGATATTATGTCCAGAATAATACCCTTACAGTTAAGACCAAAAATTTTGAAAATAGAAATAGTTTGAAGATTTTTTTGGATGCACGTTTAAATAGTAAACAAACTTTTATAACCCTTGTTATGATAGTTAAATGCATTTGCAATGTGACTTGTCATCAACTCCACCCATACCACCTCAATTTAAACTACATCAGTTTTACATTACTGAGTACATACATTCTGGCTGAATTCCCATGGTCTCAGTTTAAACTTATTTCAAATTTGTAAGGAATTATCCTTTATCAACAGGCTTTTACTACCCAATTCACCATTTCTGTGTTCTTTATTTTCAATTATTTTTTGGGTTGTTAGATTTCAGTAAGTAGTACCTCTCCACCAAAGAAATAGTCATAGGTGCTATATTTTCTATGAGTTTGCATCTTGAACATGTATTTCTTTTGCCTTAGACATGCAAGATACGTTATCTTTCTTGGATCAAGCTTAATTTTTTCTTTTGGAAATGTGTAAATGTTTAAACATTTTTGGAGACCCTTCCTGTACTGAAAGTTGTTTTGCAACATTTTTAGGTCTGTCTGCAATTTCCGTCATTGAATGTGACTTGCTTTTTTTCTGATAAATGCCTACATGATTCTTTTGTTGTGTGTGTGTGTGTGAGTGTGTGTATGGGTGTTTGCTTTTACAGAATATTCCTGGATTTGTTCCATTTTCATTAACTTTTTTTGAGGTTTGCCCCATTAATTTAAGATTCTTTTATTTTAGGATTTGTTGTACTATTTCTTTTTTGTCCCTTAACTGGGCGTGGCCAAATTGTGGTTATCTTGCTTCTTTCTTTTCTTCAGGATCACCAATTTTGTACATGTTGTATCTCATTTGTCTACTTTCCACATCTTTCATATCCAAATTTCTTTTCAATTTTAATTGACAAATTGGTTATCTTCTTTATTTGAGAACCACTTGTTCTCTTGTTTGCCACTTGAATGAATAGTATAGCTTGCAATAAACCTATTAAGGCACAACCTTCTGTATTGTGATCTTGTAAATACATGTTTCCTTCTCTTAACACTCTAGCAATTTCCTCAGCTGGCAGGTTTTTGGGCAATCTGTATCCTCCTGAAAGTAAGAGAAAAAGAAAGTACTGATCGGTTTTCTCTGATGTCCCCCAAAGGTCCATGATTTTTAGTATTTGGCTACAGTGGAAATGGGCTTCAAGTCGTGTTTTGGGGTTTTGTCCACTAACATTTTCACTGAAGACGGAGGGTTTTTGCTTCGTTTTTTATCTGCACCACGACCACTGCCACCTTTTATATTTCTCTTTATTGTTTCTGTGGGACAATAGAGGACATTTAAAAATCTCTTTATTTAAGGAGTTTTAAATAGCAATCTTTCAGTTTGGAGGAATTCTTTGAATGAAAATTTTATTAGAATGTTGTTATTCTCAGTATTCATATTGAAAAGAGCTGTTCTAGTTAAGACTGAGTTCATCTGCATGATGTGTTGTAGTATTAAACATTTATTACGGTAAAGGCGTAACACAGGACATAGTAGAGGAAAAACAGAGCCATTGGGCATGCCTTCTGATAATGTCCCCTATTAGTTTATATTGATGAAGTCTGTGGCCTACTTAACTATTTTGCAATGAGTCCTAAGGTAATTTACAGAAACGTTACATCATAGTAACATGAATCAAAATCTGTAGACTCAAATCCTTTTTGAAAGTATACTGAGTAGAAAACTTATATGTATTAGGTTTACAATTAAATGAATAAATGAATGAATAAATAACTGAATTTCCCTATATTTCAAATCCTTAAAAGAGGCAATAAAAGAACATGATGTGTCGTATGAAGTATTATAAAAAACGAATGATCTTACTAAAAAGCAAATAGCAATTTCTCAGTGTCAATAAAATGATAGTGAGAGCAAGATTCAGGAGGCAAGCTCTTGAGCTGAAGTGCCGCCCATTGTAGATTTCCTTCCCTATATCTAGCACAGAATAGCTCTGTGGTCTTAGGCAAGTTTCTTAGCCTCTTTGTACTTCAGTTTCCCCATTCATAGTGGAGATAATATTAGTATTGACTTTACAGTATTTTCAAGAGAATTCAGCAGGTAAATATGTAAAAAATCTTGGAAGAAAGCCTGGCAATTAAGAAGCACTCTATGTGTTAGTTGTTTAGTTATTGTTATATTATTATTGCTATTATAACATTTATATATGAGCCTTAGGATCAATTGGGTAAAAATAATATAAAACAATGAAAAGACTAAAATTATAATTATCATCTAATCAATTGTATTGGGTATTTAATAGAGAATTAAATTTGGAGTGTAAATCATAAGTGGATATTAAAATAGAGCTCAGGAAAAATGGTGAGAAGATATAGAGATGCTGGTCTCTGGATCCAACTAGATTAAAAATAGAAATGGTATTTCTGTATACACCAAGCAATTGGACATGATCAAGAAAAAGGGTATATTTGCGGGGGGGGGAGGGATAGCATTGGGAGATATACCTAATGCTAGATGACGAGTTAGTGGGTGCAGTGCACCAGCATGTCACATGTATACATATGTAACTAACCTGCACATTGTGCACATGTACCCTAAAACTTAAAGTATAATAATACTAATAATAAAATAAAAATAAAAAAAAGAGAAAGGGTATATTTGATTTTTTGATTATAAAAGCAATGAACAGAAAAGCACGAGAACAAATAAGCCAGAATTTCTTTCTTCAAAGAAAAACATCACAAATACTTGTACATTTCTTTCCTGTTGTTTTATGTTGTTGTTGTTCTTTTTTTATGATAATGCCTTAATCAAGTAATGTATGCACCTGGAAACAACAACAATAAAATTTGAAATTATAGAGAAAACAATAAAATAAAAAATAAAGACCTTTCCATGATTTCCTGTCTTATTTCACAGAGATATTTTCTATAGTTTATTTTATTGTAATGTTTTCCTTCTGGCCACCATTATACATTTGAATAATATATTTGACTTCTATTGCAGAATCTATAAACTCAACATCATGTCTGCTGACTCCATTTTTTTAAAGATGGGCAGTTTTTCCTATTTTCACACTTTCACAAGACAATTTTAGGTGTTACATAAGTCTTTGAATTCTTTTGGCAGTAATGCACACACACACACACACACACACACACACACACATATATATATATATATATATATATATATAGTGGGAAATTTTAAGTATTCAGGTAAGGATTAAATTTAATAATGACCAATTCCCACCCCCAGAATTACCAAATGCTAAATTTTATTGGAGATTTAACATCTTCAGTATTCATAAAATGAAAATACTAATACAATATATAATAAGGGCCTACGTTGTAACTCTACCTAGTCCATTCCTCATTCTACATTACCATGAATTGTATATTTACATATAATTGTTATATATGTATGCCTATATAAAATATTATTTTAAAATATTATGGAAATAGTATATTGAAAGCAAACTTATTTAACTTGTGTAACTCATTCCATATTAGACTATTTAGACTCATTCTTATAAATAAACACATTTCGCCGGGCTCAGTGGCTCACGCCTGTAATCCCAGCACTTTGGGAGGCCGAGGCGGGCGGATCACGAGGTCAGGAGATCGAGACCATCCTGGCTAACACGGTGAAACCCCGTCTCTACCAAAAATACAAAAAATTAGCAGGGTGTGGTGGCGGGCGCCTGTAGTCCCAGCTACTGGGGAGGCTGAGGCGGGAGAATGGCGGGAACCCGGGGGGCGGAGCTTGCAGTGAGCCGAGATTGAGCCATTACACTCCAGCCTGGGTGACAGAGCCAGACTCTGTCTCAAAAAATTAATTAATTAATTTAAATAAATAAATACAGTTCTAGGATATATTTCACCTTATGTGTTTTATATTCTTATTATTCATTCCCTTATTGAGGGATATTTAATTTATTGAAAATATTCACTATTGCAGTGTTCTATTATCACATACATTGAAAACTTATACACATTAAGTGAGATTTTCATTAAGAATATCAAGTCCGTGCTGCATGTCAACAATTTCATGTTTGTTATTTCTGGTCTCAGAATTCCTATGTTTCAACAAATGTACTTAATTCATCCGCACCTACTATGATGTTGATGAAGTTGGACTTATTTCTTACTTCTTACTTCATATTCAACCAAAGTGTTTTTTAGTAAACAGTCTTTTATTGGTTTGAGGAAATATTCTTTATTCATTTTTTCAACTTTTATTAGTTAAAAATGGTATACTCCCTTTATCGTATTTTAGTAAATAACTATTTTAACATAAAATGTACTTTTATATTTTCAAATAAAGACTAAAGATAGTGTATATATCTTCTTCATAAACAGGACAATGACTTGTTTAAATTTACTCTGAGATATTTCTCCCAGTGCTCATATTTGCACTATTTATTTTTAAACTGCCCCCAATATTTTTGTCAAGGTTTTTTTAGACTTATGACGTGATTTCCTGAGTTCTTTATTTACCATATTCTTGCTATTTATGTGCATCTCCTAGATTCTCTTCTTGTGCTCTGAAGACCATTTTAAGGTCATTCAAAAATTGTTTTAAACTCCCTTAAAATTTATTTGTTGAAAATCGCTTATGTTAGTCACATTCTAAAATAATACTGTAGTTCATCAGAGCACTCTATGTGGAAGATACTTTTCTCTCAACAATTTTTGCATATTCTGTTCCATGATCTTCTGGAATATAATTTTGCTCATGAGGGGACTGTTTATGATGTAATTATCACACTTTTGAATAAATATTCGTCTTTTCACTCGGACAGATTTTAAGAATTTCTCTTTGTCATTGATTTCTTCAAGTTCACTGCAATGTATGTAGTTGTGGAGTTGTTTCAAATTTATCTCATTTAGGCCTCTGCAAGCTCCTAAATCTTTCTTCCATTCTGAAAAATTCTCAGCTATTATATATTTCAATCTTGCGTCTTTTAAATCCCTTTATTTTCTCCTTCAGGAATGCTCATTCATTATTTCTAGGCTTCTGTCTTTGATTTCTTTGCATTTCTTTCATTTTCTAGTGTTGCAGTCAGTGTAATTTCTACCAATCTGTATTTTATACTTTTATTTTTTAAAAAACAGTTTTAATTTCTATAATTTATATTGCTCTTTTAAAAATTATCCTGCTATTCTGCTTGTTCTTAATAGTTTCTCTCCCATTCTTAAGCTCTCAAAAAAATTTCAGTAAGTTTATTTTAGATTGTGATTGTTTTACTATTTTAATTTTTAGAGTCAAATTTCTTTATTACTTATGTCTGCTGGATTTCCCTCATGGTGGTTCATTCTTCCTGGTGCTCATAATTTTTTTATGACAAATTCACCTTCAACAGATGTTGTTTTCTATGGGAGACCAACCTTGTTTGAGTTGTGTATGCTTTTGCATAGCATCGCATTGCTATTGATTCTACAGTGGCTCTACAAATATCTCTGGTTCTGGACTATTTTATATGTGAATTTTTTGGCTTCAAATTATATTACCATATAGACAGAATGAATTTGGGCCCTACAACCAAGCATAGTACACATTCTGGGTTCTGATTGCCTTTTTCGGATTCTTTTTTCTACCAGATCACCAAGTTTCCATAAGGTCAGCTATGTAATGCAAAGGACCCCTTTTTGGGAGGTTATTCCAACTTTACAATCTCCTTGCCAGTCTGAGTTTCTCTCCATTTGGTGCCTCTGAGGGCTTACCTCTTTAACATTTAACCTCGGCTATGTGTACTTCTTAAAGAGTTTTATACTTACATAGCATTTACATGTGTTTGTAGTGGAAAAGAAATCCCTCTTCACGTTGCATGGTGCCGTGTACTTCCCTATACTTCCATGTTGGCTGGACTTGTTCCCATCCGCTTTCCATCATTTAGAAAGTCATCAAACTCTCACTTGCTGGTATTTTATTTTTATCAGGTACTCTTATGGTTTCATGGAGTTATTTTGTAATAGGCAATGGAACATTTGCTAATTTTTTTCTGGAAACATTGTCAAGTCTCAGGTATATAATCTAATAAGAAATGGTTAATGTCAATTGTATATGTCTTTCCATTGGCTCCACAAACATTACTGTAACAAATTAAAGTGCTTGTTTTAGTCCAATGACAGAATATGTTAGGGAGCTCTAGAATTTAGTTAGAAAAGCAAGCCAGTGGATGTTATTAGTTTATATATTCTTTGGGAGTGGCAGCTCTATTAATTCCTTAAGTTTAATGGTATGCAAATTCTTAAAATCTAGAGGCAATTATTCAAAAACTTTGTTAGCACAGCAATTCCTAGTGACACAGTACAAGCTGAATGCTAAACGGACCATATTTTTAAGATGATTTCTGCTGAATAAAAGTGAGAATATTGGATGGGTCCTTTTAAAATCCTTTTTTAAAAGTCTTCTTTTAAGGCGGGAAGGAGAGATCAAATAAGATATTTGGTGAAGTTTCTAGTAATTTATCATTCATGCATGTAAGAGGCCAACATGAATGAGCTCTCAAAAGAATGTAGACATTTTATTTTCAATGCCTTTTTTGCATATTGTTTCAAGGTTTATTTGGTTTCCCATATTTGTATGTCTAATGTGGTTGTGTAAGGAGCTCTATATGGAGACCGCTGAGCTATCTTTCTAAATAGCAGGAGTGCAATATACTTGCTGGAATAGAGCTTTTAGTGAAAGAACATGATTTTCCTCTCTGGCATCTATCAGGGTCTCCCAATCACTAAAGCACAGTAAATGAAAGAGAAACTCAGAAATCAGGTGTGCCGCTAATTTTCTATCAACAGAGTTAAGAATAAATTAAGAACAGTCCTGCCGGGCGCGGTGGCTCCCGCCTGTAATCCCAGCACTTTGGGAGGCCGAGGTGGGCGGATCACCAGGTCAGGAGATCGAGACCATCCTGGCTAACACGGTGAAACCCCGTCTCTACTAAAAATACAAAAATGAGCCGGGCGTGGTGGCGGCGCCTGTAGTCCCAGCTACTCGGGAGGCTGAGGCAGGAGAATGGCGGGAACCCGGGGGGCGGAGCTTGCAGTGAGCAGAGATGGCGCCACCGCCCTCCAGCCTGGGCGACAGGGCGAGACTCCGTCTCAAAAAATAAATAAATACATAAATAAGAAATAGACATGCATTAAAATAATAGGTAGGCTATATAATACACAGAAAACATTTATACAAAATTAATGTCCAGGCCGGGAGCTGTGGCTCACGCCTGTAATCCCAGCACTTTTGGAGGCCGAGGCGGGCGGATCACGAGATCAGGAGATCGAGACCATCCTGGCTAACACGGTGAAACCCCGTCTCTACCAAAAATACAAGAAATTAGCCGGGCGTGGTGGCGGCGCCTGTGGTCCCAGCTACTCGGGAGGCTGAGGCAGGAGAATGGCGGGAACCCGGGAGGCGGAGCTTGCAGTGAGCCAAGATGGCGCCACCGCACTCCAGCCTGGGCGACAGAGCCAGACTCCGTCTCAAAAAATAAAAATAAAAAAAAAAGAAAGTCCTTAAAGTTGTGCTGAGATGAAAAAGTTTCTGTTATTCTAGACTTGATAGAACACACTTGTTTAAAGTGGAACATGAAGGTGTTTTCTAGGCATTTAATGTCGTTAGTCAATTCCTAAACATGCTCAGTTGTGAATCTGTGTTGCTGACAGGTAGAATTTTGACAGCCCTATATATAAATTTACCACAAAAGTATATGCTGAAAATGGTTCTATTAGAATTAGCCGGTGCTTATAAAATATAATTTTTTCAGAGTTGCCGACTTTCCTTTTTTGTTGTCCCTTTGTGCAGACTGTGCCTATGCGGTTTGTAGAAAAGAGAAGGAAGTTTTCTATCTGCTTTCTTTAGGGCACTTAGGTGGCAAAAGTATTATTTTTACTGACTTCACTCTTATTCTGTCTTTTGTCATGCAGATGTACGGAGTGATTTTGCAATAAACAGAAACAACTTTCTCATAGAAAAAGAGAGACTGGAGTTTAAAGGAAAATAATCTATTCGTTATGCGTAGTTCAACATAGGAAGCCAAACAGCAGTTTTTAAGAAATTACACACACAAGACACAATGCCTGAGCCAATTGCTTTTACCATTAGGGGGCTCCTTTTACTTATGAGGCAAAAGTCATTTTTCCAAAGAAACATGGAACAAAAATTCATTTTCTGCCAGTGAAGTTTCAAGATTCACATATATCTTTAGGTATCCAAAAATAATGTTAGTCTTTGAGTATTAGCCCCCGGATGTTATTTTCTTTTATGATTTTTTTTCTACATGAAACGGTCTTCAATTCGTACAAAAATTCTAGTTAATTCTGATAAATAATTTAACGTACTAAATTACCAATATTAATAATATTTTTATTCAACAATATATATTAGTAATAATTCCACAAATATTGGCTGAATACTTACTATGTAATAGATGCTATTTCAGGCACTAGTGATGCAACTATGAACAAGACAGAGAAGAGTTCTGCTCCTGTAAAATTCACATCTGATGCGTATTCTTGAATTCAATGAAGTATACAACTCTACCAGGTGGAAAGGGGGGCTAACATTGTTAATTTTCGGTCTCACCTGACAAATGAGCATTAGAAGCCATTAAATTATTTAATTCCAAGATGATTATTTTAGTAAAGTAAACTTGCATAGTGAGATGCACCAAAAAGACTAAATAAAAAGAAACATATATTTACTAAGAATAATAATTATTCCTCTGTTTTTATAGAGAGTGAGATATTCTGGGTTTTTCAGAGGATTAACAAAAATAGGATCTCACATTATACACATGTTTATGGAATTTCCTAATCACAGACCCAACTCTTTCCCTGAAAGGTATTCATTTTCGTCAAGTGAATAGTACCAGTGGATTTACTAAGAAGGTAAAATTTGTTCAAAATTTGCAAACTACACTAAATTATTGAATAACCTTGGTAAATTAGTACGTATATAACAAGTGAAGGAAAATTAATAACCAACAGAATATCATTTAATACATTTTTCCAGTTATAAAATCATATATGTTTATTATTACAAAATTTGGAGAAGACAAAATATGCATAGATTGTTATTCTATTACTCTGCATGTGGCATCCTTTCAGTCATCTTGTATATGTGTGTACGTGTGTGCGTGTGTGTGCATTTAAAATACAAAATTGAAATTAATGCATATGTTCTGCTTTATAGCTTGTTTTTATTAATTAACATCTTATAAACATTCTCAAGTATCATTAAATATTCTCCTAATGCTGAAGGATTTTTCACCAGATGGGTGTTCCCTTTTTACTCAAACCAATAACCTATTGTTAGATATTTATCTTTTACACAATTTATTGAACAATGCTATGGTACATATCCTTGTACCTGAATCTTTTAATATGTGTCTGATTATTTCTTAAAAACAAATTCCTAGTAGTACAATTTGCATGTCAAATTGTGGGTTTTTAAAAATGTGAGTGTGTATATTACTAAATTGTCCTTTAGGAAGACAACTCCCTCTGTACTTGCAGGCAGGTGAGTGCTCTTTGTGACCATCCTTGTTAATACTAAATATTATTAATTGTAAATACTCTCCGATTGGATTACAAAACAAATACACAGATAACAGTATTTCAGTATTGCTCTATATTACATTTTTTGGAAAATGCATGCCTGAATGAATATTTCATGAGTGTTTGAACCATTCATATCTGCTCATTTTGCTGAAGTCAGCCTCTGTCCTTTGTTTATTCTTTTGATATTTTACATTTTTTCTTATGCTCAGGAAGTTCATCAGATATCGGTGAGATAACTTGTAATTTTCACTTTTCTTCAAGTTTATAAGACATTTAACTTATTACATTTTAAGTGTGAAACCTTGAAAAATGTTTTATAAATTATTTGAACCTCAGTTTTCAAATGTACACAGTGCAGCCGGTAATACCTGACCTGGCTTTCACAAACTCAGAATGGTCAGATAAAAACTGAAATAGTTAATGTTTCTAAATGTATTTTTATAGCTACAAGTGATATAAAGTTATTGTTCTAGTCTTATTAAAGATAAATCAGTGTTTGTCCCTAATTGCACATCTGGTCATAAGCAAGTCTACAACTTAAAGTTTCCTAAATATAGGTCCAGTGTTATCAACTTTTTACCTCCGGCACCTAGCATTGTCTGGCCTGTGGTGTGTGATCATTAAGTGCCTGCTTAATGAATGTAGATTCTAAGTATACTAGAGAAACATAAATTAAATACATCTGTGCTCATTCCAAGTATGCTATTACAGTGTCATCTAAATCTAATGGTGAACAAAATAGCACATATTAAGATGATATTAATGTTAAACTTCAATTTATGCCTCTGCCCTTGGTAACCATGATAATCCACTCCATGATGAAGCAGTCAGGAAATGTAAGTAGTTATTTATTTCATCACTACAAATTGTATTTGAGACCTGTGTTTTGGAGGTAATCTATATTGTGGGCTCTTCAGGAATTTGGTATGTTAGGAAAATTCAGGACTGCATAAGGGGAACAGGAATAGGTTTGAGGGTAAAAGGAAATTGTAATCATCCCTGAATTAAAAAATAATTTATATGTTACAGACAGGTAAAGTATACACAAGGTGTGTGATATTTTCTTCTTCAAAAACCCTCCCCAAATGTGAGATATATAACTTGCTTTTCCAGATAGTCAGAACAAGAAAGAACTTCTTATTTTTGTTTTAGCTTGCATTTACGTTGCCATAACACATTATGTTAATATTTGATGTTATTTGACTTTGGCAGAACATAATGAAATAAGGTGTTTGACTTTGCCAAAGAGAGTTTTTGGAACAAACCTGTGTTTGATTTAGATCTGAGGCCAGGTGTTCAAGACGAGCCTAGGCAACAAAGTGAGACCCCTGTCTGTAATACACACACACACACACACACACGCACAATCTCTCTCTCTCTCAAACTTTGGCATATTTAGTAATAAATATTAAAGCCATGAAACAAACATATTTTACTTATAGCTTAGAATAATCACCTTTATAAATTTCTTAAGTGATTTGTAGTACACTGTGGACTTGACTGTTACTTTTATATCAGGTTATAAGTAATGTTGGCTAGACGTCTATCCAATGAACTTTCCCTTTCACTTCACATATTCTCTGGGCTCATGGTTAGCCAGAACAATTTAGAAGCCAAAAACATAACCAAAATTATCACATGTATTTTTACTGCATGGTGGGATTATTTTGTTTTATTGACATATATCATTTTGGTCAATAATAATAATAACAATAAAACAGCGTTGAGTTACTCAAATATTAGTTGGGGCTCTTCAGAGAAATAGAACGAATAGTGCCACATTATCTATCTATCTATCTCTCTAAATATATGAATTTTCCCTTTCTCCATTTTCTGTTTTATTAAGGGTCTCAATGGATTACATGATACCTACATTGGAAATGGTAATCTACTTTACTGAGTCCCCTGACTCAAATGCTAGTTTTATCTGGAAACACCCTCACAGACACGTCCAAAATATTATTTAATATGGGCAAACCATAGCCTAGTCAAGTTGACACATAAATGTAATGATCACAATGATACTAGTAAGAGAAATTCAGTTGACCTTGCTGATAAATAGGTATTTTTCACACAAAAGCCAGAAAATGATCATAAAATATGTCATATGGTTTAAAATTATAATTGTTGAGTACCCATTTCAAAATATGATTGTTCATTTGAAGAATAAATTTTAAGTTGGTTCAATTCTATAGATAATTATGACATGACTGAATATTTATTCATGGCAAATCCAAGAGCATTCATTTGCAATTGCCATTCATGTAGATGTCAAAGATGCCACTTTTTATTGCACATATTGTGAGAGGGTAAAACAAATAACCTTTCCTCCTTAAAATTAGATTGCTCATTAAATGTGTCATTAATCATATTTTAGACTCCAAAAGATCAAAGTAAAATGGCTCTGAATTTTAAATTTTCCAGGGTGACAAAAGCTGAACAGTTTATTAATGTTTGACCATGCTCCAGGTGTGGTGGCTAATTTCTGAAGATGATGTTCCTCTCCTTTCAATTGCCTTTCAGCTCTCATGGTAGGTGCTAATGTGTATAATTAGCATGATTTCAGAGTTGTGACCTGAACGACAGACCAATATCTATAAGGGTTGTGGTCCAGCCAGGTTAGAATAATACCAAATTGATATGCAATTAATTGAGCTTGCAAAGAGGTTACTGAAAGGAGTTAGGTCTAAATTGCAGTTTCAAAATAAATCACCCGAAATTATTTAAGAGTATAACTGGGACTCCCCAAAAGTTACCTCCATCTGAAAGGTTTAGATTTGGAATCTCCAGTTGTGATGATAAATATAATTATAATTAAGGCTCTGGGTGTTAATGTCAGTGTTATGCAGAAAATTACCCTAGACATAGATAGCTCCCAGCATCTACATCCCGTTTTCAATTTTATTTCTAATAAAAAAATTTAATCCATTTGAGGTGACAAAATTCCTTAGAGAATAAATGTTTTTTAACCTTGGGTAGTAGAATAAAATATAGAGACAATGACATATATCAAACTCATGGTATTAGAAGTTGTGTATCCCTTATCCAAAATGCTTGAGACCAAAAATGTTTTAGAGTTTGAAATTTTCTGAATTTTGGAATATTCGCATATATATAATGAGATATCTTGGGGATTGGGACCCAAGTGTAAAAACAAAATTCATTTGTATTTTATATAAGCTTTATACATATAACCTGAATGCATTTCTATATGGTATTTTTAATAATTTTGAGCAGGAAACAAAGTTTTGACTACATTTTGACTGTGATGTGTCACATGAGGTCAGGTGTGGAATTTTTCAGTTTGGAGTCCTGTTGGTGCTCAAAAAATTGTAGATCTTGAAGCGTTTCAGATTTTGGATATTGAGCTCTTGAGTGCTCAAACTGTAATATCATTGAGCTGTTTAGAATTAAGTTTGTATTAATTAGAATAGTTTCTACATGTTTGGTGTAAAAAGTGCTTGTTATATTTAAGGCTCTAAGGAGTCTTTGCCAGATTTGATTTGTATTTGCACTTTTAATTTTGTAAATAAATAACTGATTTTAGACTTACCCGTTTAAGTTGAAAAGTACTGTATATAAAAATTAACTAACTTTTTAGAAAAAGTTTTGAAATATTTAAAAGAAGTTAAGATTTACTATTTTGTAAGGGTAAATACAAGAATTAAATTCTTAGGTTTTTCTTGTTAAGGACCTACTGTTGATTTGTCAGACTGTTTAGACACTTTAAGAGAACATAATAATTCAATTTTAGAATTACCATTTAAAATATTTAAAGCAATTGTAGTAAAGTAAGTCAAAAGTCCTGATTGTTTATGTGTGTTTAGTCTGTTCAACATGAAATAATTGAATTTTAATTGTGGCAAAAGAGAAGAAAGTTTTTCTTGTTTTAATAAGATTATAAAAAGAATAACAGACATATAAATGAGGCTAAAAATTTTAAGGGGGAAACAGCGTTTGCATTTGAAATTATAATAAATTTGATATTATGATCCCCGATGAGCACTGGGGCTCTAAGGGGATTCAAGGGACTTGCCCGAGACTACAGAGCAGGAATTCACATACAGATTTTCATATACGAATGCAGTGGCTGTGGTTTCCACATTCATTCTCAAAAACTCAATGTACCTTTTTGGAGATGCATGCAAAATTGTAGAGGAAAAGAAAGTAATATTTAGAATATAGTTTCTAATCTTTTATTGTTAATCTTCTTGTTTACAATTTACCAAGGCAAAAAAGAAACACTTTTAAAATGTCAAAATAATATAAATATTATCTACCATTGTTTTTCTATTCCCAGTTTAATAGACAAGTTTCTCTGTGTGGCAATAATTTTTAACTCTAAACAGAGCCAGTAGCTCCTCTATTACTTTGGACTTTTTAAAAGATATAGTTATTTTGAGTTTGCATTCACACATATTCTAACTTAGAACACACAAAAATTTACATTATTTATTTTCTCTTAACATATTTGCAAAGATTTAGTTATATCTGCAAAAATGATATATTTTTTATTCTTCTATTTTTACCCAAGTTGTTGATGATCTTCTGAGATCCATCTGAACAGAAAAGGAAGAGACACATACTTCTATTTATATACACACTCATATTTTGTGTGTGTATACAACCTTATTAGCTTCTTGACAAAGAAACTAAAGAGATTTAATTTTTAAATGCTTCTTCCCATACTCTATCCTTTTATTATAATTTTTAAGTCTTTAATTATTTTTACATATCTCTTCTATATACAGGTCTTTATAGCTGGGTCCCTACTGCTGACTCAGTTTTGAACTACCCATCGATCTTATCTTAAAATTGTTGTCTAGTTAGTGGAGCATTTATTTATCAGCTTTTCCATTTGCTTGAATATTTTACATGGCCAAATATATATCTGACCAATGTCCTTCTTTAGGAACAGTGCTTTATGTTTTTCACATCTGATATTTACATCAGGTGCATTCAAAAGGCAGTGAACCAAGTCCTATAAAAACAGATAGAAGAATCACTTTTAAGTATTAATGTCAGAAGAAGAGAATTGCTTTTTGATTTAGGAAATGTAAATAGTCAATCTTATTAAAAGATTGACTTTAAAACATATCCAACTCTGCTAAACAATGGAAGAATCTAATCTTTTTTTGATTGAAGAAACCACATAAAACAGGTATACCATCATGGGGAAGGTAGGTACTTTCTGTATTACTGTCAAAAGACAAAAATTGCCTCTTGACTTAGGATTCCATAAACTTTTATGGAGGTGTGCATGGCTGGAAGACATCAATACCATGCATTGTTCCTTGGATGGTGGGCTAGGCACATATTCTAACCTTTGAACATTTCTAAAATAGTATCTTTCAAAGCTGGCAAATTTGGGGAAAAAGAAATTCCTTATACAGACGAAGCTTGAAGGAAGGTGATGTATGTTGTAATGGGTTTGCTAAGATTTTCACTTAATATTCAGCAGCCCTGAGAAGTTTTCTTATCTTCTACTCTAAGTCAGTACTTTGAAAAAAAAAATATGAGGAGCAGGTTTGACAATGTTGTCAGGATTGTGATTGAGATGAAGCTAGAACGATGTGCAGTTGAAGTCCTCCCAGGTCCTGATTCAAATCTACATCTGATTTCATGACCTCTGCTGCATTCCTCTGTCATGAGAAGAGCAGGGACTCTTAGTCCGATGACAGAATCAACCTTACCCTTTGGTTAATTAGAAGGGGCAGTAGTAAAGAACTCGAATTTTAGAGCCAGGCACACCTGGATTTGAATACTTGTCAGATGAACCACTTACTACATGATTGGCCAGAGACATACACTTTGATTTCACTGGCCTCATTTTTCCTATGTGTAAAATTGAGAAATAATAGTTGTCCCACCTCATATGATTGTATGGAGGATTAAGTGAGATTATTGAATCTAAAAGTCTTAGCACAATGTCTGACATACAGCAACTAGTAGTGAATTTCAGCCAGTGTAGCATTATTGAAATTATTATGAATAAGGGACTATTGTAGATGTTATGCGGAAAGCAGTAGTCCCCTGGGGCCATATAGTGAACCCCAGTGCTATTTAGCTCATTTCTATTGTCTACGCATTATATACAGTTCAAATTAGTAACAATCACAACAAGAACAACCATCAATTGATATAGTTTCAGGCACTTTCTTTAGTACTTTAGGCTAACGTATTTAATTCTCATAAAAACCTCAAAGGATATGTGGTATCATTCCCCATCTTATAGAAAAGTAAAATGAGATTCAGAGATGTAAAGTAAATCGGTTAAATAGAAAAAACAGTTGTTAGATTGTAGAGTCAGAATTCAAAACCAGGCAGGCTTTTGCCAAAATTAACGCATTTTACCACCACATTCTTAATTCCCAAACAGAGCACCAAGCACCCTAGGATGCAACAGTGAACTCAGAGAAGGATCATAGGATGTAATTAAATATTCTGGTGAAACAGTGATGCTCAACATCTGTCAATTACTGAGTGTGAGGTAGTTTCATTTCAACACATATCTTATTATATTTCTTTCAATATCATATATTTATTAAAGCTGGGTTTCCAGCGGATGTTGTGGTAAAAAGGAAATACTGTGTGAAATCAGTGTAGAACAGGAAATGAGGCTGGGCAATCTTATTCCAAGTTTTGAAAAGTTGTGCCGTGCCCAGTGGTAGTATGCTTGTTGTAAGTAGAAGTGGGTACTTAAGAATAAAATAAGAATGCTATTTTTCCTCTAATATATACATATTATATTTTTAAAGCATCCTGTAAGTCACTTGAATATAACTTCTTTGAGCCAAAATACTTAAAAATGGAACTATTATGTAGTTATTTTGCCCTAGGGGTGCCATAAAAATGATTGATCCACTAAGGAGATCATGATACGAATAAGCTGGGGAACCTCTGAACTATATTATTCAGTTTATCAGGGAAATATGTAAAACTTAAGGATCAGTTCATCAAACCTCATTAACCACCTGTTACTTCTCAAGTACTTAGAGATTCCTTTCTAAAAGAGCTCACAGCATAGTAAGAAAGATAGACACTGTGTTAGTCAGGGTCCTCCAGAGAGACAGAATCAGTTAAGTATGTGTATAGCTATTATGACAGAAGTTTATTAGAAAAATTGAGACTCTCGATTATGCAGACTGAAAAGTCCCAGGACAGGCCTTTTGCAAGATGGAGCCCTTGGGATGCTGGTAGCCTGGCTCAGTCTAAGTTCAAATGCCCCCAAACCAGGGAAGCCCATGGTTTAACTCAGTCCAAAGCCAAAAACCTGAGAACCTGGAGTGCTTCTGTGTAACTCCAAAAGCTGGAGTTTCAATGTCGGAGGCAGGAGACTAGTGTAGCCCAGCTCTGGAGGCAGAGACCAATTCACCTTTTCTGTTTTTGTTCCATCCAGGCCCCCAGCTGATAGGATTGTGCCCACCCACTTTGAGGACAGATCTTCCCCTTAGTTCACTCAGACTCACATGCTAATTTCTTCTGGAAATGTCCTTGCAGACACGCCCAAAAATAATGCTTCACTAGTTCCCTAGGTATTATTTAATCCGATCAGATTGATCCCTAAAATTAACCATCACAGACACAACGTGCATACTGAAATATAGTGTGTGAACCAAATTTCCAAGGGGCCAGACTCCCAGGCAGGTCACATAAATATTCAAAAGGCCATAGCATTAAGAAGTGAGAGGAAGTTGTATTGGGGAGAAAAGCAAACATAAGAAATTTTCCAGAAGAGATGAATGAAAGAGGTCCAAATGCATGCTATTTATAGAATAATGAGTATGGTAATAATGGAGCCCCCACTAATTACACTATCACTTATTAAATACTTGTTACGTTCCAGGCAATGCATTAGGCACTGGGTTGTAGAGATGAAAGTCAGAGTGACTTTCCTCAGGCTCTGACGTCTCTTGAGGAGTCTGACAAGAAAAAAGTACATTCAGGCAAATGATAAGAGATGAGACTGGAAAGCATGGCTGTGGTAGAAGTAATATATTGCCTGTAACTTCTAAAGAGGCCAGGGACTTTTAGAATAATTAACACAAGGTCTAATTACTTTGGATTAACTAGTAACCAAATGCATTCACAAATATTGATGTTATTCAAATTTGCTTCATCTTACTAAAAAAGATGCTGTATTTGTGTATTCTTCTGCCAAATAAATGAGAGGCATATGTATATTTTTCCAGAATCATGACTTATTCAGTTTATGGACTAATTATTGGTTGAGAAGATAAGTAAATAACAAATTATCATATGAAAAATGTGAGACTGGGAGTAATTAATGCAATAAAATAGATTGCTCAATATGCGAACAACTTCATTGTAAATTCTAGGAAAAGGGCCTGATTTCAGAAGAAAGATAAAGTCATCAAAAGTCTTAAGGATTAAATTAAAAGATAATTTTAAACATTTACTGCTGTAGTATTTAAATTTAATGATTCTGGCAATGAGACTATTGAATATATGCTGTGTTATATGTTTAAGGGGATGGACTCAGGTAGTTAGGATGTGATTATTACTGTCCTACGCCCTCTAGTTAAATCCTGATAGAATTCTAGTTTTAACTGAAGACCTCTATTTAATCATAGGCTGCATCAAGTTGCAGACACAATTCATGAATACTCATATATAATGGCATCATGCTACTAAAACACATTAGTTAAATACTCTCACTCACTCAAATGGTAGAGGAGAATCATCTTTCTAAGATATCTCTCCATGACTACAGTATGGGCACAGAGCAAGGACAATCCTGTCTCCTACATGGTCACCATTCCTTTATTTATTCATTCAGTAGAGATTTTCGTGCACAGAGGCAGCTACTGTGATAGCACAAGTATTACAGAATTCAAAAGAGAAAGAGATGATTTCCAGCTCGGCAATCAGGGAAGTCTTTAAGAAGTAGGTGGCATTCAACTAAAGAATACACTCTTCGGTTCTGTGTGGCTTGATGAGTATACACCATTATAATCGCAGACTTTGGCAGAACGGGAGGGTTGAAATAAGATAAAAGAAAGGAGAAGAGCAGTGGCAAAGGCAGAATGACTGGTAACATTAATTGAAGAATTCTTTATTTGTATTCACCAGTGTGGGCCTCTTTCCTATTTAGCCATCACTTGAATGCACGTTGTCATTAGCTTGCTTTACTCATCCTATGAATCAAGCCTTGGAGATGTTGAGAACCCAGTTTCTGTGTGTGGCAGAAAAGTAAAGAGATGAATAGAAGTAATGACATAGAATAGCATCCTCTTGCTTTTTCCACTATTAATTCTATTCTGCCAGCAGATATTTAGCAGCTTTTTTGTGTTAAGTCCTATGTGGATACAAATTTAAGAAATGACACATTTTCTTTCTCAAGGGGATCACAGGTCAATAGGAACACAGGGATCTGTCAAAGATCATGATAAATGTAATAAATAAGAGAACATAAATGTGGACATAGTAAAATGGTAGACCAGAAAAGGCAAAAGATAATTATTGATGATGGTCAAGGAAGAATACTTCGCAAAAGTGGTATTTTTAGTCTCAAGACATTGAGCAAAGACATTTTTTTTGCTCTGGTCATCCCATAAAATGACTCTCAATAATGAATAGAACAAGAAACAAAAAACTAAATTTCATTTTCAATGAAACATAGGAGAAAAAAGTCACACTAAAGTGCTTTCAAAGGAGGACAACTGGAAGAAGCAAGTGAATTACTGTGCAGACTCCCCTAGAAGGCTCAGAAGCTGGGCATCTTAGGAGGCAGTGGTAGAAATGCTTAAACCTAAAATAGAGGGCTCATCTGAAAGTCTGTCACTTAGACCTTCTTTTTCTCTCAACCTACGGGAGGTTGGAAAATATTTGTAGGTAAATTGAGCTGCAGGAGCAGCACAATTTCAGTTTTAAGACCAAAAAAATAGCAGAAAGCTGGGAGTTTATATGATCCTTCTGTGTATAAGGTGAAAGACACATAAATATAAATAAATGTAACATATGCACATAGGCTCTTAAATACCCATGTTTAGAAATTCCCCAGTAAAAACCAGAGTTAGCCTTGATAACCTAAGAAGAAAGCCCACAAGTCAACAAGCCACAATGATGAGCACAGATAAATGAATGTATTGCTAGGGTTATCACATTTGAGGAGTCCTCAGTAAAAGAAGGTAAGACCCCAACTAAGTAATTACTGGCATTATGAAGAAAGATTAAGAACAGTTCCAAAACATCACCATTTTCTTCATAGAGATTTTAAAGCCTTTTTCAATCATAAAAGGGAAGCTTAAACAATAAACAAAAGGGCCGGGTACGGTGGCTCATGCCTGTAATCCCAGCACTTTGGGAGGCCAAGGCAAGCGGATCACAAGGTCAGGAATTTGAGACCAGCCTGGCCAATATGGTGAAATCCCGTGTCTACTAAAAATCCAAAAAAAAATTAGCCGGGCATGAAGGTGCATGCCTGTAATCCCAACTACTCAGGAGGCTGAGGCAGGAGAATTGCTTGAACCCGGGAGGCAGAGGTTACAGTGAGCTGAGATAGTGCCACTGCACTCCCACATGGGCAACAGGGTGATACTCTGTCTCAAAATAAATAAATAAATAAACAAACAAAAGAACACCAACAGAGAATAAGAAAGAATTTGAGGACGTTTCAGTTATGATAGCCAGACTCACAACAAACAAAAAAGGCAACAAAACAACACTTATTACAAGAATTGTAAGATAAAATTGAATAAATTATCCAGAAAGGAGACTGGAAATAAAAATAAGTTGATGATAGTAGCAGTAACGTCAGAATGCTAAAGAATTTTTAATCCTAAATAAAATGATCCATATCTTGGAACCATAGTGATACAGAGGACACCTTCAGCAAATATGAGAGTAAAATAAAAATCCTTTTTGTATTCCAAAATTATGTAAAATTTATTCCCTGTAATCAGAAATCTGAAGACATGCTCCAAAAATCAGGAATACACAAAGGAAGCTAAAGACAAGGAGTGTAAAACAGGAGAGTCAACAAGGAGAAGGATTAAGGGAAGTCCATTAATAATAGCAGTTTAGCAGGCCTGGAGAAAAACAAATGTGTATTGTAGTAGTGTAGGAAAGGGCTTCAAAGAAATAACTCTAGCAAAATCGAAGGAATGAGTGGATTATCTGACAGGAACTATCATGAGGAAAATTGTATCAAGACGATTTTATAGAGTACTTGAATAGCAAAAACAAACAAACAAACAAAACCTCTTCTGTAGATGCCAAAACAATAAAAGCAATGAAACTTACAAATAAATTATTAACTCTTAAATAAAAAAGCAAAAGTTGTTTACAATGAAAATGTGATCATACTATTTGAATCTTCAGTGGACAACATTTGTATAGGCTTAAGCATGAAAGTACTGAATATGGAATATGGATGGAAAGAAAACCTGATATAGAATTATATTGGAAAACTGAGTGGAGAATAGAGATACAAGAGGGTCGTATTGTTACCTGTTAAAATTGGATGCCAATGGAGAATGCCAAGTCATCAAATCTTTTTTTTTTTTTTTTTTTTTTTTGAGACAGGGTCTTGCTCTGTCGCCCAGGCTGGAGTGCAGTGGCATAATCTCAGCTCACTGCAACCTCTGCTTCCCAGGTTCAAGCGATTCTCATAACTCAGTCTCCCGAGTAGCTGGGATTACAGGCGCCTGCCACCACGCATGGCTAATTTTTGTATTTTTAGTAGAGACAAGGTTTCGCCATGTTGGCTGGGCTGGTCTTGAACTCCTGACCTCAAGTGATCCACCTCCCTCAGTCTCGCAAATTTCCCTCTGTGGCTTCACAGGCATGAGCCACAGCACCCAGCCGGGGAATGCCAAGTCATGAATCAAAGTATCACCGTGTCATAGACATTATTTAGAGATATGGAGGTAAATGCCAGGGAGAATAACTGGAAAATAGAGTGGATGCTTACAGGGAATGGCCTAGGGAAGAGATTTATATTGCCTTTGTTGTTCTCAGGTTTATTTGGCTTCTTAAACACACGTGTGCATTACTTTTATATAAATATAAATAATTGCTTAAAATTAGAAAAATGAATCTCTGACAAAGATTTGGAGTACCATTTGGTGTTTACCAGGTGGACCAAGGACAGAAGAACATGGTAGCCAGAGAGGTAAGAAAGGTTAAAAACAAAAATCAGAAACAGTAAGTCCTGTTCAGGGAACTGCAGGTGGTTTGATATGGCTGAATAATTAGGAGGCAGAAAAGCAATGTGTTATAGTGGTTATGGGTTCAGGCTCTGGACCCTATCTTTCTAGTTTTGTTTGATCGGTATGTGACTTACTGTGTGACCTTACTAAGTTCTTTAACATCTCTAAGCTTTTGTATCAATTTCTATATGTGAAAATTGGGAACTTTAATTTGTACTGCAGGAAATGAACCTACAACCTGTTAGTATGCATTTAAGTTCACCTGCAGATACTACTGGAGAGTTCCAAGCTTCTCTCCTTCAAGTTCCTGCATTGCTCCCTGCATCTTTGAGGTTCCCCAGAACTTGCTAACCAATGCATAGGGCAAACCAGAAATGCTGACTGGAAGTAGCAACAAGTGATTTAATGTTCCCAGAGGTATTCCTGAACTGATGAAGTAAAAGAGTAGGTTGATAAATATACCAGGTTCTCCATCCCTTTATACAGCAATTCTAAAGTGTATATTATATAGAACCTCAGTGGGTCTACAGAGAAACTGAGCTTCAGTTCTTTGCAGTGTGATTCACACCATTCTGCACATTTTACTGAATTTTCTCCCTTCCCTGTCTCACTTTCTCCACACTCTGATTTGTGCTTCTGGTAATCACTTCCCAAATAAGCCCTTGCCTCAAGGCCCGCTGTTGAAGAAAGGCAATCTAAACAAATACCTATGCCATGTTTTCAAGAGGATTAAATTATATGCTCCGTACTTAGTAAGGCTAAATATGTAACTCTGCTGCGGTGGTTGTTAAATGCCAGCATACGAGGAAAGTTCATTTATGCCTGTATTATCAGTTAAGTTATTATCCTAAAGGTGAAGAGAAGCCTTTCACAAAATGAGTTCAATCCACAGGACTCGGTGACTCACTGAACACGTGTGGTGAGGAGCGGGGCTAGGGAAAGATAGTGCTCTGAATGACTCACAGCTTTCTAACCTGTATATGACCTGTACGGAATAGTAATGCTCACAAGCAAGAAGCATAATAGAACAATTACAGTTTTATTTCTAAACAAAGCCTAAAGTCCTGGTTTCATAAATGAAGAAAATAATGCTGTCTAGGTAAACAATTTGGCCAAGATTCACAATTCACTGATCCAAAGTCCTAAGTCCCCCAATAATGTCCTTTTTCTGTAAGTTTTTTCAACTATCATTCATCTTTATTATTCTTGTCTCTTGAGGTCATGATTGGTGCACAGGTGGTCAATATAGGTAACATAATTGCTGAAAGAATTAATAAAGATTTATTTCCTAAATCGATCCAATTCATGTTGTTTTCTTCTATTCAAGTACTGGTCACTTGGTCTTTCATATAGTCATGTCTCTCTAATTCATAATTTAATGGAAATTATTTTGGCAACTCCAGCAGACATCTGAGAGATAAGCATAGCTTTTGTATTGTTAGTGTTTTCTGCCAGACTGAAGACCTTGGTGTTAATAAGATGGCTGCTTTCCAATACCTCTTAAAAAAAAAAAAAACAAACAAAACAAAACAAAAAAACACCATTTTCCTCTCTCCTTTTTCTTTTATTTACAAATGTAATCTCTGATCCATGAATTCATAAGGTGAGAACGGTGAGTGGCTAGCTTTTTATGGGACCATACATAAAGGGCTAAATTCAGTGATCCATCTCCCATCTTTCTAACTACTTAGGGAAGGAATTTGAAAAGAAGTCAATGTGGCAGATTTGAAGGAGAGGCTGTTGGAAAGTGTGCCACAGGCTTTTTTACATTCTGTCTTCGAGACAATTTGAGTCTGCATTTTTTAAGTGAAACTATTAGTAACGTAGTGATTTCAGGTTTTTTTTTTTTAAGTTGGTAGATGTAGGTCATAATAGGACTATAATTTTATTTATTTATTGATGGTCTGATTTTAAGCCCTTAGAATATTAATGTCTAGGAACATTTGAGAAAGAATAACAGAAAAATCGTGTGTGTGTGTGTGTGTGTGTGTGTGTGTGGAGAATGTCTCTTTGGCCCAGATAAACTCTTCGAGCTTTGACATCTTAAAAACTCTATGATTACCATATTTTTATACATAGTCAGATACATATAGGTTCATAGTCCTGAGAACTGGTTAAACTGAGTTGTCTTATTGCCAGGGTCTGAGGAAATTTGAAAGAGAGCATCATAGAAGACAGTGTGTTGAACACTGTTAGGCTAGTAACAAAAGAATGAGAGCCACAAGACTAAAAGAGAATTCCACTTGTGCGTAAACAGAACTTCAGTTACTAGATAAGCATGGCTTTTTCCTCATTTTTCTACCCTTTCCTTTATTCACTTTCCATCACCCCCCTTAGTTCCCTCCAAAATATGAAATTGTCATTGACTTTATTAAGATATAACTCACATATAACAAAATGCACACATTTTATGGGTCCAGTTAAATGAATTTGAAAAACGTGTATGCCCATATAAATCCCTGTTCCTCCCTATCAAAATACAGAATACTTATATCACCCAAGAAAGTACTTTCACACTTTTTTGAAGTCAATCCTACCACATTTCTTGCCTACAATGACTGATCTGATTTTGATCACCACAAATTAGTGTTTTTCTGATTCTAGAACGTTATATAAATGGAAGCATGTAGTACGGTGCTTTATGTTGGACATTTAGTTCAGCACATTGTCAGTTTCATCCATGTATTTACACAAATCACTACCTTTTTCCTTTTTATTGCTGAGTAGTATTCCATATGCCACAATTTGTTTATCCATTCACCTATTGATGGATGTTTGGTTTTTTTCAAGTTTGGGCTTATTATGAATCAAATTCCTATTAACATTTAAGAGCAATTCTTTGGGTAGATACATGTTTTCATTTGTCTTACATTCTACTTTAGAGAGGAATTGATGGGTTATATGTGATGTTTATCTTAGTAAATGTTTTTGAAAGTGGTTGTGTCATTTTACATTCCTGCCAGCAATATACGAAAGGTTTAGCTGTTCTACCTCGTCATCAGTGTTTGGCATGGTCAGTCTTTTTAGTTTTAGTCATTATTCTGGGTATGAAGTGCTATATCTCATTGTAGCTTTAATTTGCATTTCCCTAATGACTTATCTTTTTATGTACCTATTGACTCTACATATTTTACTTTGTAAAGTGTTTATGAAAATATTTTGCCTATTTGCTTCTTTTTAATATTATTGTTTTATATATTTTAGACACAACCTTCTATCAGATATATGTATTTTGAATATTTTCTCTCAGCCTCTGAAGAGCAGGTAGTCTTAATTTTTATAAAGTCAAATTTATCTATATTTTTATGGTTGGTCATTTTTGAGTCCTAAGAAATCTTTGCTTATCCCAAGGTCACAAATATTTTCTCCTATGTTTCCTTCCAGAATTGTATAGTTTTAGTTTTTATGTTTACTCTGTGATCTATTTAAAATTGATTTTTGTGGATAGTGTAGAGTTTCATACAGATATCTTGTTTTTCTGATGTCATTTTTTGGAAAGATCATATTCCTGGCTAAATTACTTTCTTTATTACAAACTTGGAAAAGCCTTTTTAAAGCCTCTTAGCTTTTATCTAATGGTAGAGTACATAAAGTCTTCTAAAGTTTGTTTGGAGATTAGCATTATTCCTTTGAATATTTTCTACATTTCTGATTTTATTTAAAATATGAACATAGTAGATAGGACACATACTACATAATGATCATTGTTTAATAATATAGAAAGTAAATTAATATAGCCAAGTCACTGAGTTGGGAAGAAAGTGTGTGCAGTTACTGGCCTCTTTATTTTCTATGTAACTCCCTTTCCTTTTTCTGTGTCTTCATATGTATGTAAATATTTCTTGAGAGGTATGTAGTACTGAGCTACTCTATTGGAACACAGAGTTAAACAAATTGACAGGATCATTATTGATAGGAGCTTCAGGGAAAACATTGTTAGAACTAATCATTACAAGTTTTTTGAAATTGAATCTCTTATTTATAAAAAAGCACAGAAACATCAGTATTCCATAGCTCCTTTATAAGGTCTTTGTGTTATGAAGCTCATGTTGCAAGATGGATATTGAGTAGTTTGCCATATTAATTTTGATTTGTATTTATTTGTAAATATGATTTCATCACATTAAAACAAGAGCTACAATAACAGAACTTTAAGTAAGAGTTAAAAATATTCACCACCAATCTATTTCTCCTACCTTACTGATTTCACTTGCCTGTATTCTTTTGCTAATCTTTGTATATAGTCAGAATGTTTATATAAGGATAACCATACTACAGAAATGGTTTGCCTTTCTGATTTTTTTTGAAACATATAAGATTACAAATATTTTTCATGTTGCTACACAGCCTTCATATTTATCCATTTTAATGACTACGAAGTAGTCTAGTAAGTGATGGATAGTAAGACCATCATTTACCTATTTTATTACTATTGTTGAGTTTAGGTAGGCCACACATTTTTGCTTAGAGCTGACTCCAAACATGAGAAAACACATGTGTATTGCCTTTTCCTTCTTTGTATAATTTATATTTAGAATATCAGCATAATTAAGTGCTTGAGAATAAAGAAGCTAGATTTTTGTATTGAAATCCCACCTTTGCCATTTTCCAGCTATTTCACTTTGGGCAGGTGTTCTGATCTCTCTAGACCTCAGTTTTCTTATTTGTAAAATAGGGATAATAACAGTGCCTGCCTCATATATTTTTCATGAAGATTAAATGAATTATTTTTTTGCAAATCAATTACAGCAGTAAAATGAATGTAAAAACTATATAAATGTCTTCTTAAAGTTCTGGTTAATGGAACTAGTATATTAATTTAATTTATATTGTCCCTGAATGTATGTGCATATCCAGATATACCACAGTATGACCCCAACCTTGCAGGAAATATACATTTACAAGAAAAAAGAAAGAGAGAGAGAGGAAAAGAGGAAGAGAGAAATAAATAAAGGAAAAAAAGGAAAGAAAGAAGGGAGGGCGAGAGAGAGGGAAGGAGGGAAGGAGGAAGGAAGGAAGGAAGGGAGGAATGAAGGAGGAAAGAAGGGGTTCTCAACCAGCGGTGATTTAAAAACACAGTTTATTGAAGTATAATTCCCATGACATAAAAGTAACCGTTGTAAAGTGGACAATTCGGTTGCATTTAATACAGGCACGATGTTGCACAACCACCACTATCCTCTTGGAAAACATTTGCATCAATCCAAAGAAAGAAGCTCTTACCAATTAGTAAATTTCTCCCCATTTTCTCCCTTTCACTTTCCAGGCCGCAACAACTACCAATCTGTCCTCTGCCTATGTAGATTTATCAGTTCTGGATATTTTGTATAAATGGATTCATGCAATATATGACCTTTGTGTCCAGCTTCTTTCACTTAGTATAATATTTTCAAGGTTTATCTACGTTTCGGCGTGTGTCAGAACCTCATTGCTCTTTATGGCTGAATAATATTCCATTTTATGTACATATCACAATTTGTTTGTTAGTTGAGCATTTGGGCTGTTTCCACCATTTGGCTATTTTGAATGTGCTACTATAAGCATGTGTGTACAGGTACTTGTTTGAGTGCCAGTTTTCAGTTATTTAGGGTATATACCTGGGACTGAAATGATAGGGTTACAAGGTGGTTCTATGTGGAGTTTTTTGGAAACCACAAAACGTTTCCAGTACCACACTGTTTTGATTATCATACATTCATATTTAGCTTTAAAACTGGGAAGTATAAGTCCTTCAAGTTTGTTCTTTTTCCAAGTTATTTTGGCTATTCAGGCCCTTGCAATTACATAGAAATTTGAAAATCAGCTTTTCCATAACCGTTTTCTAAAAAAGCCATTGGAATTTTAACAGGGATTGCCTTGAATCTGCAATCACATGAGTAGTTAACACTGACATCTTAACCACATTAAGCCTCCTAATCCATGAACATAAGATATCTTTCTATTTATTAGATCTTCTTTAATTAATGTCAGCAATATTTTCTAGTTCTCAGTGTACAAGTCTTTCACTTTCTCTGTTACATTTATTCATGGGTATTTTATCCTTCAGAATGCTATTATACGTTGATGTTTTTTTCTTAATGTGCTTTTCAGATAATTGCTGGCATATAGGAACATAACTAATTTTTGTCCTTATTTTTTATTTGTTTTTTAATTTAGTTTATAAAACTAATTTTTATATTTTGATCTTCTACCTACAACTTTGCTGAATTTGTCCTTTAGTAGCTTTTTGGAAGACTGAGATTTTTATATGTAAGATTATGCAATCTGCAAATGGACATGGTTTTGTTATTTATTTTCTTCCCAATTTAGATACCTTTTATTCAGTTTTCTTGCCTACTTGCTCTGGTTAGAACTTCCAGTACAGTGTTGAACAGCAATGGTGAAGGAGACTATTCAAGTCTTGTTCCCGATCAGAGTGGGACAGATGTCAGTCTTTTACCATTGAGTATGATGTTAGTTGCAGGTTTCCCTCCAATGTCCTTTATTTTGAGAAAGTTTCTTTGTAGTCCTAGTTTTCTGAATGTTTTTATCATGAAAGTGTTTTGGACTGTGTTAAATGATTTTCTGTGCATTAATTGATATGATCATATGAGGTTTTCTCTCCCCTTCATTCTATTAAGATGGGGTATTCCTCTGATTGTTTCCTTATGTTGAACCACCCCTACATTCCTGGGACAAATCCCGATTGGCCATAATGTATAATTCTTTTAATATTCTGTTGGACTAGAGGTGATTTTGGCTCCCAGTTTATATTAGCAATGTCAAGATATTTTTGATTGTCATAACTGGAGGAGGGTGCTACTGGCATCTGGTGCATGAAGACAAGGATGCTCCTGGATGTTCTACAACAGAGAGGAAAGCGTTCCTTTGTCTCACAACAAAGGATTAGCCAGGCCAACGCGCCAACACCACCCAGATTGAGAAACCCTGAATTATACCAACCCTGCTACTATTCTTGGTATACCCCACCCTTATCTCTCTAGCCTGTCATTCTGTCTTTTCCCCTCCATCTCCTCCAAACACATAACTTTGTGTTTCAGTACTCCAACCACACTGAACCTCACTTAATTTCTTCTCTTAGTCAAGTTACCTTTGGCCTATTATCTTCCACACCTGTACTTTTTCTAATCCGAACATCCTGTCCCATAAGAATGATATAATCGAGTTTGGGGACTCAGGGTTGGGGGAGATTGGGAGGGACCTGAGAGATAAAAGAACACATATTGGGTATAGTGTACACTGGTCTAGTGATAGGTGCTCTAAAATCTCAGACATCCCTGCTAAAGAACTTATACATGTAACAAAAAACCACCTGTATCCTAAACATTATTGAAATTTTTTTTAAGAGAAAGAACATCCCTTCCGCTTCTTCACTCCCCAACATCATCACCTGGTTTTACTTATTATGATTCAATTTTCGGCCACTTCCTCCATGAAGATTTTCTGACTTTCCTTAGACCAAATGAGTTACTTGTGCTGCATTTTTCCCAAACACCAGCATTGCCCATGCCATAGCACTTATCAGAGTTTATTAAAATCACGTGTTAATTTCTACAAGGTCTGGGAGGGTCGTATTATTGCTCCTATTTGCTCACTATTGTATCTTCAAGACCCAGATCAGTGCCAGTCACAAAGTAGTCATTTTGTTATTCTTGTTTTTAAGTTATAGAATGAATACAAGAATAAATGAATAAATCAGCCTAAATTTTTCTGTATCTGGAACATTCAGGAAATGTGATAGTTAAGAAATATGTTAATGTTTTATGTGTGTACACCTCAGATATGCCTGAGAAACAGAAATAACCAATGGAAATATTTTTATTTTAGTTATCTAAATCTTTACTTATCTGTCTTGGCCCTAATTGACTAAAACTATATCTGATTTTTTAAAAATTCTCAAATGTTTGATTCAGTATCTGTGCAGACTGAGACACAGACCCAAAGCTTTACAGTGTGAATTTTTAAAACTAAATCTTGAATAAATTATCAGATACATAAGCAAAATTTGGAAGGGAAATTTGGGACAAAAGAAAGCAGTTCATTTTAGCCTTTTACATCAATGGGCTTGGAACATGACTTCCAAGGAATTGCTGGTGTTCCCTGGCAGTGCCCAATTTCTGAAGAAAGAAGCAAAATGTAATCTGCACACAGTCAAATGCCAGAGGCAATGTGAGTATTATGCAGGTTCAAACCAGGTCAGAATAAAAATGACTACTAACCAGCCATTCAGCTTGTAAAATGATAGAAGAACTAGTTCTTGCTTATTGCCCTTAACAAATATTAAAAAATAAGTCAGAGTGTCAGCTACTAGATGCACCAAGTTTTAGTGCTGCTTTATGGGCTAGAAGTGTTTCAAGTAAGAGTTGGCTGTGATGTGAATTTCTGTAAATTAAAGCTTAGCTTTCCACTTAATCTAATCAAAGTACCGGTAATATATTCTAATGATGATATGACAACCACAGACATATTGAGATAGTATCATTTTAGGAGAAAAGATTTGAGACAAAAGCCAACTCCATGTTATGATGGTGAACTAGATAATGTTCTGCTTTTCGGGCACTGTAGTTTTCAGTTTGCTTTTAGTTTCAGTTTGGCTTTAGTTTGGATTTATATTTCACAGGATTTTTCAAATTGTATTCTCTCTTTCCACCGTTAACTATACCCCAAAACACGCTAGAATCGTAGGAATTCTCCTAGGCCTAAGAATCTTCTCAAGCAATATTATTTACCCCAGAGTATTTTTGTCTTTCCCATATGATTGTCTAAATATTTAAATCAATGACTGATTTTGAGAAAGTTGCTGGTTTTATTAGCTTATTTTCCTTGAAGGCTTTCTAAGCCTCCATTCCTCACTGGAAAATGGAAAGGTATACCGAAAGTTGAATCAGTATGTGATTTTCAAAAACATGTATATACATGTATTCAAATGTGTCCTAATTATAAATGTTTATTAAAATAAATATGATTCTACTGGTTAAGATAAACCAGATTCTCTAATTTCCCTCCTTTGTCTTGCCATGTAGAATGGTGAGAGTCCATTTGGCTCAGAGAATGTTCAGTTTGACCTTTTCCAGTCAGTTTATCTAAAGCAGCAGCAATGATTTCCAATCTCATTATACCCCAGGTCACTGTCTTATTATCACATTTATTCCCCTCTTCATACTTATCACAATCTTTGTTAATTGTAACTCTGCCTATTTTCCTACTGTCTGTCACCACCATCTTTAGAATAAGAGCTCCATCATGGCAGTGAGCATGTTTGCCTTGTTCAATTTTGTATCACTGACATGAAGAGCTCTTAGCACACTCATCAATCAATATTTGTTAAATGAGCTTTTCTTGGCTGCAGACACCACATTTTATTGACTGGAAACAATGTCTTGAGCCAAGCCTGAAGAGAAGAGAAAGTCATAATCTTTACATTCAGAGTTACTTCCTGTGTCCCTTCAACGTGATTCTTCCAACATCACCAAGGAACTTCCTACATGATTGAAGAAAAGATAGAAAGAAAGTCATCTGGAGAGTTAACACATTTCCCATTGGTGCTGAATATTATCTCCTAATATTCTGAAGATGTCATCACCAGGTCAATGGAATCTCAATATCCTAAGTTATATATAGACATCTGCATACATATGTACATTATATACAAATACAATATTATTTAATACAAATTATATAAAAGTATACAAATTATATAAAAGTAAATTTAGTTTTTATATATTTTATATGTGCTATATATAATTTATACATGCTTCTGTAAAAGTGTTTACTATTTCATTTACGAGCAAAATAGAAAAGTTGAAAATGCCTGTTTTTCCCTACTAAGGGATGTGGAAATAGGGTTGCTTCAAAGACACATTCTAGCACAGTTTAATAATAATTACTCAATCACCACAGACAGGAAAAAGTTAATTTATTTGGAAACTCAACTTTATATAAATGTTACTAGTATATACCAATGACAGTATTACATAATGGACAAAAGGATAAATATTTAATAAGTTTGATACTTCAGGTACAGTAAGTAAAAATCCATTTTTAATTACATAAATTCTTTAAGTTTAAAGTTACCTAGTCAAATTTATCTGTACTGATAGCTGCTGTCAGAATTACATGTAAACGCATAGACCTCTCTAAGTGATTATGTTGTATTCTTCTATAACAATGAGATTCAGTAAAAGCCGTAAATGATAACACTAGCCAATAATTTGATTCAACCAACACAACCAGAAGAAGCCTGTGAAGTCAATAAACCAGTTCCATGTCTTATATACAAAAATAATAGGTTGATTGAATTTTTACTTTCTGAATCTGTTACTTTGATACTTATTCTAGACATTAAATATATTTTGTTGATTGAATTTTTGCACACTGAGAAAATACAATCTAAATATAGCTGGAGGGTCTTTTCTATTTTTTTCCAAATTTTTCAGGCCTTTCATTCGGCCAAAGCAACAATTGATGTGGTATTTTCTAATATCTGATACAGCTTTTCAATTTTGTGTGTGTGTATATATACATGAAACACAGATTGTTCAAGGGGAACAGAAGCCTATGAGATATAGAAACCAAAGGATATGCCTTTTAAATTGAGTGAGCACAGTCTTTAGGGCCTACAGTTTCAAAGTTTTGTATTAGGGAATGGCTGACCACAGAAATTTTTCTAAATTAAGTGCATACCAACTAGAATTACACAATTGGCTTCCGTTTTGCTACTTGAAGCTCCCACCTTGAGCTGGTTTCACTCACTTATTGTTGAATTATAGAGACAGTTGTAACTAAATTTGACTCTTTTACCTCATCCTTTTGAAATTGTGATCTTTCTTCCATCTCCAAATATAATTTTGCAGACCATGACCTTCAACATTACTTCTGCATCATAAATGTGATTTTGGCATCTTGTTGCAGAATGCCTACTCTGAGGCCTTAATTCTCACATCTGATGATACCCTGAGGATGACATGTGAGGCCAAGAGGGAGTGAAGCCTCATCCCCACTTTGTGCTTCTTTATTAACCAGGTAACAGTTATAGTGTTCTTTGTCATCTGGTCAACATCACTAATTTATCCTGTGCACAATTGGAGGATCACCTAGTCCAACTGCCTCCCCACTCCACAATTTGTCAAAGAGCTAACACTCAATGAAGCAAAGTACATTCCAAAAATCACACAGAAAATTAGGCATGGTACCTGCACCAACACTTAAGTATATAAATCAACGATTATCTAGAGAAGCCTGGAGTGATGGGATCATTGAGTTTAGAAACTAAGAACATAGCTGTGCTGGTTTTAGAGAAATAAAGTCACTATTCACCTATTCTATTTTCCTTTTCCTTTTGAGTGCCAACATCCTCCTGCAGATGCATATATTTATTTACAGAGCAACATGCTTGTGTTAGCTGTTTGTTTCTAAAGTTTTTAAAAAAATGACATTAGAACTTCCAATTTTCTCTTTAGCAACCCAAACACATTTAAATTATAAATTGAAATATATTGCACTTTTAATAGTTCAAGCTTTCTGAGTACTATTCAGTTCCATAAAACCATTTTGGATAGGTAACTTTTTTATTTCTTATCTTCTCTAATCTTCACTTCAATATTGGAACAACTAGATATATGCCTTCTTTTGTTTGCATAATTTTTCTTTTTAGTGTTTATGTAAATACATAGAAGGTAAAAATTAGTGAACTATATTCAAGGAAGGGTGTTAGAATACTAATGTAGCTAATGCTGTGCTTGGGAACTACTTAGGGAGAAATAGATTGGTTTAAAAAGGAAGTTATAGAATTTAATCAATCTTGAGAGACCAGCAGCATGCTATTGTGGAACTATAACTTTAGAGAACATCTATATGACAGTATGATCACCAAAAACTTCAGCATATGCTGCCAAGATAATGTGCATATTTTAAGTGCAAGTTAGAGGGCTCCACCTTCCCTTTTTGCCTGTGGTCTCCTGATTATAGCACTCAAAGTATTGCATCTGGGTAATCCTCCATTCCCAGGCGACTTGAGAAATTTGATCCCGTTGGTGTGACCAAAATTTCCAAGTGAAATACAGAAATTGTACCGTCTTCATGCATATAGGCACAGGCTGGGGAAAGGTTTGGGATGACTTTTGGCTTTGCCCTTTCCTGTTTTGTGACCTACAGTAAATTACCCAACTTTCTGCACAGTCACTTTGCATTTTTTCGTAAAATGTGAATAATAATGCCTTTCTCACACTTATTTTGGAGATTAAACATAAATATGAATGTGCAATGAATTCTAATATGCAAAGTGCTATATTTATTAAATATAAGATGTTTTCTGTAACTCCAGCAAGTTTCCAGTGTCAATGTTGGTATATCCAACACTTCCTACATGACATCTGCTGGAGGCACATGTCTATAACTGAAAGTTAAATGTATGTGACTTCTACATGAATTTAAGTATGAATTTCTATATATTTATCAATAGTTATTGATTTCACGTCTCAAGTCATGCTTTTGAAAACTATTTACATCAAGACTCTATTCATTTGTATAAAATAGTTTGTTTTTTAAAAACAGTTTTTCAAGACTTTTATAAAATAATATCCTTTTGAATAGATACATACATATACAGGTAAATCTAGATATATTTTTAATGTTGAGTTTAAGAAGTAGTTTAAAAAGCAAATCTTTAATTTTTAGTGTGATTTATCTATTAAAAGTCCTGTCTTCTCTATATTCTCTCTACTTAATGAAAAAGCCGATTGCAAAACAAGAAGATTGATTAGGGGTAATAAGCTTGGTATTCTAGTAATAAAAATCCTTGCCAAAGTCCAATCTTTACACAGGACATTGACTTTATTTCAAGGCCAATTTCTAACCCTATATCTAAAACATGGCAGGGGTTTAATCATTGTAGCAGATGCTGTCTATGCCCTTAGTGAATCTCCTACCCTCACTCCCTTCACCCCTAGGATTTGCCACTGTAACCCTGAAAGATAACACGGTGAAAACCTAACTAAGTATCCCTGACTGAAGGCTATTTTCTGGCCTAGGAAGCGTGCTTTCCTCCAAGCAAGAAAAAGCAGAAGTGCCTGAGAGTTAATGCTCCCCAGAGCAACTCTCAAGCAATTATAGATGGGGAATTGATAAATAAATACCCATCTTTCTAGCCCCGTTGTTGAGTTCCTGAGCATTGTTCTGCACCACCTTCCAGTGGTCCCCAGAGGAACTGAGATCCAGTTGATGACACTGGCAAATGGCTTGATAACAAACCTTCACTGGCTTCATTCTCTTTCTGAGTAACCCACTATCCTAGCAATGTTTCTTGGGATCCCAACTAAACTTGCATTCAAATCCTTGATTCAGAATCTATTTTGGGGGGGATCTCAAATGAAGACAACAATGTTTGATCAGTACATCAATTGACATGTATGAAAAAATGTGCACATATGCAGACAAGAAAGCTTCTGCCTGTCTGTGTCAAAATAGGAATGATTTGTCTTTCTTTAACCTGGTTTATAGCAACTATTAGAAATGGAATTCAACTAAGTGTTGCAAGAAGTCCATCATTTATAAATTAAGATGGAACTTACTTACTGTACTTTGTCTCCAGAGATTCTTTGAGTGTAAATAACATAGACAAAATCATGGAATATTAAGAATGGCAAAGGAACTGAGAACTCTTTCTCACAGCTATCAGGTTGTTCCAGCGAAATAACAGGCAGACCCTGGAGATGTTCCATAAAGCTGGCTGCTGCTAAGGTCTGCTCTGATACCTGCTATGTGATAAAAGTTCCTGACACTTAGCAGGAGTTGATGTCCTGGTATTCCACCTGCAAATGGTAGGTCTGCAGGGCACACCAAGCACGATGATATTCATCCTGGAAATGTAGTGCTGAGCTCAGAAGTAAGTAGGGTGTTAATTATCCATGACTAGTCACATAAAATCATGTCTTATACTCAGTTCTGGCCTGGAATGCAGGGTACACAAAGGGAGGTACTCATTGATACCAGCAGGAGCTATATGCAAGCTTCCAAAGGAACAATTAGTCCTTCAGTGCCTCATTCAAAGGCTGCTTAGGGGGTTGCTCTCCTTGACCTTGAGTTAATGGGAGTATGAGTGTTCAATGAATGGAGATTAGCCCCAGAAGACAGGGAAGCAAATTAAACCCCTATTTTGATTTGAATTGGGAGTGAATAAAGTGTTCACTGCTCACTAAACTCAAGTGAAGTTAACATGCAGGAATGAATGGAGACTAACTTCTCTGTGTGGCAAGGAAGACCTCAAGGCAGTTAGCACCTGGGAACCTCCAGGGATAGAGCTGAGACAGAGGTGGTCATTCATCATTCTCTGGGGTGATAAGAGTTTTTCAGTAAATGCTGTATCAATGTAGATAAATCTTCCTAGAACCAATAAAAATGCCCTTTGCCTTTTCTATCTTCTGTTACAAGTAATTGCTATTCACCTTGTTATGAATATCTTGAAAGTAGTCACAGAGTACTTGGAGTGCCTGCGGGATGGAAAGTTTGAAGGAAAAATGTAGCCGTATATCATTGGCATTCATGAGAAAATTCAGATTAGATGTTTGAAAGGCAGGTCCCCAGGAGGCAATAGAGAAATCAGGAACAATATTGTGCCAAAAATACCACTCTGGCCAGGACATCAGGGAGTTTATGTCAGGTAGAGTGAAGGAAAGCAATTTGGAAAGAAAAGATATATGTGCTTTTCTATATGCATTTAGTTTATTTATATGCGTACATCCTCTGAAAAACTAGTATGTTCTGGGAATCGACAAGCAGATTGGGCCTGACACTTCTAAAATATGTAACTGTGTTTATGTTTCTTTTACTCTAAAAACTCTGAATAACATCTTGTAATATGATCAATACTTTTTCAAACTCATGTCTTTTAAAAATCTGTTTGCAACCAATAAGCCAAAAATGGGATGTGCTCAAATATCATTTTACATTTGGGAGGTCAAGTTTATGCCATTGGACTTTACGTGCAGATTACAAAATATTTTTTCTTTCTAAAGACACACCTACTCTGGTGTCCTAAAAATCAGTTATCTCATTGATGACACACCAGAGATATATGTTTTTTAAAATGTGGGCTGGGTATGGTGGTTGAAGCCTGTGATCCCAGCTCTTTGAGAAGCTGAGGCAGGAGGATCATTTGAGACAAGGAGTTTGAGAATAGCCTGGGCAACATAGAAAGACCCTGTTTGGGGCAGGAGGATCATTTGAACCCAGGGGTTCAAGGTTGCAGTGAGCTGTGATCCCACTACTGCATTCCAGCCTGGATAACAGAGGGAAACTCTGTCTAAAAAATAAATAAATAAATAAATAAATAAATAAATAACGTGAAGATGTTGTGGATGATATCATCCTTGCTGGGGGTCACTTTACTGCACAAAGAATTTCACTTCTTTCCCTCTTCTAGAGTGTTTGAATAACAGTCACTTGACGACAGTTAGTTCAGCTTAAGCCTACTTACTTTTCTTCATTCCCTTTATTTAAAAAAGTCTTATGTGTCTGCTTTCAAGGAGACTCTCCTGAATTCTATCAAGATAACAAGAAGAACAATAACTCAAAATTATTATTGCTTCTGAGAGGCTTTTTCTATAATATACCTGAAATACATTTAAGGCACTCATAAGTAGCAACCAATCACCCACTCATTCATTGAATAAATATAAGTTAGTGCATCATGTATACAAGGACACATACACAAGATCCTGAAAAATACACCAAGCAATATGCCGAAAAAGGAGACGTGCCGCAAATATTTTGTTTATTCATTAAAGATAAATTGATTAGAAGTTGAAAGGAAAGTGGAAGTACTTTTAAATGAAGGTTTAATGAAAATTTCGTAGAATAAGGTCATCGAATCTTGACAATGATAAAAATTAGAGAATTCCAAGGAGATGGACCAACATAAACAAAGATAAGACATTCTTCAAATAACTTGATCTTTTCAATTTGGTTGTTTTGTACTTACTTTTGTAGTAATAATAATAATAATAGCAGCTAGTATGTATTGAGAGTGCAGACTGCCTATAAAATATTGTTCTAAGCAGGTTATATGAGTAAACTTATCCTCACCTTAAATGTGGAAAGTAGCTACCATTATTAGCCCCATTTTACTGATGAGGAAACTAAGGCACAGAAGAGTTAAGTAACTCACACAAATCCTTCACCTAGTGAGAGCCACAGGTCAGATTTAAACACTGGCAGCCTGGCTGTATAGCATGGACTCAGCTGTGACTGCCCCCTCTTGAGGCGCTCATGGAGCCAGTCAGTGACTTTATTTTCTTTTCCATTTTCCTACAGACATGGGTAGACTGACAAAGTCAATGCTGTCTTGGATATGTGAGCTCAGGGCCATGCAAGATAAACTCCTAGATTAGGTTGGTAGCTATGCTCTAGAATTAGGACTTCTGATTACATCATGCAGGGAAAAAGGATTACTGTTAGGGAAACATGTGTTCTCATATTCTTCTTTCCTTCCTCGGATCCTCTAAGTCTAATCAGTAGCCATCAAGACTGAAGCAAAGGCAGTATCTGGAGCAACAGCCTGCTGTGGATCTCACTACAGCCCTTCCCTTCCTGGATGTTTTCTCAAAAGTACCTTCACAATCAATCGGCCTCCTGTGCTGTAAGCCAGTTAATCTTTTTTTTCAGACTAATTCCAAATACATATATCCAGGTAGCTAACAATAATACTGTGCTTCCTGTAAATAATATGGAAAGACCACTCACTGTGAAGTCAAAAGATCTGGGTACAAGGCCCCGATCGACCATATAACGTCTATGTGCTTTTGATCCGTTACTTGAAGTAGTGTTATATTACTTGGAAGTCGGCCTCCTCCTTTTGGCCACAGCATCTCGACTTTTATACTTGTCGTTACTGAGTTGCCTGCTCTCCCATCTCAATTTGGAAATCTGAGACCAGAGTTGTTGCTCCATTTACTCAACTAATGTTGCTGGTGATAGATAGTAGGGCTGTCACGGAGTCCTTTGGATTCCTGGCCCAGTGTTCTTTCCACTGAGCTAGTCTCCTACAGTGTGCTCTGTGGAACCTAAGCCCTTGGGGAAGCTCTGCAGAAGGTACTTTTTCTTCCCTCTAAATGTGATTTTAGCATCCTGACATAATCCCCTCCACACTGCTAGTAGCCCGTGATACTCTTGCCTAGACCTGGATACAAATTAAGATCACAGTTTTGTCCCAAGTCACCTACATTCAGAGGGTCCAAAATGTAAAATGATGCTTTTAAAAGAATATGAAGAATTTATCCTCTGTGGTTACAGGAAAGTTAGCTAATCTCCCTGAACCTGAGTTTTGTTTTTTTTGTTTTTTGTTTTGTTTTGTTTTGTTTTGTTTTCCGGGTAGTTTAAAAAATCAAATGAGACAATTTATTTAAGAAAGCATCTTTCACATTATAAATCAGTTTACAAAAGCAGGGTACTATTTATATAAACATGAATTCCAGATATTGGAAGGTGGCAATGTCTGCTGTTAGTAAGAATGCAGGAAGCACACAAGCAGTGTGGAAAAATCTTAGATAATATTTTAGTCCCCTGCCCTTGGAGAAATGTATCATGAGGTCAGTGGGTGAATTTCTTTGCCTGCAAATTGTATCTCCTTTGGATACAATTTGCAAAGGGCTGAGGAATGAGGTTGGACCCCCATGCCCCATAGCACAAAGTATTTCTGCTCAGCAGTCATGTATTTTGCAAAAATAACCCACCCACAACGAAGTATTGCCTGATTTAAGGTTCTGCAATTTCTAAAAGCCAGGGCACTTAAGATACTGAGATGAAATAACATTCCCTGTTCCCAAATGAATAATGCATTTTCTCACTCTTTTTTATTTTTATTATTTCAAAATTCTTGCCTCTCTTTTGCAGAGAAATTTCCCAGAGTTTTACAGCATCACTGTTGACAGGCAACCACATTTTCCTCCCAAGGCGACTCCTATTTCTGTGAGGTCAAGATTGACAATGGGAGCACATATCAGGGGATGGGTTGATGGAAGAGAAGGCAAAAGGTCCAATTGTCCAGGGGCTGGGTGGGGACCGTGAACCTTAGCCAACAGAAACAGAATGGAATCAGTGTACATCCTGCTGTCAGTGCTCTGTGATTATTTTCCCCTTTCCTTCTCCTAATGGATAAGCTTGGAAGAAAGTGCATTCTTTCTCAGGAGAGAGCTCAGAACTGCAGGGTTTTACTGTATTTATTGTGCTACATATACATATACACACACACATACATAAATACACTGTATATACACTACATATATATATTAGTTTCAATAATTCTTTCCTAGGTAGGTCAGAAAATTCACATTGCTATGCATTATTAAAAAGAAGTTATGAGGCCAGGTGCAGTGGCTCACGCCTGTAATCCCAGCATTTTGGGAGGCCGCAGGCGAGTGGATCACCTGAGGTCAGTAGTTCAAGACCTGCCTGACCAACACAGTGAAACGAGTCTCTACTAAAAATACAAAAATTAGCTGGGCACGGTGGTGAGCGCCTGTAATCCCAGCTACTCGGGAGGCTAAGGCAGGAAAATCACTTGAACCTGGGAGGCGGAGGTTGCCGTGAGCCGAGATTGCGCCACTGCACTCCAGCCTGGGTGACAGAACCAAACTCTGTCTCAAAATAGAAGAAGTTATGCCATCGTGTGTGGTTAGAGAGTCACTGATTGGCATGAAAGCAATTAAAACCCACCCAATTTTCCTGACCACTTTTATAAGACAGAGAAAATTTAATAAGTTAATCCCTTATGGATATCTTGGGCTCTTTGAAATTTAGAGAGCTCTATTACATCCTTTATTAATTGACCCTAAAAAAATTAGGAGCAGTCTGTGTGGTAGGTAGTATGGTCACAAGATTTACAGTGGGCAACCCAAGAACAGAGATTCTAAGACTTACTCAAACTACATTGTTAGCTATTGACACGATTAGGACTCTAAGACCTCTGTTATTCTTGTCCATGGCTCTTTCCCCTTGATTAGACTTTCCCAAAGTGTGTTCTGTGAAGCGTTCACTGTTGGAAAAGCACTACAGAAAACCGAATCCCATGATCATGGAAGTTTGGGAAACAGTGCAGGCTATACCCCTGTCTTCAAGTTCTGTAATGTACACTGGCCCTGGAGAGATACAGAAATCCTGCAGGAAAGGAACTGTTTTGCCTTATTTAGCCTTGCATTTTGCATATTATTTAGCTGCATGGTGCTTTTTTTAAGCCCCATAAACACACTGTAGGAAGCCTTACCCTGTGCCATCTAGCTTTATAACAACTCAGGGTGGGAGTCCTCAATTTGCACCTCTAATAAGTAGAAATGTTTCTCTTTCAAATGTTCAGATTTGAGCAAAATCTCCCAGAGTAAGCTTTCGGCAAAATTGTAAAGTCTGTAAGATTGGCCATCGGGATGAAAAACATGGACTCAGGATTCTGATGATACTGGTCAAATGAGGGATTTTTCTGCCACTTATCATCTGTGTGCACTTTGTCCAGTTACTTAGTTCCTCCCAGTTTCAGTCTCTTCACCTGTAAAATGAAAGCAATAATTGTATACCTCTTATTTGACTGCCGTGAAGATGAAATGAGGCAGTGCATGTAACTCCTGGCATAGAATCTCGCTTCTGTTGGGTATTTGAAAAATTCTATTATTACTATTATTCTCATTATCTTCCTTTTCAGCCTACCTCCTGGCACCCCATTCTGTCTCTTCCTCCTCCTATTTTTCTATCTTGTCACACAATCTTAAAGGACTCTGCTTCCAGCTATCTTGCTTACCTGGTATAGTGTAGAGATGGTATACACGATGCCTTCCAAGACTGGGCAGGTAATATGAAAGAGTGAAGGGAACTAGGTGTGAGACAATAGGGGGTGTCCCCCAAACTATGGCAAACACTTGTGTTAAAGGGCCAGTCACTCCGGATATTTGTTGTTGTTAATGCCTTTTTGTTGTACTTTTACCGCATGGAAATATGGACTAGTGATGCCAAATTTTCAGATAATTAATGAGAAGTCAAATGTTTATTTTTATATGTAATTTTCCAATTTTTAAACACTCTTTTTAAGAATCTGTTAGACTACCAGTTGATGACCCCTGGATCAGGGGATTTTTAGCATCCTGTTCCTATATAGTAATAAAGAGCTGCAAATTTAGAAGTGTTTAAGAGGTCATCTAGTTGAACTTCCTACTTGATCAGAAATATTATTTATAATATACTAGAAAAGGTGTCATTTATCTATTCCTAGTCAGAGAGAACTAAGCATCTCATGGAAAAAAACATTACACTTTGTATGTACAAACTCACTGAATTCTCTTATGAACCTCATGAGGTAGATGCTACTTTTTCCATTGTAATTATCATGTCATCCAGGCTCAGAAAACTAATTTACTTCTTCTAAAGTCACAAAGCTATTAAGTGTCTGGTAGATTTTAAGAATGGAATTCCAGACTGTTTAGGTTTCAAAGCCAGTGCACTTAACCACTGGCTAAACAATTCTACTTGTTAAAATGCTCAGGGCTGATATTAAGCTGAAATTTGCTGCCCTGAAATGTCCACTATTTGGTCCCAGTTTTGCTCTCCTGAGACACAAATAATAAGTTTAATCTTTCTTCCACAAGACAGCCCTTCAAATATTTGAAGATGACTCTCCTCTGCCTGCTAAATCCTCTCTTCCCCAGGCTAAACATACTCATTTCTTTTCACTGACCCTCATAAGTCATGGCTTTCAGCCACTTCATCATCCTTGCACTGCTCCCCAGGAGAGTATTTCAATTTGTCAAAGTTCCTCTTAAACCGTGATGCTCGGAAGAGAACACAATCCCTCTGTGTAGTTACACAAGTGCAGGTCAGGATGGAACTAGCACCTCCCTGGTTTTGGCCACCATGCTTTTATTAATGCAACCTAAGTCATGCCAGATTTTTAGCAACTATGTAAAAAGAAAAGCAAACATTGAATATTGGTCCAACTTCACACTATAGAATTTTATTCTCTGCTTTTTTTTTTTCCAAACTTGAATTGAAGGAAAGCCACTTTTACTCACTCTACTCCTACCCAATATATTTAAGCAGGTCATTTTTAAAACTCAAATACATTACTTAGTATATATTCTTATTAAATACCATCTTTATTTATTTACTGTTTTGGCCGATACTGATCTGTTTTGTTTTTTCTTTAATTTGACAATTATAGCAAAACAGAAGAGAAAGAAACATTTTCTGTAGTGTGACCACTTTTTCTTAAATACATTAAAAAAGGGTTTTTTCCTCTACCACTCTAATATTGCTCACAGATAAATCTATTTATATTTTCCCAAAAACAAAATTTTAGAAAGTGCTTTGCACACATTTCTGTTTTAATAGGACCTTGCTATATTATTGCTTTGTTTAGTTTTTTAAAAAATTTGGAATATATGAAGAAGCAAAAACACTGAAAAAATCTGCTGCTTGCCATTTTACTTACATATATGTATTATATATCTATATAATTATATGTTATATCTATTTGTATGTATGCATCTACCTTTTCATTCTTTTCATTCCAGATATTTCCGATTTCTGCTATCTGATATACTCACTATCTCTTCTAGCTTTCTGTGATTCTGAGGTTAATCAAATATTCAGTAGGATTGGGCTGAGAACTTACCACTAGAAACTTCTCTCTAGGCCAACCTTTAGCCCAGGGGTGGGAAAACTATGGCCATGAATTAATTATTCTTCACCTGTTTTTTGCAAATAAAGTTTTTATTAAAAAAACTGCCACTTCCATTTGTTTATGTCTTGAGTAAGACTAGTTTTGCATTCTAATAGTACAGTTTAGTAATGGCAACAGTGACCAGGCTGGAAGTATTTGCTATCTAGTCCTTTATGGTCTTTTACAGAAAAGATTTCCCAATCTCTGCTTTAGTCATTAGTAAGTAGTCCCTGCATTCTGTTATTGAATTCATTGCTGAGAATTGAAACTAGCATAAATTCCTATCCCTGTACTAAACCGCACTGAAAGCAAAAATAATTTAGCTACTTGCTTCAGGAAATTCTTGCTTCTAGAGGACAAAACTTACTTTTCAAGACCAACATCATCATCTGTATCAAGAGCCTGACCTTCTTGTACTCATCAAATTAAAACTATTATGCCCTAATCTCTACCCACATTTAATCAGCTCCTCATCTTGCAAGAACAACCTTAAAATCACCTAACCCAGGTCACGAAGCCCTAAAAATATTGTTTTAAAAAAAAACTTCAGCTGAATTAAATTGAAAGGAGTTTAATTGAACAATGAACAATTCATCAATCAGGCAACCCCTGATTCTGGGGCAAACCCCAGAATCACAGCAGATTTGGAGAGACTCCAGGGATACCTCATCATCAGAACAAATTTGTAGAAAATAAAAGGGAAGTGACTTACAGAAATAGAAAGCGAGGTACAGAAGCAGCTGGATTGGTTACAGATTGGCATTTGCCTTACTTGAGCACAGTTTGAACACTCAGCAGCGTATGACTGGTTGAAACATGGCTGCTGGGATTGGCCAAGACTCAGCTATTGTTTCAGGCACATGTTCCTAAGTTAGATTTTCAATCTTGTCTACCTATTAAGTCAGGTTACTGTTGGTCCTCAAGGACTCAAATATAGAAATATGTATTTCTTCAGGCCATTTCTAGTTTATATTAACAATATCACCCACTTATTTCTCCTTCTGAGAAAGTATTACAACTATGCCAAGTTGTATTCTCCCTGACTGTGGAAAGTCTAGCAAACTTAGATTTGTCCAATGAATAAGTATTTCTTGTCACCTTTTTAGGAACGGAAAGTCAACACTACAAATCCTCAAAGCTATAGCAGCGTCACTCATCCACATTCTTGTATTCTGATTTATATAAATACAAAGAGCATTTCTATAAGATATAATTACCTGCATATTGCAGATAGAAAAACAGGTGCACACAGAGGCTGGAGCTATGCTTTGGTGATGTGTGCAGTGCCCCAGATCAAGAGGTCACATAGTAGGGGGGGACCCTCAATCAGGGATCTGCCTTCAAGTCCCAGGTCTCGTTCTAGGTCATGGACTAAATTTTATTTAGTTAACTATCACCTATATATGTAAATAATGGCAACTACTTATCTCCTCTAGGCCTCAGTTTCCTCAGCTATGAAAATAGAAAGCTGACTTCTATTATCTATATAGTTTCTTTCAATTGTGAAATTCACTGAAAGTATGATTTTTCAGCAGTCTTAAAACTAATTTCTTCACACTAGTATCTTTCAGCAAGACTTCATGGCCTCAAGCAAAAGGCATATGAGAGATACTCTCTTGATGACTGAGTTAAGTTCTACAGCTTGGTTTCTCTGATTAAAAAAAAATTGTAGAAATGATTCTGACTATTTCCATAACAAACATATTTGCATTTATTTCATGCTGTTAACAACTTAACATGTAATCATGGCTCCTCTAGGAAAAGCAGTACTGCTTCTTCTATGATCACATTAAACACGCTGTGTTACGTCTTTCTACTAATCTATCATCTATTATGGCTGCCTATTTTGAGAGCTTGGCATAACAATTATCATAAGTGATAGCATTATATTCTGAAAACAAAGAATTTGATGGCACAATTTATCTTGCTACTTGGCCTAACTTAATGGTGGTGGGGTTTCCTAGTCTGTACTATATTTTTCTCAGATCACAAATAGTTCACTTTTTAATTTATTATTGATTTAGCTTAAAAGTAAATAACTCCGTGAATGCTAAAGTTGGAAATCTGTTATAAAAATTATTAAAAATCTTCTCTTCCTTCTGGCCATGGATGTTTATCACACTGAAATCAAACTGTGGAGCTACCTGAACAAAGTGAATTTGAGATTTTTAATTTATCTGGTGTAATTAACTGGTCAACTAAAAACAAAAGGGCAATTAGTGCTGCACACATTTGTTCTGATGATGAACATGGCAACTGAAAATGGATCTTGATCTTCACTATGAAATCCTTTAGTATCAAAGCAATGTTGCTGTAAATAAGGGGAGAACGAAGCCCGTGAGGAGTCACGCACTTGCAACAATGATGTCCTGATAAACTAAATCCACACCAGTAAGACAACTAGAGAGAGAAGTTGGCCAATATTTCAAAGTAATATTCCTCCTTGACCATTCTACTGCCCTGTACTTGAACAGCAATAACCAAAGCCTTTTAGTAGTAGTTTCTACTTTTCCTGCTACCAATGTGAGAAAATCATTTCATGTACTGCAAAAGAGGTAAGAAAAAGGTATAATTTGTAATTGACCTGAGGATTTCCATAAACAGTATGTATTAATGCACATAATTCTCCAGCGTCCAAGTCCATGTAACCTAGATGTATTTATAGAAATTAAAAAGCACAATGTTGACAGAATTGGACAAGAATAATTTTCTATTTTCCCCCACCATAGAGTAAGATGTTTTAAATTATTTTAGACATTCTCTGTAGCTTCTAAGTTAGGTTGGGAAGTACCAACCCTTCATGAGCACCTTTCAGAAGCTTATTACAGAGCTATGCATGCACATCTACTCTGCCTTTTTATTCAAGAAATTGACCCTAGTTCTCACTGGAAAAAATAAAGTTGGAAAACTCCTCTGTAAAAGATAGATAAGAGAATAACAGAGGTACCATCTCTGTTTAGGATAACTCTCATTGTCTCTCAAGCCTGCCGGACAAACCAAGGTTTAACATGGCAGCCACCTTCCAGAATTTTCCTGATGCCTGAGGTCCAGCCATTATTTGACTTACACATTTATTCCTGGTTTACTGGCAATTGTGCACATTTATAGACTGACGAATAGTTTTAGAGCCAGGAGATGGAGTGAGTGACAATTTTCCATTCCTAAAAAAAAAAAAAAAACATGATTATTCTGAACCAAACAAAGAAACTCTTAATGTTGTTTGGGTTAAGCATAATTAGCACTGTGTATAACCTCACTGTCACAGCAATAATTGCTGAGTTCTTTCATCTGCCTTCTGGGATCAGAAGCAAGTCAGTGATACATGGTGAGAAGAGGTCGTATAAAGGCAGGGCTCACAGTCTGCAGCTACTTCAAAATACAGGACTGCATCTTTTTCTACTACATAGATGGTATTCTTGTTGAGTACGTATACACTGAATTAGAAAAATACAGTTGGATAATCCTTTAACAGAAATCTTCACAGCCAAATATATTTTAGAGTTTAGAATTCATTAAACGAGAGATCAGCAAAAGAAAATTCCAGAAGCTCGAAAGCCAGAAAGGGTCAGATAATAAATATTTTCAGCTTTGCAAGCCATATGGTCTCTGGAGCAACTATTCAGCCCTGCCTTTGTAGCACTAAAACAGCCATAGACAATACATCAATAAACAGGCATGTTGGGTTGCAGTGAAATTTTATTTACCAAAAAAAGGCAAAGAGCCAGATTTGGTCAGCAGGCTATGGTTTCCTGACCCTTGTTTTAGCCTTTAGAAAGGCAATGGGGTACGAATTCGTATGTATTTCTATATATTTATAAATTTGTGTGTACAAATTTATATGTATTTTTATTTGCATGCATATACATATTATAGACAGATATGTACATTAAAGATACATATAAATTTGTGTGTGTGTGTGTATATATATATATATATATATATATATATATATATGTATATGCCCAATGAACAATACACTTATCATCAACCAACATCTCTGTTTCAGCAGAAAAATACATCAATATTTATAATAAGCTGGGTAAAAAGATCTAAGCAACCACACATTGCTTGGTGTGTATTGCCTGGGGACAGTTCTCTGCCACCAAATAAATTTTGCTACCAAGCTTTCATGTAATTTTCAACTTTCAGAGATTCTTTTTAATTGCAAGAAAAGTGATTATAGACCTGTACATACTCTTTCCTTGAAGTGTTTGAAATTATTACTTTTGTACTGAGCAATTTCATGCAAGAAAAAGTAAATACACGTTAGTTTATGAACCAAGATACTCACTGCTCTGGGCCAAATTATCATTTAAAAGACCTCATCTAAAACAAAATGCTGGTGATACATTTTTGAGACTCTTTTTAGGTTCTAGAAGTTTCTTTAAGTTAGATTTATATACTGGTTTTCCTTTATTACACCATTTTGCCTCAAGTGACCTGTAGGATTCTAGGAACCTAGAATTAATTCCTGTGGCTATTTTGCATGTCAGTGACTAGCAGAAATTTTACTCACTGAATATTTCTACTCGATTCTGCTGTGAGTAAATAACTACACTTTTCTTAACTACATTGTTGTCATTGAGCCAGAGTATTCTCCTTCCTCAGGCAATTTAAACTTTCACAAATGAAACTTTTACAAATGGCAACCCATGCATAAATATTAGCTATTTAGGCTAGCAGTATAGAGGAATGCCAAATAAAACATCTTTCGGGCTTTGGCCTCATTATAGTATGCTGATAAGCAATCAGATGATAAAGGGCAACATTTGCTATGAAATTATACACTGGATGGAATCAAACCATCTTAGAATATTAGAGCTGGAAGAAACTTGAAGGTGACTTCTAGGTCAAACCCTTCAATTTTCAAAGGAGGAAACTGACAATCAATGTGATTGTACATGAATCACTCAATGTTACTCAGCTGGTTAAGAGAAAGAGACAATAGTAGAAGCAAAATCTCTAGATTCCCAATGTAGCCTTTTTCTCTGTACCACCAGGTTGTTCAGCTGTCAAATGCAAACCTAGCTCATGCTTGCTGAATAGCTATGAGCTCTGCATTAGACACCACGCCGAGTATTACGAGTAAGTGTTACACATGGTGTTTATCGTCAAGGTAAAATGCAAAACCCTTGGCTTTTGGAGTCTTTGGTAAGTGCAAGCCTTAAGAGAAATACATTGAGTCAGTGTGCTCTAGAATCTTTAAGAGAAACTTCATATAAATTTGAGATAAACGATACAGGGGACTGGGCACTGTGGCTCACACCTGTAACCCCAGCACTTTGGGAGGCCAAGATGGACGGATCACTGGACATCAGGAGTTCAACACCACCCTGGCCAACATGGTGAAACCCTGTCTTTACTAAAAATACAAAATTAGCCAGGTGTAGTGGAGTGTGCCTGTAAGCCCAGCTACTCGGGAGGCTGAGGCAGGAGAATCACTTGATCCCAAAAGGCAGAGGTTGGAGTGAGCCAAGATCGTGCCATTGTACTCCAGCCTGGACAACAAGAGCAAAACTCCATCTCATTAAAAAATAATAATAATAAAAAATAAAAAATAAAAAAAGAATGAAGGGGCTTGGGGCTTGTCGGATTACTTAGGTAGAAGGAGACAAAAACAAAATACAAACAGGACTAGGCAAAAATTTGTCTTCTTGGCTCAGGTAAGATGTTTCATGATTCTACGGTACTGGGTATGATTCTAGGTTCTTTGGATGATGGAATGAATCACAGTAACACTCAGATACAGAAAAAGCAGAACTCTGCTTCTTACAGCTCCAAATGAGGCAAAGGGCACACAGGAAATTGTACCCAGGAACAGAACTACAGCAAGCGGGGACTGTTGGAGGTAGCTTGCGAATGGAAAATGGCATAGAGATGGCTAGGCTTTGCAGGCCTCCGGAGGATTGGGTATTTTAAATAATTTTCTAGCCCAAGGAAGTAGGGGCTGTTTTTGGGTGTTAGAGATTTGGAGATCTGTGGTATTTGGGTCTATGTGTATTATAACCCAGGATTATTAAAGCCTAATAAGGGATATATTTGGGGTTGAGTCTTAGCAAACTGTCCATGAAGGGGAACTGAAAGTTTTTAGCTGTAGCTGCAAACTTTCGTCAAGATAACAGTTGTGAGATATACCAGATCAACGGGTTTATTATCTCTTGATGACTTAATGGAGAGATTATACACTTTTTCTGATAATATTGACAGAGGTCCTGGCTTCGACTGCCATTGGTTTCAATTAAGCAATATGCTGAATTTTTTACAAAATATTATAGCCAAAGAAATAGATAACTGATTGATAATGACCTGGTCATATGCTTGTCCCTGGAGCAAGAAGGTGGAGGCAAATAACTCCCCAGCTGTATTGTCTGATGGTACATAGGGAGATGGTTCCTCAAAAGAAAGTCACAGACCTTTTATCACAAGAAGGAGACAGAATTATTGGGTAAAAAAATAATGAATATCCGTTAAATAAGTGTACCATGTAATTTACGTTATAAGCTGAGGCTTTTTTGAGAAAAAGAGTCTATTGATAATTCTGCCATGACAATTGGATACATGGAAACTGTCCAGTGAAAACAAAGATTTATGGCCATGCTACCATTGTATAGGTTTTTAGGGAGATACAGACCCTAAGGAGGAATTCTATGCAAATTAAATGACATCTATATAGAGATAATACATAATGCACGTGCACAGGAAGTAGATCTTTGTCACTAGATTGGAAATATTTAGTAGTAGTCTCCTTGGAAAAGGAAGATTAGAAACCTATTGTGCATAGTCTTGAATATCATTCCAAAGACTTTGGATGTTTGTGAAATTGAAAGTGATTAAAGTCTCCATTGCATAAACTGGCATAATTGGACCAATCTTTGTTTTAGGAAGAAAATTTTGGTGGTAATATTTAAATGAGTAGAAAGGACAAGAGATTTAAGGCAGGAAGACTATTCAGAGATCCAATTTTTTTTTAATCTTCAAAGCCACTACTCTATTTAAAACCTTCATTATTCCTTTCTTGTACTACAAAAGTAGCCTTTAATTACTCTGTATAATTCCAGTTTTTACTCCATCTCTTTCATTCTCCACGGTAGCCAGAGATATAACATAAATTTTGATTCTGTTCTGCTCAACATTCTCAATTATGATCTGAAAGTACAGCATTCATATGCATTAACATGACCTAAATGTCTTGTATATTTCAGCCTCTTTCCCTTTCTCCAACCTTGTCTCATGCCGCAGTTCTTCTGAATATCAAACCGGACTTTCTCATATCTTTGAACAGGCAACTCAAGGCTTGCTATAGGACCTGAGCCCACTGTCTCTCTTTTGTTTAGGAAGCTAGTCTCATCCTTCCTTCATACCTATTGTAATCCCTACAGCTCTGCTGTTTTCATCCCATGTACACACACTCTTTGCCTGGCAAAGAGCTACTCATATTTCAAGCCTCAGCTAAAAAATGCTAACTGAATTCCACCCTATAAATCTCATACATATTACATTTTTCTTTAATATTATCATATTTACTACACAAATATTTTCCTGTGTGCGTAAGGTTTTTTTTGTTTTGTTTCTCTGTTTTTGTTAAATGTCTCACAAGAGAACAGTGCCTCAAAGGTAGAAATGAAGGATTTTAGGCTCACCATTAACACCATAGTGCCCATTGTCTTGCAAAGAATGTGATTATATAAAGAAACAAACAAATAAATAAATGCTTATGAAAATATAATTAATGAATGAATAGATATAACATATGATCTAATTTATGTAAGGCATTAAAGGCTGTGGTATCAAAAGGAATGGAAAGATGATGTCAGATATGAGAACATTTGAGAAAAACATTGACTCAATACCTATGTTGACCCCTGAATATTGTTTATTTTTCCTGTGATTTTTATCCTTTGATTAAATTTGGAAAGCATTTAACTTAAATTTTATTTAAACGTTAAGTATAATCAATGTTTTTGGTTTAAGATGAAGTAACTCATGACAGAAAGAAATGATTTTTACAATTTAAAAATACATCAAGAAATAAAAATTTTATTATTTATTATCATCACACTTAAACTCCATACACTTCCAATAAATATTTAAGGTTGCAAGAAAATATGTTTCCACTATGTTAAAGTTTCCAAAGGATCTTATCACTTGATATATAATAGTTTTATCAAATGTAACCTACTACATCTCTTGATAGAAAAGCTGCAAAATTATACCATAAAAAGGCCATAGAAATAATAAAGGCAATAATAGTGGCTGTTTTTGTAAACAATCAACCATAGTCTGTTACAATCATACAGTTCATAATAACTGAGCTTAATTGTCAAGATTAATTGTTGAGCTTACCTACATGAGTTGTTACAGAACATGGACATAGATAAGTTTATTCTGAGCTTATTCTAAATTTTTATGAGTTTAGGAGTTTTTATGAACCTCTTATTAGATTTCTCTTTTGGGCTAAAGGCCAAACTAACATTTTATCTTGATTTCATTTATCACTGCATAGCTTAAATGTCAAAATAAATTAGAGAAAATTATGATGCAACCCCCTTAGGAAAAGCAAGTCTCGTACCTGAAAGATAACACTGCTAGAAATTGATTTCTTGCAGAAATTTTGCAGCACAATATTAATTTTTCTCTTGTGATATTAGGACAAATAATGTTTTCTAATATTTGAGGTGTGAATTGAAATTAAGAAAATATGAGCTGACATTACTGGAACTCGCAGAACAAATGTATGTGTAGAAAGCATCCATTTAGGTTGCTTTATTTTGGATAATAATATTAATATTAAATTGAATTAATATGCAACAAAAATATGCTTATTAAAATATTCGTGTTTGTACGTTTTTCATTTCATGACAATTTTGTCTTTTTCAGACTCTTGAGATACTGACTGGAAGATAGACTGTTTTGTTCCACCTGATTGTATGGGAGAAATTTTTGACCTTAGAAAGTGGAAATGAGGTTGCTATGGAAACTGGTAATTCTGCTGCCACTCATAAACTCTTCTGCAGGTAAAGTGTTCTATTATTATAAGTTTTGATTGATAAATATATTGGCATTGTATTTCTTTCTATGGGTGAAGCAATTTTCAAAATGCACAATTTGTATGTTATTTGAATGACTAAGTGATAATGTTTTGAAGGTAACTTCTATGACTCAGACAGGGAAAGTTTAATCCTTAAAAATGTATCAAATGCCAGTTTTAAATGGAAACTAACATTATTACATTTATAAATTGGCAAATATGACATTTTTATACAATGTAATTATGTAATATTTAATTATATAATATACTATGACATTTTAATAAAAGAATGTAATTAAATATTTTTATCACCAATAAACAGTGAATAATTATTCTTATTTTCATTATAGTGAAGTCTTTAAAAAATTAAAATTAAAATACATATTTCTCTCATGTTTAGAAATTGATATGGCAAAAAAATCAAAGCTATATTCATTTAGAAGAAAAGATGATATAGAATGTTACCTCAGAACTAGAAATAACCTTAGATATATTTTCTTTTTAATTATTTTAAAAGAATAGACAAGAACATGTTCTTTTATTCAACTTGAACATATTAATATCTGTGTATCAGTTAACTTTTGCTTTGTAATAAGCCACGCCAAATGTGAGTGTAATAAAATATCAAATAATCATGTATTTAGTTGACAAATCTGTGGGTTAACAACTTACGATGGGCTCAAATGGGTCTTCTTTTGGTTTTTGCCTGGGTGCACTGCAACTTCGATGAGCTGAGTCATCTGAGACATGACTAGTCTAGAACATTCGTAACTGAGACAACTGTGCTGCCATGGCTGTGGTCCAAATGTTACCCTCTGTGAGTCTGGGTTCTTTTACATGGTGGCTGCTCAGGGTTCCAAGAAAACAAAAGACAGAAGAATGCAGCATTTCTTGATGCCAACGCTTGGAACTGCTACATTGCCATTTCTGTGAGTTATTTTGACAATTATAAGTCACAAGACAAGTTCAGCTTTAATAGATGTGGAATGACACTACATCTCTTGATAGAAAAGCTGCAAAATTATACCATAAAAAGGCCATAGAAATAATAAAGGCAATAATCGTGGCTGTTTTTGTAAACAACCAACCATAGTCTGTTACAATCATAGAGTTCATAATTACTGAGCTTAATTGTCAAGATTAATTGTTGAGCTTACCTACATGAGTTGTTACAGAGCATGGACATTGATTAGATCATATGATTATCAAAGAAGCCTCTCTTCTACCATACCATGCTTCTTCCCCCCGACTATGTGTTGATAGGTACTAGTGAAGTTTCACGTACTTATAACAAAGCAGTAATACATTGACAGACATGCAGGAATAAACATAATTTAAAAGGCAGAAACACAGTAATTGTAAAGGACATATATTTTATAGCAATCCTGAGAAATAGATATGCTGATCTTAAAATGAATGAGAATGCTAAAATATGCAGAAATCAAACAGGAGAATCAGAAAACCATACAAATAAAAGCAATTTTACCACTAGCAAAGCTAGCAGCTAGAAGTGCCATAGTTATATTTACTCAAAGTGATTACAGTATTTTGATTGGTGACACCTCTAAGTCTCTGTAACAAAGATTTGGGGTTAAATAATAGTGTATTCTTTTTTTGGTAATAGATTAAGAAAAGACAGAGAAAACTCATCAAGGTGCCCCCAAATCATATATGTGTGAATAAGAATTATATTCCTACCCTTAAGTTTCATCTTCCTGTCAAAATTCAACATTAACATTTTGCCCTTTAAATATGTATATTGAATTAGCATAGGATCTCTAAAAGACCTTTTGTGTTAAATTAAAATGAATTATTAGTCTCAGAACACGTATCAAATCTGAGAAATACTCCAGCTCTTATATTAACTTTTATTTATACAAACTGGATGTGATTCAACATGTCCTGTTGCTTTATTCTGATGGGAGAAATCATCATATACCCTTGGTGCACAATTTCATTGTGAAAGAACAGATTGGATCTATTAAGTAGCCATAGCTACTTAAATGAGATAATCTAAGCTAAACATTGCTCCAGAGGTAAGGATGTTGATAATGACATACACAAGACAACACTGCTTTAAATCTGTTTGTTTTGTTAGACGTTTCATGGTGTGTCTCCCTATTCGCAGATACTATTTTAGTTTAGAAAATTAGATTGTCTGATGATAGAGTTCTGTGACTATGCATAGTGATAATATCTTGTTTTTCCAAAACATACTTTTTATTCATTCTGAAATGCCAGCAAATCTTTCACAATTACTTACTTTTTCCTTGCTATTTGAATTATTATAATTTTTCTAACAGGTTGATACTTTAAATCTCCCTAGACTCTAAATTAAAACTTAAAATTTTTTGACAACCTCTCCCCTCATTTTCTAAAAATTAACTACAACTTCTAGTGCTTTTACTATAGTCATGGCCTCATAGGCCTTTACAATGAAACTTAATCCATACAGTCATACATGATTGATTCTGGGACACTTTTAAAGTTTTGAGTACTTAAAAGTTTAATTGTTCTATTTTAGTATTTTTAAAATATTAGAAGAAAATGAAGGCCCATTTAATTAGGAAATACAGTTAATAATTATATACTTTTTAACTGTTTCATTGATATGCATGACAGGCTAAATAATGGCCCCAAAAGATATCTAGGTCCTAATACCTGGAACCTGTGAGTGCTACTTGATACAGTAAAGTGGATTTTGCAGATGTGATTAAGTTAAAGATCTTCAGATGGGGAGATTAAAATAGCCCTGGACTATCCAGATTGTAAGAAGGAGGCAGAGTTAGACCTGACAGAGGGGAAGGCAATGAGGCAGCAGAGCAGAGGGAGACGTGAAGATGCTGCACTGCTAGACTTCAGGACTGAGGAAGGGATCATGAGCCATGGGGTGTGATGAAGGAAGCTCTAGATGCTGGGAAAGGCAGGGGGACAGATTCTCCCCTCTATCTGTGGACTGAGCATGGCTCTGCCTGCACCTTTTTTCAGCCCCGTGAATCCCATTTTGGACTTCTGACCTCCAGGACTCTAAGAAAATAAATATGTACTGTTTTAAGCCATAACATTTTTGGTAACTTTTATAGAAGTCATAAGAAACTGAAGTTTCTTCCTCACTATGCTTTAAGCTTCCAGATGGCAGGGACTATATCTTGCTGGTACTTGGTAGGGATTCAGTAAATATTTGTTAAATGAATGAATTAATTAATTACCAAAAGTTAATGTTGTTTGTTCTATTTATGTTATCACAGTAGAATAAATTTAGTCATATAATATCCTCTGGGGAACTGTTAGTCTGGTTCATTCCTTTATGGTTGCCAGTGTGTATTAAAGTTACAGTCATAAGTTTCTAGAAATAGAATTGTAATAACGTTTTAAAAGTTTTAAATCATGCCGTATTTGAAACTCTGTGAGGGCAGGAAATTTCATCTGGTTTATGCTTTACTGATTCTCCATCCCCTAATACACAGATTCTAAATATTTGCTAAATGAATAAAAGAAAGCAGCTTCATTCACTTCAACAAATATAGAAATATATTAGAAACTATGATGTGCCAGGCAAGGAGCTTGATGTTGACCTTCAACAATAGGTCCATAGTCCCTGCCCTCTTCAACCTGACAGTCTAAACAGGGAAACCAGCAAGTAAGTCCACTTAAACTGAGATTCTGCCCCTTGTGACAAAAAAGTTCTTGACTAATACAGCTTTAAAAATTTGGTTTTGAGGTTGAGTTAGTAACAGAACTCTGCTGGGATAAATGCTTATTCACTAATGAAAATGAGGAAAAGAGCAAATAAAAGAATTTTAAGAAGTCACAATAATTCCTGGAAGGAAAAAAAAATCAAGAGGTTTAATATAGACTAAGAACGTTTATTCTCAGCCCTGAGTTACTGAAAAATCTACATTTCTTAAAGTAGAAAAAATATGTTAATGAGATAATTTGGATAACCAAATTAATAAACGGAGAAAAACTTATAACTGTAAGTCTACTTTTTGTCTTTGTAGACAATGCACAGATTGTTTTCATGAGGAAATATTTTATTTATTTATATATTTGTTTGTTTGTTTGTTTGTTTGTTTTTTGAGATGGCGTCTCCCTGTGTTGCCCAGGCTGGAGTGCAGTGGCGTGATATCAGCTCACTGCAACCTCCACCTCCTGGGTTCATACAATTCTCCTGCCTCAGCCTCTTGAGTAGCTCAGATTACAGGCACGCACCACCATGCTGGGCTAATTTTTTGTATTTTAGTAGAGACAGGGTTTCACCATGTTGCCCAGGCTGGTCTCAAACTCCTGAGCTCAGGCAATCCACCCACCTCAGCCTCCCAAAGTGCTAGGATTACAGGCATGAGACATCACAACCGGTCCAGAAATATTTTATTTTTTAATAAATACTGAACAATGTCAGTAATGGGTAGAAGCTGAAAAACCACGTAGGGTCAAATTTTGTTGACCCTAGAATGTCACCTGCCTAAGAAACCCAAGATTAACTGATGTGATTAACTGTCACATTTTCCCACAGTGAAAAATTCTCAGAATGCACAAGATGATTCTATTTTATTAAATCTTTCACCTTACCATGGCTTTTATGTACAATTTGAAAAATATTAGACAGATTTCAAAATTTAGTTCCAATCTTTAAAAATTTGATAATTATTAAAAATGTTTAATAAAGACTTGATGATAATAGGTTGAATCGTGTGCTATATCTGTTCTTATGAGTTAACCAGGGTTAGAGATAGCACAATTTTATCTGCGGACTATTAGAAGATCTGCAGTCCTTAAGAAGAGTGTCAGTGAGTGTCAATGGCTGCTATTATAACTCAAACATAATAAACAATAGCAGAATAGTAGTTACAAGGAGTGTGATTTTCCTGATACTAAATATTCATATCATCTTAAGAATTTCTGCCTAATGTATTCTCTTTTAACATTCTTATTTTAACTAAGTACTACTATTTAAATGGTAGTTTATAAAACATTCACTTGGTTCATAAATATAACCACTTTTTTGTCATTTGTGTTTGTTTTGCCATGGGTTAAGGACTTTTATATGTATTTTATGAAATTACGGACTGAATACCTATTTGGTTAGTCCTGAAGAAGTACCAGTTATTCAGTATGAGACTTGGTTTTATCATGAAGAAGTGCAATAATTCAAGAAAGTCAACATAGAGCTAGTCACATGTATTGGCAGACTAGAATCAAAGCCCTCCTTGAGGGATTCTAATTATTGTGTTATGCCAACAGGGCCTAATGAGCTGGTTTCTCCTACTGTATTAATTACTCTTGAAGAATAAACTGAGACTCAAAATTATAATAAGTCTTTGCAGCCATCATTTTTATGTAATGTTTGCTGACAAATGTGGTTATATTATTTTCAAAACTTCTCCCAAAGTAGTTGACTTTTAACACTAAAATAAAGTTGTTTTTAGGGCTGATACCCATAAAGAAAGAAAAAATCTATTTTGTCAGTATTTTTACATAGCTTACTTCTTTATAAATAACACAGCCTGAAAGTGAATCTGGGAGAAACTGTCACTCTTTCTAAATACTCACAGTCAGGCACCTAGGAAAAAGGGACATTGGAAAGTATTTATGATTGCTTGAATTTCACTCTATTTCAAACATAGCCTTTTATTGAATTGAGAGGCAGAGCAAACGAACTACCTGAGAGAGAAAACCAGAAGAATGAAAATATTCACTATGACCAAGATTTCTTCAAAGACAACGATGTATCACACAGCAAATCCATGAAAATTGGCAGGTGTAATAAACCTGCTTTGCTCAAGGATCCCAGAAGCACATACTGGATATTCCTTTGGGTCAGAGTGTGAATGAATATTGAGTACGTCACAACCCACACTCTGCCTACGGTCTTGTTTGGATTTATTGTTAGCATAATAGCACCTTTAAGAATGGAACACCAGGCTGTATTTTTAAGCCAAGTGACATCTTCGCAATTTCTAATAGAAATGGTCCAATTTAGAAATGCTGAAAACACCATTTTCATGCAATGCTTACTGATAAAGGTGGTTATATGATTATCAAACCTTCTTCCAAAGTAATTGATTCTTAAACCTTAAATGAAATTGTTAGGACTGATAAGAATGTAGGAAAAAAAATTATGTTTTGTCAGCACTGGGGGGAAATGATTGGTATGCAGACTGGCATACTATAGGAAATGTAGGCTCTTAGTTGAATGGAATGTGAGTAATTGTGTTTTCACCATGAAGTCTTTGAAGGAGAGGGTCAAGTATGCTATGGAAGTAATAACACCAGGTCATATTTTCACTTTAAGGGTACTCAAAAATAGCTATGCTATGACTTGAAAATAGCATGGAAGGATTCATAATATTTTTCTTTTCTTTTCTTTCTTTTTTTTTTTTGAGGTGGAGTTTTGCTCTTGTTGCCCAGGCTACAGTGCAGTGGCACAATCTTGGCTCACTGCAACCTCTGCCTCCCAGGTTCAAGCAATTCTCCTGCCTCAGCCTCCCAAGTAGCTGGGATTACGGGCATGCACCACCACACCTGGCTAACTTTGTATTTTTAGTAGAGACGGGGTTTCTCCATGTTGGTCAGACTGGTCTCGAACTCCCGACCTCTGGTGTTCCGCCCGCCTCAGCCTCCCTAAGTGCTGGGATTACAGGCGTGAGCCACCGCGCCCGGCCCAGGATTGATAACATTTTTCTTCCCCCGATTTAAACAACTCCAGATGCTTAAAATCAAACTCCTTGCCATTCCATCAAGTCACGAAACAATCTGGCTTCTTCTGCCTACCTCTTTCATCTCTACTTTTACTTAACTTCCCTTTGCTCATTGCATTAGAGTCACATTTTTTTCTTATGCTCATCAAAATACCAAGATTGTTCTCTGCTTAGGGTCTTTGCATGTGCTGTTCAGTCGTGTGAAACACTCTTCACATCTTTCTATGACTGGCTCTTTCCATTATACCCATCTCCAATCAGTCACCTCCATAGTCTGACGTTCCCTTAGGACCTTGTCTGGGTAAGTAGTAGCTTATCCCACTATTGGTCCTAGTCACTCTTGTCAACCTTTTTTACTGTTTTCAATGAGCTCGTCGCTATCTGGAATTAACTTATTTATACATTGTTTACCAGTGCACTTTCTGCCTATACCTAGAGGAATATAAGTTTTATGTAGTTAAAATATTGTGAGTCGTATAAGTGGCTGCATCACTGATGCCTAGTACAGTGCCTGACGCATGGTACGCACTCAATAAATATTTAAAATAAATGAGCACGTTATTGACCTCTCAAAATAAGACCCCAAGACTGCTTAGGGATAAACCAATATTCCCAAACACCTTTAGCAATTGAACTGGTTCTTGTTAGAATCTACTTTTAGGCATAAATGTTTTAGTCACAATATATCTTTTGGGCTTAGGATTTTTTTTTTAATTTTTAAAAACTATGCTGTATACTGAAAGTAGAAAGCTATTCCTAATTTTTGAAACGAATACAGTTTGCTTAGACACACTTGACCTAGGCAGGGGTAACTTCAGTGTGGTTTGTTCAGGGAGTAGAACATTTAACATACAGCCAGTGCTGTTTCAGTATTACTGGGTAGCAAATACACGTTGACTTTGTGTCACAAATAATTTAAATATTTAAACTTGTGGGCTGTATTTTATCTCAAGATGTATTTTTTTATTCCTTTTTAGTTCTGTCATTACCAGTCAAGTTGATCCACCATTGCCTCTCCCCCCAAGACATTTGTACCAGCCTCCTACAGTTTCTCTCTATTTTGAGGCATCCTCTGTGTCCTTTCCAAGACTTAGCTTATTGACACAGATGCCTATGCAGAGAAAACTTCATAAAGCACGGCTGATTTTGTCATTACTCTATGTCAAGACCTTTACAGATCCCATCTCCTATAAAGTTCAAACTGTCTAATCAAGCATTCAAATTCAATTTCCTTCAACAAATATTGGAAGTTCTCCAATTAATTCAATTCTACCTGTGTCATGAGCCATGCCTTCCCTTACTCTCCTTCATGTATCCTTTATTCAAGTCAGACTGTGCTACTTGTAAGATCTCTGCACTTTTTAAAAATCCCCAAGTCTCTCCTTATATCATTGTGATATTCTGCATTGTTCTTCTTCAGATCCATTTCCATTTATTAAAGGCAAATCCAATCTTTAACACACTTATTCGAATGCTATGTTCATTCTGATTAATCCTCCCAGTAACATATTCTTCCATTTTCTCCTGAAACCTTGATTCTGTGAAGAAGAATTTTGTCATTTCCACACTCTTTGCTTAGAATCAGGTCATTTCTCTCAAATATATGCTCATTCTGAGAAATATATAGTATTTACACTTGTTGAATTTGTAACTGTAGAATTCTTAGTCTTAAAGGGAAAATAAAAACTCAACTCAAATATTTGACTCGTTATACCTCATAACTAGTGCATTCGAGTTTATAAAGCACTTTATGAATAGTGTTTCATCTGATCTTGATAGTGGGCAAAGGAAGAAACGATATTTGAGTCTCAGACTTTCTTTCTTTCTTTCTTTTTCTTTTCTTTCTTTCTTTCTCTTTCTTTCTTTCTTGCTCTTGCTCTTTCCCTTCCTTCCTTCCTTCCTTTCCCTCCCTCCCTTCCTTCCTTCCTTCCTTCTTCTTTCTTTTTCTTTCTTTTTTTCCAGTCTCGCTCTGTTGCCAAGGCTGAAGTGCAATGGCGCTATCAAAGCTCACTTACTGCTGGCTTGACCTCCTAGGCTTAAACAATCCTCCTACCTCAGCCTCCTGAGTAGCTGGGACTATAAGCATGCACCATCGTGCCTGGCTAATTTTTTATTTTTTGTAGAGACTGCCTCTCACTGTGTTGCTCAGGCTGGTCTTGACTTCTTGGCCCAAGCAATCCTCCTACCTTGGCCTCCCAAAGTGCTGGGATTACAGGCATGAGTCACTGCACCTTGCCTCTTTTTTTTTTTATTTTTAATTTTAATTTTTCTGTGTACATAGTAGGTGTATATATTTATGGGGTACATGAGATATTTTGATATAGGCATGCAATGCATAATCGCAATAGGGAAACTGGGGTATCCAGTCCCTTAAGCATTTATCCTTTGTGTCACAAACAATCTAATTATACTCTTTTATTTATTTATTTATTTATTTATTTAATTTATTTATTTATTTATGTACTTATTGTCTCTGTTGCCCAGGCTGGAGTGCGGTGGCACGATTCTGGCTCACTGCAACCTCTGCCTCCCAGGTTCAAGCGTTTCTCCTGCCTCAGCCTTCCAAGTAGCTAGGATTACAGGCATGTGCCACCACACCTGGCTAATTTTGTATATTTAGTAGAGACGGGGCTTCACCACGTTAGCTAGCCTGATCTTGAACTCCTGACCTCAGGTGATCTGCCCGCCTTGGTCTCCCAAAGTGCTGGGATTACAGATATAAGCCACCACGCCTGGCCCTGTTATTTTCAAATGTGCAATTAAGTTATTATTGACTAGAGTCACCCTGTTGTGCTATCAAATACTAGCTTTTATTTTTTCTAACTTTTATTTTGTACTCATTAACCATCCCCACCTGTCCCCCTCCCGCCGTCCCAGTTTCCTTCCTAGCCTCTAGTAACCATCCTTCTACTCTCTATCTCCATGAGTTCAATTGTTTTCATTTTTACATCCCATAAGTAAGTGAGAACATGTGAAGTTTGTCTTTCTGTGCCTGACTTAGCTTAATGACCTCCAGTTCCATCCATGTTGTTTCAAATGGCAGAATCTGGTTCTTTTTTATGACTGAATAGTACTCCATTTTGCATACGCACCACATTTTCTTTATCAATTTATCTGTTGATGGATACTTAGATTGTTTCCAAATTTTGGCTATTGTGAATAGTGCTGCAACAAACATGGGCATGCAGATATATCTTCGATATATTGATTTCCTTTATTTTGGGTATATGCCCACCAGTGGGATTGCTGGATCATATGGGGGCCCTAGTTTTAGTCTTAGTTACTGGATCATATGGTAACTCTAGTTTTAGTTTTAGAGGAAGCCCAAAACTGTTGTTGATAGTGGTTGTACTAATTTACATTCTCACCAATGGTGTATGATGGTTCCCTTTACTTCACATCCTTACCAGCATTTGTTATTGCCAGTCTTTTGGATATAAGCCATTTCAACTGGGGTGACATGATATCTCATTGTAGTTTTGATTCACATTTCTCTGATGATCAGTGACATTGAGCACTTTTTCATATGCCTGTTTGCTATTTTTATGTCTTCTTTTGAGAAATAGCTATTCAAATCATTTGCCCATTTTTTAATCGCATTATTAGATTTTTCCCTATGGAGTTGTTTGAGCTCCTTATATATTCTGGTTATTAGTCCCTTGTCAGATGGGTAGTTTACAAATACTTCCTTCCATTCTGTTGGTTGTCTCTTCACTTCATTGATTGTTTCCTTTTCTATATAGAAGCTTTTAAACTTGATATGATCCCATTTAAAGATTGTTTCTTGACACAGACTCAATTTTTTTTGGCAGCGGGCAGGATTTTCCTCTGTCACTCAGGCTGGAGTGCAGTGGCAAGATCATAGCTCACTGCACCCTCAAATTTGTGAGCTTGAACTATCTTCCCACCTCCACCTCCTGACTAGCTGAAACTACAGGCTCATACCACAATGCCTGGCTAATTTTATATATATATACATATATATACACACATATATATGTGTGTATATATGTGTATATATATACACACATATATATACACACACATATATATACACACACATATATATACATACATATATATACACACATATATATACACATATATACACACATATATATACACATATATATACACACACATATATATATATACACACACACATATATATATATACACACACACACACACATATATATATATATAGACAAGGTCTTGCTAATTCTTAAACTCCTGGCCTCAAGTGATCCTTTTGCTTAAGACTCCCAAGTAACAGACTCAAATTTATGAAACAGTTAACCTTTAAAATCTGAAACCAATTTAAAGGGGGAAATCACCCAGGGCCTTGTAAGTCATACTAAGGAACTGGATTGTGTTCAAATTACCGCCTAATTACCATAGTGGGGGCTTATTCATGGAGGATATGTGCCAATCCTCCCAGTGGATGCCTACAACCATGAACAGTCCCAAGCCCTATACGCATTATGTTTCTTCAGTCTGATAACAGAGCCAGCTACTAAGTGATTAAAGGTGGGTAGCATACACAGCGGGGGTGCACTGGACAAAGGGATGATTTCCTTTCTGGGTGGGACAGACTGGAATGGAGCAGGATGGTGTGGGATGACTGGAGATTTCATCACACTACCCAGAATGCAATTTAAAACTTATGACTTGTTTATTTCCAAAATTTAGCGTTTAATATTTTTGGACCTTGGTTGAGCATGGTAGCTGAAACTGGGGAAACTGAAACCACAGAAAGTAAAACTGTGGATAAGGCGGGACTATTATATATAGAATTTTTTTTTATTTTGGCAAATATACTGTCATTAATTTTATTTCTTTTTATCTTATAAAAATAAATACCTTAATATATTTATCTAGTATAAATTGACAGAACAATTAATCTATATAAAAATAATCTGGTTCTCAAACTTAACTTCACATTGGAATCACTTGAGGACATTTAAAAAATACTGTTACTACAATCCCACTTAGAAATTTAGAGTTAATTTATCTGTGTTCAATGTAATCATTCGTTTGTTTTTCTTTTTCCCCCCCTCAAGACAAAGTCTTGCTCTGTCCCCCAGGCTGGAGTACAGTGGCGCGGTCTCAGCTCACTGCAACTTCTGCCTCCCAGGTTCAAGCAATTCTCCTGCCTCAGCCTCCTGAATAGATGGGATTACAGGCATGCGCCACCACACCTGGCTAATTTTTGTATTTTTAGTAGGGACAAGGTTTCATCATGTTGGCCAGGCTGGTCTTGAACTCCTGACCTCGTGATCCATCTGCCTTAGCCTCCCAAAGTGCTGGGATTACAGACATCAGCCACCACGCCCGGCCAATCATTCAGTTTTTAATTTTTATTAAAATCCAAAATATCTCAGTAAGTATAATGTGCATAAATTGTGTCAGTTCAATGAATTTTCATAAATTCAACCTACCCATGTAAGCAGCACACAAATCAAGATGCAACCATGGCTGGATCCCAGAAGCCCTTTCCAATCACAGCTGAGACACAGAAGGGTAGCCATTATCTGACTTCTCATCACACAATTTACTTTTACTGTATATATATATATATATATATATACACACTACCTATATGGTCATTTAGTGTGTATTCTTTCATTTCTGGCTTGTTTCATTCAATATCGGGTTTGTGAGATTCATCCAAGTTGTTGTGTATAATGGCAAGTTTGCTTACTCTCATTGCTGGGTAGTACATTATTCCATTGTATGAATCTTTTACAGCCTGCCTTTCCATTCTACTCATGATGGACCTTGGTGTTTTTAAAAGGACCTAAGTGCTTTTAAAAGCTAAGCAAATGATTCTAGTATGCTGTTTCTGAGGTTGAGTATCACCAATGTAGTCATAAATGTACGTAAAAAAAAAAAAAAAGAAAAATTAATTTGATATCCCATTAGGCTTCCATAGAATTTGTGGTAGTGTTTTTAAATTTGCATAATTCTCATTTTTATTTATCTCTAGTTGAAAATTACCGACATATTTAGCCAGGGTGTGCTGGAGCTGACTCGTAGCAGCTCATGAAAGCTGAGTGTTAGTTTCAGGAATTTTGTAAGCAAGTCGTTTAAACACAGCTATTATTAAAAATTAAATAGACATCCAATTAAAATAATTATATTCAAAATTTCATAAATATTTAAAATTCATTACTTCCAAATTATTTTAGAATATTTTCCTATTACTTATGGTCTTGAGGTTGTTCATATCTATTGTATTTGTATGGTGGAAATATCATATCATGGAAACTACTGTGCATTTCTTCCCAAATTATGTCATGTTATTATCTGGAAATCACTCATGGGTAGTATTTACACCACAGCAACTGGCAAAAGCTACAAAGCAGGTCCTCACTTAGTGTTGATGCTGAAAGAGTTTCAGTAATGGATATAATTTGTATGACAGTGAGAAATAGTCTAAGATTATATTGCATATAATGATATATGATTATATATATATGATATATATATATATATAATGATAGCAAATGCTTACTGGGAATAAAGTTAGCAGCAGATTGGGATACAATTCCAATTGTCAGGTCATGGTTGAACTGCAACTGAAGCTTAGCTAGAGACATAAATATTCAATAAAACTTAGCAAAAGCCTTCTATGAAAATCAATTGACTTATGGAATTTGTAATTAATTATGATATTATATATTTTATTATTTTTAATTGTGGGCTACACATCACATCCATTGCATTAGTAAATTTGATAATAAACATGTGTATATACATATATATACATTTATATGCACACAAATATATGTATCCACATTCTTTTCAGAGACATGGTTGTTAAATAACTGCTAGCATGCTGCTCTGTTGAGCTATGTTTTATTTTTTAGCCATTTTTATTAGTGGAAGTATGCCATGTTTTGCAGATTTATTCGGTACAAAAAACAAGGTAGAGAAGTAAGTACCAAGACCCCATGGTGCCCTTAGGAATATATATATATATATGTATACACACACACACACACACACACACACACACACAAACATATATATGTTCTGTACATGTATATGTGTGTAGATATATATTTTCTATACATGTTACATTACACTAAATGATATTGTAATTGTTTTGTCTATTTTAGCACTAATTTAGATTTTGATATTTTATTTTTCATACAGAATTAGTACTAAATTGAAGAACAAAGATAACATATTTGGACTCAGTTAAAAAAAAATCTCAATCTGAAGATACCTAATAGTTTACCAGAAAACAGATGAAGAGTTTCTTTCCTCCCTCATAAAAAATCAAACTTGGTTTACCGAACCTTGCAGCTAACAACAGGTGCTGTCTGCTCACTTTGCCAGAAGCTCACAATAGAACAGATTGGGTACACACAGAACTAAAAACAACATTTGAGTAAGGAACAAAACCCTCCCAAATATTCTGACCAGCTCTATAATCAGTTCTTAATATTGAGCCTGGAAACAATAATGATTTCTTTAATGTCAAAATGGGCAAAGAACCTTGTTTGTATTGTTTTGTTTTGTTTTACCTGTATTTGTGCACATGGGAATTTCAGAAAGCACTTATAATCAAACACAAAAGTGCTACATTTGGGGTTGTACAGCTCAGAAGGGAGGGGAAAAAAAACCCCTTCTTCTTCGTAAAAGTCTTACAGAGAATCACCAATCACAGAGGGAGAAGTGTGTTCTAATATCAAATCTGTGTGGCTGCACCATCCCTTCTTAATTGCCAATTGTCTTTTCCACTTTGTCCTCTTTCTGTAACATTGCTAAACTGAATCTGAGGCCAGGGCTTTAACTTGATATATCTAAGTTCATGGCCATACATTTATTTTACTTACTCAAACACTTAGTCTCTCAAATAGAATTGATGATTTGTCAAATGATTTGTTGTTGCATAATGACATAGCTGTGGAAGCCGGATCTTGCTTTATGTTTGAGAACACATTTCCAGAGTCCAAAAGCACGTGAGGATTGATGGCACAGATGGGCTTGAAGAACTGGTTTCAGAAGTGCCATCTTCTACTCAACTGCCAGTTTTTCTGTTTATCATCTAGCTAGACATTCTGACCCTTTGTATCCTCCCATTGCTTATATTTTTACAACGTCAAAATCACTCCAAATGAGAAATGTGGGAACAGAAAAGCAAAGCAAAGAGTATTCAGACCACAGAAAATCATCTGTGCCTAGGGACTGGCCTGGCAGCCTCTTGTTTTCTGTTTGTCCCTTGAAGACAATGGAATTGTAATCCTTGTACCAGGAGATCACACCATCCTTTCCAGTTCTGATTACCCAATGATTCTAAGATGAGAAGCGTTACACAGTTTTACAATTTCTTAATAGTTCTGATGAAAGAATATATGAGGACAACGCAGCTTGTTTTAGCTAAAAGGCAATTTGGGACTCTTCTGTGAATTTTATTTATCCATCTTATGCTATTCCCTTGGGTAATTATGAGTGAATTGCTCTGTGCTGTGTTTCATCAAACTTTTTCTGACTGTTATTTTGAAATTATTATCAAGAGCATCACTGAAGGAACATAGTCACAAATGGATAATGCTTATTAAACTGCAGTGTTATATTTGAATGCCACTATTCTATGGCTAAGGTTGTGCTATGCCCTCATGTGCCAGCCTTGAAAGCTCATTAATTTGTTTGGTTCTGCCAGTCAGGCTGGAGTGCAGTGACGCGATCATAGCTCACTACAGCCTCGAACCCCTGGGCTCAAGAGATCCTCCTGCCTCAGCCTCCCAAGTAGCTGGGACTGCAGGCACATGCCACCACACCTGGCTAATTTTTTAAATTATTACTACTTTACAGATGAGGTTTTGCTATGCTGCCCAGGATGATCTGGAACTACTGGCTTCAAGTGTCTTCCCACCTCAGCTTCCCTAGTTGCTGGGATTACAGGCATGAGCTACTGTGCCCAGCAAAGCTCATTGATTAGTCTGCCTGTCTGTCAATGCGGTCAATCAGTTAATTCAGTGAGATACTCAGACACTCCAAACAAACTATTAATCTGAGGAGACAACCTGAAACACATGATTAGCAGCTGATGTCGTAAGAACATAAACACTTAGCCAATCTGTAATCAATGGATTCATCTCAATTTAAACTACTGCTTCTTTTAGTGGTAAACATTGAAGAGCAGGGGAAATCTGCACCAGGAAACAACAAGTTTCACTAGACTGACAACCTTGGCTGAGCTAGAACTATGTTTTCAGAATTTCTCTTCCCTATCCAGATCTGGATTAGAGATGAACAAAAAGGAAATTTGTGTGAGATTTGGAAGGTGGAAATGATGCTACTCTGTGAAAGCTGCATGTAAGTTTGTCTGGTGAGAAAGAGACACAGGTTAACAGAGAGCTCGTCCTCTGTTTCCTTCTTCATATCCAGGTTTTGGCCCAACTGGTGGCACTACTGACCAACATTGACCTTAGGTCCACTCCAGTTTTAGAGGCAACAGTTCACAAACGCTTCCCCTTCACATGCCCATTCTGGCAGCTGAACTTGCTGGCTTCCTTGCAAGATCTGACTTGACCACCTGCTCCAGTGCCCAAGAGGGCTTGTTAGCAGTATCACTGTGATATTTCCCCTCTCACTTTTGTACCATCATCTTCTCTTACAATTACATAAGGTCTTCCTCCTAAAATGAATCCTCTATTTTACATGATTCACAGTAGTTTTGCTTTCCTGATTGAACCTTAACTAGTATCTGTACAGTTCAAATTTGTCATACATGACAGGGGAATGATATCCAAATCACTATACTTTGGTTTTTCCTATGATAGCTGGTGAATATGGAGGCTTTGGAGGGGCTATAGTTTTCATGTAGAATGTGATTAGGATACTGAAGAAATTCTTGACATATATTAGGACTCAGAAGCCTATGCAACTTGGCATAGGTATTTTTTGTCTCTTCCTCTGTATTGTGAAGCCTCCCTGTGCCATTTAGTTTTTAGGCAGCAGTTCCTGCTTACCATCCAAACCCCTTTTGAACCTTACAGAATCCCCAAAAGTCAGCCTTGGCCTTAAGTCCCACAGTACTGTGCTTTACCTAGGGAGCATGTTAATTCATGCATAAAAATTAAGGACTCAAGGTACATTATATCACTGTACATCTGAGTGGATTTTTTTGTGGCTTAACCTTGATTTTTAGTGCTATAACCCAAATAAAGAAAAATGCAAGCATGCATTGGAGGGTATTGGGCTGTAATAAGGTAATAAAGACTGTTTCAGTGGTATCATATATAGTGCTTTACAGAATATAGGGTATTTTCACACCTCACCTCATTTACAGTTCATGATCTCTCATGACATTATTAGAGGGTCAGAGATGTTACATGCTTGTCCATGGTTATTTGTGTGGCTTGGAGGAACCAGAAACCAACCAAGTGTTCATATCCTAGTGTTCATTTCACTGAAAGATCTGGCTTTTTAATGAAGCCGTTGGCTCTTCCCATTCCCATTCTCATTACCGCTCATCTAGGCTGTTGCGGAAGACTCTGCAATCCTCTTTTCTCCTATTATCAGCCCCACTCTTCCTCCCATTACACCAATAGGAAATCATAATAGTTTTATGTTTCTCATTTTGCAAATGAGTTTCAATGGTCCATCTGCTTGGATCAAACGCTTCAAGTGCTGTCCCTTTGCTGCAGAACCAGATAGATTCTTCTCAACCTTGTATTGAAGCTCTAGCAGGATTCCAATGAGCTTTTTCAAACTTTTTTCCTACCTTTCTTCTATAAAGACACTTTGTGCTGGCCAAACTGAGTGCATCACCCCCACTACACACACACACTCACTTCTACAAGGACTTATAATAATAATAATCACAACAGCTACCTGCATTGACCATTTAGTAGCTGCTGAGTATCTCACTAGTTCTTTATCTATATTACCCAGGCAATAACCATGAGATGTGCATTACTATTGTTTCCATTTGTAATGAAGAAATCAAAGCTGAAGAGGTTAAGTGACTTACTCAAGATAACATGGCAGGTCAGTAACAGAAGTTGTATTTTAGCACGGACTGAATTTTAAAATGGCACTCTCAAACTCTCTGTGCCACTGCCTTTCTTCGAGCACTCCCCATTTCTTACAGTGCCTGATCCCTCTGAACACACATTTTCATTTCTTCCTTCCCTTCAAGGGCCACTCCAAAATCAGTAAGTCTTCCATCATCTCCACATTACCACTTACCCACAGAAAGTCTCCCTCTCTTGAATTCCTACATCTCTGAGAAGATGCATGAGGAAAGAGAAGTATAACTTATGAGTCGGTAACATTCAGTGCTCATTTCTCAGTGCGTTGCTTGGATCCTGGCATGCAGGGGCAGCTCATTGGCATCAACTGTTCTAAGTACTGGCTAAACAAGAGACAAGCTCTGAGGCATATAGTCACAAATATGGGCAGTAAGGAGTTATCGTGGGAGTGGTGAATGTGGAGGGGCTCTGAGTGGGAAATAGTTCAACCTCATTTTATAGATCCCACATCTAGGATACAAATCAGTTAAGCCACTTGCCCAATGTCATTCAGATAACACAAGAGTACCCGGGAGTGCTGAGATCTGAACCCAAGTACACATATATTCTTCCTGCATTTTGCCAAACACAAGGCAATTTCTAGGCTTAGTGGAGTTAATGATGAGCAAAAAAAAGGCACATCCTAGAAGCTTCTGGTCAAATGGCAGAGATGCTAAGATACAGATTAAAATTTTTTTTAAGAAAATACAAGTTTTTAAAATTGTTTTAAAGGAATCAAACTACACATCTCATCCAGATGACAGATGCTACTGGGGAAGGAAGCACAGCACTTATCTATCAGTAGGGCTAGGGAGCTCTTAAGCTGATTAAGGACACAGGCTCCGCAATTAAAGACACCTGTGGCACATATACACCACAGAATACTATGCAGTCATAAAAAAGAATGAGTTCATGTCCTTTGCAGGGACATGGATGAAGCTGGAAGCCATCATTCTTAGCAGACTAATACAGGAAGAGAAAAACCAAACACTGCATGTTCTCACTCATAAGTGGGAGTTGAGCTATGAGAACACATGGACACGGGAAAGGGAACATCACACACCAGGGCCTATTGGGGAGTTGGGAGCAAGGGGAGGGAGAGCACTAGGAGAAATACCTAATGCTTGTGGGGCTTAAAACCTAGATGATGGATTAATAGGTGCAGCAAACCACCATGACACATGTATACCTGTGTAACAAACCTGCACGTTCTGCACATGTATCCCAGAACTTAAAATTAAAAAAAAAAAAAAGAAACAGTGGTTGTGAGAGAACAGTGCAGTAGAGTGGTAGGGATGAAAGACAAATTATAAATGGTGGAGGAGTGGGGAGAATAAAACAAAAACAAACAAACAAACAAACAAAAACACCTTGGTTCATACCTGGCACCTTACTACTTGTGTGGCAGGGCAAGCTACTGAACCCCTCTCTGTCTTACATACTGCATGACAAATGATACACATTCAAGTCACACTAGTTTTCATTTTTTCCTATCAGTTGCCAATTTCTTGTACTAGAGATCTTTACGGGAGGTCTTACCTAGGTGTTACCTTCCTTTTCACCTAGATGACGTATCTGAAATGTTGCCCAGATGGGGATCCATATCCAATGTATCTTTTTACTCTGTCTCCGAAGTACCTAACATGGCTTTGGTAAATATCTTTTGTTTAGCTAGCAAGCACATATTAAAATAATGAAGTGCCCCGTGAGTCACAATGATCATCACAAACAGCCATACGACATTTCCTATGCACTTTTACACTCTTTTAATCTCCCAGGTGATTAGATATATAGCTTAAACATACCGTAAGTCCCTCAGGTGGGCAAATTGTATTGGCCCCATTTTACAGATGGGGAAAATGAGGGAAGGGTAAGAAGCTTGCCCCAAGGTACAGAGTGAGCCAGTGGTGGAACTGGGATTTGAATGCAGGCTGTCTCGCTCCTGAATCTAACTTCTTAGCTGCTAGATTCAACCGCTGTTCAACAGAGTGAAGGGATGCTAACACCCAACATATATTGAGCACTCATATGTGCTTTCAAATAATTCCATGAGTTAGGATCTCAAAATAATTTGACGACATAGGAAATGTCATTCTTTTTTTCATTTCATTTATTTATTTTGAGATGAAGTCTCACTCTGTCACTCAGGCTGGAGTGCAGTGGCACAATCTCACTGCAACCTCCGCCTCCTGGGTTCAAGCACTTCTACTTCCCTCAGCCTCCCAAGTAGTTGGTACTAGAGGTGCACGCCACCACGCCTGGGTAGTTTTTGTATTTTTAGTAGAGAGGGAGGTTCCCCATGTTGGCCAGGTTGGTCTCGATCTCCTGACCTCAGGTGATCTGCCCACCTCGGCCTCCCAAAGTGCTGGGACTACAGGCGTGACACATCGCGCCCGGCCTGGAAATGTTATTAACCCTGTGTTTTAGGTTGGGCTCCTCCAGAAGCCGACTTTCAGAAAAAAATATGAATGAAAGTAATTTATTTAAAAGATAATCCCCAAAAGCCCCAGTAAATGGTAAGTGAGACAGGGTGAGAAAGGATGAGGTTTGTTATTGAGCAGTGCACATCTAGTATGACTGAGACTCTGTATACAGGAGGTAGTGTAGAACACACCTCAGTGTCTTATCAGAATGTGACTAAGGGACCAGGAAGCTGGGACACTTGCCCGTCACTGCCCTTTCATCACTGGCATCAACTGTTCTAAGCACTGACTAAACAAGAGACGAGCTCTGAGACGTATAGTCACAAATATGTGCAATAAGGAGTTATCTTGGGAGTGTTGAATGTTGAGGGGCTCTGGGTGGGAAATATTTTAACCTCATTTTACAGATCCCAGGTCTGGGATAAATATCAGTTAAGCCACCTGCCCAATGTCACTCAGGTAACACAAGAGTACCTGGGGGTGCTGAGATCTGAACTCAAGCACACATATATTCTTCCTGCATTTTGCATGTTCTCTCTAAGCACAGAGCAATTTCTAGGCTTAGTGGAGTTAATGATGAGCAAAAAAAGGGACATTCTAGAAGCATCTGGTCTAACAACAGTGATGCTAATATATAGGTTAATTTTTTTTAAGAAAATACAAGTTTTGAAAACTGTTTTAACGGAATCAAACTATATTGCTGATATAGAGAATAACTCAGGTGGACGTGAGTGGGAAGGGTGTTTAAAAAGGCGTATTCCTGGCAAGGGAAAGCCAAAGTCACTCATCCGTGGAGACAAAGCAGGCCAGAATGACTGATGGGGATGCAGTGAGTGGCAGAGGAAGGATGGTATGAAATGAGGAAGAAGGAAGGGAAAAGGCAGACATACTAGTCTCAGAGGCCCTAGTCATGCTTTAGGATTTAATTCTAAAAGCAATGAGAATTTATCAAAGAGCATGCAATTGGCAGAGGATTTGTTCTTCTATTTAGCCTAAGAGGCCTCCAGATTAAATGTTCTTTCTAAATACTTAAAAAAGGTGACATAGTCTAAAAGGGAGACAGCAAACCAGCTAGAGGCTGTGGTCAGGTGTGGGGAAGGAGGGGACATTCAGCCTCCTTGTTGTATTCAACCGCCTTCCTCAGCTCTGTCTTCTCTTTTCTGATTCTGTCCACATTCCACTTTAATCCTCAATGCTTGTGAGATGATCCAGAGTTTGACTGCATATTTAGCTTTTCAGGGATACTGCAGATAATGATGAGAATTATTCATCTTTCTTCAGCATAAACCGTATTTAACGAGGGGCTAGAAAAATAATATAAAGAGGCTTTATGGTCAAGTTTCAGAGCTGAGTTAGGAAAGTAATTCCAAGTAGTAGAGTTTCAGCATATTTTATTTCCTCCTTTTACTTCTCTAAATTTTCCAAATGGATTTATACTATTTTTAAAATAAAAATGGTCAAGCCTTTAAACATTTGTGCCAATTATGTAGATAGCCTGCAAAGCTGAGACACTTCTCACTATGCTAATCAGATAACTGGCTCAGGCTTTCTATTTTATTTGATAAACTTTGGTCATTCTGAATTTCCAAATATCACCAAAAATTCTGACTTTGATAAATAATCAAATATTTAGCTCTATTGTGTATTTTCTTACAATTTTCAAGTGATATGGGTGGCCCATATTATATTCACCTTAAATTTTATTAGAAAAAGAATACTTTCGCCGGTTGCGGTGGCTCATGCCTGTAATCCCAGCACTTTGTGAGGCCGAGGCGGGCGGATCACTTGAGGTCAGGAGTTCAAGACCAGCCTGGCCAACATTGTGAAGCCCTGTCTCTACCAAAAATACAAAAAAATTAGCCGGATGTGGTGGTGCAAGCCTGTAGCCCCAGCTACCTAGGAGGCTGAGACAAGAGAATTGCTTGAACCCGTGAGGCAGAGGTTGCAGTGAGCTGAGATCATGCCACTGCACACCAGCCTGGATGACAGAGTAAGGCTCCATCTCAAAAAAAAAAAAAAAAAAAAAAAAAAAGCAATACTTTTAATATGCTTACTCACACTATTCAAAGATCTTTAATTATAATCATTTAAAAACTGTGAGGTAGAAAGGACAATAAGTGTTATTCTCCCCAATATACAGACCAAAATATGGGTAACGTAAGCTAAAGACCCACAGTTAGTAGCAGAACCCGTTGAAAATCGAGTGTCTATTTAAATAACAAACCTGGGTGTCTATTTGGGGATAAAACACCCAATCTCTACAGCCCTTTGATTTCAAAAGAACTGATATCCCAGGAAGATAGAGAACTTAACATAAATAAGAATAACCAAAGTGAAGCTTAAACATTTGTACAAACCTTGACAATTTCATTTTTTGTATTGTTTGTATTACCCAAGTCTTATCACAGGGGACACTGAGAACCAAATTAAGTGTGTCAAAAATCAAAAGGAAAGATACATAAGCCATCTCCTCTGAATTTTTTCCTCCTTCCCTTGTTTCTTCCTTATAAACACTGCTGGGTACTTAACTTTTAAAAACATGGGCTTTGAGGAAGGACATAGCTGGGTACCAATCCCATCTCTGCTCTTTAAGAAGTTGGGTTACCTCTGACAAGTTACAAACCTTGCTTAGCATCTATCTCTTTACCTTTATATTAGCCACAATACCCACTCCATAGAGTGGGTTTTATATATTACTATTTGTACAGACTTGCAAGAATGCAAAGTGCGTAGAAAGTGCTCGATAAACAGTAACTAGTGGTGACTGGGGTAGGGGTAGTGCCAATAGTTGCTTTAAGAACAGTTGAACTAGCAGCAATGGCCAATGCCATTGGCAACCAAATTGTGCTCATAACTCTATGGACCAGATCTTAAGACTCCAACACTGGGAAATTTGCTGTCATTCTTTGATCCCTGGGCTTAAATGTCTACTTCTTAATGCTATGAGCTAAATATTCAATGTTAAAATGGACAGGGGGTCATGCTCCATCTCATTTATCATAAGTGAATAACTGGGTTATTTTGACCATAGATCAAACTCCAAAAATTTAAGCAAAGAAATAATATGTGTAGGTTCCAGAAAGAGATGGGGAAAATGTGAAAATACAGCTAAAATAACCCACAATTTAAATTTTGGCTACAGAGTTAATGTCCTATTTGTAAACCAGAATTTTATAATCTCAACACTGCTGAGCAGATAACTAATCATATTTTGAACCAAATAATTATTTGCTGTGTGAGCCTGTAGATGTTTAGCAGCATTCCTGCCTGTACTTATAAATGCCACTTGTGCCACCAACCCCCGGTTGTGACAACCAAAAACTGGCTTGACTCCCAAATCCACTGGAGCAAAAGTACCTTCGATTGAGAACCACTGCTCTATACTCTTTTTTTTTAGGCAGAGTCTCACTCTGTTGCCCAGGCTGGAGTACAGTTGTGTGAACAAATTCATTGCAGCCTCGACCTCTTGTGCTCAAGTGAGCTTCCCACCTCAGCCTCCCAAGTCCCTGGGACTACAGGTGCATGCCACCATGCCTGGCTAGTTTTTTAATTTTTTGCAGAGACAGAGAGTCCCCATGTTGCCTAGGCTGGTCTTGAACTCCTGGGTTCAAGCCATCCTCCTGCCTCAGCCTCCCAAAGTGCTCGCATTACAGGCGTGAGCTACCACACTCGGCCTGCTGTATACTCTTGACTTTAGAATGCTCATAATTCTAAAGAACCATGTTGCATCGTGCCTTCTCATAAAGCCTCAGCCTTCAATTTCACACCATCCAAACCCATTGAAGCTCTTGAGTCCCTTGACATGGTAACTCCTATCCCTCTCCCATCAGACCATCTCCTCATGGAGGTGACAGACAATTCAGGAAAATCTCCCATTAAATCCACTCCCCTAAAGCCCTCTTGGAAGAGTAACTATATGAACTTTATACTTCTCTCCCTCCCAACTTTGTACCTACTTTCTCAGAGGTGCTTAAAAAATATCACTTCTCTGAACCCCAGTTCTCTCTTTTATCAGTTTCATGTCTTCAAAAATAGCAGGATTATATTGCCCTCTGCAGATGCTACTGGTGATAAAGAATAAAAATTGAAACTGACTTTTTATGTAACAGCAGTGTATCACAAAGGAGGAAAACAAGAAAGAAGGGAATTAACAATGATTAAACACCTACCATGTGCCAGCCTCTGCACTAAGTACCTATAATATTACTTCATTTAATCTGTATAGTGAAACTTTCGAGTAAAGTTTTCTGAGATCAAAAGAAAGTGCATTTCTGACATTATCTTTTAAATAAATGGTCATTTCAGATTGTTCCGCCCACTTTAGTGTACCATTTCCCAAAAGCATCCAAGAATCCTTGTGAAAAGTGAAGACAGTCTGCAATAACTCTCTGTGTGTGTGTGTGTGTGTGTGTGTGTGTGTGTGTGTGTATCACAACTTAACCCATAGTTTTGGAATGTCAGTCATCTCACCAAAATCCGGAATGAACTATGTCCCAGTGGATCACATATTCTTGAAAGGGCAGTCAGATTTCTGATAAGCAACTCATATACACGAGAGCAAAGGCAAGGTTCTATCTATAGCCCTGTCATGAGGCAAGCTGTCTCTTTTTGAAAATGATTTAGAGGCAGCTGGCCTCTGGTCTGCTAGTCTGTTGGTGTCTCACTTGGCTATTCAACATCAGAGGCAGGAATCTCTGCCCATTTTCACATAATGCACATGTCTTCCTACTGGAAGATCTTTCTCCAGGAGTGGAGGGTTCAGGTCAAGGTCTCTGCTCACAAAATAAAGACAGAACTCAGCACTATTTATATCACACCAGAACTGACTCAGCGCCATTGCCCATTTAACTCACTTGTCTTGCTATTTGGAGATGTTCTCTCTCTTCTGGCTTTTCTGCCATCTGTGACATCTCTCCAGGCATACCGTAAGGAGAGGACATTTTGAAGGATCACTCTATTTGTTTCATCCTAGAAAAGTTTATATCAGTCCAATTCTGCTGCTAACTGGACTTCGTCTCTGGCTTCTTCATTTGGAAATCTACCTCTTATGCTAAGTGCCCTTATATCACCTGGCGGTTTGCAAAGAGGTGAGTGTGAATGCTCCAGTAAAAACAGCTGCCTTTACTAAGCTTTACAGCATGTGCTCGATATTGAGCTAAGTGCTTTACGTGAATTATTTCATTTAATCCTCAGAAAATCCTCTAAAGGACAGGAAGTATTATAATCTCCATTTAGATAAAGGCAACTAATTAAGATAAGTTAACAGCTGCCAAATTTCATACAACTAGTACATGACGAAGTTGGGATGTGAACCCGGACCCATCCAATCCCAATGCCCAAGGATGTTCCACTTTATCACACCACCTCCCTGTGAGCTTCTGTTGAGATTATTTTTTTACTGCCTGATCCACAATATTATTGTCATCTTTATTTGGCTTGGCGGTTGACAAAATGAATGCATTTCTAGAATCTTCAATGACGTGAAAATTGGATTACAAACAAAACCATCTCTGGAACTGCCTGTTTCCTGTATTTTCCTTTTGGGGAAAAAAAAAAAAAACTAAAATAATGAGCTAGACGAGAATTCTGATCTCAGATATGCCACTACATGCTCCTGCACACCAGAGCAATGATGTACCTCTCGAGACTTCTGTTTCTTTATTTGTAAACTGGTGGGGTTGGAATTATGAATTTTAAATTCCTTTCTATCTCCAATACACTGTGATTTTCTGATGCAGTGGGTATTACTGCCTCACAAAGGGCTTACAAAATACACTGGAGAAAACACCAGTAATAGAAAACTCTACATTCATTGCTACTTAACTTTGTGCTCATTCAAATATCTTCATAGTGTCTCTCTCCAGAGACTCCAAGCACTTACTTAATTTAATATAGCCCTTTATAAAATGGGTCTTCTCTGCAAATCTCAGCTTGAGGCATTTCTCTGGTACCCACACAATACATTCGCTTTTACAGAGGCTTTATTTTTTCCCCTAAGAATTTCCTGTTCATTTAGCTACAGCCAGAGGTAAAGCTAACAAATTTGTACATCTCTTCAGAGGCACCCAATTTACTAAATGTCTTTTAATTGGCATAGGAGCTCATAGAATGTCCTCTGAGAGGTCACGTTAAGAGTTATTTTGTTAAATACAAAGGTATAGAGGAGGTATTTTCAGATGGAATCTGAAACTCAAACGGAAATTTTTTAGCAGCATCTCATGGAACTTCTCAGTTTTCTTATCACAAATGTTCTCCTGTCAGATCTTCTGTCGTAAATATGACCCTGTAGACTGAACAATGGAAATGACAGCCACTGAATCCATCTCTCTTTCTCTTTTCTGCATTTAAAATTCAAGATTATAATTGTAGTACAAAGTATGATTAGTAACTATCAGTGTGAACTTTGGAGTCCACACTAATCTCCTAAAATTTCAGTCATCCATTCAACAATACTCATGGCTTCACCCACATGCTCACTTCTGTGTCCCTTAAATCAGTGGCTGACACATAGGAAGAACCCAATGAATAATAATGCTAAATTGATATGCCAAGCACTGTGCTACAGGTAAAGCACTGAACAAAGCTGACATTGCCCCAATCCTTAAAAAGTTTATAGTCCGGAAATAATTGTTTATTCTTATATGCATGCGCCCACACACGCGTGTGCACACACAGACACACTCCCAAGCACATCTATAATCAGTGTATTAAAACAAATATCTTGGCAGAGTGTGGTGGGCCATTCCTGTAATTCCAGCATTTTTGGAGGCCAAGGTGGGTGATCTCTTGAACCCAGGAGTTTGAGACCAGCTTGGGCAACATGGTGAGACCCCATCTACAAAAAACACAAAATTTGGCCAGGCATGGTGGTGTGCCTGTAGTCACAGACACTCAGGGAGCTGAGGAAGGAGGATTGCTTGAGGGTGGGAGGCCCAGACTACGGTGAGTACCACTGCACTCCAGCCTGGGCAAGAGAGTGAGACTTTGTCTCAAAAAAAAAAAAAAAAAAAAAAGACATATCTTTAAGAGCATGTAAAAGGAAAATTCCACTTGATCTAAGGAGTTCAAATAACACTACCATAAAAAATTGACTTTCTAACTAAAATGTGAATAAAATTTTACCAATGATTAGATACAGTGGAGAAGAGGCATTTAGGGTATAGGCAAAAACAAACAAACAAAAGAACAAAGTGAGGTATGGGAGAAAACACAGTCTACTCAAGGCTAACAGCAGGTTAGCCAATTGCAGATAGCAACTGGGAGCACAGCAGATGAGGCAGCAGGGAGAGGCAGGGACCAAACTATATAGGACTTTGTAGGTCCTTTTACAAATTACTAAGGATACTCTACTATATTGTAAAACAATATGAAGTTATTAAAGACTTTCTAGCTGCAAGAGGGCAGTAGAGCAGGAGAGGCAAACAACAAAGACATTATCTGATTTGTATATGCAAAAGACCCCATTGGCTACTCTTTGGTGAATATATTGTGAGAGTGGAAAGAATGAGAATTAAAAGGCAGTCATAGAAATCAAAGCCAAAATAGCAATAGTGTGATGCGGGACTCTTGCTGTAGCAACAGAACTATTTGAATAGATTTAGGATGTAATTGAAGGGTTAAAAGTGAGACTTGGTATTGCATTTTATATAGATACAATGGAGAAGAAGGAATTTGTCAAGGAGGACTCTTAGGTGTCTAACCTCAGCAATTGGTTCACTGGTTGTGGCATTTTCTGAAATAAAAAAGGAGAGAACTAAATCTGGGGTGAGATTGTAAGTGCTTCCTTCTACATTTTGATTTGAAAAGCTCTGAGTTTATTGTCCCTGTAGAAATATTGAGTACAAACAGTGGATGTTTGTGGAATAAAAAGAAGGAAAAGGAGTCAGAGTTGTGATGAATTTGGGAATCACCACAACATGTATAACAAAATATAGTAGAAATATTGGGAGGCCGGGGCGGGCGGATCAACTAAGGTCGGGAGTTTGAGACCAGCCTGACCAACATGGAGAAACCCTGTTTCTACTAAAAATACAAAATTAGCTGGATATGGTGGTGAATGCCTGTAATCCCAGCTACTCGGGAGGCTGAGGCACGAGAATCACTTGAACCTGGGATGCAGAAGTTGCTGTGGGCCAAGATCGTGCACCGCACCTGGGCAACAAGAGTGAAACTCTGCCTCAGAAAAAAGCCCCAGATCAAACTTGAGGCTGTTTGATTCAACCTGGTTAGCCGAAGAGAGTGGCTGGTAGAGAATGACTAGCATGCAACGGTGATGGAGAAATATTAGCCACAAAGATACGAGGCAAACTAGGGAGTATGGAATCACAAAAAGCAAAGAAAAAGCAAGTTTTCAGGTGAGGGAAAAATTTATAACTCTTGATTATTCAAGTATATAGAGAAGTTAAAAATATCTACAGGTATCATAACAAGCATGTCACCTACAACTTTAGTTGAACTATGTCTGTTTATTTAAGAGATAAGTAAAATTGAATTTACTAAGTGGAAAGTGTGGAAATAGAAGCAATAGATACAGACAACAATTCATAGATAGATGTTTAGCTGTGAAGGGTTTTAAAATGTTTATGCTAATAAAGTATTAATGAGTCAAAATGTACTACACATGATCTCTAAATATCACTCCACAGATTATTTCTTCATTACAAGCAGAGTAAAAGGCCTCCTCAATGCTAAGAGGTGCACTTTCTACTACAACCAAGTGATCAAATTTTGCATCACTCATAATGAGACCAACTGAAATAATACACCTCTGGATGACAAAAGAAAGCATAGAATATTACTCATGTCCTTTTCTTGCCATAATGTTTAATCTTAATCTAATCCTGAGGAAACAATCACAAAGTTCCAACTGGGAACCCTTCTCCATGGCCTGGGATCTTCAAGAACGTCAACGTGATAAAAGTAAAAAATGTGAGGAAAATGTTCTAATTAAAAGAAGCGAGAGATTGCATAGTAAACACAATGTTGGTTTGATATTTTAAAACTCAGATATAAAAAATTTTGGGGGGTTTGTTGAATAAACTTGAACATAGATTATAATGAAGTATTGTGTCTACCTTAATTTTCTCAAGTGTGATGTTGTTATGATTATTGAAAGAGAATAGTCTTTTTCTCAGAAAATAATGCTGTGGAATTTAGGGATGAAATGTGATACTCTGCAACTTCTTTCAAAGCAGTTAAAAGTAAGAAATTTAAATTGTATTTTTGTCTTCATTTATTGCATTTATAGATCTCTTAATTTCCTTGTCAAGATTCAAGATTCTATCTAGCATCACCTTTTTTCTGCCTGAAGAAATTTTTAAAATATATTTCAAGTTCAGCTCTGCTGACAATGTAATCTCTGAATTTTTGTTTACCTAAGAAAACCTTTATTTCTCCATAATTTTTGAAAGATACTTTCACTGGGTATAGAACTGTGGGCAGACAGATTTTTTTCTTTCAGCACTTTAAAGACATCACTATGTTTTCTTCTTACATGCATGATTTCTGAAGGGAAATATTCTTTACTTTTTTTATTTTTCGGTATATATGTATAAATTTTTTTTCTTTATTGGTAAGATTTTCTGTATGTCTTGATACTTCTATTTGAATATGACTTCTGTCTTGACTGGTGTTCACTGAGTTTCTTAAACTCCCCCTGCCCTTTCCATTTTTTTTTTTTTTTTCTTTGAGACAGAGTCTCACTCTGTCACCTAGGCTGGAGTACAGTGGTGCAATCTCCGCTCACTGCAACCTCTGCCTCCCGGATTCAAGCAATTCTCCTGCCTCAGCCTCCCTAATAGCTGGGATTACAGGCACCAACCACCACGCCTGATTAATTTTTGTATTTTTAGTAGAGGCAGGGTTTCACCATGTTGGCCAGGCTGGTCTTGAACTCCTAACCTCAAATGATCCACCCACCTCAGCCTCCCAAAGTGCTGGGATTACAGGCATGAGCCACCACGCCCGGCCTCCCCTGCACTTTTCTTACTTTATTCTTCCAGGATTCCAATTACACTCAGCTCTTAGATGCTCTGTTCTGCTTTATTCACTCTTTCTCTCTTTGTGTTTTAGTTTAGGAATTCCTTAATGACATCTTCAAGTCTACCAAATCTTTCCTTTGATATGTCAAGTCTACTGATAAGATGAAGGTTTCTTCATCACTGCTACTATGTTTTCCATTCCTAGATTTCTACTTGATTTTTACCATCTATCTATTGAAATTAGCCTGCTGATGATGCATATTGTCTGTGTTTTCCAGTAGAGCTTCAATATATGAATTAGAGTTATTTCAAATTCTCTATGTGATAGTTCCAATACCTATGTCATATCTGATTCTGGTTCTGTTGATTGCTTTGTCTCTTGGTAGTTTCCTTCCCCCCACTGTTTTCTCATATGCTTAATAACTTTTTGCTGAAGCTCGACATTTTGTCCAAAAGAGTGGAGACTAAATAGTTTCTAAACCTAAGAATAGGCATGTTTTTACTTCTGATAGGTCGTTAGTGTGGAAGTTTGAGCAATGTAGTCAGTAGTTGTGCTGGGTTTGGGTTTGTTATGCTTGCACTCTACCACTGGCTTCCACTTCCTTTGGTTATACTTGTGTTTAGAGTGAGGACTGGTTTGCCAGAGAGTAGTCTGTTTCACTCCCATCTTTAGGGTAATCTCTTCACACTGCAACTCTCTGTTAGTCCATTTGCATTGCATTCCTATGTAAAAGGAAATCCTGAGGCTGTGCAATTTATAAAGAAAAGAAGCCTATTTTGGCTCGTGGTTCTGCAGGCTGTACAAGAAGCACGGTGCCAACATCTTCTGGTGAGAGTCTCAGGACACTTCCACTCATAGGGGAAGGCAAAATGGGAGCAGGAGCATCACATGGCAAAAGAGGGAGCAAGAATGACAGGGGGAAGGTATCAGGCTCGTTTTAAACAACCAAATCTTGCATAAACTCATTGAGTGAGAACTTACTCATTACCACAAGGACAGCACAAGCCATTCATGAGGGATCTGCCCTCAGGACCCAAACTATTCCCACTAGGCCCACTTCCAACACTAAAGGTTATATTTCAGCATGAGATTTGGAGATGACAAAACATCCAAACTATATCAATCTCGGAGTCTCTACCCACACACTTTTGTAACTCTCAAAGCTCTTAATCACTGTTAGATGTCACTGGAGGCTTTTCAGCCCGGGAGCGTGGTGGTAAGAGGAGCATTGCTGTTCTAATTAAGCCTTGGTTTTAGGCGAATTATGTCCTTAGGTTTCAGAAAGGTGGCTGCCTCCGTGTTCCAGTGTTTCCCACAGCTGTAATTCTGGGAAGGGAGTAGAGTTTTATTTTTAATGCTTCTTATCTCTAGCTGCAATGGCTGTTCCCTAGTTCCCTAAGACACTTCCTCCTGCAGTTTAAAGCTTTTCTCCCAAGGAGAATTAGGGGAGGGTGGGATACAAGCAGGACTTCTTGTCTTTCCTGCAGTGGCTGCTGTTCTCCTCCCCATGTTTTGTACAATGAGGATTCTACCACAGTCATTTTTTTGTGTGTGCATGAGCTTCTGGTGGGGCCCAAGGAAAGAGCCTATTCTGGGTGCAAATTTCCCTGTTATCTTGCCCCAAGGTTTTCTACAGTGAGAATCTACAAGCCAGTTAAAATTTGTTTTATGCCTGCAGCCAACTGAACCACATTCCTTCTTTACTAATTTGTTACCAGGTGAGCAAATGCTAGCTTACCCTCTCTCCCCATAGGCACATATCTTTTTTTAGGTTTTAAGTTAGTTGGTATTCCTGCAATCACAGCTCTCTGACTAGTTCAAGAAAAGTTATGAATTTGCAATTTGTCCAATTCTTTTTTAATGCTGAGAGTGGGCATAATACTTTTTTATTCCAGCTTTGTTCATCCCAAGCAAAAGTTGGAGGTCTCTGAAACTTAATTTCAAATAGTTCAGCAAAAAAAATGAAAAGAAAGAGAAAGAGTAAATGAAAGAGAAGGAGAAAGAGAGAGAGAGACAGTGAGAGAAAGATACATAAAGAAAGAGCACAAATGTGGCAACATATCAAGAATTAATGAATCAAGATGAAGTGGGGATGGGTATTCATAATACTTTCCATTTCTGTGTTGACACACAGGCAGTGCTCAATTAATTACCTTGAATGTAATTAAGACATAATTTGCTGAATGACAGTATTATTCTTGTTATTAGTTCCCACCAAAATAGATGAATCAATTTTTTTCCCTTTCTAGTTTGACATTGTTACCCTAAGATACTAATCCTGCTGACTCTATTTTTAAAATCCAGGTTTACTAAATATTTTATCTACTTATCTGTCAGCAATGTTTCAACTAGAATAGAAATGCTTTTGCATAAATTCATCACTCATTGAGGGATCAGCTAATTGGAAAGAGCATTAGATATGGAATTTTGAAAAACAGGCTTAAATGCAAGCTTATTCATTTCACCAATATTTATGGAGATCTTACAGTGTTCTATTGATTGTATGAGAGGTTTGGGAGTGAATAGTAGCTCTGCTGCCTCTCAGTCCCTTGCACCTGCACACATTTATATGGTTTGAGCCTTGGTCTCCACCTCTGTGAAGTATGGATAACAACGCCTCCCTCATTTGTGAGAGTTAAAATCCCTGTTATATGATAAAGTGCTTTGTGAATCATAAACAAATGATCCAAAAGCATATTATTCTAATTCTCTTTTAGTTTCTTCCTCACTTGTTCTTATTTTTTTTACTTTTTTTTCTTTGCATTTTTGTAATGTCCTTGGCCTTGGTTTCTTACTTTATTTTATTATGACTGCTTACACTGTTGTAGTCATTTACAACTTCATGTTAATCAAAATTGTGAATTTCGGCAAAGGCAACAGTCCCTGCCTAGTGTATGACCTTTTTTCCCCTTTGATCTTGGCATCTGAAAGCTTTTTATACATTCTAATTCTCTTCCATTTTAATAGCTCTGTGAAGCAGTACTATTTTCTTTGACTGATAAGATCATTGAAGGTGACCTGATTTTCTCTAGAGATGCACAATGAATAAAACACATTCTCCACTACACAACTCACTTACTCACATCCCATGAAGGGGGAAAAATCCTGAGGTTGCTCTCTCTCTATAAAGGTCACAGAAAAAGGAGATGACTTCTCAGATATTGTGATTATGCATGTATCATCAAATTATGCAAGCTGCTTATTATTCCAAATCTTAGGGGTTTTTTTGTTATTTCATCCTGTTTTACATAAAACTGAGTAGCAAAAGTGGCAAAACAAATATAGCATTTGTCTTTGTTTGTGTATTTTTAATGAGCCGAATAACACAAACACCTTAATTTTGAGGGTGCATCTTGTTGAGACACAATATTATAGATACCTGTTTGTACTTGTGTGTATGTGTGTCTCCAGGTATTACATTTATGCAGTTTTCAGTTGGAAAGGTGACCTCTTTCTACGGAGTATGTGCCCTGCACATAGGGTTTATCCCTTGTGACTGGTTTGTGTGTTAAGGATTCATGGCTTAAACAGCTAGGTTATTCATGGGTGTGGAAAATTGATATTTGAGAGCATTTTATTCTGCTCAGTCAGGCTGATTCTTTATAAGGAATCAAAACAGTGATAACATTTACCAAAAACTACTGAATAGAATATTCAATGTGTATCTATGCCACACATTGTTTCTTTCCATACACTCCATCATAAAATACCTCCTCTGCCTATCATCGCTCTGACAACGTCACTGCCAAACCCCTATCCTCATACACTCATCACAGAACATCTCTTCATTTTGTTCAGAAACTGTGCTTTTTTTTCTTAATCGTTCTGCTTTTCAAAGCTTTATTCTTTCTAGGCATTCAATATATATTGAATAATTTCAAGGTATTTTTATATTCATTCATTCTACTAATATTTTCTTAACTATTTTCAGCTACTCTTCTAAACATCTTGTTCAGGAATTGTGGAAGAATCTACTCACTGTTTTGTCCCAATATCCAAGGGAGAAAAATAAAACTAGCTCAACATCCCTGTGCATGAACTTTTAGTAACTTTATTTCCCCACTAGAACTGGAATCTGATGATGAGCATCTTTGTTCTCCAGATTTCAAGGAGGTACTCCAGGTAGCTGACTTTCCACAGAGCCCTAGAAAGTAAATCATGGAGGTGAGGATACTGTTCTCTGAAATTAATATAGAACTATAGTTACTTGGTAGTTTATCTTGAGCAAGTCTTGTTAATTCTACTGTAATTCAAAATGGTAGTATCATCCTAGGAAAGGATGACAAACATGTAGTTATAGTGAGTATTCTCTTGGTTTAAATCACAGCATTAATCGGCATTCTGTATTAAGAAAAAGGCAATCATTTGCCCACATTCTCCTTTTCCTTAGTTTTTTTTTTTTAATTTTTAGCTTCAGAAATGTAACTCATATACAAAGTACGCCTATAGTTATACCATGTATCACACATTTCATATGAGTAAAAGAACAGAAAATTGATGAAACATGCCTGAATGCTTGTGATATAAAATTATATTTCAGTTCCAGCTATAAAAGTGTAATACAATTGAAATGTTTATCATGCATCTATGAATATTTTTTCTTGCATGCATAATGGTGTTGCATGAACAATTTAATTTCTTTTTTGAAAAAAGTCATCCTAGAGAGGTCTATTCTATACCTTTTCGACAGATTCATCTAAAGACCAGCTCTATAAATGTCCAGATTGAATGCATAAAATGTATTGTCTCAAGTGATTATTGTTTAAAAAAATTTAACTGTATTGTTAACTTACTGAAAAGCACTGGCATAATTCCGCAGGCATGGCCTCTTTTCTTCTTATCTTCATGTGTGTGCTAATGTTGTGATCTTTTTAAAATGCCAAGATGAACTGTCCGGTATACGAAGATAAAAGATTTTAAAGGCAACGCATAATGCCACTGAATTCCTATTGAAATTTACAGTTTTCAAAGAAATAGTATTCATTCTAACATCAAAATTATTGTCAGAAAAATATAAACATAGTAAAATAAAAGGCACCTGTGAATCCGAAGCTATCATGGTTCAAACTCTTCTATGAAAACACAATGGCACTCAAAGACTTACTATGGCTTAATATCTATTATTAATCAATTAGTATTTTTCATTGTATGAAAAATTTATAACTAAAATTTTAAATTTAAAAAGAAATGGATTGATTAGAGGCCAGGTAATCAGGCTCTTGGCCATGACCATATTTTTTTTTTTCAGTATTAGTTAAGTACCAAAGTATTTCACAAAGTCCAGTATTCAATTGATTGCACAATACACAACTAGATTTCATATTTTTGTAATCCTTGGCATTACTTATTTTCTGCACATTCTGGACACATTCCTACATTTTTATTTAAATGGCTTTTACATCTTATAAAAAGAGTACTTTTTGGATTCAAATCCCTTATTCCATTTCTGGCAACCTTCCAAGAGAACTCTAGTCTGAATCATTGCATTGATTTTCTGTTGCTGTATAATAATATTACCACAATCATAGTGGCTTCAAAAAAAAACACATTTATTATGTCACCTTTTCTGTGAGTCAGTAGTCTGGGCACAGCTCATCTGAGTTTTTGCTTCAAGTTCTCATCCGAAAGCTACAACCAAGGGGTCACTCATGACTGGGTTGTCATGCGATGACTCGACTAGGGAAGGGCCTGCTTTCAAACTCATTTGGTTGTTGGTAGAACTCAGTTACTGATTGTTGGATTGAGGGCCTCCATTCCTAGCTGGCTAGCGGCTGAAGGCCATTTTCAGTTCCTTGCAATTAGGGCCTTTCCTACACAGATGCTTGCTTCATTACAGTGTGCAATTTGAGTAGGTAGTAGAGATACTCTCTCACAAGATGGAAGGTATAATCTTATGTACCTGGTCATGGAAGTGATATCTGTCCCATTTTCTGTGTTTTATTGGTTAGAAATAAGGCACAGGTTCCACCTACACTCAAAAACAAGGGATGTAACAGGGATATGAATGCCACGAGGCTGGATCACTGGGGGTCATCCTAGGATCTTCCCAGCACACTTTTTTTGTTTTACATTTGGTAGTTTGGTAATTTTTCCAAATGAATACTATAAAAGTGTAATAGAAGAAGTAGTATATGTCATTGAATGTAGTTCTAACCCAGAAATTACAGTGAAGGTAACGCTCATATGATAGGATGGGCAGTTTCATTATTATTTGTCTTGCCTGTTACCAAGCATTCTAATGATGTTTCATTGAGAAGACTGTTCTTTGAGATTAGTATGTATCATAAAAATGCCTCTCTTTAACTAAATTGTGGATATTTGTCTATGAAGTTCAGGTATTTGTTTTCATAATAGGCTGTATTTGAAGGACACAAAAATTTATATAAAAATACTAAACAAACTGAAGCCCAAATTTGTTACTAGTTCTAGTGCACCACCATGACATATTGATTACACTGAAATACAATAATGACTCTCAATATGGACATCTGAAAATTAATAATAACTATTTGATTGTCCTAGGAAATGATCTGGATAGCTAAATATAGTCTGACTGAAACTTACGTAGCCCAGGCATTAAGTACATATTTGAATGGGCAAATCTTATGAAATAATGCATTATTTACTAGAACATTTTCCCTACTGGTATTTTCTACTAGAAGTCCAAATTAGGGAATCATATGAGGATATAAAATTAATTCAAATATATAAAAATATTTTGGCTGTGTTTACAGCATTAGGAACAAGCTGTACTCATTCTAGCATTACGTTAATGTACACTTGGTAGGCATTAGAGGAATAAACAGTTCTAACTACAAGAAACAGTAAAAAATAAGATATATATACTCATAAGTCTTCTCATTCTGTTAAGAGCAGTTAGTAAAGAATTATTTCTAAAATTTGTGAAATAATTATTGCTCATAAAATTTTTAGCTAATAAGAAACTTCAGATGGTTCAGAAGGTAATAGAATATGTCCTATTTGGTTCAGGAAACTTAAAATTCCTTCTCCTTAAAAGTGTTGGATTAAGGCGTTTCATAATTTTTGAAAAATTTTGTATTTATTGGCAGTGGTTTTTACACTTAGAGATTCTTATTTCTTCCACAGTGAAATTGTTTATTTAAAAAAGATGTTTCTAAAATATGTGAAGAGAAAAAATAGTGCAAAATATTCACTTTGATACCAAGAAGAGCTTTGATTATACAGATACTCTAAAAAGGTATTAAGAACCTCCAGGGGTTCCATTTCCACAGTTTGATAACCACTGCATTAGCACAAATCCTTGGAAGTATGAAACACTTTGTCTGTGTTTGGTATAAAGGCCACTGAATGTGCTAATCTATGTGACCTTGGCATGTAGTCAGCATCTGTTAATAGATTTCAGGATATAAATGAGATAGTGCATGTAATGTACTTACAACAATTAATGACACAATAAATATTATGTGTTAGAAAAGCTACATGTAGCATAGTAATTGAGAGTACGGACTGAAGACTGCATTGGTTCAAATCCTTGCTGTGCCCCTCTGTAAGCTTGAATAAATTATTTAATCCCTGTACCTCACTTTTCCCCTTTGTAACATTGAGTTATTAGTAATAACAACTTGTGAGTATTATATAAATGAAAAACACAGTGCGTTGATCACATTAAACACTATGTAATTTAAAAGATCATTGTAAATTATTTAGTTCCTAGAGACAGATGTATTCTTAATACATTTTAGGCCTTTGTTACTTTCAGTCATTTAACAAATATCAATTAATTCACCTACTACATCCAAAACAATTCACCAAACAGTATGAAGAATACAAAAGGGAATATAAATGTGATTTTTGTGATGGAAGTGTTTATTGTTTAATATAGAATATAATATATTCACATATAAGTAGCATATGGAAGAAAACGAAAGACAGCACAAGAAATTAAATTCTCAGAGAAGAGAAAAAAAGTAACTTCTATGTATTTATGAAAGTCATTTTAAGAAGTATTCAGAAGGTTGTTAGAATTGAGTCACAGAGATGGCTGATGTTACCAAGGGTTACTTATCATTGGAAAAGAGATTCATAGGTACATGTTTAAATATGGAAATCTTTCATATCTTCAGACGTTATCGTCAGCTCAAACCCGATTTTCACAGATGGCTTCACACACTGCAACTACTCTCTCATAATTACTTATGAGAGAAAATGACCTGTTTCCCTTTGGCCATTTTGAGAAACTTTCAGGAAAAAAAAAAATCTTTAATTTAGAATAACTTAAATATTGGGCCTTACAGATTGACTGGCAAAGTCAAATCCAAATGCAAGTTATTTCACTACTCTGCATCCCACTTAGGTGTTTTTCTTTCGTGAATTATTTCCTGGGAGTTAGGGCTCTTTCATCTTTTATTTGCAAAGTGAAAAGCAAAATTGACTCATCTTAACTTCTAATTTAGCTTTCTGAATCGGAAAGACAACCTGAAAGTGGCTGTGGGGAGGAGCGCTGCTTGGTCTAGCTGGCTGGAGACCTTTTACAGTGTGGATGGAGCCCCTTTCTCAATGGTTAAGTGGCTGCCACACTCAGTAGCCTTTCTGAAGTCGCTTGGTCCCATTCTTTTTATTTTTTTCTTTTTTTAATAAAGGGGTTAAAAGAAAAAAAAAAAGAGGTAAGATAAACTGCCCTTGACAGTATGATTCCTTTCCCTTCCCTCTGCCCAAATACAGATAGAAAGGAAGTCTTTCCATCTATATAAAGGCCTATTTCATGTTACCAAAGAGGAAAAGAGAAGTTGAGAAATGCAGCCAATTAGGAGAAATGAGAGCAAAACAGGTAGTACCTCCGTGTGTCCTAGCAAATGGCCCAACACGAGGATTTTTACCTATTTTATCCACATAGAATGGCTTGCGAAAAGCCTTTGTTGTTGTTGTTTTTACAATTCATAGACTTCCCACTGATAAATTCCAATGGTCGATTTTCCCCTTAAAGTGAAAACCTTCCTTTGGGAGGCAAGCAACTCAAAAAAAACTGCCTGATGCGTAATGAAGTATGTTTTTTGTAACCCACACCAGTTCTATCCATACATACTTTTTTTTTTTCTTTCTGACACCTTCACCTCCTGCCTTACGTTCCTTTGAGCTATGGAAGCCAATGAGGATGAAATAATTAAAGTTTGTGCCTGCTGTACAAAAATCATTCTCCATAGGCTCTGTTTTTATTTGATCTTTTGTAGAAAACATAGCGTCTTTATGTACACAGTTATAGGCCCATGGTGTCAGGCTACAAAGGCTTCATTTCCTGCTATCCAGAGTCCTGGTGTTATTCTCCAAGCATAAATTCTGTAGTTTCCCTCCTCTAGCCCAGCAGGTGTCTGGGTTTCATTTTTGGTTGTTACAGTTTTCATAGGGAGGCTGGGGTGGTCTGAAGTGTCACAGCAGGGATCCAGCATTGCCCCTACCCAAAATTTGCTACATAATTTGTGAGGCCAAGGGAAAAATGCAAACGCAGGACCTCTTGTTCATAAATCATTAAGTGGGTGTTTTTAAACACAGTGTGCTGTGAAGCCACACAGGTCAGATGCCCAAGAAGCTGGCTCTGCCCCTACTGTGCCAGTGCCTCCTGGGCACATGGATGGCAGGGACCCTGTGTGTTGCCCTTCTGTGAAACAAGAAGTCTGTATGGTTGGTTGGGCACCGTATGGTTGGTTGGGCAGTCTGTTCTTTCCTGTGCACTTCCTGTACCTCCTATGGTGGTCCACACCTCGAAAGCCCCACACTGCACCACCTTCCTTGGAGGACAACTCTATTAAATTCTGCACACCCGCTACCCCTGCCAAATCTTACTCTTTTTTTTCTATTTAAATGCCATTTATTCACACCCCCTGCAAATACATACATGCAAAATCCTTCATAATGACCCAATGATGCAAGCAAATAGTCAAGCAATGCTTAATAGCAATTGAAAAACCATATCCCCACCTCAAGGGTAGAGAGGACTGAAGTCTTTATGAACTCAATGGCTAGTCTGCATCCCCAGAACTGGAGGGGAATGCTTGCATTTCTTCATTTAAGACTTCTCCCCTCCTCCTTTCCAGAATGAACTGAAAGAATTCTTACAAGGCACCACCTCTTATAACCCTGTCCCCCAAAAGGAGATTTTTATATTCAAAAACATTGTACATTCATGTATTAAGGCTTTTAGAATTAGCAAGGACTTTAACTCTTTGGAATTTGCAGAAGTTGATAATGCAATTATATTTTTTAAAAGTTTACATTGTAATTGCTTTAGAAAAAAAATTAGTGATACTGCATATACGGAATTAGCCAAGCCTGTGTACACTTGCTGTTTCTGTGGTCTCCATGGACTGGAATTTGGTTAAAAAGGCAAGTTTATCAATTGAGGTTTTTAAAAATGCCTGCTCTTTCAACAAACCCAACAATAAATAATGAAAAATAATTAACACTGTAATATCAAAAGTGAATATTGCCAAGGACAAAGATAAATGATAGCCAAAAATACAGTGAAAAATCTCAATTTAAATATAGGAAAAGAGAACTTGGCTTCTAGAGAACAGCAGGTTTCCTCCCAAGCCTATGCTGAGTAATATGATATGAAATTGTTACCACTGCTTTTCTATTAGAAATCTTCCAATTCAGTTTTCTTTATTGACCCAATTCCCTGGTGTTTAGGGCTAGGCTGCTTTTTTCTGTACACATGTGTGATTGCTTATCCGTCTAGCCTAGGCTTGAGTTATTTTATTTGATTGGTAACACAGACCTGGCAGAAGCTTCACCTTTGGCATGCAGATGTCCACAGGTGATGTGAAAAGAGATTGAAAAAGGCATTTGCTGATAAAAACAAAACAAAACAAAACAAAACAAAAAAAACAAGCTCAGCATGATTTGATTGCCATCTAGCTACAAAGTGTAGCTAGAATTGATACAGTAGGCCAGAAATTATAATTATATCCGCCTTACAATTTCAGAACAGCCATGTGACCCAAGTTTATAATTGTTGGTGCCATAAGAGACAAAATAGCTGAGTAAACCACTCCTACAATGTTTTTGAATATAAAAATCTCCTTTTGGGGGAAAGGGTTATAAGAGGTGGTGCCTTGTAAGAAGTCTTTCAGTTCATTCTGGAAAGGAGGAGGGGAGAAGTCTTAAATGAAGAAATGCATTTATACAAAACATTATACATTGTACATTCATGTATTAAGGCTTTTAGAATTAGCAAGGACTTTAACTCTTTGGAATTTGCAGAAGTTGATAACGCAATTATATTTTTTAAAAGTTTGTCCAATTCCTTCCTGAATCCTTTAAAGTGCTTACCACATTCACTTGTACATCCTGAATAGACTTAGTATTTGTTTAATAAAGGGATATATGAAATAATTTTGGACTGTTAGAGCCAGAACTTTAGATTATATATACCTTGACTGGTATTACATTGCCTCCTTCATGTCGACTCCATTTCATTATCTGTGGATGCTTGCATTTAGTACTAACTGCAATGAGAAGCCTTTGAGGCCACATCTGAACCCAATGGGAAAGAATCCTGTGATTGAATAGTAATGTCTGCCAAACCCAAGGAAGAGAAAAAAATGCCACCATCTCTACTATAAAGTGACTCTCCTCCACCAGAATGTGTTCCATCCCCTCTTTTTACAGGCAAACAAATTGGGGATCAGAGTGGCAAAGCATTCTATTGCATATCACAAAATTAGTAGCAAAATGATGATATGAATTTAGGTTCTCAGACTCTGGTTGTATTAGTCAGCTCAGTCTGCCATAACAAAATACCACAGACTGGCTGTCTTAAAGAACAGACATTTACTTCTCACAGTCCTGGCAGCTGGAAGTTTGAGACCAGGGTGCCAACGCAGTGAATCTGGTAAGGGCTCTCATTGATTTGCAGACGGCAGCCTTCTCACTGCATCCTCACATGGCCTTTCCTGTGTGTTTGCACAGGAGAAAGGGAGAGAGAAAGAGAGGGGAGTGGGAGAAAGGTCTCTGATGTCTCTTTTTATAAGCGCACTATCCCATTCATGAGGAATTCACCCTCATGACCTCATCTAAACCTAGTTACTCCTAAAGTCCCCACCTCCAAATACCGTCACATCGGGGGTTAGGAATTCAACAAATACATTTTAAGAGCACATAACCATTCGGTCTATAACGTTAGTCACATGCACTTTATATGTCACAATGTCTCTTCTCCTATTAGGCTGACTCTAGTTCTCTTTTTACTGAAACCGCCTTGCTTTTTGTATCATCGTTTTAGGCTTGGAGAATTCTAAACAGCCTCTAGGAAATATACATGGTTGAGTTGTTTGACAGGTTATGAACACATTGTGATCAAATGCAGTGACTGTTTATAAAATGGGTGCCTTGCAGAGGAGAGTTTAAGCAAAGTTTAAGAATTGGGAAAATCCTTAATCACATCTCTACAGAAAGAAAAAAAGCTGTAAGAGAAAGCAGAATGGTACAGGAAATACTCCTCAGAGAACAGCGGTGAGGGAGGGATAATATGAACTACCTATAAAATATGCTCTTGACCAACCATATATCACCTTCAGCCTGTTCTTTTTGACGCGTGACTCACTATCTAGGGATCCCCTTCTGTTGGCTCACTTGGCAGCCTCTGAGATTAGTTTTCCCAAAGCAATTTATTACCCAGGTGGTGGGTACATGTTACATAAGTCCAAAAGTCATTTCTCACCACTTTTCTTGTCTTCCTTTTATTATTCTTTTAAAATATATGCTACTTCTACTTCATTATTTTCAACCATCTCAGAGCATGTTGAAAGTATTGACATGTACTTTCAGCATGAGGAAAGGAAGTTACTGCAGATAACATAAGAAGAAATATGTGTTTAGTCTCTGTCCCTGGTTCTAATACTGAGCTCCTAAAACTCTTACAATTTCCTTAGTGATGAGTGCTATGAGCATCTTTTGTCCTAGTATTTGTTTTTTGTCCCTGGTTCCTGACACAGAACTCTGGAGCTCCTGATTCCAGAGCTTGGAATTTCCTGGATCATAGGAGTGTCATTTGTTCTAATGATGTGACTCATGGTGGGCTCCTGGATAGCTTCAGAATGGGAGCTGGCCACTGGAAAGCCCAAGCTGTTAGTAGAAGCTTGGAACTTTCAGTCCCGTCTCCCATCCTCCAGGAAGGGGAGATTAGGTTAATAATTAATAATGTCTATGTGATGAAGCCTCAACACCAGTCCCTAGCCTATGAGGTTTGGAAAGTTTCTGGGTTACAAATGCATCCATGTGCCAGGTGGGTGGTGCACCCCAACTCCACAGGGACAGAATCTCCTGCACATAGGACCCTTCTGGATCTCTCCCTAGGTACCTTTTCAGCCAGCTGTTTATTCGTATCTTTGTAAAAACCTGTAAATGTGACTAAGGTTACAGCAAATTATCTCATCCTAGAGGGAACTGTTGAAACTCCTAATTTGTAGCCAAGTTGAGCAGAAGTGTGGACACCCTGGGTACCCAATACTTGCAACTGGCACCTGAAATGGAGGGTGTTCTTGTGGGATTGAACTCCTAACCTGTGGGGGCTACACTTACTCTAGGTAGTTTAGTGTCAGAATTGAATTAAATTGTAGGACACATCCAATTGGCATTTGCAGAGAACTGGAGAATTACTTGCTGTAAAAGAAAACCCCATACATGTAATGTCAAAAGTGTTGTGAGTAGAATAACAGCTTTCTTTTACTCTAAATTATAATTTTTTGAAAAATCACTGTTACAGTTCACATTCTGATCACAATAATAGGTAAGCAGAGCCTCATTTTGACACCTACCTACTTTATTGCGGTGCCGTGCTCTAGTATTTAGTCTGTATCTCAAATAACTCTTCAATCTGCCTCGTCCTTTTGATCCTTTTAGGTCAGTCCTTCATTATCTCCTGTTAGAAGTCTCCTAATTTTCTAATGGATAAGCTCATCTAGTGGATAACAATGGGATAATATTCAAAATTCTTACATGGCCAGAAAGCCTTCATTGATTCTTTTCTGTAGGGTACCACCAATTCTCACTTTTCTGAAGTGCTTATCTTTCCCAAGGCACTAGGATTTTAATTTCTCTACATCTTTTTTACTTGCTAGTGCCTCTTCCTAGAATTTCTTCCCTTACCGTGTATTTCTAGCAAGCTACTACTAATCTTTCAAAACTTAAAATTAATATCTTCTGGCCAGGAAGCTATTTCCTGTCTAGCATTCTGGTTGCAGGAAACTGGAGCCCACATGGACCATACTATACATTATTTGCAGCATTTGTAGGCAAAGGTGCCTCATTTGCTGCAAATGTATAATGGACCCTGTGCTCATTGAGCTCCATCTTCAGTCTACAGAGTCCAGAACTGCTTTCAGAAGTTCTGTTCTTCTGGAGGTAAATAAATGGAACCTAAGTCCAAAATTATTTATACATTGTCACAGATGCACACCTGCTGCTAGGCCTCACATGTGCACCCCAACAACAAAGATAGCAATGACAACCACACACACACACACACCCCTGTTGTGCTCATATATGTATAAATACACTCATTGTACAGAAAGCCTTAAAACTGCCCTTGAATATGAAAATAAGATATTTCTCTTTTATTTTTGTCCTCCCTTATCCAGCTTAGAATTAGTCTACCTTCAATGCATCCATTATTGCTTCCTCAACTTAGCTCACCCACACAGCAATTAAACTCCACGTATTTGAACAACTCAAAAATTCCATGTGTGCAAGAGGCTAAGTGCATAAGAATCCTAGGGCCTAGATGACAAGAATTACTAAAGAAACGTAGCCCACTCCTTCTCACTCTTTTGCAGTTTTGTATGTTATATGTACATTAGTATGTTACATGTACATTAATTTGCCTGAAGTTGCTGTGTTGGCTTAATGGAACACCATTGCCACCTGCTAGCCATATTGAGCTATTAAAGTCCTGCAATTAACCAAATTAAGCGCAGGTTAACACAATCAGGTTTTGCTGTGCTATTGTTTTAAATAACTTTTACGTATTTAAATTTAGAGTGCACAGTGTGACACAGCTTGCCATTTAATGACTCAGCATGCATACAGTAACCTCAGCTAACCAGCATTAAGTGGAAGTATTATGTCTTGGCACTGAAGAATATAGACTGACATCAAAAATAAGAGTTTCAAGGCTCAGTTCCACCATTTGTTAGTTATATGATCTTTGATAAGTCACTTAACCTGTCTAGACTCACATTATTTAAAAAGGTAAAAATAGAATAATAGTAGTGCCTTCTTCATAGGGTTGATATAACCATTAATGAAATAAGAAATTTGAAATGCTTACGTGATAACTACCATATGGTCACAATCAATGGATGTTCCTGCATATTATTTCTCTAGCGTTATTACACCTTTCTTCTGATTGCCAAATATGTAAATTCAACTGTTTCTCTGGGCCTCCATTTTCTCATGAACTCTATGGTTTAATTTATAAATATGTTCCAATGTAGTTTCATTTGTTTTATAAAATACAGTCCACTACAGGTAGTGCTCCATTTGTTCAACCTTATTTGTATATGATGCAGTCCACTCTGTGAACATCAGATTTCAATCATCATTGCCTTCCCACTGCACTCACTTTTATAAAGTCAAAGCATAATTTATAGTAAATAAAATACAGTGATCTTAAGTGTTCAGATCAATACGTTTTAAGAATTGTATATACCATGAAACTGCCATCCAAAACAAGATATGAAACGTTTTCTTGTATGTAGGAAATGCCTCATGGCTTTTATCTATGTTTTTTTTCCCCAAAGCATGTGTTATCCTTATGCAGGCCCTATGCTAATCTCTGCATCATGTCCATTTTAGTTCACGCAACCAAAGTAGACATGACACATTGCAATTCTGATCACCTCTCTTTTTCTCACAAATCCAGTAGAAATTATAAAGAAGAAAAAGCAACAATTAATCCAGAAATGCTATTTAGTCAATTGAAGATCAACACATTCTAGGTGAGCGCTGCCCCAAGAATGTTTAAAGGGAGAAATCTTTTAAAATAAAATGCAACTATAACATTATTGATATTTTTAAAGGGAGACAACAGGATATCTCTTAGAGAAATGGAAGTACCTGTACAGGGCATCATGTTCTCAGACTCCTCACTTCAGAATCTGATTCTTAGCTCTGTGGACTTGGGAGACTGGGTTTTCTTAGCATTCTCAGAGTGGATCAGATCTTTATGGAGAAAAACTTGCAAAGAAAATTTAGAAAACATTTACATATAAATCAGAAAAATGATATATTTACTTACATTAATATATTAATATGCTAATAATGTATTATTGTAATCTGCTGTTTTCTTTTTTCATTTACCATATACTTACATCTCTTATCTAGGATTCCCTGTTCTCAACCTTTAGTTCATTATCACCCTCCTCTCCTCACAAAGGAGACTTTTGAGACCACTGCCAATGAAATTTTGATACTGCATTTGTATTGTTTATCTGTATATATCTGTTTATGTATTTCTGTGCCTTATACATGGAAAGTAACATTTTCTTTCATTTCTCCCAATACCCCAGAGCCAATTTTCACCTCCTTGGGGGTGATGTCAACTCCATTGAGAACATGTATCTTATTCCTTTTTTCCTGCTACCTGGCAGCATGAGATGTTATATTAATCCTGTCTTTTTATTTTCTGTACTTTTGATGCTTTGACATCTAGGGACTTGCTGACTCTGGAAAGACTGCCCTTTCCAAAGTTAGGCAATTCTTAGAGATTAAAAAAAAAGACTCCCCTTCCAGCATCCTTTTCATATGCCTTTAATAGGCAAATCAAACAATCTACTACCCACATCCCAACCATCTCCTTTACTGATCCTTTACACTCCACGCCAGGTTCAGCTTGTCCTAATTATTCCGGGGCCAGGTTCCAGACAACTAAAGACAGCCTCTGCACCCCAGAATCTGAAGAGATGATCCAACTAGCCATTTCTAAGCCTTCTTACATTGTATTCTTTTCCATGGAAACCTCTATACAGGCTCTTGCCTATGTTTTTCTCCACTTTCTCTGCCTCTAAACTGAGCCTGGTGATTCCTCTGAAACCCTGCATGGTGGGTCCTGCCCCCTCCTCTTGGGACCTGTGAATAATAAACCATCTTTTCAATGGTAATCTTCTCCTGATTTCTTGGGTTCATGATACCTGAATAGTAATAAAACCTAAATTTAAAAATACCTATGTATCAGGGAGTTGGTTGGCCAGTATGGAATATGAATAATCTTGAGAGATATTTGTTAGAGTTTTGATGAAGACTTGTAAATTCCCCCTGTTCCTTAGAAAGAGTGCTGTGAAAACACTACCAAACTCTTGTTCTTTTTACTTTTACTTTTCTTTTCTGGGTCTATACAGACATCTTTATAGTTAATTGACTTTTTAGTAAAGAGTAACTGATTAAACTCATAGCCTTTGTTTAGGCTCCACCTGATTCTGCCTTCTTAGTTTACCTTTTGAATGAAACTGAGTGTCTCCAAACATTTTCAGGCATATATTTATAGTCAACTCTTGTGGCTATTTTGACAGGTGGTTGACCTCATTCATTATGTATTGAATCTTACTATTCTCACCTTTAGTATAATCTTATTTCTACATTTTTGGGACACATCACTGAAACCTTCTGTGTTCCATACGAGACCTGTACCAGATATCTCTGCAGCCAAAGAGAAGTTTTTTTTTTATTTTTATTTTTTCATGAGCTAACACAAGGCTTGCACAAAACTCAGCAGCAAGTAATTCCTTTCTTGTCCAGTATGAAAAAGTGCTGTCTTTGTCATAAAGCAAAAAGAGACAATGAAAGGTTAGGTTCTTATTGCCCCATCTCATTATTGTTAATGCAAAACTAGACTAATTTGCTTGTGGTTATGGAAATACCTCCTTTAACCTTGGTGACTGAATCAGAAAGAATTTGTTTTGGAGATGGGCATTGCTTAACAGCATTTGGCATTTGCTCAGGCTGAGCATTCATCGTGAGAGTAAGAGCCTTCTTTCCTTCTTTAGTGTAGTAATCTCTGCAGAAATATCACATGAAATATGGTGCAGAAAACCTTCAGCATAGTGGCTGGGATAGAGGCAGTGTGCTTTGAGTAAGGCTCTTCAGTTGGGGCCTGCATTTTCTCTGGAGCCAAGATACTTCTGACCTCAGCAAATGGCTTAACTGCTCTGATAAAAAGTGGATGATAATGATAACACTTCCTTCTTTTCAGATCCATAAGAAGAAGAGATTTTTTTGTTTTTGTTTTTGTTTTTGTTTCATCTCCTGCTGTATGCTTGGTCTCTAAAAGTGACTGGCAGAGGGAAGACAATAAATATTTGTTGTTGAATGAATGAAGTGTTATGATGAGGGTTAACTGACATTATAATGCAAAGCTCTTGGACCAAGACCTGACTTATCATAGGCCCTCGAAAGATATTCCTTCCAAAAACAATGACAGCAAAAACAAAATAAATGCTTCATACTCAATAAAGTGTCTGGTGATGGGTTTATAGGAAATTTAGTAATTTTAATATTAAAAACTACCATTTACATCATCTGATTATTTATTCGCCAAATATGTATCAAGCAATCACTAAATACCATGCATTATTGCAGGTCTTGGAGATTTAGAGGTAAACAAAAATAGCCACAAGTAAAAGCTGTCCACCTATAAAACTTTCTGCCCAGCCTAGCGCAGGTTAGAGTTCCCATATGTCTATCAGTGATCAATAGCTGTGGGAGAAGAAACCTGTAGAACACTGAAAAAAATAAAGCATTCAGATCATTAACTTTTTTATTAATCTTTTGCCATTTGTGGATCTGTCAGCTTCTCTAAAACTCTTGAGATACAAAAGCATTATCTCTGAGACAAGAGATAATTCCCAAGCTCTCCTCTTGATTGCCCACGTTTGCCTGAGAGAATTTCTCAACCAGTTGTTTCAGGTTATAGACATAATTGGCTATTAGTCATTGCAGTGCCATTGTTCATTGACATACCTCTCAGCATCATCTCTCACCCATCTGCAAAGCAAGGTCCTGGTTTCTGATTAATCTTTGGCTGGTCATTGAGGATACTGAAGCAGCTCCTGGTTAATTAGACCATTTTGTCTCTAACCTCATCCATTCTCTGGATGTAATAATAGGGATAGAGGTGGCAGCAATTGTAAGCACAGCCCTGAAAACTTGCTAATCGGCCTTTGTGATTTGCCAGGGGTGCCATTGTTTAAATTGTTAAAGCCAAATTGTTGTGAGAGGCAGTAAGTGGGCATTTTTATCTCCAAGTCAATTACACACATTTAGTGAAACCTAAGGAGCTCATAAATTAAAAGTAAATAAGTAAATAGGAAAGCAGCATCTACAACACTTAGTGATGTAAGTCACACACATACACACCACATACAGGGTGATAAAATAGCAAAATGTGCACTTATGTGGAGAGGAAGCCCACGTAGTGATAAGGGGTGAGGGCTCCTGAGTTTACCAGCTGTGTGAACTTGGGCAAGTAACCGCTCTCTGAACCTTCTTATCTGTTAAATGGAAGTAATATTAAAGCCTACAGGGACATCAAAAGGATTAAATTACATTAATATTTTATGTTATTTCATTAAATAAGATTTTATAAACTATCTCAAAGTCTGCTCTATTACGTGTGCTAATTATCTGGTAGTTACTATTATTCTAGAAAAGCATCCTATCCCCCCTAACTCATGCAAAGAAACAATGAACGTTTCCAATACTTCACATTAAAAAAATTACTTTGACAGTATCCACAGGAAATCAGGTAAAAAGCAAAGACAGACAAGCTTAGCTCTTTCCACTGGACTTTGTGAGATGTGTCTAGTTGTACTAGAGTTCAGGCGAGCATTCTAAGAGATGCTGGAGGGCAGAAAATGAAGTGAACTTCATTCTATGAAGCACTTGAGACTTGTCTTTCCCAGTATTTCCCCATCATCTCTCAAAGAACTGCCTATTAATAAAAAACAAACAAAAAAAACTTATTCCTTGGTATGCTACCAAAAAAAATATTCTTCATTCAAGTAAGTTTGGAAACCACTGAGTATTACATTTCCCTGTGAAGAATCATAATCATTATTTTGGTGTTAAAAGGCCTGAGAAATCAGGAAAAGCTCTAATAAAAGGAATAAAAAGAATAGCTTTGAATCCTTTAACCTAATTTTTCAAAAATACCCCACACAACATGTGTTACCACACAAATTGCATTTTGAAAAAATGCTGGCCAGGCACAGTGGCTCATGCCTGTAATCTCAGGGCTTTGGGTGGCCAAGGCAGGTGGATCACCTGAGGTTAGGGATTCGAGACCAACCTGACCAACATGGTGAAACCCGATCTCTACTAAAAATACAAAATTAGCCAGTCATGGGGGTGCATGCTTGTAATCCCTGCTATTCAGGAGGCTGAGGCAGGAGAATTGCTTGAGCCCGGGAGATGGAGTTTGCAGTGAGCCAAGGTTGCAACATTGCACTCCAGCCTGGGCAACAAGAACGAAACTGTCTCAAACAAAAAAAAAAAAGAAAGAAAGAAAAGAAAAAATGCTGAGCTACAACATAGTAGGTTGAAGAGTGTCCTCCAAAGCATCCGCACCCACTCAGAAACTAAGAGTGCGATCTTATTTAGAAACAGAGTCTTCGCATATGTAATTTGTTAAAAATCTTGTAATTTGTTAAAACCTGGATTTTGACTGGGCCTTAAATTCAGTGGCTGATGTCTCTATGAGAAAAGAATAGGACACACAGATTCAGAGAAGATGGTGACGTGAAGATGGAGACAGAGATTGAAATCATGCATCTACAAGTCAAACAATGCCAAGGATTGCTGGCAACCACCAAAAGAAACCAGAACGTCATGGGATGGTTTTTCCTTCAGAGCCTCCAGAAGGAACCAACCCTGCTGACACCTCGGTTTCAGGCTGTAGACTTCTAGACTCCTGAACCATGAGAGACAATATATGCTTTTTTTTTTTTTTTTTTCCTGAGACAAGGTCTCCCTCTGTCACTCAGTCTGGAGAGCAGTGACACCATCACAGCTCTCTGCTGCCTCAGCCACCTCAGGTCCAGGTGATTCTCTCACCTCAGCCTCCCTAGTAGCTGGGACTACAGGTGTATGCCACCATGCCCAGCTAATTTTTGTAATTTTTATAGAGACAGGGTCTCACCATGTTGCCAAAGCTGGTCTCAAACTCCTAGGCTCAAGCAGTCCCCCCACCTTGGCCCCCCAAAGTGCTGGAATTACAGGTGTGAGCCACCACACCCAGCCAAATTTGTTGTTTTAAGCCACCTAGTTTGCCAAAATTGGTTGCAGCAGCACTAGGAAACTAATTCATATTTAGTATTTTTAAATGGCTATTTGAAATGTAAAAAAAAATGCCATGAAATATATTGCAATTAAAAACTTTGTTCTCTCTGCTGCCTATTTGTTTTGGTTCCATTTTTTGGCAATTTGAGGTAGAGGAATTGGAACACAGACGGGAGGAGATAAGAAGCACTCTCTGCTAAGTGAGTGATTAAGAGCTCACTCATGGCTCAAAAGGAAACTCTCCATTATATTTTCTATTATCACTTGTGTTCTTGTCAATATAAGTACTTGCCACTTGTGAATCATTTTGGCGTTTGCAAAAACTTTCTTAAACAGTCAATTTCTTCCATTCTACCACCAAAAGAAACAAATAAAATAAACAATAGACAAATGCAATAGCAATGTTTACTAAAATTAAGTTTTTCACTCTGCTTAGCTTTGAAATCTGTATGGAAAATTAAGATAAAGGCCTACATTTTCATAGATAAAGCGGTAGAAAACTTTGTTTTTAGACATATATATATGTCTTTTTTTTAGACATATATATATATTTTTTAAGATGAAGTCTCGCTCTGTTGCTGAGGCTGTCACTGCAATGTTCACCTCCTGGGTTTAAGTGACTCTCCTGCTTCAGTCTCATGAGTAGGTGGGATTACAAGTGTGTGCCACCACGCCTGGCTAATTTTTGTACCGTTAGTAGAGATGGGGTTTCACCATGTTGACCAGACTGGTCTCGAACTCCTTGCCTCAAGATATCTGCCCTCCTCAGCTTCCCAAACTGCCAGGACTACAGGCGTAAGCCACCGTGCCTGGCTCAGCATGTATTTTTAATTCAGCTCTTTGGAGAGCTGCATCTACTGAGCACTGCGTGGGCTTAGTCTCACTGTGTAGTTGAATCTTGGTGGATGGAGGCCATCTGTGGTACCTCTAAAGCTACAGTAAGAACAGCCAATGCCATGGCATCAAAGGAAGCCAGAGGCATTTGGACCTTTTGGGGTCTGGCAGGCAAATAAAGAAAAGACTAGATTTGGCCTGAGTCTAGTTTCTTCTCATCTGGACACTAGCTCATAGCTCATAACTGGGCTCTCTTTTTTAAGCTCCATAAATGCAAGCATGACATGCATATGTGTATACAGAATTTGGACATGTTTTCCAAATTGTAAATGTGATCACAGCCTTAAGTAAAATTTATGTCTCCCAAAGCCCTCAGGATTAGTTCCTCATTCTTTAAGGAGGCTCAAAATAACTTCATGTCACTTTGGTTATCTCTCTAGCCCCATTTCTTGTCAACTTTTTCCTTAAGAAGAATAACTTGACTTCTCTAAATACTCCTTTATTTCTCTCAGGGCATATGCATTTACTTACCCTATACTCTTTCTTCTTTCTTTCCCTTTGTTTCTTTCGTTCTTTTTTTCTTTTTTTTTTTTTCCCAAGGTCTGATTTTATCGCCCAGGCTGGAGTACTGTGACACAATCTAGGCTCACTGCAACCTCTGCCTCCTGGGCTCAAGCCATCCTCCCACCTCAGCCTCCTGAGTAGAGTAGCTGGGACTACAGGCACCACTGTGCCCAGCTAACATTTTGTGTGTGTGTGTGTGTGTGTGTGTGTGTGTGTGTGTGTGTGTGTGTATTTTTTGTAGAGACAGGGTTTCACTATGCTGCCCAGGCTGGTCTCAAACTCCTGAGTTCAAGTGAACCACTCACCTTGGCCTCCCAAAGTGCTGGGATTACAGGAGTAAGCCGCCATGCTCAGCCCCTATTCTCTTTCTAAAAGAATCCATTTGCTCTTTTTTTCCCTATGATTGGGTTAGCATCATGGCTTCCAATGTTTGACTGAATGGTTTTAAATTCTACCCTCCATGAAACGGGAAAATTAGCTTTTTTTTCTCATGGAGTTTTGTTGAGATTTGAATCAGATAATAAATGCCAAGTTACTACATATAACAGAGAGTTGTCAAAAATATCATCACTCTCATTTTTCATATCCCAGCTTAACTATCATTGGAACTGAAAAACACTCCCTGAACCTCACAAGATTCGATTAGATAAAATTAGCTGTAACTATTAGAACAACCCCAACATCAATTCCCTTATATCCAGTAGTTCCACTTCTAGAAAAGTTTGCTAAGAAAGTAATTCTAAATTTAGGAAAAACTTTTATTATTGCATTATTTATAATAGAAAACAAAAATATGGAGCTACCCAAACATTTTCACTTCATTTAGACTTATCAGTCTTGTGATGGATTGTTAGGGACCTTCTGAATCATATTATTCCATTAAAAATAAAAATTCACAAGGACAAATTAATAGCATAGAAATTCCTATGTTATATTGTTAACCGAATAACAGCAGGGATTAAAAATTGATGGGATAGTATAGAAAAAAAAATCCTGGAATTACAGGTGCAAATATCTTAACAGAATTATTTTGTAATGTAATAATTGGGTATTTTTTCTCTATTTTTCTGAGTCTTGCAAATATTCCATAATAAGCATCCATTACATTTATAACGGCATAAAATAATAACCTTAATCTTTAAAAAATGCTAGTGGAGTAAATGAAACTTTTCCTGCATTTTCTTGCCAGTTCATGTCGCTGGGGAGTGTCACTTATTTCTCTTGTCTGTTTCCCTATGGTGAAAAACATAGAAACATGTTGATAAAGAACACAAAGAAAGAATGCATGACTAGGAATGAGGAGAAGGAAAAGCTTCATGCATACTCAGCTGTAACATGTTTGGGCCGGGCGCGGTGGCTCACGCCTGTAATCCCAGCACTTCGGAAGGCCGAGGCGGGCGGATCACGAGCTCAGGATATCAAGACCATCCTGGCTAACACGGTGAAACCGCGTCTCTACTAAAAATACAAGAAATCAGCCGGGCGTGGTGGCGGGCGCCTGTAGTCCCAGCTACTCGGGAGGCTGAGGCGGGAGAATGGCGGGAACCCCGGGGGGCGGAGCTTGCAGTGAGCCAAGATGGCGCCACCGCCCTCCAGCCTGGGCGACAGAGCCAGACTCCGTCTCAAAAAATAAATAAATAAATAAATAAATAAATAAATAAATAAATAAATACAAATAAAATAAAATAAAATTTTTACAAAGTCAATGTAACAACTCAGGGAAACTATTTGTCTTCAAACATTGAAGTAAGAAAGACAGGAACCCAAATTCAGAACCAGCTGAACCTTGAAGGAATAAACAGTAAATGTCAAGGGCTTTTCTCACACAGGGAATGAACCGGTTTTCCTGCTCATAAAAGAAAACAAAAATATTGAGTATGAGTCTGAAAAATATGAACTTCCTCATGTTTGTCATCTCCATAAACTATCCCTGTCATTTTATCTTTTTACTGAGAGGAAGATAATTTAGCAAAATGAAGCACGGGCTGCTATTTCATTTTCTTATTACATATTTGAATTCAGTCTAGTATAATTATGGTGTTTATGAAGTTTAAACTGATGTAGCAAGAGAGTAATAGGAAGAATAAGTGATCATCCACTCTCAACATGATAAGGAGCATTTCTTGATAAGAAAGTTGACTTTACCAAGTACAGGAAATATGTAAGAGGTTTTATCAGACAATAATTTTAATTTATGAGATGCTTTCATTGTGTTCCACTAAGAAAATATACATTTATTTCTAAATAAGTTAGTTTTAAAGCAAAGTGAGAACAACAGTAGCAAAAATGTCTCACAGTTACAGACACAGGCAAAACAAAAACAAAAATACCTGCCCCCATCTGTGAGAAAAGAGCTCACAAAGAACCAGGAAATTATAAATGAGCAGATTTGCCCTTGGCTGTAGGCAAGATCCCTGAGACAGTAATAAGAAATGAGGTTACCAAACATCCAGAGAGATATGAGCTGATAAAACTTAATCAGGCTAGTTTCACAAAGGGCAAATCTTTTCTGACGAATTTGGTGGCATTTTTGCATGGCACATGGGGCAGGAGAAGTACGTGACAGGAATGCGGGATAGAATTCAACTGAAGAAGGTAGAAAGCCATGGATGATACACATGAAAATGAGGTACGGTCTTAGCTTTCCGAAGAAGAGCACTTGGGAGACGTTTAGCCCAAATGCGTTGATTTCATGAAGATATTTATGTTGACAATAAACATGAAGCGTGGTTGATGGACTGGCATGCTTAGCAGTGAAACCACGGTAGCAAAATTATGTCTGTTATCATCAAATAATGCACGCTTGGGGTGCGTATGTATGTTTGCCATTCCAGATTTTTTTTAGAGTATTCTCATCAGTTATTTGCAGTCATGCACTGCATAATAACATTTTGGTCAATGACCGACTCCCCCCTATGAGATGGTGGTAACTTAGGATTATAATACCTTTTCTATGTATAGATATGTTTCGATACACAAATACTCCCCATTGTGTTACAGTTGTCTGCAGTACTCAGTACAGTAACATGCTGGCTGTGCAGGTTTGTAGCCTAGAAGCAATAGGCTGTGTACCATACAGCCTAGGTGTGTAGCAGGCTATACTGTCTAGGTTTGTGTAAGTGCACTCTGTGATATTCCCACAATGACAAAATTGCCTAATGACACATTTCGCAGAATGCATTTCCATGGTTAAGCCACTCATGACTGTATTTACTTTTTCCAAATGTTTATGTTATTAGTATATATAGAGAGAGCCAATGACATTTCAGAGAGACACACTCTTATCTCAAAGAGGAACCAATGGGCCACACTGCAATATCTCAATGATAATAATAGGTTTTACAGCATTTCTAGCATCTTTACTCTGAGACATTTTTAAAAAACGCTTTTAGTTGTTTTGTGTACTTGACAGTAGGCTGTTATTTTTCAAAGGTTAATGTTGAAGTGTTCTAAAATTGGGAAAGTAATAGGGTCAAATACCCAGAAGTTCAAAAGAAAGAATCTGAGTTTCCTGCTTAGTTGGTCCCTCAGCGTCAATGTACAAATAGGCTTGTCTCTTTCATCTTAAAAAGATAAATAATCCAAACTGAAATACATACATACAAACAATTTCTCTACCTCCTGCTGTTGTTTCTGCTCACCTCTCCCTTCTCTTTGCTGTCTGACTTCTTTATAGAGCAACCTGTACACCATTCCATAGTTTTATTTCAGTTCCCAGTTTATCTCAAGCTTGGCCTTTATGTCTCAATTCATCTTGATTTGAGAGTGAAATTTCTCCCAAAGAAGAAACAAGGACTTTCTGATGATCAACATTAGTGCCTTATTGCTGTTGCTCTTGTTTTTCACGGTTACTCTCTAACATATATAACTCTTAACATGTGTAACTAATATAACTCTTAATTACATCCTCCTTGTTAAAAACTCTCCTGTTTTGGCCTCCCATATGATGGATGGGGTAGGCAGAATAATGGCCCCCAAGATGTCAATATTCTAATCCCTGGAACATGTGAATCTGTTAGATTACAAGACAAAGGGAAATTACGGTTAAAAATGGAATTGAGGTTGCTAATAAAGAGATTATTTTGGATTAGCTGGGGAGGCCTTTGAAGTAGAAGAGGGAGGTAGAAAAAGGGCCAGAGGAAAATGTAACTATGGAGGAATAGTAGAGTAATTTAATGTGAGAAGGACTCAACATGCTGTTCCTGATTTTAAAGATAGAGAAAGGTGTCCACAATCCGAGGAACGTGGGCAGTCTCTAGAAGTCGTATAAGGCAAGGAAACAGATTTCACTCCAGAGCCTCTAGGAAATGCAGCCCTGATGACATCTTGATTTGAGCTCACTGAGACCCATTTTGGAATTCAAACCTACAGAACTATAAGATAGTAAAATTGTGTTGTTTTACACCATTGAGTTTGAGGTAATTTGTTACGGCAACAATAGAAAAATAGTACAATGGTGTTCTGGCAAAATAGTCTCAACTTCTCATGCAGATCTTCCTCAGAACATTGGGCTGTTTTCTTTCTTTTGTCAATTCCCTAGATGTTGACAGTCCTTGGTTTTCATCCTTAGCTTTCTTTTTATTCAGTTCCATGCTGTTGCTGCCTTTTACAAAGCAATGCCATCAAACTCAGTCTCTTTCCCCAACCAGATTCCTGCTTGTAGCTACCTATCTACATCTACAAGTCCCTCACAAAATCCAAATTTAACATGCTTTATGATAGTTTTTAAAAAGGCAAAATCATCAATTTCAAAGAAATGTAAATGAACACATGAAAGATTTTCTTTAACTCACTGATCAATGAAGGGACCAGTAAAATGTTGCAACTTGTTCAAAGAAGAATCCAAAGTACCACACATGTGTAGGTGATAAGGAATGCTAAAATAAATGTATAAATAGATGCAGAACAGGCTTACCATGGGTAAATTGGATGGTATGTGAATTATATTTTAAGAAAGCTGTTACAAAAGCAAACAAGCAAAAAGTTTGGCTTATTCATTAGGGAAAAATAGGAAAAAAATCACCTGCATTTCATTGGACACAGTTTATTTGCATTTCAATGACCAAAAGTCATTTGCATTCTTAATAGTTTTCTCCTCTTTACATTGTTGCAAAGTAGTTAAGAGTCATTGAAAGGCAGGGTTAATCTTATAATCTGCAATCTGCAAGAGTACCTAATTGCAGGGTACTCTGCAATCTTTCCATGTCCATATTGAAATTTTCGCAAGTTTTCCTGATATGTCCTATCACATATCTCTAATCCAAATACTTTCTCATTCTCCTGAAGATCATTTCACACATACATCCCTCTTAAACCTCCCATACTTCCCCTCCTATCATCTGTCTCAGCTGATGATCTTCCTACTTCCCAAGGAAATAAGAGAAAAAAACAGAAGATAATTTTAACTTGCTTTCCACCCCACATGCATCAGTGTATTTTCCATCTGTCTCCACTTACTCTGCCTTCCCTCCTGTTACTGTGGATGGAAGCTTTCTTTCTAAGGCCAACCACTGCACTGTGAACTCAGTGCCTCCCTGTCACCACCAGGGTGTCACTCAAGGTATTGTCTTCTCCCTCTCCTGTATCATCATGTTCTTATGCAACTGCATCATGCCCAGAATCATGTCAATATAATGTAGTATCCCATCTCAACCAAATGCACCATTGACCCCATGTCTTTCTGTAGTACAAACCTATTTCTCTAGACCCTTTTATGAGAAACTCCTTAGAATTTTTTCTTTTTCAAATTCACTGTCTTCAATTCCTCTCTTTACATACTCCATATCCTCACTCCATTCAGGATGTACACTCCACTCAGCAACTCTTGCTAGGTCCTTAGTAACCTCTTCCACATTGCTAAATGCAGTGGAATGTTTTTTACTCATCTTATTTGCCTAGCTTCCCTATTTGTCAAAGCTGACCATTCAGCTTCTTTAATTTTAGATTCTAGTCCATCACTCTCATAGGACACTCCTACAACATTGGCTATTGTTCCTCAGTCCCTTTACTGGTTCCTCCTCACCAGTGTGATCTTTAGTTGTTGCTGTGTCTTCAGGATGGGTTTGGGGTCTTTGTTTGTTTGTTTTGCTTTGTATACACTCAATCCGATGATCTTCAAATGCATATACCTTCAGTTCATAATTATCTCCAGAACTCCAGATTCATCTATTGGATGCCACCTTAGATATTTCAGTAGAAAGTCTAACAGAAACCTCAAACTCAACATTTATAAAACCAAAGTCTTTGTCCTCCTCCCAACCCCCAGCACAAGCCAGCTGTTCTACTTGAGTGTTTTCTCTCCCCAGAAAATGGAAAACCTATCCCTCCATTTCCTTAGGCTGAATACCTGATACTCATTCATGATTTCCAAATTTTTCTCCAACATATTACAAATCTCATTGCTTTAATATACAAAAAAAGATCTAGAATCCAATTATTATACATCTATACCACAAATACTTTGGTCCCAGCCACCATTATTTTCCCTTAAATTATATCAATGCTTTCAGTCTCAGGGGTTTGACGCTTGCTGTTCCTCTGCCTAGAAATTTTTCTCAGTGCATGTTTTATTATCCACTTTTCTTTTGATCTCTGTTCAGATGTCACCAGACCAGTGATGCCTTCCTTCACTGCCTTTTATAAAATAACACCTGACTTCAGCATTTCTAGCTCCCTTACCCTTTATTTCTCTCCATAGCACTCACAACAATCTCATATAACTTCTGTTTGTTTGTTCATTTATCTTATGCCTCCCTCAATTAGAATACAAACGCTGTCACAGACTCAAAGTTATCTGTTTTGTTCATTGCTGTATTTTCAGGCTCTAAGATGGTTCTCGCACATAGTAATCCCACAAATAAATGATTGTTCAGTAAATGAATAAAAAATAAATTAAATTTATATCTCCTCTCTCATCTTCTTTCATTCTCACTGCTCCTCATCTTTCTCTTCTCCTCTTCCTTTAACAGCTAAGGACTTCAACATACATGCATTCTTCCATTCATCCCTAATAGCTAACTCAGAGTAATCTCTAATGCTGTCTTTGCCTCTTTCCTCACATCAAATCATTTATAATATTTTGTTGGTATTGTGCCTACATACTCCAAAAAAGCTCTCACATCATTCTTGTCCTCTTTATTCCTACTGACAATGCCCAATTATCTCAGTGGTTTCAAACGTTTGATAAATAATCTCCTTGATCTGTGGTTTCTCTTTCCCTATCCTTCCTCCCGTGAGTCATGGATCTAAACATATCATAATCTTGCTTAAAACTGAAAACACTTCCATGTTTTCTAACTGTTTACAGGTCAAATTCAAACCTCTGTCATATCATTTAAGGTCCTTCAAAACTGTTCTAAATCTGCCATTCCATCTTTTTATTTCATGACTCTCCTACCTTCCAGACTAGTTATATTCTTTTGAATGACAGGTATTTTCATATCTTTATTCAAGCTTTTCTTCTTCTTAAAACTTCCTTACTGTAACTCCTGTTTCAATGCCATTCTTATTTTCATTCTTTTACACATAGTTCAAATGTTGCCTCTTTTGGCATTCTTCCAAAACCTCTAGGTAGAATTAATTGCTTCCTTCTCTGGGCTCCTTTAAAATTATATTTATACTTTTGGTGTAGTACTTATCCTGTAATATTGTAGTTCGTTAATTGTTTTCTTATTGGCTTCCCTTTCTGGAGTATAAATCATAGTGATTTACGGTATGAGTTCTGGAGTCAGTTTGCCTAGACTCAAAATTGAGCCTCACCACCCTTTAGCTATTTGATATTGAACAAGTTATTTCCATTCTCTAAACCTCATTTTCTCATCTTTAAAATGGAAATATTAAAATCTGCCTCGCAGAGTTCTTGAAAGGACCAAATAAGATAATTCATATTACAAGTTTAACTTGATTCCTGGCACTTACTATGCTCCCAAATTATTATTTGAGTGTCAGCTTCTTGAATGTAATCCACTTATTTATTTTTGCATTGTCAGTGCATAAAGAAGGTTCAACACAGAGTTAGAGCTAATAAAAGTTGGTCGAGTTTACTTATGTTGGATTTATCACTGTGTGCTGGCAATATCTAGATAAGCAATGATGTAGAATTTTATTTTGGTCTGGCTTTAACCTAAAGAGATCAACAGAATGTGAAATATATGCTAATGAACTCTTCTTATTATAATTTACTTTATGATCTGCATGCCACTTCCAATATGGCATATACATTTTAGGCAGGTTTAATGCTTAATCTCAAATCACAAGGTCACCATAGATGTCTGACTGGACTGAAATACTTCATATTTCATATTTGAATACTGGATCTTCAACTTTATACCATGTGTATACCATTAGTTCATTCTGCTAGAGTAACATAAAGATAACCAGAATGATTCCATTATGTGAAAAGCAGCTTTCACATTAAGAATTGTCTTCTCAAATGTCTACTGCATGTAAGAAATAACAAGCATGGCCACTGTCAGGTGACTGTGCAGCTTCTCTTCTTCACATCTTTGGTGTTACCTAGAGTAAGAGGCCACTGAGTGTCCAGTCCTTAGACACAGTCTAGCTTTGCATCTTGTGAAGTGAGTGCTGATTTCAAGTATGGCTTGAATCTAACTGATGCTTGATGTTCAAGCGTTATTGAACATATACTTTTGAAATAATTCCAAATACATTTGTTGAAAGTATTATTATCAAATGATTATTACAATGAAAATTTATTTTTATTACAATTTAAAAGACAACAATTCAAAAATCAGTCTCCCATCCCAGCCCTTAAATACTGAGCAACATCAGTGTCTCCAGTTGTTGGTTGGACAGGTAAAACTGTGAGCCCCAGCACCATCAAAATCAGTATCTTTATACCTGAATTAGTATTTTTTCCTAATACAAGCATTCCTCTTTTCTTTATTCCTCTATTTTGAAAAACAACAAATATCTGAGCAATCTTTAATGTTTCCTTTTCCTTTAATCATGCTCCCACATTCAGTTAACTGGCAAATCACCTTTTACCTTTGCTTTCAATTCTTGCTCCCACCACCTTAGTAAGATGTATCTCTCTACTTAGACTAGTATAAGAATTTCATAACTATTTTTAAAACTCTAGCTTTATCATCTTTATTTTTGAACATAGCTGACAAAGTTTACTTTTTTCCTTTTTTCTTTCTCCTATGAAGTAAGTCTGACATATCTTCACTGCATAAAACCCTTCAAAAGATAAACATCAACAGGCAGTGGGATCTCAGTTCAGAGCTTGATCTTTTGACTTAAAGCTCCGGTCTGCCTCTAGTTCTTAAGTAGGACACTTGACCTCTCTAGAATTACTTTTCTGTTTTATTTTTTTTCTGTAAATTAGGTAAACATTTCTCTAAGTATTTTTTCTATTTTAAAATTTTGTGACTTGACAGGAAGTTTAAAGAAAATTGGTAAAAGATAAATACGTGTGGTAAGGGGAGGGAGAAGGAAGAAAGAAGGGAAGTGAAGGGAAGGGAAGGAAAGGGAAGGAAAAAGGAAAGAAAAAAAAAAGGCTTAACTCTTTATAGAACCTGCATTCCAAGAAAGATATTAAGTGAGTTTAGTCTAGCTTAAGCTCTACAGGTTAAAGAGTATGAGTTTGAAAAACTAAGGTAGAAGCTTGGTAATAGAAGAAAAATAAAGCCAGGGAGGGTAGAGCTTTTATAGTACTGAAAGTATGCAGAACTCAAGTGGATGTATAATTTGTGTCACTCTGGACTTGGAGTCAAACCTGGATTTGAATGCCAGCTCTGGACTATTAATAGGGATGTGATTTTGAGCTAATTATTTAATGTCTTTAAGTTTTAGTCAGGTTCAACTACATCATTTGCAGACCCCAGTACAAAAGGAACATGTGAGCCCCTTGTTCAAAAGGCAGAAAAAAATTGCCATTAAAGGCATTAAAATATAAAATGTTTTCTTACTTCCCTGGTATCTTTCTTGATCTGGAATGATGTTTTTTATTTGCTTTTTAATGGCACTTTCCTTTTGGGCATGGGAATACTTTCTCAGCGACCCTCACATGACCTGGGGGCCTTGCCCCACCATTCAGTGTAAATGTGACTCACTGCTGACCCACTGACTTCCAGGTTCTCCCTTTCATCAGCTGCCTAACCAATATGCAGTGCCCCAGCTCATAGCCCCAACTCACACTAATGGAAAATCCTCAAAGGCTTTGCAACATTTGTGCAAATTAGACTTCTGCGGTAGAAGATATTCTGGAGGTTCCAGGAGCCACGGTGGGGAAATATATTGGGAGCAACAAAATTCTAACACAGAAAGATCTCAGGTACTTTATATCTGGGTGTGATCTTGGAGCTCTCTAGTCTTATCCCTGGGTGAAACCTGAAATTTACCCAGGCTCATACAATGTGATTCAGGTAGAACCAAAAATAATATGACTTTTAGTTCTGTGTTCTTTTAGATACAGGCTTTCTAATGTATGTGAGTTTCCCTTGTGATTTCCTCTAAAAGCCCAGGTTGTCTGCACTTTTGTAGTTCTGGAGAGGAAAAGCAGCCAAACACTGGTCTCTTTCTATGGTTTATTTAAAGCTATCTTTCTCAAGGCTGTTTTAGTTGTAAGAAACAGAAACCATACAATTAGTGGTTCATGTAACCTAGAGGCAGATCTCACTAGAAATTGAAACCAAAGATCTAAAAATTCAGGGAATAAAGCCTCTCTCCTCTAAATTACTCATTCTCTCCATCATTCTGTTCCCCCCCACCCTCTCTCTCTATCATCTACTTATCTCAATTTCTGCCTTTGTGTAGACTGGTGTTCTCTACCTCCTCATGAGTTTTATGGACGATGGATATTATAAAAGTTATGAACATCCTCATCTCTGCTCAAGCAACCAGCAGAGACTAGCATCTCTTAATATTATATCTAAATTCTTGGGAGAGAGAAACACCAGAGCCCAAGAAGAACATATTCACTTCTCATCCAGTCAGCCATGGCCCAAGGAATGGCCTAAAGCAGATTGAACATGCCTTTAAGGATCTCCACAGTTTAAGAGCTACTTCTCCATGAAATGGTTCATGGGCCATTCAGAAATGCCAGAATGTCACTGCATTCGAATAAAAAGTTCTCAGTATTTAGGGAATAATAATGAACGTTAGATACCAGTAGGTTAGATGTAATATTGCAGTCAGATCATGGAATTAACTTTTTAATTCCATAGAAGATAATGGAGGAAGAAAGGTAGGGCAGAACCCTTTATGCATTTTCAACAATATTGTACAATTTTCATATAATTATTACTTAGAAACATTTATTTTTCAGTGTCTACCTATTCCAAAGTTCTTGCCTTACTGCCAAATAAAACTTGTTTTTTTTTTTTTTTTTTGAGATAAGGTCTTGAACTTCTGGGCTCAAGCAATCTGCCCGTCTTGGCCTCCCAAAGTGTGGGGATTACAGGTGTGAGCCACCATGCCCAGCCTCTCTAATAAAACATTTTGTAGAGAGTACCATTATAATCATTGGTGATTACAATGTATAGTAGTATGTATACACATATAGTTTTTATATGTGTGTGTATATATATACACATACATGTGTGTGTATATATATACATGTGTGTATATATATACATATGTGTGTGTATATATATACACACACACATATATATGTGTATACACATACACATACAGTAGTATGTGTCTTCAATACAATTACTCACTGATTGTAGCAGTGGCTCAAAAATACCAACACCATTCTTTTTCCCAAATACATTCTTAAAGCACAAGTATTTGAAAATGCATTTTGATTTCTTGTTTTTGATATCATATTGTCACATGTTTTCAGCTGTTCCTATACAGAAAACCAACATTGTTCTTGCTTTCTGATTGTATAGACAAAACAATAAAGACTTGCTGTTATTTCATCATTTCATTACAGTATGAGAAAAATCTAACAATTTACCAAAAGATATTAAACAATTAGTTGAAACTAGACTTTTTACTTATCAAGTGGTATAAATTCAAGCTCCTAAAAAGTTGATAACAAATATAAATGAAAAAAAGGAATGATATCAACTGACTGATGATAATTCAACAAGACCTAACTTCTGTGTCTTTCAAAATGACCTAAAGTTACTTAGAAAAATGTCTTTAAGTTTCTCATCTATCAAATGGGAACAGAAATGTGCATCTCACAAAAGGCATCACAGGGATTTAATTTGGAAACTGCTGTATGTATATATTTTTTGAAAACCACTAATCATTCTCACAAGTATAAGATATTATTAAGCCAAGTTATACCCCCAATTTGGACTACATGAAGTTTAAACCAGACTTTTCTCTGAGTGAAAGTAAAGGAAAGCAAATGAATTAGCATTTGTTGTGTGCTTGTTTTGTGCCTGGCATAATGTATGTTGCTTAATATGCATTATTTCAACCAGGTTTTCTTTTTTTGTGTAGGAGGTAGGGGGTTGGAAACTTTAAAGAGATTTTATGGAGATCTGCAAAAAAGTCATTCATATTCCCACCATCAAAAATTAAGTTACCATCTCAGCGTATTTATTTCCCATCTCTTTTCTTCATTTTTTAAAAAATCTGATGTTTCTTTAATATAACGCATTTTTATTTTAATCATTCAAACTATGAAATATTATGCAAAGAAAATAAAAAACCTATCTCCAATAAAACTTTCTCTAAAAATAAAAATTATTAATATTGGGTAAAATTATAGCCATCTTTCTATATATATAAATACAGAAAAGATATACTGTATTCATGTATAGATAGATAATAGCATAGAAGAATACAAATATTTTATAAAAATGAGATCATACCATAGACGTTACTTTTAACGTCAAGATTAAATTTTATTTTAGAAAACAGAATAAAACAAAGTAAAAATGATAAATAATTTGAACTTCTAATAAATGATTTGAGACAAAAAAATTTTTTAAATGATTTCTCTAAGGTTAAAAGATACAATGAATGATACAAAGAGGTCAGAGTGCCTTTGTTTGTAAATACAATAATATTATATGTATATATGTGTACATGTATGTATCTATAGACTTTTTGCTGTGAAAGATGATACTAGCGCTCATACTAGCTAATTATATTCCCTCATTCACTTCTCATTTTTCTATTTTGTTGTTTATCTTATCGAGGTTGTAGCATTTATATTCTGTTCTATAACTAAAACTAGCAGAGTTCTTAAGTGTAAGTTTGTGTTTGAAAGTATTCTGTGTGTATCCCATTATTCCTCTTTCATTCTCAAGATCTGCATATTGATTCATATTTAATTGAATGGATTTCATTGTTAAGTGATCTCTTTAAGAATAATCATCTGTTATTTTTCATATTAGCTTTTTTATATTAGTTTTTTTAATGTTCAAATTGTTCAAATGTGTTTGTTGGATGTCTTTTTTTTTTTTTTTTTTTTTTTTGAGACGGAGTTTTGCTCTTGTTGCCCAGGCTGGAGTGCAATGGCGTAATCTCAGCTCACTGCAACCTCTGCCTCCTGAGTTCAAGCGATTCTCCTGCCTCAGCCTCCCTAGTAGCTGGGATTACAGGCGCCCACCACCACGCCCAGCTAATTTTTTATATTTTTAGTAGAGATGGGGTTTCACTATGTTGGCCAGGCTGGTCTCAAACTCCTAACCTCAGGCGATCCACCCACCTCCACCTCCCAAAGTGCTGGGATTACATGTGTGAGCCACTGTGCCCGGCTCAGATGCCATTATATTTGAAAGATATATTGGTGATAATACTAAAGTCATCCTTCCATTTGGAATATTTACAGACTTTTCTTCATTGACTTCTGGTATAAAATGGTACTGTTTAAAATCCCAGCTTATTCTGAGTTTTCTTTTTTACTCTGTGTATGTATGTGTGTGTGATGGGGTCTTGCTCTATCACCCAGGCTATAGTACAGCAGTGTGATCATAGTTCACTGCAGCCTCAAATCCCTGGGCTCAAGTGATTCTCTCACTTCGTCTCCCAAGTAGCTGGGACTACAAGCACCCACCACTGCTAATTTTTCTTTTCTTTTTGTTTTTGGTAGAGACAGGGTCTCCCTATAGTACCCAGGCTCGGTCTCAAACTCTTAGCCTCAAGTGATCCTTCTGTCTTGATCTCTCAAAGTGCAGGGATTACAGGCATGAGCCCCTGTGCCCATCCTTTCACTTTTACTTAGCTTGCTATTTCTGTCCAGTCTTCTTAAAGAAGCTTCCTCTTGATGTTCTTCAAATATTAGTCACTTAATCAGCAAACGCTTTGGTGTTGAGTATTCACTCTTTCAAATATTTCTGGAACATGTTCTTTCCATTTATAGTAACTTTTCTTAATGGTATTTACTGAGACATGTGTTTGATTCTATAACTCGGTGACATCAAGGATCTTAATGTTGAATCATCTTTATCTATGTTTCTAATCCATTACCTTCTCCTCATTGTTTTATTATCTGTGCTTTTTTCACATTATGTGAGATAATTACAATCATCTCAAAACATTATAGCAGTAATGTGACTTTCAGTGGGTATCTGTTTTGTTGCTTGCCTATTCCAATTGATTTATTTGTTATTTATTGATGTTGCCTGGGTTACAGTTTGCATCCTTAGGTTCATGGTCTCCAAATTTATCTGGTTCTATTGTCTGTGTATTTTTTTCATATTGACATTGTTATATTATTTTTAAAAACTCATGCTCTTATTCTATAGCATAAAACTGTTTTGAGGAATTCCCCAGGTTTTCTTGAGTTATGTTTTCTTTTAGATTGAGTATTTTCCCTGTCTTGGTCATGCCATGTTTTACTCTTTTATTGCTGCAATATATTTGCATAGTTACTATTCCATTTCTTTTCATATTGTTCATGCTTGAGAAACTGTGTACAGAAAATTCATTTTACTTAATGGGGAAATATATTTTTTGAATTTTATTTTTATTATATCTGGGAACAATTTTTTTTCTCCTTCTTAGCTCCAGTTTGGAGACAGGATTTATGGCGAGTACCCACATTTTGTAGCCTGAGAGAATGATGGGGCCAAGGAAAGTTCAGCCTTTTTAGGATACCTGGGTGCTTCTCTCTATCCTAAGATTTCTTTTTCAATGAATTGTAGCCAGATTATTATTGGAAGAGACTTCAGTATACTTCATTGGAAGATGTAGCACTTTTCTAATGGGCTTCAGAGGCTTCACCCCTGAGTGCATGGGCATGACATTATTAATTGGTTAAACAGAGTCAGCTTTACTATCCATATTTCCCCACTTTACTTTTTTTTTTTTCCTAGAAGCCCTTTTCATTGCTCTTCAGCCAGAAAGAGGTAAAAGAAAAAGATAAGACCTTTCCATCTGTGTACATACAAATCTGCTTATCTCCAGATTTAGAAGTTATAATGAGAATTCTCAGAATGCTGTTATTTCACCAGTAAATCCTATAGGGTGTGAGGACGACATTAGGAAATCAAGAACTCCTTCCCTTCTCTGAGCCTGACCAGACTGCTTTTACTCCACAGTTGTTTTTGGTTTTTTTCTTTAAGTAATTTTGTCAGGATATGTTCCTTTTCTTTTCAGGCATTGTTAATTTCTGTTTGTCTGTTATTTGTACTTACAACGTCTCACACATTTCATTAGGCACTGATACTGATATAAGAAAACTCACTCAAACATCTTCAATCCACTTGCTCGATCATCATTTACAGGAACACTAAAATATATGACATAGCATCCTCCTTTAACAGCTGAGAAATCAGAGAACAAGAGTGGTGAAGTAAATTGTCCAGCACTGGGGAGCCAGTAATTGACCAGGCTAGAATTAAAACCTCTATCTATCTACACTTCTAGGTCACTGAGGAAAGGTGCCTAAATTACAATTTTAAGATGAGGTTAATAAAAGAACTTATTTTACCCAATTGCAAATATTTTAGAAGACTAATATGATGGAAGCAGATCTGAGTGGATGGTGAAAACAATGGAGAGGGAATCAGGAAGCCAAAGTTTAATTTCTTGCTCTCTCTTAAGACAGATGTTAAATTTGGAAAAGATGATTCAACTTCCTGGGTTTCAATTTCCTTCTCTTTAATAATAATGATGGATGATGATGATGATGCTGATGATTGTCATAATTTGATGACTATATATCTACTCATTGTGAGGCACAATGTGACATATTTTATAAACAATATATTATTAAATCTCAAAACAACCATCTGATATACACATTGCATCTATTTTAATAACAAGGACACAGAAGATTGCTTAAATCCCCTGAGGCCCATTTGATTCCAGAGCACACGTTCTTAACCAGTAGCTCTATGGTCTTTCCAACCAAGAAGTCTGACCTGAGTGGTCTGTAAAAGATCTTCCAGCTTTGAGGTTCTCTAGTGCTGTGGTTGGTATAGAAGGAAATGACTATGGGTTAACATAGGAGAAGCAAGCTCACACATCACTCAAGTACAATTATTAGAGTTACAGACTGGACTTCAAATTAAGTCCTAACATGATCAGGTTTACGCTTGATGTTGTGCATTGCACTGGAGGGGAGAAAACATAATTTCTTTTATTTCCCTTTTTAGGTTTTTAGTTGAGACACCCTCCTACAAACAAAAATCAAATTAACAAAAGAAAAGCAGAAATGTATTAACACATGCTGGACCCATCATGCCGAGAGACATCAATTCAAAAGTATTTTTCTCAAGGCAGTGGCTTGGGGTGATGTTTCAATAATATTTTATCAAAATGCCATAAATTCTGCATAGTAACAAGGCAAAGGAAAGAACAGTTTTAGTCCTTTAAAAGGTGAGAAAATGTGAGAGGATAGTGAAATCTGTTCTCAGATTCCTCTGGTGCCTGCTGGTGCCTTCTCTGGGCTGATAACAAGTGCTGTCTCCAGTAAGGAAGCATGGATGTCCTGCCATCAAGCAAACAGAGGCTGAGGCCGGGTATTCTCCTGCCTTTTCAGTGCCTTTAACTCAACAATCCTCAATATTTGGGGAAGAAATATTTTGGTTTCTTTCAAGACATTAAAAAATAAAAACCACAGAATTTCACCTTACACATGAGTACTAAGCTCTTCCTCATCCTCTTCCCCTTCCCTTTCTTTCATAGCAATTTAGTCCAAATGCCATGAATTGGAGCTGAGTGAGGTAGGCATCCATGTGCATGTGGAAGAGGAGAGCCACAGCAGTCCAGCCTGAGGTGCTGGAACCTGAGAGAGGCGAGAGAGGCATCCATGCAGGGCAGGGGTTAGGACAGTGGTGACTTGGTGTGAGTGGCAGAGCCCAAGTAAGGTGAGAAGGCCATACCTGTGGTGGGGTGGCCTGGCAGAGGGTATCAGAGCCTGAGGAAGGGGAAGAGGGTTCCATTGTTAGGGGAGGGTGTTGAAGGCAGAAGCCTGGAGTCTGGTGTTGGAGCCAAGGAGAAGGAGGGTGGTTTCTGGGGGAAAGAGAGCTCCCGTGTGATCTGAAAGATGTGAGAAAGCGAGAAAGCTATCCATGTAGGAATATGTCTGTGTACCAAGTGTCAGAGCCCGAGTGGGGTGAAGGAGGACATCCACACTGGAGGCAGACCCTAAACAGGGTCAGAATCTGAGTGAGGTGAGGAGGGAGGAATCACCCAGCTAGTGGTGTCAGGGCAGGTATAGGAGTAAAACTGGGAGTGGACATCAGGACCTGAGCAGGGGGAAGAGGACGCTGACAGTGATACGAGACTAGTCACATACAGGGGAAGTGAGCAAATGCATAAATATGTCAAAGATAATGGGCACCAGGGTTCTCACAGCCTAAATGGGAGTTGCAAATATAAACAGAGGACAACTGTAAATCACCATAAATGAACACATCACACACGTATAAAATCTACGCACACACACAAATTTGCTGAGAGGCTCTGGGCAAGAGCACCTCAAAAAAAAATGAGTACGGTGAGCATCCTCATGATGGCTTCTAAATACCAATCTCTAATAAAGGAAGCCAGGTTGTTTTGTTTTGTTTTGTTTTTGTTTTTAACAACAACAACAAAAATGGCTACTTTGCTGGCAGAGCAGGTGAAATACAAGATGATCCTGGAACTCTCTCTTGTATCAGAAAGGAAGAATTCAAAGAAGGGTAAGGACATGCCAAAGGCAAGCCATTTGAAAGCATCGAATAAATAGCAAATGTATTATAACTCATTTACCAAAATAAGAAACCTTGGATTCACACCGATAAAACAGATCATCCTCATAGAAATATATGAATAAAAAGTTTAAATGTCCAGTGAGGCATATTTGCATTGTCTAAAATCCCTAGCCACAAAACACTAATTATAAAGAAAAAAAAGATACTTACTTTTATACTGGAGAAGTCTGACAGGTACCACCTTAGTCAAATGATTATTTAACTTCAAGAGCAATGGGACAGATAGAAGTCTTAACCTTCTACCTGACAGAACGCAGCATAAAGAGCACAGCATCCTGAATCGAATTGTAATGAAAGTGGTTTATTACCTCCAATGGTGTATCCAGTGAAGGAGGAGAGGATAGAGGGAAAGAGGGCAAGACAATGGGATCAGTGTACTTGCTGGCTGGGAGAAGCCTTTTTTATAGTGATTTTTAAAGCCAATTTTTACTGCTTTTATTATTATTTTTGAACATCTTTATAGACCCTTTTATTATATGTGCCCTTGGCATATAGCTCCTACCAATACAGGGAAGAGTCTGTGACTTGCCATTGATACCTGACTATTCAGACAAGCCCAAATGAGGTGAAACTTTACCACATAACTGCCTTGTGATCTAAGGTGTTAAAGTCAGGGAAATCAAGGAAAGACTGTGGAATTGTTGCAGATTGAAATAGACTAAAGAGACATAATTAAGAGAGGCCATGCATGGTGGATCATGCCTGTAATCCCAGCACATTGGGAGGCTGAGGTGAATGGAATGCTTGAGCCCAGAATTTTAAGACAAGCCTGGCAACATGGTGAAACACCATCTCTACAAGAAAACAAAAATTAACCTGGCATGGTGGCAAAAATTAACCCAGGAGGGCTAGGTGGGAGGTTCACCTGAGCCCAGGAGGTTGAGGCTGCAGTGAGCTGTGATTGTGCCACTGCAATTCAGCCTGTGCAACAGAATGACAATCTGTCTCAAAAAATAAAAAGAAAATAAAAAAGAAAAAAAATATCAACTGGATTCTTTTGGTGTAAAAGATTTTATTGGGGGCCAGACACAGTGGCTTAATCCTGTAATCCCAGCACTTTGGGAGGCTGAGGTGGGAGAATGGCTTGAGGTCAGGAGTTTGAGACCAGCTTGAGCAACAGAAGGTGACTCCATATAGCCAGGCATGGTGGCAGGCACCTGTAGTTCTAACTACTTGGGAGGCTGAGATGGGAGGATCACTTGAGCCCAGGAGTTAGAGGCTTCTGTGAGCTATGATCACACTACTGCACTCCAGCTTGGGTGACAGAGTGAGACACTGTCTCTACAACAAAAATGAAACAACAAAAAATAGAATTTTATTAGAAAAAATGGGAAATGGGACCTGAAGATTAGCTGCTTAGAGCTGAATCAATGTTAATTTCTTGATATTGTTGGTTTTGGGGGTGTTATGCCCTTTGTTTGTTGGAAATATAAACTAATTTATTTGGGTAATAGGGGATTGGTTTACAAGAGAAAAAAATTCTTTGTCCATTTTTGTAATACTTTTTGTGAATTTGAGATTGTTTTAAAATAAAATAATTTTAAATATGTATATTGAATTGATATTTAATATAGACTTGCATTCAAAACAGGGCCACTTTTTTTTCATGTGATTTATTCTTTTCTTTTCCCAGGTGATGGTCTTTTAAGCCGTCCTATTTTTACTCAGGAGCCACATGATGTCATTTTTCCTTTGGATTTATCAAAATCTGAGGTCATCCTGAATTGTGCTGCTAATGGTTACCCTTCGCCTCATTATAGGTAAAATCCTACCTGTGGGCACCACACTATTTTGTTCTTCCTCACTGAACCAAAACATACACAAAATAAAGTGTTTTATAAAATGTCCTAATTTGTAGTGTACAGCTCAAGGAATTTCTCTACGGGTATGCAGCCATGTGACAATCACTCAGATAAAGATATAGGCATTTCCAGTACCCCAGGGTATTCCCTCATGCCGCTTTCCAGGCAATAATTAACCCCCTACCCACCAGCTCCAGGTAACCGTACTTATGTCTCTGTCTTATTGATTAGGTCTGCTTAGAACATTTATTCTTGAGATTGGTGCCATGCATTGCCTTATTGTGGTCAGAAATGAGAGAGAGAGAGAAGAGAGATAGGGGAGAGAGAGAAGAGAAAGACAGGAAGCAAGTAACACAGGAAGCCAGGAAGAAAAGAAAGATAAAAGGAAAGAAAAAAATGAAGAGAAAGGAAAAAAAAAGATTTGTTTCCTCAATTTGAAAGACTAAAATGTAAGCTCATTTTGCATTTCCCACCCCTGCCTCAATGCGGAACTGCAGCCTCAGTTGCTGCATATGCAATGATTATGAAAATGTTCTATAAGGAATGAATCCAGATGGATATCTAGATTTATTTCATCAGATAAAATTATGTGACTTCACTGGTGGGTCACATCACCCAAAAATACTGATTTTAGAAAAATATGTTGAAGACAGCTATGTACCCTCTAAGGCAGAAAGGGAATTTTTATTCTGGGCAAATAAGAAAAAAAAACCTATATTTGTTTCTCACATATTATTTGTGGAATTCTAGGGAGAAAGGGTCAGTAAGTTTTTGTTCTTATTTATCAAGTTGTAGCAAAGGCAGAATTTGCTTCATATTGTGGGTGGAATTTACAAATTTAAAAATATATGCATACGTAAATATTCATAGGTAAATACTACAGATATTTAGTTAGTAGAAACTTCATATGTAGTGTTAATACAGGAAAAGAAAATACATATTAAACTTTTGTAGCTTTGGGTTTTAAAACCTTTTTTTAAGTCTTGTTTTACAGATGTGAAGTTGATATGACACACACAAAGAGTAACAACTTCAGTGTATTTTGGCAAAATAAGCTGGTTTAGCCTGATTTTATTTTGCAGTAAAAATACACTCTTGATGTGCATAGTTATTTAGATCCTAAAATTGTCTAGATTAATGAGTTAAATGACTTAAATGCACTTAATTAGCTAAATGACTTCAAAGCTAAAGGCAATTCTACCTTATCTTGAATTTTTTTGAGCTAACTTCAGTGTCTTCTTTTTACAACAAAGGAGCTGAAAAACCATGTCTTCTCATTCCACAGACTAAAGCTTCCTTGTCTTTATCATACCCAAACCAGTGAAACTCATCTGTCAGGGGAAGATCCTTCACTTTGCAAATTTGGGACACTCAATTCAGAGTTTGTTGATTTGTTAGTTTTTCTTAAATGATGAGCTGTCCTATTAGTTTAATATATGGTTAAATATATGAAAATTTGATTAATACATTTAGTGAGATCACCTAATACTTAAAGTAGTAATTTTATGTTTGAGAGCTAACTAGGTTGATCCTAGGGGTTAGTAGAGAAAGAATATAAGAATTCCTATAACATTTTTTGAAAGTTTGCTGAATATAAGACAGACACATAAATACATAAATTACATATTTATATAAAAAATCTATTGGCTTTTAACAGTTAGAAGGATATAAAATAGGTTCTCAAGATAATTTGCTAATTAGTTTTATCTGTGAAAAAATAGAATGAAGGCAACAGTTTTCAATGTTGTTAAATGGCTTTTATTTCTAAGATCCTTGTAAGCTAAAAGGCTAAAGACAAGTAATTTATGTGCTTATTTCCAGCCCCCATAACCTGGTTTGGCTCATTTCTTTTTTTTTTAACTTTTAAGTTCAGGGGTACATATGCAGGTTTGTTATATAGATAAACTTGTGACATGGGGGTTTGTTGTACAAATTATTTCATCATCCAGGCACTAACCCTGGTGCTTATTAGTTATTTTTCCTGATCCTCTCTCTCCTCCCATCCTCCATCCTCCAGCAGGCCCCAGTCGTTGTTCCCCTTACTCATAGACAAGAAACTATGGAAAGAGAGTGAGAAAAGAATTAAGTTTTTAATGCTTAAATGTCAGACTCAGGCCCAACTTTATTGATAATAAAGCAAAGGACAGAGGTATTTCAGATAACGTGCATTACCAACAAAATGTAAAAGTTCAGTTTTAATATGACCCTTTCTAACTTAAATTTTATTTTTTAAAAAGCCTCACAACTATATTCACCTTAGATGGTGTGTGTGTGCATGTGTGTCTTAGAAGGAAAGCCTTCACAATTCACAGATTCTAACGTTATTTGAGGTTACCTGGGTATAGTGTAAAGCAACATAAAAGAATCCTTGACTTAAAGTTATCATTTCTAGTCACAGCTCTATCAATCCATTGGTGACTTTGGAATAATCATTTTTCTCTCCTGGCGTCATCTTCCTTATTCATAAAATGAGGCTGGGTTTGATTTTAAGATGTGTTTTCTTTCTTTTAGTAAATTCCATACAGCAAATGAAATCTCAGGGAAAATAAGCAATATTAAAAGCAAACTTTTTGAAAGAGCTTAAGCTTGCCCATGAAAAAGGATTACCCTTTATTCTTTCAAAGATCACATAACACATGAGAATATGAAGTCCAGCCCTGAAGCCCTGCAAAGGGAAGAGAAATGGGCTACCCAAAGATGGTGCTTTGGAAGGATTGCTTATACCTGGAAAGTCTAGGAAAATCATGTAGCAATGAACTTAGTTCTACCTCAGAATATATATTTGATTTGGAAAAATGAAATAACATACACATAAATTATTTCTAAATAGAATATACTCTCTATCAGAAAAAAGGATTTCTGACAATCTTCTCTCTACCTGGTCACCAGAGGAGACTCCTTTCTGTAATTTAGTCTACTCTACCCTAGTCATGAACACAACCTTAAGTCTAGAGAAGCTCTAGGCCTCTAAGAAAAAACTATAATAGTAGTGACTCTGCCCTTCTGTTCTTTTTATTCATTTCCCGCAACTTTATCCTTTTAACAATCCTGTGAGATAAGCAGAATATACATTATTGCACACATCGTATAATTTGTGAAATGACTTCTGGAGAAATCAGAAGGCTTGTTCAAGTATATGCAGCAAAGGAACGTCAAAGCTAGGACTAGGATTCTTTCCACAGGGGTCACAGACTCAAATTCAGTGTACATCACAATCACCCAGAGAGACTTAAAATTTAGATTTTGGTGTTCTCTGTCAGAGGTCTGGGGATGGGCTCAGAAATAAGCCAGGCAGAGAGAGACAAATATCATCTGATCTCACTCATATATGGAATCTAAAAAAAGTTGATTTCATAGAATCAACTCATAGAAGTAGAGTGTAGAATGGAGGTTACCAGAGGCTGAGTCAGGGAGGGGCAGGAAGGGAAAGGGGACAGGTGGGTCAAAGGGTGAGAAGTGACCTTTAGACAGGAGGAATAAGTTCTGGGATTCATTTGGACAGTAGAGGGATTATACTCAATGATAATGTATTGTATATTTCAAAGGAGCTGGAAGAGAAGATTTTGAATGCTCTCACCACAGACAAATGATAGATTTTTGAGGTAATGAATATGCTCATTACTCTGATTTGATCATTACAAAATGCATACATGTATGAAAACATCACATTACTCCCTATAAATATGTGCAATCATTATTTGTCAATTAAAAATAAATAAAACTCAAAAAAAAAGAAACACATTCTTTCAGCAAATATACCATGTAATTCTAAAGCACAGCCTAATTTTGAAAAACACCAACAGGCACAAGCGCGCACACATGCACACACACACACAAACACACACATATTACGGAAGGACAGCCAACAAACACAGCCCACAACCATTATTCTTTTTTTGTTTTTGTTTTTGAGACAGTCTTGCTCTGTCAGCCAGGTTGGAGTTCAGTGATGCAATTTTGACTCACTGCAACCTCTGTCTCCCAGACTCAAGCAATTCTCCTGCCTCAGCCTCCCGAGTAGCTGGGATTACAGGCGTGTGCCACTATGCCCGGCTAATTTTTGTATTTTTTTAATAGAGACTGGGTTTCACCATGCTGGCCAGGCTGGTCTTGAACTCCCGACCTCAGGTAATCAGCCTGCCTCGGCCTTCCAAAGTGCTGGGATTACAGGCGTGAACCACCGCACCTAGCCCAGCCATTATTCTTGACACAGGACTGAACTACTTAAAAGTGAAGGATGTTTCCCAACAAAGGGTCGAGATTTTAGTTCACATCCATTATGTTTTCTGGAACTAATATGATATTAATTCAGATGCTAAAAGCAATCATTTAAAACACATTTCCTAGGTTGCATCATAGGAAGACACTTGTCAGTATGCAATTCTATCAGAAATGTGTGCATGACAATCATTTGAATTCATTAATACTGTTTCTCCATTGATTTAGACATATTAATTAGGACAAAGCCCACACCAGGAGTTGAACCCCTGATCTATATGTACAGTTTAATAATCATTGTACCGTAGTGATCAGAATGATTATGGGGATACTGTGAAAAATTCATTTGCTGCCGCTAAGCCAACAACTTTGAATTTGTGTTGAAAAACAATTACTGAGCTTAATTAGGAGCATGTAATGATGACAGCGGTTATTTCAGTGATTGATTCCAAAATTAAAAGGAGCTGGCAAACTAAATATGGTATATCCTATGCTTTGAAAACGATAGGGAACATGGAAGTCTAAAGAGCAAATTATCAAAAACTATATTAGAGTGCTGGCAAGGAGAATATTGGTGTCTTGAGACAGGCCTAAAGAAAGAAAAGTTTTGAAGGGTTTTATTATTGTTTTTTTTTTTTTTCACTTTTTTCTTACCCTAATATTGAAAACGAGCAGTCTCTACAAATTCCTCTAGAAAAAAATGATCGCAGAAAATCTAGGCAAATGAAATGTACTCTTTAACTGCTGTCTTTCAACTTCCAGGTGTGCAGGAAATGGCTAAATAATTTCAAAGTTAACAGAGTTGGTTCAAAACCTTTGATTGATTTGACATCTGATCCATCACATCTCATCTTTAACATGGTAGAGGATTACCTAAATTCATATTTCTTTTCTACTTTGGTAGGCATTTGTCAGATTCTCCCCATGGGATGTTTGAAGACGCGCCCGAAGAAGTCAATGACATTTGAATTAATTCTGTATTTTTAGTAGAGGCGGGGTTTTGCCATGTTGCCCAGGCTCGTCTCAAACTCCTGGCCTCAAGCTATCTGCCCACCACGGCCTCCCAAAGTGCTGGGATTACAGGCATGAGTTTCTGCACCCAACCTCTTTGAATTAATTATGTAAAATGTCATTTTTTAAAAAATTAACCACTCCCACCAAAATATTTTTAATATGATTTTGGTATAAAGGGGAGAATCATAGCAAAGCTGGCATAAACCCTAAAAAACACAGTTTGGAAACTGGCTATATTCCATAGGAAAAGATCATTCACTTGTTTTCCTAGATGACTGTGATGGGGTTCAGGACATACCACCTCAAAATATGGCACCTTGGCATTTGAGAAAATAGCAGAAGCAGGAAGATCATTCTCACCTTCCCCTCACTCTTCTTCTCTGAAGCAGGTCATAAAACCTTTATTCCAGAGGTATCATTTCTATATCCAGAGGAAAGAAACACCCTTTTCCTCCTCAAAGACACAGAGAAATCAAGAAGAATTGGAACAAAAGGCCTTGCTAACTTCCCGCCAGTTTCTTACCATTAGATCATACCCTCTTTTTACAATCATACTTCTGCAGGACTGTCTACTCTTCATCAAAACTAGCATTAAAAACACACAGGTTTTCCTGTTTTTTAGGATTTTTTTTCTGAAGGCTTTCATGTCATGGAATATTTATATTAAATAAAATTATATGTTTTTCTGTTATTAATCTTCCTTTCCTTTTAGAGACCTCAGCCATGAACTTAGCAATGAGTGAGAAAAGATATTTTTCTACATGCACAACTGTTTGTCATTATTCAATAGTTTTAAGTGTTTATTTTAAAAAATGGTCTATGTGACTATACACAGCCTGTGCCCTAGGAATGTATCTCATTAGATATATACGATTCATGCTTCAAAATATTTGGGGATTTTGATGGAGTTGGGAGTTTCAAGGTAGGAAAAGTGAGTCTGGTTAGAGATAATAATCAGGTATTCATTTGTCTTAAAAATGACCAAATAAAATTTCTAAAACTAGTTATGAATCTTTGAAAGTAAATATAACTCTAAGACTCTTCAGCTAGTTAATTCATGTACTAAAGAATTGTTGACTAATAGCTAAGCCAAGAGAATTTTTGCTTCTCAAAATAAAAACCTCTCAAACAGCATTTGCTTTGCTAAAGTATAATTTTAGTTTGGCATTTCTAAGTACCATTGAAATATTTTCAACATGATTAATTTTCCAAGTAACATACTAACAGAGGTAATCATGTTCTAAAGTAGTCAGGTTATTATTGTTTTGTTATCAGCCCTGAATTGGCGTTGTAAAATTATGCTTGCCGCTTTCAATATACGCTTCTTGAATTCCTATCTTTAAATCATTTTGACATTCAATTTTGTGCTACCAGTTGTGGATGTTCAGGTAAGGTATATGTTATTTGAAAAGTCACTAAAGGAATAGGTTGGCCAGTATTATTGACTGACTGTCTAATTTTTATTTCTCATGTTGAGAGTTCTGTTTCCTCTTTGTATACATTTGGGTGAATGTAACTTATAAAGAGTACATCTTTCAAATAATCTAGTTACTGATCTCACCAAACCCACCAAGACAGCTACCTTTGGTAAAACTGGTAGGATTACCTCCACATGTAATCATGTTTTTTGGTGTTTTTTATAGTTGCAGGAATTAGAACTACATGTTTTTTAAGACAAAGATTGATTGACTCTGTATATTATAAGCACTTTATTTTTTTTTTCCTTGAAGGTGGAAGCAAAATGGCACAGACATTGATTTTACTATGAGTTATCACTACAGGTTGGATGGAGGCAGTCTTGCAATCAATAGCCCCCACACAGATCAAGATATTGGCATGTACCAGTGCCTGGCCACCAATCTTCTGGGGACAATTCTGAGTCGGAAGGCAAAGCTCCAATTTGCATGTGAGTTTGGGGTAAATTTTGTAATCTTTGTCTCTGAAAATATAATATTCTTCTGATACACACATTTTAAAAATCTAGCTTTGCCAATGATATATTTGAGAATGAATATGACTTTATGGGCTTTTGACAATGTTCATTTTGTGAATCTAGATTCTTGGGTATAATAGAAACCTGCTTCTAAAAAAAGAATAAAAAAAACAGGGAAAAGATCAATGTTATTATATTTTGTGAATTATTTTTAGAAACATTTCTAAAAGTTTCAGACATAAATATTAAGATAAAGATGTATGATATAGCATTCTTTTTCTTTTTCTTTTGCATTGGATATTAATGCAATGTGGAGAGCACAGGAAGAAAAAGCTGAGGGCAGAGAGGTCATCTGGGGGAGGTGGGCGTTCTCCCAAGAAAAGCGATCATGCACCCGTAGTTTGATGTAGGTGGAAATAAAGTGGTTGCCAAAGGCAGGCTTTATATTAACTGTAACAATGTCCAGCTGCATCACATAAATGTCATCCAAGTAATTACCCTGGTGACATTTGGGGACATTAGCAGATGAACAATAGACATACTGCGTCTAATATCCTTTATATATAGTGTTTCCAGGGACTGAAATGTTTCATACTGGATTCAGCAAAAGCCTTGCTTGAGAGTAATTATATCTGTTGATGTGGATAAAGTAGAAGGCTTGCATTTCTCCCTTTGCACCAACCATTATGTCCCAGAGGATCTAGCCAAGGAACCAAAAAGTGAGCTGCTATACCTGCAGGGCTCATAGAAATGTCTATACTGTCTGTTACTTTGAAAAAGTAATTGTTCTGAAATTTTATTAACAAATACATGACCAAAACTCACCTTGTGAAACTACTTCAGTCATCAGTAGATACATGAATTAATAACTGGGTCTGTTTCTCATTGCAAGTCTTGTGTTCCAAAGATTATTCTACACCAGAGATCCCTTGATCTACACAGAGTTCTCTTTATGTTGACCATTTTGGGGATGGCCTTGCTTCTGATTTTACATACACCACATACACATACACACATGCACACACATATACATATATACAGATATACACACATAAATATGTTGCTAACTGTATCCAAATGTATTTGTATCTATGGAAGTAAGAAGTGAACGTGGAAGTTTATTAACCTAAATAGAAGGTGGGAAAGGGCCAGTGGCTACTTTCGAACATAGGATAAAAATATTTATAACACTTGATTTCTTCATTTCAGCTAAGACTATCACCTGGAAAAATAATAGGGAACAAAATAACATAAAAACTTATGTTATAGAAATAAAGAATTGTTCCAGACTTTGAACGATTCTGCCACAGTAATTGTTTATTTCTCCTGCTTGGATAGGAGATGACCCTACAACATACACATGATATGAATCAGATTCCATAATCATAAATTTGACTCTTTGGTAAAGGAAACTCCATACAGCATATTTATTTGCTATACCCTCGAGTTTCTCTACAGTTATGATTCTATCTACTCTCGAAAACAGTTGAATGTCTACATCTCAAATCAATGCACTCTTTGATATAACCATAGATTTCTTCTCCTTTGTTCTGTACTTTTTAACAAAAATATGTTTTAAAATGTCCTACATTATTATATCATACCTTCTTTCTGCTTTAAAAATTTCTTGCAACGAGAAGTTTCTCTAGTTAAAACTTATTTTGTTTATGCCATATCAGAATAAAAGTCTCAATTAAGAAGAAATTATATGCTTTCATCTGGCTAAATGGGACAAATCAATTTTTCTGTCCTTATTGACTTTCCCATCTTATCATAAAATTTTCCATTTTGGGGCAGAAGGTGTATGACTGTTGATCTTGAAAAGCATTTCTATTACCTTTAATGCAGAAAGTAAGATGGCCTATATCCATTAACTAATCTTTCTTCTGCAAAGTTAAAGGATCTTAGGCTCTAAGAGCTTGCAAAAGCAAGGACCACAACATGGTGGTGGTGTCATGTCTGAAATATTTCTCATTGTATCCGGGGAGACATGTGCGAGAGTGTGGAAACAGAGAGTAAAGGGTATAAATGCCAGTCCCCAACCAAATGGAAAGTTCCTAAAGTGCATGAACTGTACCTTCATCTTAATTATAATTCCTCACAACCTCCTTCATAAATTTTTAACAATATCAATTGTGATAGAAAAGGCCTTTGGTAGGATAACCACAGCAGATAAATGCTGAGATTTTGGGAAACAGAGAGGTGTGAGTTCAAATTCTTTTTGTCAAATATCTAGTGGTATGAAATTAGGTCTTTTCTTAACAACGTTAAGCTTCTGTTAAGAAATCTATACGATGAGGATACAGCAGTAGCCACCACATAGGACAGTGACATGGAGTCACTGAGAAAATGAAGGTCAAGTCCCTGATCCATTATGGACCCTAGGGAAATGACAGCTCTAATTCTTTCTTTCACTATTATTACCTATCTCAACTTAGACAGACATCTATATATTTCAAACCACTTGAGTTTCTTATGGAAACTCTCCTAGTTTAGTTTACATTTGAAAACTTCCTAAAGGCTAGTTTCTTGTTCTTTTCTTTTCATGTCAAATATAATACATGTGCTTTGACATATATTATTTCACTTGAATTGGACAACAGCTGTAGGAGGCAGTTGCTATCATTGCCCCCATTTTACAGATTAGAAGCCTGAGGCTCACTGATATTGGGGCTTTCTTAAAGTATGTTGTTAGAGAAAAGTTGGAACTTGTGTATAGACAAAGAAGACTTCAGACTCTAAAACTCATGCACTTCATGTCACAGTATTGAGTCCTTCTCAAACACTGACCACACAGTTCATGTGGGCCTTCTTTCTTTGTTTCACTTGCTGGCACAGTAATTGTCTAAATAATAAACTGTATCTTCAGGACAGAATGGGTCAAATAAGCCTGGTAGTAGAGGCTGGTGATTCCTTGTCCACATCCGCTTTTGCAAGTGATGTGCCAACCCCCAGCTATGAATACCCACAGATATCCCTTTTTGCATTTCATGCCCCAAACCTCTCCATGGGATCAGGCTGAAACCAGACAACAGCTGCAACACCTTAATTAGCTTCTTCACTTGCTGTTTCCTTCTTCCCTCCCTGCCTTTCTCCTAAGAGGATATCCTCAATAAATCATATGCACTTGAATCCTTGCCTCAGGCTCTGCTTCTAAGGAATCCAAAGCGAGACAGAGATTAAACATTTAATATGAGATTGCCGATCTACTTACTGACAGAAAAAAGCGGGTGCAGAAGCCCCACTCCCATGAACTCCCATAGATAAGAACAAGCTATGCATCAGAATAAAAATGGATCAACTCCCTTGCTTCCTGTCCGTTGGCAGTCCATTGTAAAATGTCACTTTGACCTTCAGAATGAATGGCCTTATGAACAACCTTTCAGAATCTACCCTGTCCATGGCAGAAACGCTGCAGGGACATACCTCTAGATAATTGATGGCTTTTGTTTGTCACTTTTATCCTGGTATTCAGTAATCCAAAAGCACACTTTGAGTTTATTTTAGACACAGACTGTAACACTCTGCTTCATTATGAATCGTCTCATCATGAAACCATCCTGAAATGTGGCCTGTATATAAAAACTACCTGTTGTGAAACATACTCCTAAATCAAATCTGTCTTTAACCAACTATGTAACTTAGACAAGTCATTCAGTTCTCTGGATTTAGCTAAAGTATATTTTGAATTATTTGATTACAAAAGTCTCTTTCAGCTATTGTCATATAATCTGTCCTTCCAAATACTCAGGTAGATCCTATTTTAAGTATCTCTTTCTTCCCCAACCCAAACTCTACCCTAAAACAAATTCAGCAGGAGTCTAGTCACCAAAGGCTTCTGTTATCATCCTGGCATTCTTGAATGATAAAACTAGTTTGACTTCCAAAATCACTTGTAGCTGCTTTCAATTTCTTTTATTTATCAAAGCTTTTGGTGGTAAAGGTTGAACTTAGACCTCTTCCTTTTGTATGTATGTATGTTAATGAATTACTCTGTACTTGTGTGAGAGAACATTGCATCTGTCATTGCTGTTTAAAATGTCATCCTTGAGAAAATGAGATAGGTGTTTTGAAAGAAACCCATGATATCACTCAGATGTAATTTTTAAATGCCCTTATAATATATAACTCTACCAATGAAAAGATAAACATTTATGATAAAAGGTAGTCATGAATGGGGCTTTTTGATCCTACATTATTTAATGTGTAATCACAGCTAGCATTTCAAATAAGTTTGCTCCATTATTGCAAAAGGAAAGGCAGCTGGGCTGGAGCCTCCTAATTGACCCTTCATTTATTCATCCTCCAAGCAACCGGAGAACACCTAATTTATACCCATCAAGTACTACACTAGGTCCTAAAGATTAAATGGTAGATAAGAAACAGCTACTTCCTGTCTCAACAGAACAGACAGGGGAAACCTTTAATAAAATTAAAAATAAGAAAAGGAAAATAAAGGAAAGTGCTAACGCCTACAAAGTATTATGTGGCAGGCATTGTTCCAAACTCTTTATGTAAATTAGCTCCATTGATCCTCACAATAACCCTCTGAGAGTATCATGATCTTCACTTTCAGATAAGCAGATTGAGGCACAGAAGAATGAACTAGCCTGCCTAAAATCACACACCGTATGTGGGAGAGTCTGTTTTCAAATCCAGACAGAGTGAAGAGTCCTACCACCTACTGCACTGTCCCAAAACATCAAGTGAAGTGAGAAAGGTGAAATTGACCTATAACAGAGTGGAGCTCAAAGTGAGAAGTAGTGAAGTTTGTCTGAATTGGAGAAAAGGCAAGGGAAGCCTTTCAAAGGAAATGGGGCTTGCATTGAACCTTGACATGTTAGTTTGTATTCTGGACAGAGAAAGTGGTAGAGAAAGTACAGGTCGGAAGAACAGTAAGAGGAAATGCAGATGTGTGAACAATCTTCAAGTATCGAAGAAAGTGTGGGGAGGTGGGCAAAAGACCTGAGAACTGAAATGCAGAAAGCTAGGGATCAGAAATGACTGGTTTTCTAGGTTGAGACTGAAAACTAATTTGGAGCCACTTATAAGTAGTCCTTTATATCCGGGCCTAATCTGCAAACAATAGGATAATTTAGAGATATTATGAGATGCCAAAGAAACATGCAAAAATCCATCATAGTACAATATTCCACACTCAGTATGACACTGTGTACGGTGTTAATTTATGGTTAAATGCCAGTATTGCCCATTTCATATAGGGTTACTATGAGGACCAAATATATTATGTGGAAAGCAGAGGGCAAGGGCAACTGATAGACTGGTATGAGTTGAAGATGGTGAGCTAGGCAGGGGTCTGGCCATACAAATACTAAGAGGCCAAGTTTTGTATTTTACTGCTTATCCTAAGAGCAATGGAACCGTTCTGAATAATGTTAAGGATGTTGAAGTTGTTTATAAAATGTAGTTTGAAGCCAGGCGCGGTGGCTCACGCCTGTAATCCCAGCACTTTGGGAGGCCGAGGCGGGCGGATCACAAGGTCAGGAGTTTGAGACCAGCCTGGCCAACATAGTGAAACCACGTCTCTATAAAAAATACAAAAAATTAGCCGGGTGTGGTGGTGTGCACCTGTAATCCCAGCTACTCGGGAGGCTGAGGCAGGAGAATCGCGTGAACCCGGGAGGCAGAGGTTGCAGTGAGCTGAGATCGTGCCAGTACACTCCAGTCTGGGCAACAGAACGAGACTCTGTCTCAAAAAAAAAAAAAAAAAAAAAAAAGTAGTTTGAAATACCACATACTATTTCCTTAAATATGTTAGTCTGACATATTAATGATATTATTAATATTATCAAAACCATAGCACACATACTTAGGGGGCATCCCAAACCTCAGTTTTTATCATATACAATGGAGTGAACGAATTCTTGCACCACATCACAGGATTGATTTTAAATGGTTCAAGGTTAAAATGCAGTAAGAATGCATTTTAAAGGGCTATAAACATGTAGGCATTTACAATCATCATAGTTTTTTCCAGAGGAATGCAAAGGGTTTTACACCTGCCATGCCATTCATCTTTATTCTATACCTGTAAGCTATTCTTAACCATGTTTTACAGGTGAAGACATTAAAAGGCAGGACAACTATGTTACTTGCCCAAGGTCAACTAACCTACAGCAGACCCAGAATTTCTAACATTTCCTTCTTGAAACAACTTTTTAAATTTATATTTATTTTGTAGACAGAGGAAGTAAATCAGAATTCTCATGAATTTAATGCCATATTCAAAGAAAAACAAAAAAGGTAAAGTCGTAACATAAAGGTCTTTGACTCCTTGCAGAAGGATTCTAAGATATTTGTGTATTTAAAGGTGATAAATATTTTTATTTCTATCTTTTGACCAGGGTCTTATAAGCAAGAACAAAAACCCTCACATTTAGAAATAAATTTTAAGAGTTTCCAAATTTCTTTAAAATTCTTTCATATATAAGAAATATAAAAGCAGTTATATGTGCTCCCGATGATATGGTGATAAAGTGCATTTATATCAGAAAAAGAAATTAAGACCCAGCAGAAGAAGCTTTAAAAATAACACTTAAAAATGCTTTTGGAAATTGTAAAGTCTCCGATAATTGCGAAGTGCGTATTAAGTGGGTAATGCATACCTAATTATAAATGAAAATGCTAAATGGCTTTTAACCTTTTTTCTACATCAGAAAAGAACTAACTGAACAAAAGCCATGAAGAAATATTTTTTCTTTAATTTCTTAAATTAAAAAAGTTGGTAAATTAGTATTGATTTTTTCAGTATCATTTGCAAATAGCATAAGCAATGTTACAATGGATTTAATATTCTCAATTTGTCTTAATGAAATAACAGCATAACCACCAATTGTTATCATATCAAGGAGAAAACTTTGTCTTTGCTTTTAAAAATAATTCAGATCTTAAACAAATAGACTGTAAGCAGTTGCGTGGTTAAATTATAGCAAGCCACTGTTATATTTATATTTAAAATCAACAGGGAAGTAGATTATTCAATGCTTTAGCCTCATTTTTTCCCACACTATCGCTGCTGGAAATCTATTTATGTGTCTTATCAGAAATGGTACTTTTTCAAAATTCAGGCCTTCTCCCACTGCCTACTTCTACTTATATTCAGCAGGAGCTAGTCTTTTTAGTTCATTTGAATAAAATTGTGCAGGCTAAGAGTTGGGATGGGAGAGGAAAATATAAGAAAGTAGGGGATCCATTCTATCAAAACTGGGAGTTTCTGATTTACAAAACTGAGACAGATGCACAAGCTGAAATGCTTGTTTATTACTCATGTTATTTGACAAACTGTTTCAAGGAATTTATGAACATAGCACATAGAGATTTTGCTTCTAAGATTTATAAAATTGGTTCAAATTACAGTGACATTTTTTGCATTAAAGGATCAAATATTTCTATTGTTTATTTATATATAAATAAATATATAATACATATAAAGAGCATTTATAAGTAATAATGTGTATATAATTATCTGAATTTATATCCAATATTGTCTAAAAAGTAAATCAGATTCAGGTGTTTAAATAGCAAATACAGGAGAGAAGATGGCGGATAAGCAGCAAGACTAGCTTGCAGCTCCTGCTGGGAGGGATAGAGCAGCATGTGGAGACTCACATCATACTTTGCCCCAGAAACTACCCCAGGAACATACCAGGAAAGCCGAGAGAATCCACAAACCCTTTGAAAGAACTGGATCACCGCTGCAGGCTCCCTGAGATGCAGAAAAACTGTGAGTCGGCTTGCTTTCTCAATAGGGAGGCTGGTGGTCTGGGGCAGGTTCTCAGCCCTGGTCACTAGCTGTCTGGAAATAGACTCAGTGCTGCTGGGGGCGGGTGGGGCATGGTGGGAGTGAGACTGGCCTTTAGGACTCACGCTGTGTGGGGGTGGGGTGAGGCCTGTGACTGCGTTTTCCCTCACTTCCCTGGTGAACTGTATGACTCAGCAGAGGCAGCCATAATCCCCCTGGGAATATAACTCCATCGGACTGGGAACTGTACCCCCATCCCTCACAGCAGCTGCAGCAAGCCCCACCCAAGGAGAGGCTGAGCTCAGACACACCTTATCCCTATCCCAGTCTGGTGGTCTTTCTCTATGTGTCCTGGTAGCCAAAGACAAAAGTCATAATGTCTTGAAAGCTCTATCGCCCTGCCCACCACCTGAGAAACCTGAATACTTTTGCATCCTCCGTATAGGACCACAGCTGATGCACTCCCGAAGCGCCATCTCCTGACTGGAGGCCAACCAACACAAAACCAGCGCTAAACAAAAACGCAACCAAGGACCCTCACAGAGTTCACTTCACTCCCCTACTACCTCCACCAGAGCAGGTGGTGGTATCCACAGCTGCAAGACCTAAAGATGGATCACATTACAGGACTCTGCAGACACTCCTCAGTATCAATCAGAGCCTGGTAGCTCCACTGGGTGCCAGATCCAGAAAAGCAAAGCAATCACTACAGTTCAGTTCTCAGGAAGCCCCATTCCTAGGGGAAGCGGGAGAACACCGAAACAAGGGAGCACCCCATGGGACAAAAGACTCTGAAGAGCAGCCCTTGAATCCCAGATATTCCCTCTGACATAATGTACCCGAATGAGAAGAAACCAGAGAGACAATAATGATAATATGACAAAATAAGGTTCTTCAACTCCCCCAAAAGATTATGCCAGCTCACCTGCAATGGATCCAAGCCAAGATGAAACTTCTGAATTGCCAGGAAAATAATTCAGAAGGTTAATTATTAAGCTAATCAAGAAGGCACCAGAGACCAGGCGCGGTGGCTCACGCCTGTAATCCCAGCACTTTGGGAGGCTGAGGCGGGTGGATCACAAGGTCAGGAGATCAAGACCATCCTGGCTAACATGGTGAAACCCTGTCTCTACTAAAAAATACATAAAATTAGCCAAGCGTGGTGGTGGGCGCCTGTAGTGCCAGCTACTTGGAAGGCTGAGGTAGGAGAATGGCGTGAACCTGGGAGGCAGAGCTTGCAGTGAGCTGTGATCACGCCACTGCACTCCAGCCTGGGCAACAGTGCGAGACTCTGTTTCAAAAAGAAAAAAAAAGAAGCCACCAAAAAAAGGTGAAGTCCAGCTTAAAGAAATTAAAAACATTATACAGAAAATTAAAGGAAAATTCTTCAGTGAAATAGATAGTATAAATAAAAAACAATCACAAGTTCTGGAAATCTAGGACACAGAGTAATGTAAAATGCATTGGAAAGTCTAAGCAATAGAATCAAACAAGCAGAAGAAAGAACTTCAGAGCTCTAAGACAAGGCTTTCAAATTAACCCAGTCCATCAAAGACAAACAATAATAATAATAATAATTCTTAAAAAATGAGCAAAGCTTCCAAGAAGTTTGAGACTACATTAAATACCCAAACCTAAGAATAATTGGTGTTCCCGAGGAAGAAGAGAAATCTAACAATTTGGAAAATATGTCTGAGAGAATAATCCAGGAAAACTTCCTCAGCTTTGCTAGAGATCTAGACATCCAAATACAAGAAGCTCAAAGAACATATGGGAAATTCATCACAAAAAGATAATCACCTAGGCATATAGTCATTAGGTTATCTAAAGTTGAGACAAAGGAAAGACTCTTAATAGCTATGAGACAAAAGCATCAGGTAACCTATAAAGGAAAACCTATCAGATTAACAGAAGATTTCTTAGCAGGAACCCTACAAGCTAAAAGGGATTGGGATTCTATTTTTAGCCTCCTTAAACAAAACAACTATTAGTCAAGAATTTTGTATCCAGTTAAAGTAAGCTTCATAAATGAAGGAAAGACACAGTCTTTTCCAGACAAATAAATGCTGGGAGAATTTGCCACTACCAAGCCAACACAAGAACAGCTAAAAAGAGCTCTAAATCTGAAACAAATCTTCAAAATACACAAAAATAGAACCTCCTTGAAGCACACATCTCACAGAACCTATATAACAATAACACAATGTTTAAAAAAAAAGAAAAGAAAACAGAAAACAAAACAAAAAAAAACCACAAGGTATTCAGGCAACAAAATAGCACGGTGAATAGAATAGTACCTCACATCTCAATACTAACATAGAAAGTGAATGGCCTAAATGCTTCACTTAAAAAATACGGAATGGCAGAATAAACGAGAATTCTCCAATAAAGTCTCTGCTGTCTTCACGAGACTCAACTAACACAGAAGAACTCAAATTTACTTATAGTAAAGGGGTGGAAAAAGATATTCCGTGCAAATGGACACCAAAAGCAAGCAGGAGTAGCTATTCTTCTATCAGACAAAACATACTTCAAAGCAACAGCAGTTTAAACAAACAAAGAGGGACATTATATAATGATAAAAGGATTAGTCCAACAGGAAAATATCACAGTTCTAAATATATATGCACCTAACACTGGTGCTCCCAAATTTATAAAACAATTACTACTATACCTAAGAAATGAGATAGATGGCAACACAATAATAGTGGAGGACTTTAACACTCCACTGACAGCACTAGACAAGTCATCAAGACAGAAAGTCAACAAAGAAACAATGGACTTAAACTATATTCTAGAACAAATGAACTTAACAGATATTTACAGAAAATTCTATCCAACAACTGCAGAATACACATTCTATTCATCAGCACATGGAACATTCTCCAACATAGACCATACGATAGGCCACAAAATAAGTCTCAGGAAATTTAAGAAAATCGAAATTATATCAAGTACTCTCTCAGACCACAGTGAAATAAAATTGGAAATCAACTCCAAAAGGATCCTTCAAAACCAGGCAAATACATGGAAATTAAATAATCTGCTCCTGAATGATCAAACAAAAAGCTGCCTCTTTGAAAAGATAAATAAAATTGATAGACTGTTAGTGAGATTAACCAAGAAAAGAAGAGAGAAGATCCAAATAAACTCTATTAGAAATGAAGCGGGAGATATTACAACTGATATCACAGAAATACAAAAGATTATTGAAGGCTACTATGAACACCTTCACATGCATAAACTAGAAAACCTAGAGGAGATGGATAAATTCCTGGAAATATACAACTCTCCTAGATTAAACCAGTAAGATATAGAACTGGAACAAGATAGGGATGCCCACTTTCACTCCTTCTATTCAACATAGTACTGGAAGTCCTAGCCAGAGCATTCAGAAAAGAGAAAGAAATAAAGCGTGTCCAAATTGATAAAAAAGAAGTCAAACTGTCTCTGTTTGCTGACGTTACGATTGTATACCTAAAAAGCCCTAAAGATTCATCCAAAAATCTTCTGGAACTGGTAAATGAATTCACCAAAGTTTCCAGATACAAAATTAAAGTACACAAATCGGTAGCTCTGCTGCCTACCAACAGTGACCAAGCTGAAAATCAAATCAAGAACTCCACCCCTTTCACAATATCTGCAAAAACAAACAAACAAACACTTAGGAATATATCTAATCAAGGATGTGAAAGACCTCTACAAGGAAAACTATGAAACACTGCTGAAAGAAATCATAGATGACACAAACAAATAGAAACACATCCCATGCTCATGGTTGGGGAGAATCAATATTGTGAAAATGACCACACTGCCAAAAGCAATCTACAAAGTCAGTGCAATTCCCATCAAGATAGCACCATCATTCTTCTCAGAACTAGCAAAAACAATCCTAAAATTTACATGGAACCAAAAAAGAGCCCACACAGCCAAAGCAAGACTAAGCAAAAAGAACACACTGGGAGGCATCACGTTACCTGACTTCACCTTTTTCTCTGAGGCCATAGTCACCAAAGCAACATGGTACTGTTACAAAAATAGGCACATAGACCAATGGAACAGAATAGAGAACCCAGAAATAAAGCCAAAAACTTGCAGTCAACTGATCCTCAACAAAGCAAACAAAAATATGCAGTGTGGAAAGGACATCCTATTCAACAAATGGTGCTGGGATCATTGAAAAGCCCAGTGTAGAAGAATGAAACTGGATCCTCATCTCTCACCTTAAAAAAAATCAACTCAAGATATATCAAAGACTAAATATAAGACCTGAAACCATAAAGATAATGGAAAATAACATTGGAACAACACTTCCAGACATTGGCTTAGGCAAAGATTTCATGACCAAGAACACAAAGCAAACACAACAAAAACAAAGATAAATACATGGGACTTAATTAAACTAAAAAGCTTCTGCACAGCCAAAGAAATAATCATGAGAGTTTACAGACAACCCACAGAGTGGGAAAAGATCTTCACAATCTATTTATCCAACGAATGACTGATATCGAGAATCTACAAGGAACTCAAACAAATCAGCAAGAAAAAAACAAACAATCCCATTAAAAAGTGGGCTAAGGACATGAATAGACAATTCTCAAAGAAGATATACAAATGGCAAGCAAGCACAAATGGGAAAATGCTTAACATTGCCAATTATCAGAAAAATGTAAATCAAAACCACAATGCAATACGACCTCCCTCCTGCAAGAATTGCCATAATCAAAAACTCAAAAAATAATAGACATTGGCATGGATGTGGTGAAAAGGGAACAGTTTTACACTGTTGGTGGGAATGTAAACTAGTACAATCACTATGGAAAACAGTGTTGGAGATTCCTTAAAGGACTAAAAGTAGATCTACCGTTTGATCCAGCAATCCCACTACTTGGTGTCTACCCAGAGGAAAAGAAGTTATTATACTAAAAAAAAAAAAAGAAAAAAAAGAAAAAAATTTCATGTGTGTCCGTGTGAAGAGACCACCAAACAGACTTTGTGTGAGCAACATGGCTGTTTATTTCACATGGGTGAAATAAACCCATGCACCTTCACGTGGGTGCAGGCGGGCTGAGTCTGAAAAGAGAGTCAGTGAAGGGAGATAGGGGTGGGGCTGTTTTATAGGATTTGGGAAGGTGATGGAAAATTACAGTCAAAGGGGGTTGTTCTCTGGTGGGCATGGGTGGATCTCACAAAGTACATTCTCAAGGGTGGGGAGAATTACAAAGAACCTTCTTAAGGGTGGGGGAGACTACAAAGTACCTTCTTAAGGGTGGGGGAGATTACAAAGTACATTGATCAGTTAGGATGGGGCAGGAACAAATCACAATGGTGGAATGTCATCAGTTAAGGCTGTTTTTACTTCTTTTGTGGATCTTCAGTTACTTCAGGCCATCTGGATGTATACGTGCAAGTTACAGGGGATGCGATGGCCTGGCCTGGGCTCAGAGGCCTGACATTCCTGCCTTCTTATATTAATAAGACAAATAAAACAAAATAGTGTTGAAGTGTTGGGGTGGTGAAAATTTTTGGGGGTGGTATGGAGAGAGAACGGGCGATGTTTCTCAGGGCTGCTTCAAGCGGGATTAGGGGCAGTGTGGGAACCTAGAGTGGGAGAGACTAAGCTGAAGGGAGGTCTTGTGGTGAGGGGTGATATTGTGCGGATGTTAGAAGAAACATTTGTCGTATAGAATGATTGGTGATGGCCTGGATATGGTTTTGGATGAATTGAGAAGCTAAACGGAAGATACAAGGTCCGAATTAAAAGGAGGAGAAAAATGGGTATTAAAGGACTAAGAATTGGGAGGACCCAGGACATCCAATTAGAGAGTGCCCAAGGGGGTTCAGCATAATTACTTGCTTGGTTGGCAAGTTTTTGGGCTCTATCCTTGAGTTTTTTTATGTTGTCATACACCAGGCCAGATTGATTTAGGTAAAAACAACACTCCTCATTTAAGAATATGCAGAGTCCTCCTTTTTCAGCAGTAAGTCAGTCAAGGCCTCGGCGGTTTTGGAGGACAACTGCAGCTAAAGAGTCAACTTGGGCCTGGAGGACTGATAAAGTTTGTGATTTTGAAGGCCTCTAAAAGTATTAAAGCAGCAGCAGCCGCTGCACGCAGACATGAGGGCTAGGCTAAAACAGTAAGGTCAAGTTGTTTGGACAGAAAGGCTACAGGGTGTGGTCCTGGCTCTTGTGTAAGAATTCCGACCATGCTAACCATGCCTAGGAAGGAAAGGAGTTGTTGTTTTGTAGAAGGTGCTGGGGTTTGAGAGATCAGTCGGACACGATTGGCAGGGAAAGCACGTGTGTTTTTATGAGAATTATGCTGAGATAGGTAACAGATGAGGAAGAAATTTGGGCTTGATTGAAGTAATGGGGGCTGTCTGTGAAGCTTTGCAGCAGTACAGCCTTGGTAATTTGCTGAGCCTAATGGGTGTCAGGGTCAGTCTAAGTGAAAGCAAAGAGAGGCTGGGACGAGGGGTGCAGGGGAATAGTGAAAAAAGCATCTTTAAGATGGAGAACAGAATAGTGAGTTGTGGAGGAATGGATTGAGGACAAAAGAGTGTAGGGGTTGGGCACCACAGGGTGGATGGCAAAACAATTTGGTTGATAAGGCGCAGATCCTGAACTAATCTGTAAGACTTGTCCGGTTTTTGGACAGGTAAAATGGGGGAATTGTAAGGAGAGTTTATAGGTTTTAGAAGCCCATGCTGTAGCAGGCAAGTGATAACAGGCTTTAATCCTTTGAAAGCGTGCTGTGGGATGGGATATGGGCGTTGAGCGGGGTAAGGGTGATTAGATTTTAACGGGATGGTAATGGGCATGTGATCAGTTGCCAGGGAAGGAGTAGAGATGTCCCATACTTGTGGGTTAAGGTGGGGGGATATGAGAGGAAGACGCGAAGGAGGCTTTGGGTTGGGGAGAAGGGCGGCAATGAGACACAGCTGTAATCCAGGAATAGTCAGGGAAGCAGATAATTTGGTTAAAATATCTCGGCCTAATAAGGGAACTGGGCAGGTGGGGATAACTAAAAAAGAGTCCATAAAAGAGTGCTGTCCAAGTTGGTACCAGAGTGGGGGAGTTTTCAGGGGTTTTGAAGCCTGGCCGTCAATACCCACAACAGTTATGGAGGCAAGGGAAACAGGCCCTTGAAAAGAAGGTAATGTGGAGTGGGTAGCCTCCGTATTGATTAAGAAGGGGACGGACTTACCTTCCACTGTGAGAGTTACCCAAAGCTCGGCGTCCGTGATGGTCTACGGGGCTTCCAAGGCAATCAGGCAGCGTCAGTCTTCAGCTGCTAAGCCGAGAAGATCTGGGAAGGAGTCAGTCAGAGAGCCTTGGGCCAGAGTTCCAGGGGCTCTGGGAGTGGCTGCCAGGTGAGTTGAACAGTCCGATTTTCAGTGGGTTCCTGCACAGATGGGACGCGGCTTACGAGGAATCCTGAGCTGCGGGCATTCCTTGGCCTGGTGGCCAGATTTCTGGCACTTGTAGCAAGCTCCTGGGGAAGGAGGTTCTGGGGGAACGCCTGGCTGCTGCGGTTCAGGTGTTTGGAAGTTCTTGTGTGCTGGAGATGTGGCTGGGGTTTGTGTCACAGTGGAGGCAAGGAATTGCAACTTTTTTCTATTATTGTACACCTTGAAGACGAGGTTAATTAAATCCTGTTGTGGGGTTTGAGGGCCGGAATTTAATTTTTGGAGTTTTATTTAATGTCGGGAGCAGATTGCGTAATAAAATGTATTTTGAGAATAAGACGGCCTTTTGACCTTTTAGGGTCTAGGGCTGTAAAGTGGCTCAGGGTTGCTGCCGAGCGAGCCATGAACTGGGCTGGATTTTTATATTTGATGAAAAAGAGCCTAAACGCTATCTGATTTGGGATAAAGAAAAAGAAGCATTAACCTTGACTATGCCTTTGGCTCCAGCCACCTTTTAAAGAGTAAATTGCTCGGCAGGTGGGGAAGAGCTAGTCACAGAACGAAACTGTAAGCCAGACCGGGTGTGAGGAGGGGAGGCTGAGGAAGTATTGGGACTTAGCTGGGTCTGGCAATGAGCAGCTTGGGGAGGACGGGAAAGGTCAGATGGGTCTGTAGAAAAGGAAGACTGGGAAGACTCAGCGATGCTTGGGGTTGGGACCAAGGGGACAGGCGGGAGGGAAAGAAGGAGGATCTGGGAGGAATCGCATTGGGAACAGAGGCTAGGGAGGGAACGAAGTGTGAAAAATGCCTGGACGTAAGGCACCTCAGACCATTTGCCCATTTTTCGACAAAAATTATTTAGGTCTTGTAGGATGGAGAAATCGAACGTGCCGTTTTCTGGCCATTTAGAGCCATTGTCAAGTTTGTACTGGGGCCAAGCGGTGTTGCAGAAGAAAATAAGGTGTTTAGGTTTTAGGTCAGGTGTGTGTTGAAGAGGTTTTAAGTTCTTGAGCACACAGGCTAAGGGAGAAGAAGGAGGAATGGAGGGTGGAAGGTGGCCCATAGTGAAGGAAGCAAACCCAGAGAAAAGAGAGCGTAGAGACACGGAGGGAAGGGGTTTGGGGGTTCTTGCCTCCTAGAAAAGTGGGACTTGCCGCTGAGGGTGAAGGAGAAGGGGTTGAGGGGTACTTGGCCCTGCCCCAGGAAAGCGGGACTTGCCGCTGAGGGTGAAGGAGAAGGGGTTGAGGGGTACTTGGCCCTGCCCCAGGAAAGCGGGACTTGCCGCTGAGGGTGAAGGAGAAGGGGTTGAGGGGTACTTGGCCCTGCCCCAGGAAAGTGGAGAAGAGGTAGAGAGGTAGGAACAAAGAGCAGGAGGACGGGGGATTGATCTCCCAAGGGATGTCCCCCGATCCGAGTCACAGCACCAAATTTCATGCGTGTCTGTGTGAAGAGACCGCCAAACAGGCTTTGTGTGAGCAATAAAGCTGTTTATTTCACCTGGGTGCAGGTGGGCTGAGTCCGAAAAGAGAGTCAGCGAAGGGAGATAGGGGTGGGGCTGTTTTATAGGATTTGGGAAGGTGATGGAAAATTACAGTCAAAGGGGGTTGTTCTCTGGTGGGCAGGGGTGGATCTCACAAAGTACATTCTCAAGGGTGGGGAGAATTACAAAGAACCTTCTTAAGGGTGGGGGAGACTACAAAGTACCTTCTTAAGGGTGGGGGAGATTACAAAGTACATTGATCAGTTAGGATGGGGCAGGAACAAATCACAATGGTGGAATGTCATCAGTTAAGGCTGTTTTTACTTCTTTTGTGGATCTTCAGTTACTTCAGGCCATCTGGATGTATACGTGCAAGTTACAGGGGATGCGATGGCCTGGTCTGGGCTCAGAGGCCTGACAAAAAATCTTTGCACACACGTGTTTATATTAGCACAATTTGCAATAGCAAAATATGGAAACCAACCCAAATGCCCATCAATCAACAAGTAGGGTAAAGAAAATGTGATATATATATATATATATATATATATATATATATATATACACACACACATATATATATAACATATATATATATATATACACACACATATATATATAACATATATATATATATATATATATATATATATATATATATATAGCATGGAATACTACTCAGCCATAAAAAGGAATGAAATAATGGCATTCACAGCAACCTAGATGGAATTGGAGACTATTATTGTAAGTGAAGTAACTCAGGAATGGAAAATCAAACATCATACGTTCTTATTCATATGTGGGAGCTAAGCTATGTGTACACAAAGCATAAGAATGATACAATGGATTTTGGGGATTGGGGGAAAGGGTGGGGGTTGGTGAGGGATAAAAGATTACATATTGGGTACAGTGTACGTGGCTCAGGTGACGGGTACGCCAAAATCTCAGAAATCACCACTAAAAAGCTTATTCATGTAACCAAACACCACCTGTTTCCCAAAAACCTATTGAAATAAAAAAAGGAATATAAATAAATAAATAACATTATTGGAACAATAAGAAAGCCAAAAACAAACAAATAAACAGCAAATACAAATAATAAAGAGTTTTGATGGAAATCCATTGAAATGTTAATTATGTTTTAAAGCAGGAGTGTCCAATCTTTTGGCTTCCCTGGGCTACAGTGGAAGAAGAATTGTCTTGGGCCACATATAAAATACACAAATTTTTAGCTGATGAGCTAAAAAAAAAATTGCAAAAAAATCTCATAACGTTTTAAGAAAATGTATGAATTTTTGTTGGGCCACATTCAAAGCCATCCTGGGTTGCATGCAGCCTGAGGGCTGTAGGTTGGACAAGCTTGTTTTAAGGTATTAATTTATGCTCTTCTTTTCCCTAGAAGTATAATATATACAGAAAAGTACAAAAAACATGAGCAGATAGATCAATGAAGTATTGTTAAGCCAGATCCAGGAATAGATATTTCCAACACCCCCAGAAGGTCCGCCCATTATATCCCCTTCTAGTTATGACATCCTCCTTCTGCCTCAAAGATGAGCCATATCTTGACTTGTGAATTTGTAATTATTATTGCTTTTTAATTTTATATGAATAAAATCATGCAATATATAATATATTGCTTCAAGTCTGGCTTATTAGCCAACTATGTTTCTGAGATCCTTTTATATTGTTGTAGGTAGCTGTAGTTCATTTTTCTGATCACATATAATATTTTATTGTATGAATATAATGCAGTTTATGTGGAACTTTTACTGTTATTGGAAAATTGTATTATTTCTAAGTGCATTCTTCTATGATTATTCTTGCACATATCTTTTGGGAGATCTGTGTAAATATTTCTCTGTTGTATATACCAGAAATCAGAATTATCGGGAAATTGGGCATGCATATGACAATTTTAAAAGATAACACCAAATTGTTGTCTATAGTGATTTTATTAATTTGTACTCTTTCCAGTAATGTTTTTTTCTATATTCTTGACAATATTTGATATGATCAGTCTTTTTAAAAATTTTAGCCTTTTGCAGGGGGATAGTAAAAAGTATCTCATTTTGGTTTAGCTTCTGTTTCCTGATCACTAATGAAATTGGGCACTTTTTAAAATTATTATTGGCTATTTGGAAACCTCCCTCCCTCCCCTTGGTTTCTAGGAATAACTTAATTCATTTTTCCATATTTTAATTGTGTTGTCTTTGTTTTCATTAGTGATTGATTCTAGAGAAGAGCACAATGTTGCTTTTTTGTGTAGGAAACCGCTTCTACTGTGTCGCTTGCCTTTTCACTCTCTTAATCATGTCTTTTGATAAACAGAAAAATTTAAATTTAACATAGTTCAATCTATTGGTCTTTTTCTTTTTGAGATGTTTTTTGTAAAAAGTTTAAGAACTGTTTTCCTTCCTTGCGATCATATTTTCCTGTTATCTTCTATAGTGTATTTTGTCCTTCGTATTTAAATTATAATGCACCTGCATTTTATTTATTTATTCATTTATTTTCATGGTGTAAAATTGGTTCAATATACAATTTTTTTCTATAGGGATCCAATTGAGCCAGAACATATATGAAAGATGCAGTCCTTTCTTTGCTGTTCTACAGTGCCATTCCTAAAGGGAATTAAATCTGCATGCCTGCTTGAGCCTGCTATTGACCTCTTTTTTCTCTCTTCCTTTGTTGTATTTGTAAATGCCATATTCTAGTAATTACTGCAGTCTTACAATAAGTCTTAATATCTGATAGCTATTAAAATAGACTATATGGTTTAAAAAAAAAAGAGGCTTGAATTGTAAGTGAAACCAAAGGAGAATAAAATCCAAAGAGAACCAGAGGAGAATAAAAATTCATGCCATGAGATCCAATCCATTATGAAAATTGAGCTTTAAAAAGCTTTAGAATTAGTGACCAAGGCAAAGAGCGGTACATATCTTTCATTGGATAAAAATATAACAACTGTTTCTGTGAGTATAATCACCCTGAGTATAAAAAGCCCGAGGGAAGCTTCTCCTGTGAACCTGCATCAAGAGCAGTGGGTGATTCCGTGGATTATAGTCCCCTCACAGACATGCAATGCTGGCTTTTTTATGGTAGCTTCCTATAGCATATCTCAAAAATAATAGCTACCATGTATTAGGTATCTATTAAGCCTTTTACATAACATTTGTTAAAAAAAAAATTCCCAAACTATGTGCCTGGTTTGCTACCACTATAGCCAATGTCACTGGGCATCTCACTATTCTCTGACTGTAGCTGTTACAAGAGCATCAATAGATTCTCTAAAATGCAGACAATAGAAAGGAGTTGCTAAATTTGTCAAATTTTAAGTGAATCTACTGCTTATTTTGTTGGTATGTTGGGTGGCTCTTCTTGGTGGAAGGCTCACAACCTGTAACTGACTCCAGAGCTTCTGCTTACCAATTTCAGAAAACTAGGTTTCGAGTATTTCCTTTGAGCATTCCTTCATGTGCTTTTATGAGGCTAACTCTCCTTCCCTATTTCCAAGATGGATACTTTGGGAAGGTAACATATTCTAGTTCTCAAATTGATGTAAGTACATTTATGTTACTTTCTTCTCTATTTTTGTAGCAGTGAGGGAATAATGGGAATTTATACAAATAAACCACATGAGTATTTCAAGTTCTGTGATGTTGATCACATTCTCTGTGATGTATGCTTTAGTTGTATCTTCCTCAAAGTAAGTACCAACCTTCCTACAGTTATTTCTAATTAAACAGGATAATCTAGTTTAATCCTCAAAACTACCATGTAAAATAGAAGCTACTATTATAATTTCAATTTTATATATAAGGAAAATTAAGTTCAGAGAAGTGAAGTAATGTGCCCAAGGACATCAAGAAATAGTGAAGTTGGGCCTGTAATCTCAGCACTTTAGGAGGCCAAGGTGGGTGGATTGCGTGAGTTCAGGAGTTTGAGACTAGGTTGGCCAACATGGTGAAACTCTGTCTCCACTAAAAATACAAAAATTAGCCAGGTGTGGTGGTGGGCGCCTGTAATCCCAGCTACTTGGGAGGCTGATGCAGGAGGATCGCTTGAACCCGAGAGGCGGAGGTTGCAGTGAGCTGAGATCGTGCCATTGCACTCCAGCCTGGGCGACATGAGTGAAACTCCATTGCACTCCAGCCTGGACAACAAGAGAGAAACTCCATCTCAAAAAAAAAAGAATAAATAAATAGTGAAGCTAGGATTTGATGCCAGACATTCTGACATCTTAACCGCTTCCTTAATCATTCAACTAATGCTTGTCAAATTTAATGTGCACAGGAATCACTTGGAGATCTTATTAAATGCAAATTCTGATTCAGTAGGTCTAAAGTGAGGCCCAAGATTCTACATGTTTAACAAGATCACAGGTAACACTGATGGTGCTGCCCTGGACAGATATCAGACGGTGGGTAGCAAACAGTCTCAAAATGAACCTTAGGTTAATGTCTAAAGACAATCAAATAGCATTACCATAGGGGTCAACACAAGGTGATAGAAGGAATAGCTCTATTATGATGTAAAGAAATCTTAGGGAAAAACAAATGGTAATTGGTATTTCCCACCACTAAGATGGTCATTCAACTATCCATTTATGCATCCAAACAATGCATATTTATTAAGCACCTACCATATGTGTCAAACATAAGTGCAAGCAGTAAGTAAAATAAGGTCTATTTTCTGTATTTATACATCTGCCAAAGTATAAATGCAGACTCACTTTTTAAAAAAGGAATTATATGAATGCCATTGGAATAAAGCACCAGGAAAAAAATGTGCTTGAGCATTAACCAAAGTAATAGGTTTTCAAACTGTATTTCCTTGCCAGAAATACTATCCTCCTAGGCAGTGTTTCTACTCATGACAGAAAATGCAAATAAGGAAGAGTCTCCATCTATAGACGTGATTTAACAAGTCAATTGCAGGTGTTTTTCCTCCTTTTTGAGAATTGTGCGGTTGAGAGATCTACTTTCACATACATATTAATGAGTTGTTTTGCATAAATCAATTCTATTTTTATGAATGGAGATTATATAACCCTCCTGTAATTCTTCCAGAAATCCCATCCAAACAAGCTACTAGAGTTCTTAGTAGGGTATGTCCCTTGAGCACAAAGGATTTTATTTTAATTATTTCATCCATTTTTAAGCAAAAGTAATCAAATATAAACAACTGTGCTGGAGGCTGCACCCTCTGCCAGCTGCCTCTCAGCCTTCTGAAAGGCTCTGTTTTTGTGTTGTTTCTGTTTTGTTTTTTTGTTGTTTTTTGTTTTTTGTTTTTGTACTTTTCTCAGTACTCATTTAGAAAGCAATCCTATTGTTTTTATTTAAAAAGGTGTAAAATGTAGCTGATTCAAACTTTAAAATTTATGATATTCCTCTTTGGCAAGTCTAGCTGACTATGGGCCCTGAATATTATTATTGCTATAAATATTAAAATTAATAAAAGCTTATATGTGTCCAGTAAGCCAAAATATGGGAAAACATTTCCTGAGCTTGCTTAAATTTTCACAGCAAGTGAATGGCAGAGCCAGGACTTTAAACCTCGGTCTAATGGACAACAGAAATCAGGCTTCAAACACAACACTGGCATTTCAAAGCATGTCCCAGGTGGCAGATGTCCTAAAGAAGCATCTCACTTCTACCTGTGGTTCCAGTTAGCTCACTCTATCCTCCACCTTCTTTCCATAGTTAACAGGGGAAAATGTCAGAGTCTGTGATGCACTGGATAAAATTGTCCTCCCCTGAGCTCCACGTTTTCACAGCTGGAGTGAAGAAGGTGTCTTGGCAAGATTCCCACAAACACACACTCAAAACACACATCCTCACTCCCATATTTGCCTTGACATCACCATCTCTGCTTTTACGAGGTCTTGACTCCTGTGTACATAAGGCAGCAAGCCTGGAATTCTTAGGTCACCCCTCATTGCCCAAACCTTCATCTACATAGAGCTCTGAATGTTCCCGTATCTGAACCCACTTCCCAATCCTCCGCAGCTTGTGAAATTCTTCCTTGGGCCTCCTAAAACCAAAATCAATAATTAGCAAAATCTTTGCACACTTAAAGTTTTCCCTGAAAGTCCCCCTGACTGTGTTGCTTCAACTGACATTTGGCTTCCATCTGAAGATGCTTCTCCTCTCTGGCTGAACTGCTGATTCTTTTCTCCAATACCCCTCTTACCACAGGTCTGTCAGTAGGGATAGAGTCGTCCCATCTCCTCCGTGCCATTTCCAGATGATCCCTCCTCCCTCATATCTAATTCCTTTGCCATTAAAATCATGCCATTAGCCCGCACTACTCATAACTTCTCTTTGTTGCAATCATATTCTCATCCCCTAAACTCCAACATTTCTTGAAGATTTTACCTATTAGCTCACTGTCATTCTCTGCATAATACTCCTGTCGAATATCTTGGCCATTTCAGCCTTTGGTGAATTTGGTATTCAGTACTCAATATCCTGATTTGCCAGTTTCTTGACTTCTTTCGTTCTGTTGCCCTTGTTTATCGACCCATCTTAGCCAATAGCCACGCTGCTAAGATGACTCTTTTAAGACTTTGTCAATGTCTAAAGTTGCCAGTTCCACCCATAATCTGATTTTCAACCTTCCCAAATTTGACTGTCTGACTCACTCTCTCCAGTCCATGGACTCCAGCAATACTTTGACTCTGCTAGATCCTATAATTCACGAATCCTAACAACTACTCCTGTCCTTCTCCTGCTTCGTCTTGTCATTCCCTCTATACTGAGACAAAGGCAAAAAACACTTCTTCTCATTAACTTTTAACTCACTTGCTCATCACTTGCACATCAATGATTCACTTTCACTTTCCCCCTTATTTCATTCATCTGGTGAAATCTAAGCCATGATGAAATCCAAACCAAAATTTTAATCTAGTGAAAAATCCAACTATGACACCTGCTTTCACTTTCCAATTAATGACCACCGACATCAGTGGTCCATTCAGTGGGCCATTAATGTTGCCTGACATTAAGTCACCATGAAGCTCAAAGATGTTACTGTATTGCCGGCATCTTCAGTCTAGAAAGGCCCTCTGTAGGTGGAAAAAAGTATGAGCTAGTATTTTTCTCCTATAAAAGTCAACTAAATCATCCTCACATACCTCAAACAACATTTTCCTGACCCTTTAATATAATTTATGTTATAAACTGCTTGATACTTAGTTCTGATTCAGGTCTGACTCATTGCCTAGTCCCTGAGCCAGGATGGACTTTGGCTGTACTTGAGATGTCAAGGTAATCTGGCACTCTGACTAACTAGATGTGTTTCAGTTGCTTACCTCTAGAGTTATTTCCCCAAAATAATTCCAATGAAACGTTAAAACACACAACAAAGGCAGCCTCTTTCTTTTTCCAATCCCATCTATCACATACCATTGGATTTCTGTTTTGCTACAAAGTCCTGAAGGTTTTGGCCTTTTATTTTTATCTCACAACCTAGGCCCACTTCTTAAACATTGCCTAGCTTGCCTTTCCCTTTTAAAATCTGCCAACAATCACTTTCTCTGTTGAAATTATCTCTTCCTACATCCAACTGTGGGAAGAACAGCCTTTTCATTGTGCTGTTCTCTGAGGACAAGAATAGAAGCACATTTTTTAATTCTTATTTTTGTGTGACTTTTTTCTGCTTAGTAGTTACCAGTTTTTACTACAATTGTGATTCCTGACAATATATAACATTTAGAAAATAAGGAAAAGCTATTAATAATATCACCTGAGCCAGAGACAACCACTGTTAACATTAGTAGATTCTTCTAAAATTTTTTCTTATACAAATCATAAACACAGATGGATGAATATTTGTTAATTGTGGATAACTATTTCACTTTACGGAAATAATACAACAAACACTTTAAAACATTTTCCCTACTAGTCATTTTAGAGGATATTTTAACAAAAATAATAAAATACGGAGAACAATTAAGATTTCAGAATTTTCAAAGTTTGCATATTCATGATCTGTTTTTTAAAATTCAGGTCTCCTGACTAAGATGCTTATTTTACTGCAGAGAAATAAGCTTTTGTGGATACCACACTCAAGGGGAAAGACAGGCTTATTCTCGAAGCAAATAGAGGGTCCTTCCTGCCAATATGACCTAGAGAAACAGACAAATAGTGAGAAGATGCATCTCCGAGAACCTTCAGGCTGGGCCACTGTAAATCCGGTTGGATTTGACTCAACCCAGGGCATAAGTAATGTTCTCAGGGCATTTCCTTAACGAAGACTCCCTATTGAAAGAAGGTATAGCATGAACAATGTCGGGAAGTCAGAATGCTTAATTTCTGCATTTTCTTCCTCTGAACTGCTAAGATTGTATTTAGAGACAGGTAGAGTCCTATGTGCGTGTTCTAATCTAGTTAATTTACTTCAATCATCCTCTTTTATTTTGCCAGCAGGCAAAGCCCCTTCAGAATACCTAATTATTATTCCAGACTCCTGTCTTAGTTTTCATCAGAGGACTTGTATATTTCATTAGCTTCAGTCCTTGTACCACCTCTCCTTACCAAGCCCAGCATTGTGACACCATGTCCTTTACCCTTGTGTTTTTGAAAGCAAAAGAAGAAACGCATACATTTTTATTATTCATTCTTTTATCTCACTAGTCTTGTTCTGCGAAAATTTGAGATCTCAATAGATAGTGAAACAGTCTTTCACCCTTTTCCATGGAATAAATAGTTATTGGTGTTTATATACTCTATAATTATTATATGTTGATAAATGGTTATGTAATAGCTGCATACAGGGAGGAAAAGTCCTTGCAGGTAATTTTGTCTGCTAATTACATATAAATTGGTTAAGCAGTCATGCGTATTGATGACATCGTTTTCAACTGATTTGACTTCTCAAAATTACTAAACTTCTACCTGGTCATCTAAGGCAGGACAATTTTTCCCCAGGATGAGGGGTTGGAGGGCAGTGGTTTCAGCAGGTATTAGATTCTCATAAGGAGTGCACAACCTAGATCCCTCGTATGCGCAGTTCACAATAGGGTTCACACTCCTATAAGGATCTAACACCGCTGTTGATCTGACAGGAGGCAGAATTCAGGCGGTAACACTCTCTCACCTGCCACTCACCTCACCTCCTGCTGTGCAGTCAGATTTCTAACTGTCTATGGCCCAGCACTGCAGCCCAGTGGTTGGGGACTGCTGATCTAAGGAATAATCTCAGTCTTTGTCTCTCTTTATCCAAAACAACCATAAGTCTATTATATAAAAATAATGTATGTATGTATACATTTTGCATGTGCTTACATGTCTCTGCGCACACACATAAATTTATATAAATGGGATTGTTCTAGTAACCGACATTTTTCTTTAAAATTTTTAAGTTATAAAAAATTTCAAACATACAGAAATGTCTATAAAAATATTATAAACAGATTTTTATTTAAATGTGTGTTAATGTTTTTGCATTTTTGCTTCAGATCTTTTTTAAAGACATAAAATATACCAATACTGCCAATTTTCATCTCGTGCTTTCTTTCCCTCCCTTCCCAGAAGTAACCGCTTTCCTGAAGTTGGTGATAATTTTTTGAAGTATGGCTTGAAATTTTTATTGTCTTTGTTTATAATATTTATATAAATGTCATCAGAGTACAATTTCTTTGGCACCTTTTTCACTCTACATTCAGTTTTTGAAATTCAGCCATATTTCTACGTGTTTACTTATTTTAAATGTTGTGTAGTATTTCATTGGATTAATGAAAGAAGTTTACTTCGTTTCAACGAAGGAATGAGAATAAAATTTAATCCTGTTTTTTCAGGAACAATACACTATAAAGGTATTTTTATTTATATCCATCAATTTCACTTATTTTTATTGAGCTATTATCATGTGTCAGACTCTATCATGTGTGGAAGTTACAGTGCTGATAAAACAAACACATCCTTGCCTGCCATGAGTCTACGAAAGCAGTAGGAGAGGGATCACATAAATATGTACAGCATAAAAAATGTAATAAATAGTCTGAGGAGACTCTGAGAGACTAAAATGAAAAAGTTATTTATTGGAGGCTCAAGAAAGCAGGATTCAAGATGGATGAAATTTCCAATGAAGGAAAATTAAGGTTCATCAAAATTAGTTATCTGTTAGAGTTTTTTGTATCTAATGCCACAGTAATGTGCTGAAACAAAGCATGAAAAAAACCCATGATGTCCAGCAGTAAACATTTATTTTTGGTCACGAATTTTTGGTTTACTCGGTGGTTCCTCTGGTCTTCTTGGGGTTCAGTTTTACATTGGTGGTCACATATGCAGTTACGTTAATCTTGCTGGGCTAATTCATTACGTATTGTTGGCCCAGGCTGGGGCAACTGCAGTGATTTATTTCTTCTGCACATGGCCTCTCATGCTCCAGCCTGCTACTCCAGGCTTTTACCATGGTAGCTGGGTGGGGATCCAAGAGCAAGGGGATAGAAGGCTACACAGCTACTTGAGGCATATGCTCAGAACCAATATATTGTCACTTCTGCTGCATTTTGTTTGCAAAGTCAGACCAGATTGAGGAATGGTGAAAGAGACTATGCCTCTGATGGAAGATGCTGCAAAGTCATTGCAATAGGGTACAGGAAGGTGAAAAATTAGGACTAAGTTGTAATCACTCTCCCATGGTGATATGAGGAATGGGGTAAGAATATTCCATAGACGGAAACACCACGTTTAAAGCCTATGAAATTGGAAGGGGCTACGTAAGACATTTGAAAATGGAAAAAAAAAAAGAAAGAAAGAAAGAAAGAAAGGAATTGTGGAGCCTATTGAGGAAAAAAGGGAATGGTGTCAGTAAAAGCTGGAGAAATTGGCAGGGACCATATTATGCTGGCATTATTGCTAACACTCAGGATTTTGAATTGTATCCTAGGAACAGTAGAGCTCCATACAATTTTAAGAAATGTATTATTTAATTGATGACGTTACCTAATTTATTACATGATTTAATCGATTATATATAATCTAAGTTTAAAATTATTTTTATTATTTCTTAGAGTCAAGGTCTCACTCTATTGCCCAGCTTGAGTGCAGTGGCACCATCACAACCTACTGCAGCTTCAAACTCCTGGGCTCAAGCAATCGTTTTGCTTCAGCCTCCTGAGTAGTAGCTGGGTCCACAAGCTTGCACCACCATGACTGGCTAATTTTTTATTTTATTTTATTTTAGTTTTAGTTTTATTGTTTTTTGAGACAGAGTCTCGCTCTGTCATCCAGGCTTGAGTACAGTGGAGAGATCAAGACTAACCACAATGGGGATCCACCTAAGCTCAAGAAATCCACTCAGCTCAGTCTCCCAAGCAGCTGGGAATACAGGCGTGTGCCACCATATCCGGCTAATTTTTAAGATTTTTTTGTAGAGACAAGGTCTCCCTATGTTGCCCACGCTAGTTTTGAACTCCTGGGTTCAAATGATCCTTCTGTCGTGGTCTCCTAAAGTGCTGCGATTACAGGCATGAGCCACCAAGCCTATTATAGAATGTAATTTTTAATTAAAGTTATTTGCTTTATCTGTATTAAAATATCTTAAGAATTATAATTTTCTAAGTTATGAAATAATCTGGGAGCCTATTGAGTCATTAAGATGTTAGACGTGAAAGTGTGGGTGAGAGGTAGCAATGGAGACTAAGAAAACTGAGATATGATTGAGAAATTTTGGATGTTAAACCAATAATATTTGCTATGAGGTGGGATGTGGGTTTTGAGAAAGAGGATAGTATCAAATATCGCCAAATGGATAATTGATATTTATTATTTACTTTGATGAGGAAGACTTGAAGAACTACTTTGAATAAAGAATTAAGAGTTCAATTTCAGAGATGTCCTGAGGTTGGATATAAGGGTCTGGATTGCCAACAGAAAGTCTGTGCTAACCATATGAATTTGAGAATTATCTACATATAAATGTTACTTGAAGCCTTGGGAGTAGTTGAAGTCACCAGGAGTAAATTTTTCAATCAAGAAGAAAAGAAGACAAAAAATAAATCCCAAATAATTCCAATTATTAGACATCAGGGAATATAAATAGATATGTTCATGGTTTTAAATGGCTACATATCATCTGATTATATGTCTTTACCATAATTATTCTAAATAAATGTCTCTTATTGGACTTTGTTAGGCTTCATTAGACAGTAATAAAATAACTATCTATTATATACTTCTTTACTCATTTGCCAATTATATCCGAACAGTAGATACTGGGAAGTTGAATTGCTGGGAAAAGTAGGTTATACATTTTAAATGTGAATGCATCTTGATTAACAACCTTTGAAAAATGGTTATGCCAAATGATACTTTCAACAGCACCACCCGAATATGCTATTACATCAATCCCTCTTGATATTATGTATTGCTTAATATGTACCCTTAGCAATCTGATGGGTGACAAATTCTTGTTGTTTTCATTTGGATGTCTAGGTTTATTTGTAAAATCAAACTTTTCTTATCTGTTTATTGGCAATTTAAAATTATTTTGTAAATTTCCTAAATTGGGTCTTTGCCTAGTTTTCTGTTGAAGGATTCAAATTCATTTCCAGGAATTATTTTAAATATGTTAATATTTTTCTTTTACAAATTATGTGAAATGTTCCTATTTTTATTTTAACTTGGCTAGTTGTGTTTTTATGATACAGAAATTTTAGCAAAGAAATTGTTTTGTAATTCAATTTCTCTCTCATTTTCTTTATAATGCTTTTTGTGGCACATGCAGAAACATTATTTAAGCCCTATGATTGTAAAAACTATTTTTGGTCAGCACTCTTATAATTTCATTAATTCCTTCGAGGCCTTCGATTCACCTTGAATTTTTTGTAATGAGCCTGAGGTAAACACCCAACCTTGCTTCCCCACCCCTGCCCTATGAAATTTCCCCAATTCCATTTAATAAGTAGTTCAGTGTTGACAGAGCCCATTTTCTACTTCAAATCCAAGAGGTTTTCTGCTGTGGAGGCAGTACAATATAGTAGTTAAGAGTAAAGTTCCCAATTACTCTAAATAATTTTCCCTTCACACCCCTCCCGGCAGGGTAGAACACTAGCTGGTGAGAGCGAGCTATTCTACAAAGCTCAAAGCTACACCGAAGGGTCATATTTCTCCTCTAGAGAAAGCCCATTTAACAACAAAAGACAAACTTTTAAAATGGCAGCACTGCCTAGATACTAATGGTTTCTGATGCCTTATTCTTCCTGTAAATAGGTCAGATATAAAGGTTTAGAAGTCAGCATTAAGACCAAATGCAGCATCTAAACTAGAGAAAGTGAGTGAGGAACTGCCTTGAAGTCCATTCTATCAATTTCATTTTAACCTGATTTATTTGGCTATATGTTTGCCCCCTCTGCATTTCCTATATCAGCTCCATCACAAATCAGTCCCCTCCAAGTTGTATTGGAAAAGCAATATATGTGATTGAGATATTGTTAACAACAAAGCCAATTCTGGTCCCAGAGCTGTTAGATTGTGATTGATAAAACTTAATATTTTGAAGGGAGGAAGAAAAAAAACCTATTATTCCAGTTCTTTTATTTGTAGTGTGGGTGAAGTTCCTTTTATCTCCTCTACTTTCATTGTAGCAGTATGACTGAAATTCCAATAAATTATTGAATGCAATATCCAGATGTCCAGATGATTTTTTGGTGCTGCTGCTACTTCTTAGTGAGCAAGACAAAAGATAGTTGAGGTTCTGCAAAAAGTGTCAAAGCTTAGCAATAAAATAAGATTTCATTGAACAGAAACTAATGGAATCACTCAATTTATTTCCCTTTCACTGTTGTAATGCAGGGAAATCTTGCTTCATACGAGTCACAAAGCTTGAGTGTGCAGTGGCCTGGCTCTGGCATTGCATGGTTTGTGTGTGAGGGATTGGAATACCTTTAATAAAAAAGCGTGGGGTGAAGCAGCTTAGTCTTTCAAATAAAAGAAGTTTCAGTGTCTGGGCATCATGGCTGTTTAAAAGTCAACTTTTTCAACTTTTTCTCCTCGTGTCACCTTTTTAATATTCTTGGGGTCCCTGAAGACCTATATCTCCAGTTCATCTTGGCATACTTAGGTTCAGGTTTTATCTGCTCCATGGGGACAGCTACCTTTTTCTTAGAGTGCTTCCATTTTCTTTTCTCAGATGCACTTTGTAGCTGTGTCATAGATTAGCCAAGCATGCCTGATTGAGATATTAATCTGAAGGAGTGTTGGTTAAGAGACAGACCAGTGGTCAGCAAACCTTTTCTGTAAAGAGCCAGATAGTAAATATGTTTGATTTTCCGGCCAATGTCTCTGCTGTTATTGGGTGAAAGCAGCCACCCATAAACCCATTAATGTGGCTGTGTTCCAATAAAACTTTATTCACAAAACAGACAGTGAGTAGGATTTAGCTCATGGGTTGCAGTCTGCAGAGCACTGGAGTTCACTCAGAATACTTTATAGATGTGTCCTACCAATGATGACTGTTAACATTTATTAAGCATTTGCTAAAAATTCTCCTTAGATAATCTCATTTCTCATATTATTTACTAAAACTAAAGTGTGGGTACTATTTATAACCATGTTTATAGATAAATAACTGAAGAAGACAGAACAAGTAATTTACTAGTACATGGTAGAAGGGCATTTGAACTCAGGCTCACTCTAGGGCCCAAGCTTCTAACCACTCTGCCATAATGCTTTTCTCATTAATTAATAGAAATGCAAATGCTGTGAAAATCCATTTTGTTAAGATATTTTTGTCTAAGTAAGTTTTTTTTGTTTTTAATTAATGACGTGTCACATATGTTTCAGCTTACTATTCACAGGACACTAGATTACTATTATTATTTAAATGTAATTATTTAATTTCTATTTTGGGAAGATTAACCATGAATTTACTGGCAGTGGAAAAACACAAAGGACTAAATACAAGATGCATAAAGTCAGCATGAAGAGATGAAAACAGACAGGGATGTGAACTTACATGAGTTGAGTCTTTAAATTCTGGCTCTGTCCTTTACAATGTATGACTTTGCATGTTACATTCTGAGCCTTAATTTTCTCATTCATGAAACTAGAAAAACACTAGCTCTATATCTACATCAAAATTATTTTGAGAATCTATTAAATTACCTAATGTAGACATGCTTGTATAGATGTATCCATGTATAATAATATTTGCAGTATACTATATGTAATTATATACATACACACACATACATACAAACACACAATAGTATATATTAGTCATTTTTATTTAGAGGAATAAAGAAATTCTGTGTTTAAATGATATGTTAAAACTGCTTTGAATTTGGATCAAAATTTAGAGTAGATTTTCACAGGTTCTG